>NC_000007.14:32740242-33365242 GCF_000001405.40 Homo sapiens
TAAATATTGAACTAATACAGTTACTTTCATATAGTAATTTATGTGTTAGGAAAGTTACTTCATAAGCACTATCTCTTTTGAGTCTATGTCATAAGAAGTCGGTGGTAGAGTAGATAATTTTTTTAGCTATTATCTGGAGATGAGACTCAGAAGTTAGATCAACCACTTGTAGTATTTTAAGTGTGAGTTATTCTGTATTTTAGTTGTGAAGTGTACAGAATCTAATTAGCTTTTAATAATTCAGAGTCCTTTTCACACTTGGCTGCTTTTCTTTTCCTGTACAATTTTGTGTTTTCTCTTTTGTCTTTTAAAAATTTGTTAGTTAAAAAAAACTGTTTAGTTTTACAACCCTCCCTCATTTGTATAAATCTCCTCTCAGATTATTCATATAATGAGTATTGCCTGAATTTCATTTTCTTGTTAAAGTCTCTTTTGAGACCCTCTGACCTACCCTGTTCTGAAATGATTATCCTATGAGATCCCTCTTTGTTCATCATCATCTTGGAAATTGTATTTGCCTGCTTCTCTCTTATGTTCAGTTTCCTGGTTCCTTGAATTTATGTGTCTTCTTTCTTGATGTTCTCCATTGTTTTTAGTTGATATAATCTCATAGTTCCTACTGAGAAAGAATATGTGTAAGGTAAAATTTTTTTGAGGCTTCCATTCCTGAAAATATTTTATTTCTGCCCTCATTTTTGATTAGTACTTTGACTTGATATAGAATTCTAGGTTGAAGTTATTTTCCCTGAGAATTTAAAATGTGTTGCCTTGTTGCCTTCTGGCTTCTAGTGTTGCTGTTGAGCACATAGATGTCATTATGGTTTTTGATCCTTTGTATGAAAATTTCATTATTACATGCCATGGGAGGGAACTCTTTTCATTCATTGTGCAACATATTTGGTAGGCTCTTTGAGTCAGCTGCTTTCTGTGATTTTTTTTTTTTTTGCCATTTTTTTCTTTGATGATTTAGATGTTGTACACCTAGAGTAATCCTTTGCTTTTTCTTTTTTCTCTTCAATTTTTTTATGTCTTTGGTTTTTGTTCTTTTTTTCTTTTGAGGGATTTATTTATTTAATTAAAGACAAGGTCTTGAGGCTCTGTCACCTAGGTTGGAGTATAGTCATGTGATCCTAGCTCACTGCAGCCTTAAACTCCTGGGCTCAAGTGATCCTCCTGCCTCAGCCTCTTGAGTAGTTGGGATTACAGGTGCATGCCACCATGCCCAGATAGGGACTTTTAAAAATGTGATCTTATAACTCTTTTGTCAGTTTTTATTTGTTTCTGTAATTTTAATTTTTAACTTAATTTTTAATGTTTTTTAAAATTTCTGAGGTCTTTAAAAAAATAATGTTTTTTTCATATATTCCATTTTTGTTTTGTGGGTACAATATCTTTTTCTAAGAATATTACTGATGCGTATTTACATGTGCATCTGTTTGTGTATAAGTCTATATATGTATGTGTATGTATATATATGTATGTGTATGCTTTGTTCCCTTTCCTGATGACTCAGTTTCTTCCCACTTGCTTTTTCTGTTTGTTTGGCTTCATTCTTTTGTTAGATATTTTCTTTAAATGTTTGGTGATCTTTGGCCTACTCCTGATACTTTTAAAGTGGGGGGCACTAAAAAGCAAATTGGAAGCTCTCTGTGCATGTAATGTCCTCTGTCTGGGCCATTTTCTTAGGAATATTACTGTCTTTTCTCTTGGGCTGGTCATATTTTCCAGAAATGGCTTTTCTTGCCTGGAAGACACAATCGTTTCTGCTAGTGGTCTAGGAGCAGAGTAAGAATAAGATTGAGAGTCTTAATACTCAAAGTGATACTTTCATTTAATCTCCATATTTAGTATCAATACAGGACCTCTGCCTTCAGCTATTCCTGTTGTCTGCAAGTCTAGAAACTTTTCCCTCTCCTAATAACAAATTTGTAGTAGAGTGCCAGGGTTGGGGTTGCTTAGCTGCTGCAAGTCAGGGAGGACAACTGGGAGATCTCACGGCTTCCACACAGACTGGCGATGAATCTTTCTCTTTTAGGCCTGCCTTCACCCCTGCTTCCAGAGATATCTTGTGCTTGCCAATTCTTGTGCCTGCTGTAAAGCAGTTTGCTTCTCTGCTTTCCTAGTTCTGCAGTGAAAATTATTACTCATTAATTTTCTTTCCAGAGTCTAAAGGTACTGCTTTTTATTTCATCTTCTTGAATTTTTTATAGGCGTATTCCCTTTAAAAATTACATTTTTATCATTTTAGTAGGATGTTTGGACTGAGCGGAAGCTAATGAATGTGTACAACTAATTATCTTTACTTAGAAGTTTTCTTTTTTTAATTGCAGAAGAAATAAGAATTCGCTCCTATAAAAATTTAGATGATGCAGCTGGGCGTGGTGGCTCACGCCTGTAATCCCAGCACTTTGGGAGGCCGAGGCGGGTGGATCACCTCAGCTCGGGAGTTTGAGACCAGCCGGACTAACATGGTGAAACCCTGTCTCTACAAAAATTAGCCGGGCATAGTGATGCATGCCTGTAATTTCCAGCGACTCGGGAGGCTGAGGCAGGAGAATTGCTTGAACCCAGGAGGCGTAGGTTGCAGTGAGCTGAAATCGCACCATGGCACTCCAGCCTGGGCAACAAGAGCGAAACTATGTCTCAAAAAAAAAAAAAAAATTCAGATCATTCAAAAAAAGTGAAAGTCACTTTCAGTCCTCTGGTATGAACATGTTCAACTAGTCCTCTAAGGAATCTAATGGTTTTCAAGCTTTTTTTTTCTTTTTTTTGAGACAGAGTCTCACTCTGTTGCCCAGGCTAGAGTGCAGTGGCACCATCTCGGTTTACTGCAACCTGTCTCCTGGGTTCAAGCAATTCTCCTGTCTCAGCCCCCCAAGTGGCTGAGATTACAGGTGTGTACCACCATGCTTGGCTAATTTTTGTATTTTTAGTAGAGACAGGGTTTTACCATGTTGGCCAGGCTGGTCTCGAACTCCTGACCTCAGGTGATCTGCCTGCCTCGGCCTCCCAAAGTGCTGGAATAAAGGAACTGTGTATTAACATGTTAACAATTCATAACTGCACTTCTTATGACATTTTGAAAATCTATGTATAGTTACAGAACAATGGGTTTTGTTAAACTATCACATTTATACTTGCAGAAATTATTTCATCATTATTAGTAGGAATTTTATTGGTTCAATAAAATTGGCAAAACTGAAAAAAAATAGAAATTTATATCTTACAATTCTGGAGTCTAAGAATTCTGGAGTCCAAGAAAGTCCAAGATCAAGGCGCTAGCAGATTTAGTGTCTGGTGAAGACTGCTCTCCACTTCCAAGACGGTGCCTTGATGTTGCATCTTCTGAAGGAGAGGAACACCGTGTCCTCACATGGCAGATAGTAGGAGAGTAAGAGAGCTTTAGTCACACTCATGAGGGGGGAGTCCTCATGGCCTACTCACCTCTTGCAGGTCCCATCTCTTAATACTATCACATTGGCCATTAAGTTTCAACACCTGAATTTTGGAGGGGACACATTCAAACCATAGCAGTGCCCACTGGCATTTCTGGATTGCCAGCCTCTTTAACTCCAAATCTGAGAAAATGAGGCACAAAGAGAGCCCATGGAACTCATAACCATGTTATTCTTTGGGTCTCAAGTCTGTCTTCTCTCTACTTTTCAGTCTTCTTATGTTTGATTTGTATATAACTCAAAGGGTTTTCAGTTGTACTTCAAGGGAGTAATCAGGAAAAGTACATCCACTCCGTCTTCCCAATAGCAAACATTTGTATTACTTAAATATTTATATATCGTATAGGCAAGAGAGAAGGCAATGCTGTGAGGGAAATGTATGGCACTAAAATGAATATGTTAGAAAAGAGGAAAAAAATCAATAATCTAAGCGTCCAGTTAGGAACCTAGGAAAAAAAGAGCAAAATAAACTGAAAGCCAGTAGAATCAAGGAAATAATAAAGAGTAGAAATCAATGAAATTGAAAATAGAAAAATAATAGAGAAAGCTGTATTAGTCTTTTTTACATTGCTATAAAGAAATACCCGAGGACTGGGTAGTTTAGAAAGAAAAGAGGTTTATTTTTGCTCATGGTTCTGCAGACCGTACAAGAAGCATGCATGGTACCAGCATCTGCTTCTGGTGAAGACCTTAGGAAGCTTATAATCATGGTGGAAGGCGAAGGGGGAGCAAACAAGAGAGAGAAAGTTTCCAGTGGGGAGGGGGCAGGTCAAGACAGAGGGAGCAAGAGAGAGACGAGTGAGGTCCCAGATTCTCTTAACAATCAGATCTCACATAAACTTACAGAGGGAGAACTCCCTTATTACTGTGGGGTGGGAACCACGTCATTCATGAGGATTCCACCCCCATGACCCAAACACCTCCCACTAGATCCCAGCTGCAACACTAGAGATCACTTTTCAACATGAGATTTGGAGGGAACAAATATCTAACTATATGAAAAGCCAAGGGAAAAAAGGAGCTGGTTCTTCAAAAAGGTCAATAAAGTTGACAAACCTCTAGCAAGACTGACAAAAAAAGAGAAGACACGAATTATCCATATCCATGTCAATGAAACAGGGGCTATCACTGCAGACTCTGCATACATCAAAAAGATAATAAGGGAATACTGTAAACAACTCTACACACTTAAATTTATCAATTTAGATGGAATATACCAATTCCTTGAAAAACTCAAACTATTGCCATAAATAAAATCAATATAAAATAGATCATTTAAATATTTCTATAACTATTAAGAACTTGAATTCAAATGTAGAAATTCTTCAAAAAGAAATCTCTAGACCCAGGTATTTTCACTAGAGACTTCTGCTAGAGGTTTAAGCAATCATTAACATCAATTCTATACAATCTCTTCTGGAAAAGAGAAGAGGAAACACTTCCCAATTCTTTACCTCAAACTATTATTACCTTGATACTAAAACCAACAAAGTACCAACAGTATCAAAACAAAGTAAACTTCAGACTAATATCCCTTGCGAATATAAACACAAAATTCCTAAACAAAATTGCAAAAATAGATTTCAATAATATATTAATTATATACCATGACCAAATGAGGTTTTCTTCCAGGGATGCAAGGCTGTTTCAATATTCAAATACATCATATTACATGTTAACAGGCAAAATAAGAAAAATCACATAATCATATAAATTGGTACAGAAAAAAAATTTGAAAGAATTCAATACCCATTCATGGTAAGAACTCTCAGGAAAAAAAAGAAATAAAAGGGAGATTTTCTCAACTGTGTAAAAATCACGTGCAAAGAACTTGTGGCTAACATTGTGCTTAATGATTAAATACTGATGCTTTCTCCTAAGGCTGACAACAAGGCATGTATGTTCACATTCACCACTTATTAAACACAGTGCTAAAAGTTTTAGTGCAAAAGGCAAATAATGGAAATAAAAAGCATACAGATTAAAAAGTAAGAAATAAAACTGTCCCTATTTGCCCATGCCAGAACTATGTAAAAAATCCCAACAAATCTAAAACAACAACAAAAAGATAACCACAACAAAATTCGTAGAACAAGTGAGTTCAGCAAAGTTGCGTGATAAAAGATAAACATAAAAAATGTATTTTATGTGCTAATGATGGACACCAAAATTAAAACTATAATTCTATGACATGAAAAACTTAAATGTATATCTAGCAAAATACATATAAGACTTAGATGATCAAAACTATACAATGCTGATGAAAGGAATCAAAGGTGATCTAAATAAATGAAGAGATATACCATGTTCATAAACTGGAAGATTCAGTAAAGATGTCAGTTCTTCCAAAATTGATTTACAAATTTAATGCGATTCTTATCAAAGTCCCAACAAGATTTTTGTAGATATAGCATGTTGTAAAATATATATGAAAAGGCAAAAAAGAACCTAGCCAAACCAATTTTGGAAAAGAATAAAGTAGGAGGAATCAGGCTACTTGCTTCTAAGACTTACTGCATAGATGCGTTAATTAAGACTACTGGCCAGACACAGTGGCTCACACCTGTAATCCCAGCACTTTGGGAGGCTGATGTGGGCGGATCACTTGAGGGCAGGTGTTCAAGACCACATTGGCCAACATGGTGAAACCCAATTTCTACTAAAAATAAAAAAGTAGCTGGGCGTGGTGGCATGTGCCTGTAATCCCAGCTACTCAGGTGGCTGAGGCAAGAGAATTGTTTGAACCCAGGAGACAGAGGCTGCAGTGTGCTGCGATCATGCCACTGCACTCCAACCTGGGCAACAGAGTGAGACTCAGTCTAAAAAACAACAACAACAACAAAAACCTATATGGTATTGGCAGAGGGGTAGATGCATAAATCAGTGGAAGAGAACAGAGAACCCAGAAATAGACCCATACAAAATATGTCCAATTGACATATTTGGCAGAGGCACAAAAGCAATTCAGTGAAGGAAAGAAAGGAAAGATCCACTTTCAACAAATGGTGCTGGAGTAATGAACATCCATATGCAAACAAACAAACAAACAAACAGAATCTTGACCTAAATTTCATTCAAAATGGATCAGTTAGATATAAAATGCAAAACTCTTAACCTTTACAAAAAATACAGGAGAAAATCTTTATCTCTAGGGCTAGGCAAAGAATCCTTAGACTTGACACCAAAAGCACAATCAATAGGAGAAAAATGGACATACTGGACTTCATAAAAAATTTAAAATTTTTCTATGCAAAAGACCCTGTTTAAGAGAATGAAAAGGCAAGCTACAGACTGGGAAAATTTTTTGCAAGCCATATATATGAAAAGTAATTAGCATTTATAATATATAAAGAACACCCTAAGATCCAAAATTCATAAAACAAACAATTCAAATAGAAATGGAGCAAAATACATAAAGACACGTTTCACATATGGACGGCAAATAAGCACAAAAAGATGTACATCATCATTAGCCAATAGGGAAATGTAAATTAAAACCATAATGATATATCACTACATATGTGTAAGAATGAGTAACATAAAAAATAGTGACAATACCAAATGCAGGTGAGAATACAGATAAACCTAATTTTGGTTGTGCTTAGGTTGTATCCATTGACTACTGAGTATGTAGCAGAAGGAAATTTGCATAGTTTCATTCATTCAACAAATATGATATTGAATCAACTCCATATTCCAGGAAGTAGGCACCTGGGATACAGATAGGAAATACATAATGGGCATGGGAAAACAGTAGAAAACAAGGTCATTCGCTGAGCATGAAAGGGGGAGAGGAGGTTTGCGATAACTGGAGAGAGAAGATATAAAACAGGCGTCAAGGGGTTAGCAAAAGTAAGGCTCAAGAACTAAATCAGGATCTGTGGCCTATTTTTGTACCAGTAATGTGAAAAGGACAGTGTTTTCCCCCAGCTTTCCCGCAGCAGTTTAAGCTAAGAGAGTTTAAGACTTACAGGGGAGATAAGGAAGAGGGGGGTGGGTGGGTTTCATGCCTTTCTCTAAGTGGCTGCTGTTCTCCCAGGCTTTACCATGGAGGATGCTTTCTGAGCACTCTTGCTAATCTTTTGTCAGCACCTTATGAGCTCTGTGTAAAAATGTCTGTAAGCAATTGCAGATTCCCTTGCTAACCCATACTAGGCATTTACCGACTGACTGGTGAACAATTTGAGCTGAGTTCTTTACCATTGTGTCTAGTGGCATGACCCGTATAATTAAATGCTTGTTTCTGTTCTTGCACATGGTTTTTCTTTTTAATTTATTTTGGGTTATTTGATTGTCCTGTGACCTCAGCTCCCTGACTGCTTCAGGAAAAGTTGTCAATTTGAAGACTGTCTGGCTTTTGTTGTTGTTGCTGCTGACATTGCTGGAAGGCCATGAGCAATGTTCTTTTTGGCTTTCTACATCCAAGGGAAAGCTGACCCAACATGATTAAATCCAACTCTCCATTTTCTCCGTGTTTATACTTGGGAATCTGATTATAGCTGGAGAAACACAATTCTGTTGGCTGGTTTTGTTCTCAGTTCAAGACCATCAACCTCAAATGAAGCCCTTGGTGCTGCCCAAGAAACTCACATTATATCCCTAGTCTATTCATTCTGTTAGAAAAGAGATCAGCAAGCTTTTCCTATAAAGAGCCAGACGATAAGTATTTTAGGCTTTGTGAGATAGTCTCTGTCTCATACTCTTTAATGTGTTTACATTTACCCCCAGGTTTGTATATGCATGTTTGGTTTGTTTATCTATTCATTCATGCATTTGTTTGATATTTATCCTTTTTGATGTTCTCTGAGTTTCTTGGATCTGTGGTTTGGTATCTGTCACTAATTTTGGAAAATTCTCAGTCATTTATTTTTCAAATGTTTATTCTTCCTCATCCTTTCCTCTCCCACTGGGATTCTAATTACGCATGTATTAGAATATTTGATATGGTGTCACAGCTCTTAGATGCTCTTATTGTTTCCTTCCTCCACTTATTTTTCTCTTTGCATTCCTATTGACCTATCTTCATACTCACTGATTATTTCTTCTGCTGTGCTGTGTCTGCTGATGAGCCCATCTAAGGCATTTTTTACTTCTTGTTTTTATTTCCAGCATTTCCCTTTGATTCTTATAGTGTCCAACTCTCTGCTAAAATTATCTATCTGATCTTGCGTATCATCTGTCTTTTCCATTTGGGTGTTTAAAATATTAATCATAGTTACTTAAATCTCCTGTCCAGTTGTTCCAGTATCTGTATCTTCTTGGGGTCTGGATGATGACTGCTCTGTCTCTTCGGACTGTGCTTTTTCTTACCTTTAGGTATGCCTCATAATTTTTGCTGAAAGTTAGACATGTTGTATAAGACAGTAGACATAGAGGTCAGTATTTTTATGCTTGAAAATAAGAACATCTTTCTTACTGTTAGGTCTTTATTGTAGGTATTTGTGTTAATCTAGTTAGGGTGGGCGGGATTTGAAGTTTGTAATTGCTGTAGTTACCAAAGCTGGAGTTTGTTGCTGCTATGGATACTAGCGATTTCAAATTCCTCTAGTGGTACCCTGTTTTGAACTTGGTTTTGGGCTGTCCTTTGTGCTGCTCCCTAGAAAGAAAATGCCTTGCAAAACTCACTCAGTCACATTCCACTGTGATTTTTACCAAAGGCTTGTTAATGTAATGGGCGAAGAGTGGCAGGTTTTCTGATGTTCCAGTTAAGCCTCAATCTTAGACAGGTACTGTGAATTTGGGACTTGGGGGCTGTACCCTTCATAAGTGTTCCCTTCTCAAGGAATATGATTGTTTTTTAACATTTAGGTTTTTTTTTTTTCTTTTTTCCTGCCTGTTCTCTTTCACCAGCTTCACTGGATACCCACCAGTGTCCTCAGACAATGGGTTTGATACCGTTCTCCCTGCAGATCATGGCTTTCTTTTCCTTAGGAGAGATTTCACAACTTGGGTGTGAGCAGAGTCTGAGCAATGATTGCTTTTCCTGTCCCCTAGCCAGCACCATAGGGAAAGCTTTCTCTAAATGCTTCCCCAATCTTCCCTGACAGAGCCTGCTCGCCTTCACATTTCATGCCAGCTCACACTAAGCCTGTAGCAGTTCATTAAAAATTTCTGGTTTAATCTTTGTACCAGCTTATATGGCATTCAAAAGCATCTATCTCAGTCAAGCCGTTCCTATTCCAGAATGCTCAGTTCCTGTTGCTTTCTGCAGGCACCTGTCCTTGAAATTTTGCGTTGGTTGTCCTCTGACCTCAGTTTTCTGAAGGGTTCAAGAAAAGGTGTTATCTTGCAGTTTGTTCAGCTATTTTCCTTGTAGGAATGACAGTGTCATCATTCCAGCTCTCTTCATCATCAAACTGACACCTGAAGCCTCCAGAAGCTAAATATATAAAGAATTAAGAGTTCTTTATATATTAGGTGTATTAGCCCTTTATCTGTGAGGTATATTACAAATGTTTTCTCCTGGCCGGGCATGGTGGCTCACGCCTATAATCCCAGCACTTTGGGAGGCGGAGGCAGGGGGATCACTGGAGGCCAGGAGTTTGAGACCAGCCTGGCTAACATGGTGAAACCCCGTTTCTACTAAAAATAAAAAAATTAGCCAGGCGTGGTACGCATCTGTAATCCCAGCTATTTGGAGGCTGAGGCTGGAGAATCGCTTGAACCTGGGAGGCGGAGGCTACAGGGAGCTGAGATCACTTCAGCCTGGGCAATGACGTGAGACTCTGTCTCAAAACAAACAAACAAAAAGAAACCAAACAAATATCTTCTCCCAGTTTATCAACTGTCTTTCGATTTTGTTTATTTTCTTTTTTAAACTCTGCCCAGTTTTGCCTTTCCCATAGAAACCCCAATAAAAGTGAGGGCCTAGGCTTTACCCTCAGTCCTGCTTCCGCCTGTCCAAACTGTATCTCTCCTGTAGCTCTGTGTGATGTGACTTGTCCTCTTCTCCAAGGAAGTATTAGTCATAAATTCTTCTTTCAGCGGCACTGATCTATCTGTGTCATCACTCAGTCAACCGCATAAATTAAGACCTAGGCACAGAACAACTCTGTTTCTATTTCTATAAAATTCTAGAAAATGCAAACTAAACCAGGCCGGGCGCGGTGGCTCACGCCTGTAATCCCAACACTTTGGGAGGCCGAGGCGGGTGGATCATGAGGTCAGGAGATCGAGACCATCCTGGCTAACAAGGTGAAACCCCGTCTCTACTAAAAATACAAAAAATTAGCCGGGCGCGGTGGCGGGCGCCTGTAGTCCCAGCTACTCGGGAGGCTGAGGCAGAAGAATGGCGTGAACCCGGGAAGCGGAGCTTGCAGTGAGCCGAGATTGCGCCACTGCAGTCCGCAGTCCAGCCTGGGCGATAGAGCGAGACTCCGTCTCAAAAAAAAAAAAAAAAAAAGAAAATGCAAACTAAACCATAATGACAAAAAGAATATTAGTGGTTTCCTAGGGATGGGATGTGGGCAAAGAGAGACAAAGGAAGGAGGGATTACCAAGGAGCACAGGGAAACTTCGGGATGAGGGATATGCTCATTATCTTGACTGGTGATGGTTTTGCAGGTGGGCCAAAACTAATCAAACTTTACACTTCATCTATATGACCAGCTATCATATGTCAATTATCCCTCAATAAAGCTGTTTTAAAAACATTTAGGGTATATCTACTGGAAAGTAAAACTGCTTTTAATTACAGACTATATCATCATGTACATAGAAAAATCCAAAGGATTCTGCAAAAAAGCTACTAGAACCACTGACTTCATCAAGATGCAGGTACAAAGTTAATATTCAAAATCAACTATATTTCTATACGAGAGCAACAAAAAATGGAAAAATGAAAAATTTTTAAATAATACCATTTATAATAGACTACTGGGGCAGACTGTACATTAAAAAAATACAAAACATTGCTGAGACTAATTAAAAATAATCAACAAAATGGAGATCTATACCATGATCGTGGATTAGAAAATTCAATATTATTAAGATGTCAATTCTTCCCAAATACATGTACAAATCCAACATAATCCCAACCAAAATCCCAGGATTTTTTTGAGAAATTAATAAGCTGACCCTAACATTTAGATAGAAATGCAATTTTAAAAAGGAAAAACAAAGTTGGAGAACTACCTACTTTCAAGATTTATTGTAAAGTTACAGTAATCAAGACAGTGTGGTATTGACATAATTATAGATCAAGAGAATAATAGAGTCCAGAAACAGATTCATATTTAATGTGATCAATCAATTTTCAGTGAATGTACGGAGACAATTAATTCAATGGGGGAAAAGACAGTTACCACAATGGAGCATTTCTGAAAATGTTTTGTAACTCAATTGTGGTGATGGATATATAGCTTCATATATTTGTCAAAACTCAGAGAATGGTACACTCAAAATTGGCACATTTTATTACATGTAAGTCATACCTCAAAAAAGCTGATTTGGTGACAAAGATTTATATATGTTGTTGATAGAAGAAAAAATCCAAATACTTATTAAACGTGGAAATATATTTATCCCCATAAATAATAAGGGAAGTACAAATTAAAACAAAAAAGCATATCACAGCCATCATAAGAGTAAAAATCACAGGGTCTGACAATTCAAAATCTAATAAGGATATGAGAAAATTCTAGACAGCAGTGTGAACTGCCACATTTGCTTCAGACAGCAATTTAGCAGTATCTGGTAAAGCTGAAAAATCACACACTCTATAACAGCAATTCCACTTCTAGGTATATATCCTAGACAAAATATTGCACATACACAGAAGAAAACCATACAAAAGTGTACATTTTAGATTACATTGCTTGTAATCAAAAAATTGGAAATAATATATTAAGATGGGGAAATACATAAACTTTAGAATTCATAAAATGGTTAAAATTAAAGAAATATATATATACAGAAAGTTCAAAAATACAATTTTGAAGAAAAAATCCTACAGTGACACATTCAGTATGAGATCATTTATGTGGACTTAAAGCACATAATAAAACAATCTCTAAAAACAGAGATTGGATGGATACACACACCAAATTTTAATAAAGGTATAAGTTGGACTAGAAGCAGAACAAAGGTGATTTTAACTGTATTTATAATATTTTAATTATTTTAAAATAGCTGATGCAAAAATGACAAAGATTAGCGTTTATTTTAGATGGTTGATCACACATATTTGAATATTATTTTCTAAGTCTCTGTAGTTTTAAGCATTTCAAAATCTAAAGAATAATAATTTTTAAAAGCTATAAAAATATGAATAAAGGACTAGAAAGCAGTAACTTTTCATTAATATGCTGGATTCTGAGACAACTTTAAACTCAACAGTAGTATTTACCATGGTGTCAAATTTAGCATTTATCTTGAGTTCACAAACTGAGTTCACTAATTTTGTCTCCGTTTTTCAAATTTCTAGCATTTATAGACTACTATAACAACCATACTCTCCCTCTCCCCTCTCCCCTCTCCACGGTCTCCCTCTCCCTCTCTCTCTCCACAGTCTCCCTCTGATGCCGAGCGGAGGCTGGACTGTACAGCCACCATCTCGGCTCACTGCAACATCCCTGCCTGATTCTCCTGCCTCAGCCTGCCGAGTGCCTGGGATTGCAGGCTCGCGCCGCCACGCCTGACTGGTTTTTGTATTTTTTGGTGGAGAAGGGGTTTCGCCATGTTGGCTGGGCTGGTCTCCAGCTCCTGACCGCAAGTGATCTGCCCGCCTCGGCCTCCCGAGGTGCCAGGATTGCAGACGGAGTCTCGCTCACTCAGTGCTCAATGTTGCCCAGGCTGGAGTGCAGTGGCGTGATCTCAGCTCGCTACAACCTCCACCTCCCAGCCGCCTGCCTTGGCCTCCCAAAGTGCTGAGATTGCAGCCTCTGCCCGGCCGCCACCCCGTCTGGGAAGTGAGGAGCGTCTCTGCCTGGCCGCCCATCGTCTGGGATGTGAGGAGCCCCTCTGCCCGGCCGCCCAGTCTGAGATGTGAAGAGCGCCTCTGCCCGGCCGCGACCCCGTCTGGGAACTGAGGAGTGTCTCTGCCTGGCCACCCATCGTCTGGGATGTGAGGAGCCCCTCTGCCCGGCCGCCCAGTCTGGGAAATGAGGAGCGCCTCTTCCTGGCCACCATCCCGTCTGGGAAGTGAGGAGCGTCTCTGCCCGGCCGCCCATCGTCTGAGATGTGGGGAGCGCCTCTGCCCGGCCGCAACCCCGTCTGGGAACTGAGGAGTGTCTCTGCCCGACCGCCACCCCGTCTGGGAGGTGAGGAACGTTTCTGCCCAGCCGCCCGTCTGAGAAGTGAGGAGCCCCTCCGCCTGGCAGCCGCCCCATCTGGGAAGTGAGGAGCCCCTCCGCCCGGCAGCCGCCCCGTCCGGGAGGTGGGGGGCAGCCCCCACCCGGCCAGCCACCCCGCACGGGAGGGAGGTGGGGCCAGCCCCTGCCTGGCCAGCCGCCCCATTCGGGAGGTGGGGGGCAGCCCCTGCCCGGCAGCCATCCCGTCCGGGAGGTGGGGGGCGCCTCTGCCCGGCTGCCCCATCTGGGAAGTGAGGAGCCCCTCTGCCCGGCAGCCACCCCGTCTGGGAGGTGTGCCCAACAGCTCATTGAGAACGGGCCATGATGACGATGGCGGTTTTGTCGAATAGAAAGGGGGGAAATGTGGGGAAAAGAAAGAGAAATCAGATTGTTGCGGCGTCTGTGTAGAAAGAAGTAGATATAGGAGACTCCATTTTGTTCTGTACTAAGAAAAATTCTTCTGCCTTGGGATGCTGTTAATCTATAACCTTACCCCCAACCCCGTGCTCTCTGAAACATGTGCTGTGTCCACTCAGGGTTAAATGGATTAAGGGCGGTGCAAGATGTGCTTTGTTAAACAGATGCTTGAAGGCAGCATGCTCGTTAAGAGTCATCACCACTCCCTAATCTCAAGTACCCAGGGACACAAACACTGCGGAAGGCTGCAGGGTCCTCTGCCTAGGAAAACCAGAGACCCTTGTTCACATGTTTATCTGCTGACCTTCCCTCCACTATTGTCCTATGACCCTGCCAAATCCCCCTCTCCAAAAAACACCCAAGAATGATCAATAAATACTAAAAAAAAAAAAAAAAAAAAACAACCATAGTCTTTTAGGCTAAGTGTTGGAAGATAGTAATAGATTTCCGGCTGTGTGACTAAATAAATCTTACTTTACTAACGTAAGTCCAAGATAACTATTCAAGCTCATCACTCTCACTGTCCCTTCACGTGGTCATCGTGCCCACCTACGAGGTATCCAAAGCCAAAAGCCCATCCCCATTTAGAACCTTTTTGGCTCCCATGACTCTCTTTTCCATTTGGCTTGTCTATTACCCTGGCTATTATTTACACACTAAAGTTCATTCTTTGAGTTCATGAGAGAACAGTTTCTGGGGTCTTTAAATTTTAAGAGAGGAACTTATGATATTCTGCTCAACTATAAGGATACACACAACTAATAAACGTGAAAGGTCCCCTCCCTTTCTTAAAAAGATTGTGCTTACTATTTTTATCTGATAAAGAGGATCACTCTATAAATATATTATTTGTCTCAAATTATGACTCACCTCTGGATAAAGATGGAAGCATTTTACTGCATTAATTCCAAGAGGATTTCAGTAAGCCTGTCATTCATTATCGTCCCCAGTCCTTCCAAAAATGAAGGTGCTTCAATATTGGTCTCGAAGTAGGAATAAAAGTCCCTTTAAAAAAAAAAAAAAAAAAAGAAGGCACATGTTGTCAATGTAATTAAAACTTTAAAATATTTATTTTTATCACTTCTTTAGAACATTTTTTTCTGAAAAAAAAGGTCAATAATAAGACTTCCTAATTACGCCTCGCTATTTTGCATTCTTGGACTTTAAAAAGCACGTATTTTCAGGTGATCACTGTACTATTCTTTCAAGTTTTCTATAGGCTTTCAAACTAAAGAGTTGGAGGGATGGTCGAATGATTTAAAGAGTTTCTCTAATAATGTCTTAAAATGTGTAGACAGTATATGTTCAATTTTCCCAAATCTGGTTTTATCCCCCACATTTGAGATGCTTGAAGGTTGACATCTGATTAATTCTGTCATAAACAGGGATGCCTTCATGCCTCTGTACAACTTTGCATATAGAAAATTACTTCTTTTTTTCCCATGCTCTTAGGAAATAAAATATAATGACCATAAGCATCATGAGCAAGGAATCCAGTGCTTCTAGCTTAATTCATAGCTCCATCTAATCCTCTGTGCTAAGTGAAAGCTCAATGTTGATTGACTATTGTTGCTCACAAATACTATGTACTAAAAAGCAGATTATTTTAGTGTCTTACACTTCAGCATATAAAATAAAGGCTTCATTAGGATAGTAAAAGTGCTGTTGAGTTAAAATTCATGGATTAACAATAGCATGTTATGTCTTATTTCCCCATCAATTTCTTGCTTTCGCTCCTAAAATCTAAAAGCAAAAAAGGGCCACATTGTTTAAAATGCATTCTCCCTAAAAAATGCTATATGCTATAATCATATCTGCCTCATCCAACACGAGTAACTACTAAATTAAACGTCTGTTTTAGCTGATGTCTGAAAGGCCATTACCTCATAGTTGATTGGCAAAATATGAGTTCATAAAGAATTTTCCTTTCTGCTTAGGAGGATAAAGCAATACAATAATTAAAGGATATCTAATATGCAAAAGTCTATATTTAGGGAAATATTAAATATTCTCTTTAAAATGTTCAAATGTCATACATATGTTAATGTATCCAATGCTTTGAAACTTTATAGGGGCAATATAGGGATGAAAATTAAAAAGCAGTGACGGAGGGGCCTGGCATAGGCAAAATCATAGAGATAGAAAATAGAGCTGAGTGTGATTAGTGTTTAGTGGGTGGAGTTTCTGTTTGGGATAGCAAAAAGTTCTGGATGTGGACAGTGGTAATAGTTGCAAGACAACACGAATGTACTTAATGTCACTGAATTGTACGCTTAAATGATAACCATTGACATTTTTCTATTACAAACTTAAATCTAAATTTCACCATAATTTAAACAAAAAGCAATGGCTAGAGTGAGGAGAGTCAGCTTCAATGCTTCAGTAGGCCCCCGACCAGCTGGGAGCAGATCTGGAAGATGGACGGTTGTGGTGTCTTCTAAATGTAAAATTGCACAATTTTGGTATTCGCTATCCCATTTACTCCTCACAATAATTATGTGAGATGTGTATGGCAGAAAACTCCATTTTAAAGATTAAGTATCGAAAAACAGAAAAATATTTAAAAATTATATCAAAAGTCATCTCTTAAAAGAGATTATCTTGAAATCAAAAGAGAACCAAATAATAATCATCATCAGTAAAAGACCCAGTAAAACATGGGACCTCCCAACTGTAGCCAAAGAAAAAGCAATTTCTGATAACATCTCATTTCATTCCCCTTTATCACTTCTTCAGTGCTTTCTTTGTCCTCCTTCCTCAGCTACTATAATTCATCTTCATTATCTTAAAAAGAAGTCTGCATTAGGAAAGGGTGAGAGATAATGAAGTAACAGAAAAATAATCTCAAACACTTTACTATTTAAATAATAAACCTGGGTTATAGCTTATGAAACAGTGCAATGAAGTATCATATTACAATAAGAACAAGTTTCAAAACCAACATTAAAATAAGCGATAAGTAAGAAAGCCATAAAAAAGGAAACAATAAATTGTTATAATATTGTTTTTATAATTTGCTTACTAACTCGTATGTTTTTAGGCATTTATAATGCAGTATGGCACACACCTGAAATTCCTTAACTCAGTGGTTTTTAAACTTAATTGTTGCCGGGTGCGTTGGCTCATGCCTGTAATCCCAGCACTTTGGGAGCCCGAGGCGGGCAGATCACTTGAGGTCAGGAGTTTGAGACCAGCCTGGCCAACATGGTGAAACCCTGTCTCTACTAAAAATACAAAAATTAGCCAGCCATGGTAGTGCATGTCTGTAATCCTGGCTGCTAGGGAGGCTGAGGCAGAAGAATTGCTTGAACCCAGCAGGCGGAGGTTGCAGTGAGCAGAGATCATGCCACTGCACTCCAGCCTGGGCGACAGAGTAAGACTCTGTCTCAAAAAAAAAAAACCAACTTAATTGTATATCTAAAATTCTTGTGGCTTGTTTCACCCTTCCTTCCATCCCAGGCCTCTAAATCAGAACAGAGGCAGGTTAGTGTTTGTTTTTTAAGTTTCAAGTGATTCTAATGTACCAGCCTTGGGAAATACCTCCGTAACTGTTGAAAAGGGTTCAGAATATAATTTTAAATAAAATTACTTTAGATCAAAACAGACTTACAATAAGTATAATATCACATAAAGGATCAACTTTCAAGCGCCAAAGAATACAGGTGTGTACTTGAAGACCTTTTAGTAGTGAAACTCAGCAGCTGTAGGCAGTGAAGAAAGGAGCATATGTGATAAACAAAATTAGCTGTGGTCAACAATTATGCTATAGCTAACTTATGTAGTCAGTACTTTCCAGTGAAGTTGAAAATAAAGCAAAGTTCCATGTATTAACCCTGTTTTCCACTAACCCTTCTTTACATGTAGGACATATGCCAGGGTACCAAAAACTGCAGGAATATTCCCTAGCATTGCAGCCTCAGTTCTAATACCAAAATCTCCCTGCAGACTAAATGTCTAGAGCAGCACTGTATCAATAGAACATAGGGGCAGATCTCATACCTTCCAAGGGTAGAAATCGCTGAGCACAGGTAAAAATAAAATATTCCAGAGGGAAATATTATTTTACAAATTTTTATAAACACTTTTGTAAAATAATGTACACAGCCTTGCACACTGAAAGAGTCAAAGCCATTTAACTCTGTATAACCACTGCAGAATCTTTATCTTCTTTTTTACCTGACTTCCAATTGGCGGGTGTTACTAAAACTTTATCACCAAAGTTATTTCACTAGCTGAGCGTGGTGGCTCATGCCTGTAATCCCAACACTTTGGGAGGCCAAGGCAGGTGGATCATTTGAGGCCAGGAGTTTGACACCAACCTGGCCAACACGGTGAAACCTCATCTCCACTAAAAATACAACAAATTGGCTGGGTGTGGTGGCGCATACCTGTAATCCCAGCTACTCAGAAGGCTGAGGCACGAGAATCACTTGAGCCTGGGAGGCATAGGTTGCAATGAGTCAAGATCGCGCCACTGCACTCCAGCCTGGGAGACAGAGCAAGACTGTCTCAAAAAAAAAAAAAAAAGTTATTTCACTAGCAACATATAATTACCATAAAACAAAGGAGGGTTTTAAATGAACTACACATGCAAAATACACTAGAAAAGCTAGATATTTTTAAAAACGTGGTGAATTATTTGGTAAAGCCAAAATATTTTAATTCATAAGTTACTATTCCCCCAATGCATCTATTTTGTAAATGCTGTTTCACATATGAGGTTTGTAAAAAAGCAAAATATATGTATAAAATGGCGTACATAAAGATGTTCTACAAATATAGCCAGAAGTTATTGTTTTACTGTATGCAAAGAGTGATGGCAATTTTTAATTCAAATGTTTTTAAATATTTCGAACTGAAACTAAATCTTACCAATGTAAAATTGCCACAAAGACGGCTGGAAAAGAGAAAAGTTATTAAAAGCTGCTTTATTATAAAATACCATTAAAACAAGTATTTCAAATGTATTATTTTACATGTCTAGAAAAGATAGCACAGAAAGCAAGATGGCCAGCTAATCCTGTCTCTATGAGCATAGGAAAAAATCCAGGACACAAAGTAAATTCTGAACAGAGCTTACCTCTCTGCAGCAGGGCTTGACAAGCAAAGGGAGAGACTTGAGAGGGTTTTTTTACTTCAGTTAATTGGTAGGAGTGATGGAATTATGGAATATTGTGACCTTTTTTGTTTTTTTTTCTTTTTAGTATTCTATTCCTTTATATGAAATTTTTTAAAGAAGTAAATATATACAGTATGCTTCAGCTCGTTCTAACCAAGAGGTGCCACTCTAGATCAGTTTCTCTAGCATTCATCAGAAGACGATTAAATGCAGGCAATCACTTCCTCAGCAGCACATCTAAAAGCCCCATTGTGCAACTCAACCCTTGATGAATTGCAAGCTCTTTGCAAGCGCCCAGACTTAGGAACTACTAGATGGCCTAGGAGACTTATCTGGAGGCACCTGTGCCAGCACCCCATGTATACGTAAGACTTCACCAGGGAGCTGGGAGACACTGCTCTGGGTATGGAGCTTTTACCAGAGCTGCAAACGCAGCCTGTGCCCCTGTTTCGTTGGGGAATTGCTTGTTTTCAAGGGTACCATGGAGCTGGAGAGAGAAAAGTGGGGAATAGAACAAGTTAAAACACCACAGACTTTGCTGTTCTTATAGAGGTTCAGCAGCTTTTCTTGAATTAATGCCCTTTAGATTGTTGTAAACCTTTGGTTAACTTCCAAAGTTTTGAAGAAAATGATTTTGATAATTTTCCAAGTATTTTCATTGTCATCATGGAGGAGTGCATTTCCTTGGCTATTCCAGAAGTCCTACCTCCCTTCTGAGATTTTATAATGGTATTTCTTATGGTTATCCCAAATATACTTGGCAAGTCGTCTTATAAACCACCAATAATAGCCTCTTAAAAATTCAAAAATTACTCCTCTTGGCTAACAAAATAAATGCAAATTAATTTAATAATTGTTGAAGAAATTAAATTTTTTAAAATTAAAAAATTGCAATGTTGAAATTCTCAACCATGCTTATCCAGACCTTTTCCTATACTACTAACTGCCCTGGGCTTATCTTAAATACTTCTCAGAAGATTTACTTGTTTTACACCAGGATAGGCAAAGTATGGCCCACAGTGTATTTTTGGACTGTCTGCAAGCACAGTTGCTATAATTTTTAAAAGGCTGAAAACTTTAAATTTTTGTAAATATGCTCATTAACTGTTTATTAGGCTTCATTAATTTTAAAATATACAGAGACTATCCTATTCAACTATATTTGTATCCTATTTCTAATTCTCCTAACAATTATATACACTGGCAAAAACTCTTCAGATGATATATAAGGAAAAGGTCAAATATACTACCGAATTCATCCAGCTTTCCAAAGATGCTCAAAATCTTTCTGTGTCTCTCACTCCCTCCCTTAACCCACATACCACATCTGAAAAAAAATGATATGGTGTAACGATGCCAGTATTCTAAATGCTTGAAGGGCTTATCACATGCCCTTTCCAAGCTGTGACAGAAGCATGTCCCTTGGACCCCGGCATCCTGTCAATCTCACCTCTGAAGGTGACCCAGTCTCATACTTCACTGAAACAAAGACCATTAGACGCCAGCACTCCCGACTTCTTTTATCTCCACTTTAACATTTCTCCATATAGTAATCCTCACTTTTCTACTCCCTGTCATCTCAGAAAAGGAATTCTCTCTCCTCTTTTCCACAGTTAGCTTCTCAAATTTGTGCCTTTAATTCTACCCCTCCCAAATATTCCAAGACTTGCTCCACTAATTATTTCCTCTCTTGGAATCTTAATCTCATCCTCTTCCCTTGATCCCTCCCCTCAGCCTTTAAAACTCCTAGACCTTAAAACACTCTCTGTGATCTGACAGCCCTTCAAACCAATATACTCCCCATCTCTCTCCCCTGGTTCAATGGCAAGATCTTTGGCCAACTGCTTTCTACTCGGACCTTGCTATTATTTGCTACTAGGCACCCACAAACCGTTGCTTGTTAAACTGATCTCCTTCAAGACTTAAGAAAAGCGCCATGCGGCTCCCTCCCAGGGCTCTCCTGCCCTCTCCTCACCGATGCCAAGAGTGGTCCTGCTGGAGAACTGCCGCGCCTGCAGTTCGTGCACCTTTTCCCGAAGCTGCGCCAGGAAATTATGGACGAACTGGAAGGGGCCGAGAAGAAGGGTCTTGGCCCCCAACTGTAGCTCCAAGCCTTTTTGTGCTTTCAGATTTCGGATCCTCCGCGTGGAGCACCTTGGGGCGCCCCTTGGCAGGTTCCCGCCGCATAGGGCCGACTTTTCCACCTCTGGCTCCAGGGCGGGAAGATTGTAGCGGCTTTGAGCTTACTACTTGTTTTCTTATAATCCCTGGCGGAGCTGGGTCAATTTCAGGCACAGCCCAGCTCAGTCAGGCGAGGTCCAGAAAGGCCTGACTTGCCTGGCAGCCTCAACGGACTTGTCCCCGCAGCCCTTGCGGACCTCCTGGTCGTCATGGCGACTGTGAAATGTGGGGTGGGGAGCATGCGTTCGAAGCCATTTGCGCGGGCAGTCCCTGCGTGTCCCCCCACGTGCTCCCCAGCACTCGCAGGACCCCCGCCTCCGAGCTTCCCTGAGCGTGCAGCTTCCAGTGAGGGCAGCCCCACGCACAGCCCCCCACACCCTCCCCAACGCCTTCAGCCCCCGGTGCGCGTAGTCCCCAAGCCCACACGTGCACTCTCCACCTTGCGGCAGCTGCACGTACAGCCCCCCACACGCTCCCAGCCCCACTGGCGCAGAACCCATCACCGCTCGCCCTTCACGCGCTTCACTGGGAGTGCAGCCCCCACCCCGAGCGCGCAGCTCCACGCAGCCTCTCCACACTCTCCCCAGCGCCTGCAGCACCCCCAGTGCGCACAGCTCTGCCAGTCGCTTCCCCGCGTGCCGCCCCTGCACCACTTCGGGCCATAACCTTGCTGGCGACTAAGTCTGAAGAACTTCCCGTGATTTAATTCTTTTCTTCGAGTTTAGTCTTAGCTTTGACATTTTAACCAAAAGGTTACACGTTAATTTATGGTATGAGGTCACCACTTCTCCTATTGTCCTTCTCAGTTTCTCCCCAACCTCTCCTATTCCCTATTTTATAAGACAGGAGAAAAGGGAGAAAGCAAAAAGTTAGAAAGAAACAGAAGTAAGATAAATAGCTGGAGGACCTTGGCACCACCACCTGGCCCTGGTGGCTAAAATAATAATAATATTATTAACCCCTGACCAAAACTATTGGTGTTATGTGTAAATTCCAGACACTGTATGAGAAAGTACTGTAAAACTTTTTGTTCTGTTAGCTGATGTATGTAGCCCCCAGTCACGTTTTTCACGCTTACTTGATCTATTATGACTTTTTCACGTAGACCCCTTAGAGTTGTAAGCCCTTAAAAGGCCTAGGAATTTCTTTTTCGGGGAGCTCCGCTCTTAAGACACGAGTCTGCCGACGCTCCCGGCCGAATAAAAAACCTCTTCCTTCTTTAATCTGGTGTCTGAGGAGTTTTGTCTGCGACTCGTCCTGCCACAAATTAACGAAGTATTAAAGGGGAAGATCTCAGCTGAAAGAAATGACTGTAGGAAGTGTGTCAGGAAAGCCAACGGACCCGCAGGCCCGCCCGTGGTGCCCGCGGCATTAGGAACGTCTCTGCTCTCCTACGATCGCTGGGGTATCGGACAGTCAGTGCCCGCTGTCAATGCGGAGGGAACGGGCCGAGACTGCGGGCAACACGTGGCAGAGCCGGCCTGAGTCCGGTGGGTCTGATCCCAGAGCCTCAGGTTGACGCCAATTCCTTGGCATGGGACAGCGTTTACTGAATCTTAAAGCAAAATGCTTTTAAAATAAGGTTCCTCAGAAGTCGTCAGCCCTAGGAGCGGTGTGCTCAAGCGCTTTCAGCACCAGCCAGGACCAACTAAGAGGGGAGCCCTTAGCTCCCAGTCACCGCGCAGCCCTACAGGAGGCCAAAGCGGCTGGCACAGATGCACTGGGGCCACTGACATTTTCCATGTCCTCTTGTCACGGGCCATATGCTGGATGGAGCCCACACCGCTTCACTTCCCATCTGTCTGATGATGGATCAAATTGAACTCCCATATCCTAACTGACCAGTCTAAATCATGGCTCATTGTGGCCAGGTTAATTTTTCCTGATGCAACACAGCACAAAAATGTTCATGGCTCCCCATAGCCCACAAATCAAGTCCTAGGCTTGCTCACCAATGCCTTCAATAATTGCCCAATATACCTTTTCAACTTTAATTTCCCACTTCCTCAGGCACAAATCTTCCATCCCAGTCATTTCAGGTGAGGTCCACAGCCTGAGACACCATAACTGCTGAATTCCTTTACTCATATGGAAAAGCCACCCCTTGGCTTTTACATCCTTTTCTCCCTGCCCATCTGAATGCTATCACCTTCCAAGCCCCAGCCCATTTCTCCAGTCCATATTAATTATGCTTTTTCTGAAGGTCTAGAGCACTTAACTGACAGTACTATTTATCTTGTCATTCATTTAAATTCAGTAAGTGCTATTACTGTTCATTTCTTGTTTTGGGAGATTTTTTTTTAAGGAGCATTTCTACATTCCTGGCATTGTGTTTGGTGCTCAAAATGTTTTCTTACTTAATTCATGCAATAACTATATGCAAATTTTAAAATCAAGCATCAGGATGTAGTTATTTGCCCAAGTTTTAACAGCTAATAAATTCTATCTGTCCAATACTGCATTTAAAATACAAAGTATTTATGGTGGTTGTTAAGAATATATTCTTGAATGGCTAGGCAAACTCAAAATAAAGGACCTTATTTTAAAGTATGACTTTTTAATTTTTTTGCAACAATAAGTGAAGTGGAGTGATTGTTTTTCTTTTTAGTCAGTTTGTTTCTTCTGGAGTTTCCAACTGCCTTTTGCATCACTTGGTGTCCTGGTGGGATAAAATATGCTCTTACCCATGATCTAGTCCTTGAAAGTGCAAATCTGGTCATTTTATCATTTAAAAAATTAATCTTTTTATAAGAATGTTCATTGTGCTATTATTTATATCGTTGAAAAAATAGAAATGGCCTCAATGCCAAACACTAAGTTATGAAACATTCATATAATGAAGCATTACAGCCACTAAAGTCATTTTGCATGGATATTTAATAATATGGGAAAATAGTCATGATATAGTGTTAAAGGAAAAATGAAGCAGGATATATTTTATGATTCATATGTTTAGTAACACATAAAATTAACTGTGTGCCATGTGCTGCTCTAAATCTTTTACACAGGGGACTCATATAGGAAGATTACCAATGTATGACCTTGAGCTAGTAATTTAGCCACTCTAGGATTAATTTCCTCATCTGAAAAATGAAGACAGTTATATTTGTCTTACTGATGATGTGATCGAATGAATTAATGCTTGTAAAGCATCAAAAACAAAGCACGTGCTTAAACAAATGTTCCTTTATTATGTTCTAGACTGGCCATCCTATAGTGCAGTAGTGAGGATTTTTAGGTTGGTGCAAAAGTTATTGCTATTTTTGCCAACACTTCCAATTAATATTTTGCTCACTTGGTTTGTTTGTCATCAAGTGATATGTTAGTAATTATTGAACAGTAGTACATGTTTTAGGTTCATTAGTTAACAGAGATAGTTGCCTAAATCATTATGTATCTACTCCTACTAAGGAGAGGAGTAGATTTGTGTATAAGAGGGAAATCATGACACTTAGTTTTATGTGCGGTTAAATAGAATCATGGATGTTTTCATGTTTTTACAGCCTCTCTAACAGAGGTCACTTATTTTGACCTCGTTATTTTCAATGGTTATTTTAGTCGCATTTTAGCTGCATACTAACTAATGACAATAACTTAAAGCAGTTAGCCTGATAATTTAATCTATGATGAATTGTCAATTAAAATAGCACATTATAATTAGGTATGATGCAATATATTCTTGCATTATCTTATCTTTGAAACAGACATGCCTCATGATTTAGCTTTTTTTGTTGCTGTTCTCAAGATAGGGTCTCACTGTGTCACACAGGCTAAAGTGTGATGGTGTTCACTGCAACCTTGAACTCCTGGGCTCAAGCGATCCTCCTGCCTCAGCCTCCTGAGTAGCTTGGACTACAGGTGCAGGCCACCACACACAGCTAATTTGTTTATTTTTGTAGAGACAGGGTATCACTATGTTGCCCAGGCTGGTCTAAAACTCCTAGCCTCAAACACTCCTGCCGCCTCTGCCTCCCAAGGTATTGGGATTACAGGCATGAGCCACTGCACCTGGCTGCAAATTATTTGTCTTACATAGAGATCTCTAATCCGGTTATGGATATCTAAAACTTGCCTCAGTTTTTCCTTTGTCTTTTAGTAAAGCAACTGGGAAAAAAATGCCATTAAACTATTTAACCAGCAGATGGCAATAATGATCTGTAAATCAAAATTTCAAAACGCAGTTACTTATTAAATTCGTTCTTTAAAAAAAATCACTGTTCTTATAATAAATCCATTTACTAAATATGAAATGTAGGAAAATTCCAAATGTAACCCCACATAAAAATTACATTGCATATTTCATATATCAAAATAATCAAGATATTCATCATGGCCAAGATTTAGTTTTCCAAATAATAATGACTTTGTTTTAACTGATTCAGATAATTTATTAGATTTAAAGTTTTAACTTTCACAAATACATACATATAAATTTAAGTGGATAGTTAAGTTCCATCTCTAGCCTCCAGGCTAGATAGAGGTAGTTCAGTGAAGACCATTTTGAAAATATTACAAACTTTTCCACTTATAATTTGGTAATTTAAAATATGAATTTCACTTTAATTGAAACTTTCTGCATAAAAGATTGGTCTTTATTTGTGCTGTCTCATAATTTCTTATGCATTAAGATACTTTTCCCCCTTTGTACAGTGCAAGGAGTTGGAATTGGCACCAAAGTATTAGTCTCTAGTTTATCAGCTTTAGTTATTCCCAAAGATGGTGGCAAAATTATTGGGATCTCATAGTTATTTTATTTAGTAATTTTATTTATTTTCATTATCCCGCTCTAAGACTTCTACAAATTCCAACATGAAATACATCCTTTGTTTAATTTTGTAGCTCCATTTTTGTCTTCAAAAAATAGCATGGCCATAGGTATGTTCTTCTTGGAGCTTACTTATTTTCTAGGCAATTTCAAATTGGTCTGTTTATAAATGTTAAAAGATCCTTTCAAATTCTTCTTCAGCAAGTTGCCTCCACTAAAAAAAGTGTCTTTGGACATGTGTATTTTATAAAACAACTGCTTCAATCTAAAACCTTCCTTAGATTTACATATCTTGGATTGACTCATTTTTAAATAGCATATTTGCTGCTGTTGAATTACTTTACAGAGCCTCTTTAAATTCATATTGGATGCAGGTGCTTCATCAAGGAGAAAGTGGAAAGACACCAACTTGCCATGTCAATCAGAAAAGGCCACAAGCCTGAGTCTGAGAGAAAAAAGGAAAACAAAAATATCTTTAGCAGGAAATAAAGTGATTCTGCTCTTCTAGAATTATCTTAGGTGAGCTACAAACCTGCTGCTAACTCCAATTTTTTCAACATCATTTGAATATACCTCATCTTATATGCAGATTGACTAGTGTTCCCTGAAGCTTTCCAATTGCATTCAATTGAAGGGAGAGGGCCATAACTGTTTAGGTGCCAATCTCTGTGTTTTTGGAAACATGAAAAACCCATGCCTCATTTCTCTGCAATTGCATTTTAAGAATACATTATCTGCAACAGGGCTGGTCCAGTTAACATTTTCAAAGTGCAATTCCAGGCTTACAGAATGTTAAAGTGGATGGAGTCTTATATCTTCTGGTCTCATGGTTTTCAGATTGCTGAGAGACTCCAAAGCTGTTCCAAGGAGGTGACTCAATATTAATATTTTTACATGGCTGGGCATGGTGGCTCACGCCTGTAATCCCAGCACTTTGGGAGGCCGAGGAGGGTGGATCACCTGAAGTCAGGAGTTCGAGACCAGCCTGGCCAACATGGTGAAACCCCGTCTCTCCTAAAAATACAAAAATTAGCTGGGTATGGTGGGGGGCCGCCTGTAATTTCAGCTACTTGGGAGGCTGAGGCAGGAGAATCACTTAAACCCAGGAGGAGGAGGTTGCAGTGAGCCAAGATTGCACCATTGCACTCCAGCCTGGGCAACAAGAGGGAAACTCCGCCTGAAAAAAAAAAAAAATTCTTACACACAACAATAGCATAGAAATCAAGAGGCGATTAAATGTAGTTAAATAGTTTCAAGTTCCTTGAATTATCTTGCATGCAAAATGTGGATTAAGATTAGTCATTGATACACCAAGAATGAATGTTACAATTTCAGAGTCATCACTGAAATAATAGAAATGCAAAAATACATATCTTTCAGACTAAAAGAGAAGGAAAGCTGAGTGACAAGTCACTCAAACAATTTGAAAGAAAGCAAGAAAAGAGAGAAACAGGGACATAAAACAGCTAGGATAAACAGAAAACACATAGGAAGATGGTGGTTTTTTTATCCAAACTTATTAGTAATTATAAGTGCAAAGAGATTAAATGCCCCAGTTAATAATCAAAGACTATCAGACTGATATACACCATAATAGATATGAAAAAATATTCTTAATAGCACTAATTATAAGAGCCTCAAATTGGAGGCAAAACAAATGCCCATTAGCAGTAGAATAGATAAATAAACTATGGTATATTTCATACAATGGAATACTTTACAGCAACAAAAAAAAATGAAGAAACTGCATATGCTTGCAGCAACATAAAAAAACTTCTAAAAACATAATATAAAGGTCAAAGACAGAGACATTAAAGATATCATATGATCTCATTTATATGAAATTCAAAACTAGCCAAAATTAAATTATCATATTTGGCAATGCACACATAGGTAATTGTATTAGTCCATTTTTCACACTGCTGATAAAGACATACCCAAGACTGGGCAATTTACAAAAGAAAGAGGTTTATTGGACTTACAGTTCCACATGGCTGGGGAGGCTTCACAATCATGGCAGAAGGCAAGGAGGAGCAAGTCACATCTTACATGGATGGCAGCAGTCAAAGAGCAACCTTGTGCAGAGAAACTCCCATTTTTAAAACCATCAGATCTTGTGAGACCCATTCACTATCACAAGAACAGTACAGGAAAGACCCATCCCCATGATTCAGTCATCTCCCACTGGGTCCCTTCCACAACACGTGGGAATTATGGGAGCTACAAGATGAGATTTGGGTGGGGACACAGAGCCAAACCATATCAGTGATAAAACTCTAAAGCAAAGCAGGAAATCACTTTTTGTAAGAGTCCAGATTGAAATATCTTTGTGGGGAGAGGGAGGAGATGTACAGAGAGGGGCTGGCAGAGTCTCTTTTTTGCTCTAGCTGGCAGGTTCAAGGGTGTTCAGGTTATTTTGGAAGCAGTGCAGAGAAGGGAGCCAGACTAGAAACAGGGAGGTGATCAACTGGGTCTCGGTTACATACAGAAAACAGCAGAGACAGCTGAAAGATCCTTCTCTGTGTTCACAGCCATCATCTATGACTAGCATCCAGTGATAGCAGGAACACTGATGCCAACATTTTTCAAAGTTTGCAGAAACGACTTGGCTCCTCCACAGAGCATTGTGAGTCAGTTCAGAAGAAATCAATATCCATCTTCTGTTCTCTTCTTGCCTGCCAAGGGGACCTGGAATCCTTAAGCTTTTGCTCCTGGTTTCCCACTTCAATATTCATCCAAAGAGTCTCCTCCTGCTTGTTTTCATTCTTTCTGCCCTTCCTTGTCCCCCAGGGTGGAGATCTCAAGTGCATAATACCCCACTATGCGGTGATGTTAGCCCCAGAGCACAGCTGAACACAGCATTCCTCAGGAGAAGATTCATCCTCTATATAGGGAACACTGGAGATATTGCTGCTCTAACCCCAAAGAACTCATCACCAAAGCTTGGGACTTTGGGCCCATGGTAGGCAACTGGAAGAGCTATTTGTGGCAAACAGTGTAACTCAAACATCATCATAACTATCTGACAGACTTTAAGGAGGCCAATCCAATGTTCTCAAGCCTGGCTGCATCATGAATCACTCAAGGAATTTATTTTTTATCCAGATTTCTGAACCCCCAACCTCGATTCTGACTTACTGGGTTCTGAGTAGAACATGGAAATCTGTATTTACAGCAACTCACCCAGGTGATTTATCCAGGTGGCTCTGGTGCAACTCTTCAATGGGATGGTAATTAGGAGCATCCCAGGGGGTCAGAGCTCACGTACCTCATGGCCAGGAACTGTGTAGGCCTCCTTTGCTTACATCTAAATGTTTTCCCCTGGTCCAACTGGAATACGAATGTTACCTCCTAAGAGTCCAACTTTATCACTTCTTCTAACCATCTAGATATCTGCTGGTAAACTCAAGACATCTCTAATTCTTCCTCTTTCCACTAGAGATTAAATGCATTTTTTTCACATAAAGATAGACTTTAATCTAATGTGGTTATGTATGCATATAAATGTCCAAATGAGAGCCAAGTTGGGAAATATGGCCATGTGTTGATGTGATGTCTTGGA
The DNA here is from genome assembly GCF_000001405.40 of Homo sapiens. Lineage (NCBI taxonomy): Eukaryota > Metazoa > Chordata > Mammalia > Primates > Hominidae > Homo > Homo sapiens. The sequence goes on from NC_000007.14 coordinate 32,770,031, forward strand.
ACAAGGAAGGACACCTCTGCAGAGGTGTTTTGAGGGCTATACCAACATGCTGATGTGATCCCTTATCAAAGCACTCTAGAGCAGCCATTCTTAAATATTTTGGCCTCAAAAAGACCAAACAAGTCCTTTATGATTGCTTAAGTGTATTGTATGCATTGATATTTACATGGATATTTATAATCCATTCATGTTAAAACTTTAAAATGAAAAAATATTTGTTTATAAATCATTTACAAATAACAATAATAAACTCACTATATTAACAGAAATATCTTTTATATGAAAATAACTATTTTCAACAAAAATTTAGTGAGAAAAGTGACATTGTTTTAACTTTATGCAAATCTCTTTAAGTTTGACTTAATAGAAGACAGATTTTCATATCTTCTGCATTCAATCTGTTGCAATATGCTGTTTTGATGGAAATATATAAGGAAAATCAGTCCTCACAAATATGTAGTTAGCAAAAAAAAGAGTATTTTAATCTCCCTCTGCACTTAATCTGTTGCATTATAACATGCCATGTAACCTCTGGAAAATTCCACTGTACACATGACAGAACAAAAATGAAAAAGGCAAGTAACATCTTAATACTGTTAGAAAAATAGTTTTGACTTCACAGACCCCCAGGATTTTCAGACTTGGCCCCCACTTCCCCACTCTCCCCACCCCCATCCTAGTTCTGGACCATGCTTTGGAGACTGAAGACTGCATCTTCAAAGAAAAGCAACGTGCTCCTTTCTTTGCCAATAGACAGCCATTGCTGTAACACTGTCCTCTTGGACACAAAGCTGAGGCAGCTGAGGCGGCTGAGGCAGGCAAGCTAAGGGACCATTCGCATCCATTTGCAGAGCTGGTAAAAGTGCTAACTATAGCCAATGCCGATTGAGGCTTCGTTCCAGGCAACAAACACCTCAGCAGGTTCACCTGGTGATTAAACCCACCTATGCTGGGGGCAAGAACCTGATGCCCTACTTACACTGGGGACAGGTGATTGCTTGAATTGAGGAAGAGAATAGTCAAGATTCACCTCAAAGTCGATGGCATTTGCCAGGGTTCTGAGTTTCAGCAACAAACAGCACTCATGTTTGTCAGAATGAGCCTCTGAGCCACCTCCCCATGAACTTGAGCAGTTCCCCCTCTGAGAATATGTTTCTCCCAGATATGTGCTTGTCCAACATCCTTGCTTTCCTCAGATCTTTGCCCACATGGTACTTTCTAAGAGAGGCCCATCCAGACTACATCATTTAATACTGCAGCTGCCAGCCCAGTAATCCGGATGCCTGACTATCCGGCATTTTTCTTTTGCAGTAGTATGTATTGCTTTCTAACATACTGTACAATGTGCTTACTGGCTATGTTTATTGTTTATTGTTGATATTTCTCATGAGACAAAGATCTTTGTTTGATTCAATGTTGTATTCCCAAGGACAGAACCACACCCAAAATTGAGTAGACACCAATAAATATTAGCTTAATGAATGCACAGGTAATATTTACACATGGAGGGGCAAAGGAGAACATCAGCTTCCTATAAGCAGCCTACTCCCAAGAGAAGGGGAAGGCAGAGCTGAGCATGCTTGGTTTATTCTCTGCAAATTCATGATGCATGGTTCAGCCATTCCTTTTCATCAGAGTGACTGAAGGGCAAATAGGAATTGGGAATGTGACATCTCCACAAAGAAAGAAGACATCAGGAATGGAAAAGAAGAACCCACCCCAGTATCCCCAACTGTTTGTTATTAACTCATTTGCATTCAACTCCTAAGCCCATGCTCAGTTTAAGCCTGTGGTGATCCTCAGCGATCAGAAGTTCCAGCAAGAGCATTCTGCTCCCTCTTCAACAGGCACTCCCCCAGTGCCAACCATTGCACCTGTGCCCTTTATTTCCCTATTGTTTCTCAGCTCCAAAGCCACCCTTCTATTCCCTTCTCTTGATGGTGGGGTGAGTACTTTGCAAACCAAATTTCTCAGACTACCTCAGTCATTGACTTCCTGTCTGCCAAAAGGAGATAGGCAGGAGACTGGAAGCAAGCAAGAACATAATTGTGGGGGGGGGAGGTCAGGGGTGGCAGGGGGCAGTTCTTCCTCCAAGCCCCAGCCTTGCCATCTCCTCAGTTACCAGCAGCATCCAGGCACTGTTTGTCCTGAGTTGCGTGGAGCTCACCCCCAGAGTCCCAGCATCAGCCCTGGGGCCTTCTCTGAACCCTCAGGATAGTTCTACCCTTTACTTTTCGTTCCTCTCGTCTTAGGAATATTAGCAGCTTTCTGCAGTTAGACTTTCTATGTTACTCCTCCTTCCTGCTCTTTCAGTCCTCCAATAGCCATGGGATCAGTTCCTTGCATTGAGTCTCTCTATCTGAAATACCTAGTGTGGTTTCTCTTTCTTTGCCTGGATGGACCCTAACTCATACAGCTTCTCTGTAGATACTTTTCGGAACATCAGTGAACAAATTAAAATTCATCCCCAGGGAGCTCTGATGTGGGTCAGAAAATTTGCTAATTAAATTTCTACAAGACTGCAAATCCATTCCTTATTGCATTTCTCTTCCCGAAGTATGCTCTTCCTCATTGCCCAATATAATTGGGGTGACCATACATACCAATGCACCCAAGACAGTCCAGGTTTTTGCCTGTTATCCCAGCAAAATTATTAATATAGCCTCCTTTCTCTCTCGAAACTATGTAGTTTGAGTGATAAATTATATGGTCACTCTAAATATAGGCCATCATATGTTCTACAGTGAAATTCAATGACAATATTAAGATACTCCAGCAAGGAGGCATCATGCTACCTGACTTCAAGCTATACTACAAGGCTACAGTAACCAAAACAGCATGGTACTGTGTACCAAAACAGATATATAGACCTATGGAACAGAACAGAGCCTTCAGAAATAATGCTACACATCTACAACCACCTGACCTTTGACAAACCTGAGAAAAACAACCAATGGGAAAAGGATTTCCTATTTAATGTATTGTGTTGGGGAAACAGGCTAGCCATATGCAGAAAACTGAAAGTGGACCCATTCCTTACACCTTATACAAAAATTAACTCAAGATGGATTAAAGACTTCAATATAAGACCTAAAACCATAAAAACCCTAGAAGAAAACCTAGGCAATACCATTAGGACATAGGCATGGGCAAAGACTTCATGACTAAAATACCAAAAGCAATTGCAACAGAAGCAAAAATTGACAAATGGGATCTAATTAAACTAAAGAGCTTCTGCACAGCAAAAGAAACTAACATCAGAGTGAGCAGGCAACCTACAGAATGGGAGAAAATTTTTGCAATCTATCCATCTGACAAAGGGCTAATATCAAGAATCTACAAACAAATTTACAAGAATAAAACAAACAAACCCATCAAAAAGTGGGTGAAGGATATGAACAGACACTTCTCAAAAGAAGACATTTATGCAGACAACAAACGTATGAAAAAAGGTCATCATCAATGGTCGTTAGAGAAAGGCAAATCAAAACCACAATGAGGTACCATCTCATGCCAGTTAGAATGGCAATCATTAAAAAGCCAGGAAACAACAGATGCTGGAGAGGATGCAGAGAAATCAGAACGCTTTTACACTTTGGTGGGAGTGTAAATTAGTTCAACCATTGTGGAAGGCAGTGTGGCAATTTCTCAAGGATCTAGAACCAGTAATACCATTTGACCCAGCAATCCCATTACTGGGTATATACCCAAAGGATTATAAATCATTCTACTATAAAGTCACATGCACACATTTGTTTATTGCAGCACTGTTCACAGTAGCAAAGACTTGGAACCAACCCAAATGCCCATCAATGATAGACTGGATAAAGAAAATGTGGCACATATGGAAATGTGCACACCATGGAACACTATGCAACCACAAAAAAAGGATGAGTTCATGTCCTTTGCAGAGACATGCATGAAGTTGGAAAACATCATTCTCAGTAAACTAACACAGGAACAGAAAACCAAACACTGCATGTCCTCACTCATAAGTGTCAGTTGAACAATGAGAACACATGGACACAGGGAAGGGAACATCACACACTGGGGTCTGTCAGTGGGTAGAGGGCTAGGGGAGGGATAGCATTAGGAGAAATACCTAATGTAGATGACGGGTTGATGGGTGCAGCAAACCACCATGGCACGTGTATACCTATATAACAAACCTGCACGTTCTGCACATGTATCCCAGAACTTAAAGTATAATAAGAAAAAAAGAGACAAAAACAGATATTCCAGCAATAAAATACCAATTACAAGATATTCCAAATTTGAATATGAACTCCTTCTCATCATGAATTTTCTGAAATTAAAATTAAAAGATTAAGTTCAATGATTAATGTACAAAGATATTAAACCCCAAAGGAGTTAAAGTCCAAAATCATATTCTCTTCACCTTGTAATTAAAAGTTTAAAGAAAATTAATGCCCAAAATATATCCCAATTTCTTATTCAACCTCTTTGTTATATTTCTCAATGTTCCTAGGCTATGCGCAAAATGTTGGAGTTGAGATGTCCAAATATAACTTCTTTTTTCCTCATGAGCATCTTGAACAAATTATAAAATTAAACAAAGAGAACAGAGAAGAGACTAAAACAACACCCTTATTACTAACAAATGTGGCTTGTGCCTACAGGCAAGAAAGCCTGCTAACAATGAACTCTAGAACTGGTCTTCCCCACTGTGGCATAAACAGCTACTGTTCACCCATGTGTGTGTTTGGCCCCTCTTCCGGGCACAACTACACTATATCTTTCTCAGCCTCCCTTCTGGTTAACTCTGTTCATGTGATTGAATTTTGGCCAATGGAATGTGGAAAAAATTCTGTGCACCCTCCTAACATGGTCAATAAGAATTTCCCAAATGTGTTTCATGCTTTCACACCCTCCCCTCATTTGCAAGCTGAATAAAGAGGACTCTCAGGGCTTAAAAGAGGGCAAAGCCACCAGATGGAAGAACACTAGGTCTCAGCATTTGTGCATGGAATAGAGCCTGTTTCTTTACCATCAATCCTCATTGAACACTGACATAAGTGAGAAACAAACATTTATTTTTGTTACGCTACGGAATGTTTGGAAGTTGTTTGTTTCACTGGCTAGCCTATCCTGCCTGAAACACCCCGAAAATCCCTGGAAGCCCTGATGCAGGACAGGTTTTCCTGTGGCAGGAAGTGAACTGCTCAGGTGATCCAGAGATGCAGAAGAAACTTCTGACCCTATGGACAGCTCCCCCCATGAAAAAGAGAGTAAGGCTGAGCTAAGCATGCTCAGTAGAATCTTTCCACATTCAATCCAAGCAGCTTAAGCCCCTCTTTCTTCCCTGGTAGGAGTGAGGGAGCTTCTTTCCAGAGGCTAAAATAATCACACCGCCACATGGAAGGAAACAGCTCCCCATCGAAATGTGTTTTCTTTTTGTGCAGCTCTTTCTTGATGTCTAGAAATCTTTCCCTTTGTTCCCCATCCAGATTCTATATACTGTTTCTCAAGACACACCCCCTCTTAGCATCCTTAGCAGGTATGAGACAGAGGGGCACTACATTTCTGTCTTCTGACTAGCCCATGAATGCCAGTCATACGGTCCCCTTTGGGCCTTTGGGCAAGCTTCGGTGAGAGTTAAGGAGAAACAGCCCTTCCTGACCTCTCTCCCCACCTGCTCCAGATTCCAGAGTCCATGAAGGGTCATTCTCAGCAGACATAATAAGGATCCTGGATGCATTCTTCTTTTTAACAATGAGGTCATTTCCTCACAAATCACCAGGCTCTTCCTAAGGGAAGTTTGCACCCACAGCAATGCCCAGAGTCCTCCTGCCTTACAGACCCACCTTCCTTCTCTGCCTTTATTTGAAAAGGAGAGAGAAAAGCTCCAATCTTCATCATAACAAAACTAATGCTGGGATGAATCCACTTCAATGTGCTTGCCATGCTCGTAGTCCCTACTGAGGGACAATACCCTGCATAGTCCTGGATACTTGGGCCAACGTTTGGTCCCACATGGCCTCCAGCTCCCAACCAAAACAGATGAGGCAGAGGTGGAAGCCCATGGATTGGTCAGCACACTATGGCTGAGAGATAAGCCAGTTAACGGGAATTGAAACCCAAAGTTCATGATGTAGAATTCAAATGAGATAAGTCACAATGAACCATCTCAAAACCATGAAACAGCAGGACCCGTGAGTAAACAGAGGAAGTCAGCTCATGGAGAAAGGACAAGGGCACAGTTGTAGACAGACATGCAAATGATGAGAGGATAGCGGAGGGACAGAAGGCAGAGCGCACAGCCTGGAGGAAACTATTCACAGAGATATCTCGGAACCTGTCCGTTGTTCAGTGCTTTCTTTCCATGTCTATGTTTATAATAAGCCCCTTTTTCCTTGACCTGACTTGGGTGGTCAAGGTCACTGTGCCTTGCCTGATTGAAACAACTCATTTCCACAATTGCATTAAACTGTGATAAGTGATCCAGAAAACCATGATCATATCGGCTTCTCCTCTTCCTACCTAAAATAGCAGATGCCTTGGGCTACAAACTTTGGGAAAAGGGTATGAATAAGCACTAGATAGTTTTGCAAGATTTGCACTTTAGGGAGAAAGGAGAGTAAGCTAGGTGAATTATTGGGATATTCTTTAGGTTACTATGAGGTTTGGAGGTTACAGTTAGGAAAAAAAAGTTTCCTGCAGCAAAACCCATGCCAAATTGAAAAATTCTTTAGACCACATAGGAGGTCTTCAAGGAAATCATGGTGCTGGTAAAAAAAAAAAAAAAAAAAAAAAAAGGGAGAGAGATTTTGACTTTCTCTTCTTCTGGGGATGGAAAAACTAAAGCCAGGCCTCAGTGTCATCTTTCCACCCAGGAGCAAGACTGAGCCCTTCCACTGTGGGACATTGAGGCCTGAATAAGACCCTTCCAAGCAAAGGTGAAAGAGGCTCTGAGTATAAGTATCCATAAACATGGGCTACTGTAACATAGGAACCCAGAACCCTAATCATCAAAGCCAATGAATGTCTCTAAGAAAGGGAGTGATTGTCCTGACAGAGTTTTGAGAGCCAAAAGGCTTTGTGGACTCAACCTCCAAAACAGAGCAGATGGGAGGAGGGATGGTGAGAAGGCTTATTCCCAAGCCAAGCCCTGGAGAGGATGGCAAAGTGGCAGGTGGAAAGCGTGGTAGATGTGGAGTCCCATGTGAGATAGGATATCCCAGCTGATGCCTCACAAATCCTCGCACTTGCTGCCTCTCATTGTACCTCCTATTTCTATCTTCAGTAAAGGCTTGAGGCTATTTGGAGCCCAGAAGCCAGCAGCTGAAGGGAACAGGCAATTGGCCAGGCCAGCTCCTCAGCCCAAGGAAGGCAGGCCTGGGGCAATGCCCACTGGCCAGTAACATCAGAGGGCCCATTGGAAACACATCTAAGTCCCCGTGACTCACAACTGTCATAGCTGTGAAGTAGTGTCATCTTTCTTCCTGAAGATTTCCTGTATCACCCCAGGAGCAGAAGGGATGATTGATTTTTGCTCTGGAAATAAGTAATGGGTCACTGGGGACATGAATAGAACTATAGCTTCCTTAAGAAGCAATCTCTCTTAAGAAATTACAAAGCAAGCGGCTCCCCTGCTCAGTGGTGTCTGTGGCATTGTACTCCCAGTCTTTCAGGATAAGTCTAAAACAGTTTGGCACTCAATTCCAAGCTCACCTATGGAAAAGGAGGAACTCTGAAATCTGTAGAATAAATAAAGTAATGAGGTATGCCTACTGTAAATGGAGAAAATCCAGCCAGTATTATTGAAAACTTTCAGGCTTTAAAATTTATAACATGGAAAGCTATACTATACTGAAGTATCTGAGTCTCCCCAAAAACAATGACGTTAGGGAGGAAATCAAATGAGAGGAATCTAAGATTGACAGTTCAACTAGCCAAATCGCCAAATAATCTGCAGTCACAGAGGGATAGTGGACTGTTATTAAATAAACCCCTGGTGAATTTTCTTTATTAAAGAGCAAGAAGTCAGCAGGTTTCAAAGCCCCAGGAATGTGGGGATGTAGACCCTTTCAGCGACAGCTAAAAGTGAGAGTTAGGAAGGGTATAAAACCTCTGCTCCCCGTTCACGAGAAAGCCAGCCCTGGAGAGGGAGGCACCAGGCGGCAGCCCCACTCTGCACCACACAACACTCTGTTACTCCCGCCTGGCCTATTAGTCTCTCCCTTAGCCTGACCTAAGTAACTCTAACCCAAGTAAGGAGAAAATCAAAGTTGGGAATTTCAGCATTCCTGAACAAGAAAGTTCGAGGGTCAGTCTGCAAAAAGTAAGCCCCAAGATCAAGGAAAGGGAATGAGATCTGGACACAGAGCTGCACTCAACATCTAGCATGACTCTCAGCAGGATGCACCACTGGGCACAGCAGTGTCTATGCTTGTCCAGCAGACATGTCAGGGTGAGCTTGCTCTCGGCAGAAGAGAGAAACCTCCCACTAAGGGAAGAAGGAGCTGGGTGCATGAGATTGGCCCAGTAAGACAAACCTTCTCATCAAAATAAGAGGGGCAGCTCTCACAGTATTGTGGTCTTGGTCACTTGTGTTTGTCCCCTGAGTCAGTTTCCATGGACTCCCATTTAAACCCTGGAGTCAGGCAGGCAGGGTCACTAGAAGTCTGTGAGGCATTAGGACTACTCTGTCCCCCTCTGACAAAATATAACACAGATGGAGAAAGAGGTGCTGATGACCCTTAAATCTCCAAAGGCCTGAATGGGGGTGGCCCAGAGCAACAAACTGCCTACTTGCAACAAGCCCACTTGCAGAAGACAGGACTTCGGCGGGAGAGGAGACCAACCACTCCTGAGGACCTGCCCCTTGCTGCCTCTCATTGCACCTACTGTTTCTATCATTGATAAAGGAAAGATGTTGCATGCACCACTCTATTTCGCATTTAAGGTCAAGGTTCTGGGGAAATGAGTCCCACAACACTGGCAGGAAGAACGTCTACTCCATGACAGGGCTGCCACAGTATGGTAGCAGACAGGACTTTTCATCAATGACAGCCTCTGGAAACCATGGGGAGAAAGTGTCCTGCATAACCAAGCGGAGGCAAAAACCAGGGAAGCATGGATTAGACAATGAAACAGTTCAAGTGAAACAACAAAACAATTCAAGGTTGGGGGACATAAAGGCCCAGTCATTCATAGTACTGCAAAGTGATTAATCTAAAATGCAAATTTGATGACATCAGATCCTGTTTAAAATCTCTGCCTTTTCTCCATTCCCACAGATCCTCTCCTATCAGACATAATGAACTACTGCTAGGATTATTGCAGTAGTCTTCTGTCAACAGTCTCACCTCACTGCACTCCCCCACTTCCCCACTGCTTTCACAACAATCCGTGTAAATCTCCAAACTCTTCAGGGCCCTCCTTATCTCTAGCAATGTTCCTTGACTTCCTACACCCTTGGGGCAAAAGTCTACACACATTATAGGCCTTATAACAGCCTCCATCCATTCATTCACTCATTTAAAAAATATTTATCAAGTGCCAACTCCATCCCAGACTACTGCTAAGAGTGGTAGGGAACAGTAAACCAAACACCAAAAGTCCCTGACTTTAGGAAGTTACATTCTATGGGCAAAATTTAGCACCCCTCTGTGTTCAGCTCTTCTGCATTCAGTGGTGTAGGCACAGGCTTTTACCAGCTCATGGAGACCAAGGGTGCACATCTCTTCCCAACTCTGCATTCAGTGATATTGCTTTGGTAGCTTGAAATCAACCTGGGTGGAAATATTTACACCATGGAAATCAGCAGTCACTACAAATAAGCAGACACTAGGCTTTTTCTTTTTCAGGAACAGGTTATTGAACATTTACCAGCATACTTTTGTACCTTAGCCCAGGCTGCTCTCTGTGCCTAGAAATCTCTTCTTCTTGTCATCTGCCTGATGAATACCTACCTTCAAGACTTAATTCAAATATCAAAGCAGTTTTGGACCCAAGAGGGAGAGCAGACTCCTCCCTCTGAGCTGCCTCTGTACCATGCGCACACCCAGAACACCTTCAGCAGTTACCTAGTCATGTGACTGTCACCCCACTGTACTGTAAATTTCTTGGAGCCAGGGATGAGTCAGGCATGACTCATCAATATCCCCAGCCCCTGGTACAGTGCCTGGCCCAGTTCCTGGACCACTGTAAAATAAATTCCTGTTGAATACATTTGGAGCCAGGAAAAAATATGTATCTTATTTTAACAGCTGTCATCAGACTTCATTTTAGGAAAGGAATCAAGTATGAGGTTGAATGAGCCCAAATTGTGGAAATGACCATGGGATATTTAGGTATAGTAATATGTAACATTGAGATTTCCTTTTCTGAGCTAAAATTATTCCATACCTACAAGATATTCACAATGTGAATGCCTTATGTAAATGGTTGGACTGGTGAATGTTAAGAAAAATGGCTGAGTTCTGTAACTGAGTTAATGGGGTGCAGAACAGGGAAGACACGAGCAACAAGCACGGTGATCCCTAGACTGAATTTGCTCAGAATAAGGAGGCTGGAGCCAGAAGTGACCACAATTAATAAGCCCCCTGGGAATTTATGAAAATCTTGTGAAGCTCCAGATACTTCAGAATCCTTGGACTAGGGCTTTAAATTCATCTCATCTAGACATGAAAAAACAGGGTGGCCTAATTTGACAGCTTAATCAGGAAGAAGTGGGTAACATGGATGGATGGATGGATGGATGGATGGATGGATGGATGGATGGATGGATAGATGGATGGACGGATAGATGGATGGATGGATGAAAGGAACAGTAGATGAATGGATAGATGCATATCTGAAAGCAGAGGTTGTGAATGGCTTAGTAGTGGAGGTGGCAAGTGAGATTATATTAGGCCATTCTTGCATTGATATAAAGAAGTATCTGGGGCTGGGTAACTTACAGATAAAAGAGATTTAATTGGTTCATGGTTCTGCAGGCTTTACAGGAAGCATGATGCTGTCATCTGCTTCTGCTGAGGGCCTCACTAATCTTACAATAATGGCGGAAGGTGACAGGGAGCCAGCATGTCACATGGCAAGAGAGAGAGGGAGAAGGCACCACACTCTTTTAAACAACCAGATCTCATGTGAACTACCAGAGCAAGAACTCACTCATCATTAGGGGATGGGGCTAAGACAGTCAGGAGGGATCCACCCCAATGACACAAACATCTCCCACTAGGCCCCATCTCCAACATTGGGGATTACATTTCAACATGAGATTTGGAGGGGACAGACACCTAAGCCATATCATTTCATCTCTGGCCCCCAAATATCATGTCCTTCTCACATTACAAAATACAATCATACCTTTCCAGTAGTTCCCCGAAGTCTTAAGTCTTTCCAGCATCAAGTCCAAAGTCTTAAGTCTCATCAGAGACTCATTCTCCTTCCACCATGAGCCTGTAAAATCAAAGACAAGTTATTTCCTTCGAAGATACAATGGTGGTAAAAGCATTGGGTAAACTTTCCCATTCCAAAAGAAAGAAATTCACCAAAAGAAAGGAGTAATAGGCACCACACAAGTCTAAAACCAAGCAGGACAGTCATTGCATTTAAAGCTCCAAAATAATCTCCTTTGACTTCATGTCCCACACCCTGGTATGAGGGGTGGGCTCCCAAGGCCTTGGGCAGATCCACCCCTGTGGCTTTGCAGTGTACAGCACACATGGCTGTTCTCAAGGGTTGGAGTGGAGTGCTTGTGGCTTTTCCAAGCAGAGTTTGCAAGCTGCCAATCTACCATTCTGGGGTCTGGAAGGCAGTGGCCCCCTTCCCATAGATCCACTAGGCAGTGTCCCAGTGGGGACTCTGTGTAGAGGCTCCAATCCCACATTTCCCCCTGCCATTGCCCTAGTAGAGTTTCTCTGTTGGGGCTCCACCCTGCAACAGGCTTCTGCCTGGGCACCCAAACTCTTCCATAATCCTCTGAAATCTAGGTGGAAGCCTCATTCATGCTTACATTCTGAGCATCTGAAGACTTAACATCATGTGACAACTGCCGAGGCATGGCTTGCACCCTCTAGAGCTGCAGCCCAAGCTGAACCTTGGTCCCTTTGAGTCATGGCAGAAGCCAGAGTGGCCAGGATGCAGGGAGCAGTGTGGCAGCACAGGGAAGCAAGGCCCTGGGCCTGGCCCCCTAAGCCACTTTTCTCCTAGGCCTCTGGGCCTATGATGGAAGGGACTGCCCCAAGACTTCTAAAGTGCCTTCAAGGCCTTTTTCCCATTGTCTTAGATATTAACACTTGGCTCCCTTTAGGTCAGGCTAATCTCCCTAGCAAGTGGTTGCTCCACAGCCTGCTCGAATTTCTCTCCTGAAAATGATTTTATTTCCTGCACATGGCCTGTGTATTTGTCCATTTTCATGCTGCTGATAGAGACATACCCGAGACTGCATGGTCTATACAGGAAAAAGGATTTAAGGGACTTACAGTTCCACATGGCTGGGGAGGCCTCACAATCATGATGGAAGGCAAGGAGGAGCAAGTTATGTCTTACATGGATGGTAGCAGGCAAAGAGAGAGAGAACTCCTCTTTATAAAATGATCAGGTCTTGTGAGACTTATTCATTTTCATGAGAACAGCACAGGAAAGACTTCCCCCCATGACTGAATTATCTCACACTTGGTCTGTCTCACAACACATGGGAATTCAAGATGAGATCTGGGTGAGGACACAGCCCACTCATATCAGCCAGCATGAAAATTTTCCAAACTCTTAAGCTCTGCTTCCCTTTTAAATATAAGGTCCAGTTTCAGGTCATTTCTTTGCTCGCACATATAAGCATTGGCTGTTCGAATCAACTAGGCCACTTCTGGAACACTTTGCTGCTTAGAAATTTCTACTGCTAGATACCCTAGGTCATCACTCTTAAGTTGAAACTTCCACAGAGCCTTAGGGCCTGGACAAAATGCAGCCAAGCTCTTTACTAAAGCATAACATGGGTGACTTTACTCCAGTTCCTAATAACTTCATTTCCATCTGAGACCTCATCAGCCTGGACTTCAATATCTCTATCAGCATTTTGGTCACAACCATTTAGCCAGTCTACAAGTTGCAAACTTTTCTTCATCTTCCTGTCTTCTTCTGAAACTTCGAAATTCTTCCAATCTCTGCCCATTACCCAGTTCCAATGCTGGATCCACATTTTTAGGTATCTTTATAGCAATGCCCCTCTCCTCAGTACTTATTTTGTATTATGCCATTCTTGCATTGCTATAAAAAAGTACCTGAGGCTGGCTAATTTATAGAGAAAAAAAGGTTTAATTGGCTCATGATTCTGCAGGCTTTACATGAAGCATGGTGCTGGCACCCGCTTCTGGGGAGCCCTCAGGGAGCTTACACCATGGTGAAAGGTGAAGGGGGAGCCAATGTGTCACATGGTCAGAGCAGGAGCAAGAGAGAGACAGAGGTATCACACTCTTTTAAACAACCAGATCTCACATGAACTACCAGAGCAAGAACTCACTCTTCACCAAGTGGATAGGGCTAAGCCATTCATGAGGGAGCCACCTCCTACCAGGCTGCCCTTCCAACATTGGGGGTTACATTTCAACATGAGATTTGGAGGGGACAAACATCCAAACCATAACAGAGATGAATGCCAAGACAGCTGGACTAGGTGGGGCAAGCCAGGAACAGGCTTCAGAAACAGCCTAGGCAGGAGGCAGGAAGACAAGACGGCAGGAAGCAGTGCAGAACAAAGCAGGCTCCTCATCATTCAACCTCCCCTGAGTGCAGCAAAGGGGCCTTATTGTCAGCCCCTAACTGATCATTGATAACTAAAGTTACAACAACTCATACCTGTAAGGGCCATGGTGAGTTAGAGCTGGCAAGAGCCCTAATGATACACAGTCTTCTCTTGAAAGAGGAGAAGACTGAGGCCCAGAGAAGTGAGTAAATTTCCCAACAAGCAGAGAGTTGAGACTGGAATCTGGCTTCCCACCCCAGCCCAGTGCTCTTGGAACCAGAGGACGGTCCTCACCCAGTCAGCTAAGGGGAGCCTTGGCATGCTGGCCACCACCAGCCCAGTGATGCTAGGAAAGTTGCAGTGCTTATCTATCTGTGTGTGCCTCCCTTTGTTCAAATGTAATGTAGAAACAATAATACTGCCTTTCAGGATCTTCCTGTAAGAATTAAATTACTTAATATTTTAAAACATAGTGGTGTCATATTTGAGCTCACATTACCCTAAGATTCACCCTACCATCAGGCTGCTACAAGGAATTCAAAGATTCCTGGGTAGAGACCTGATGAAAATGGGCACCGGTTAAAATAAAAAAAGGAGGGATAATTTGGGGGTGGGGGTGTCATTTACATTGTCCCCAGGTCCTACCCCTGGAATTGCGCAAGGGCCACAATAGTCAGAAATGGATTATTTCATGGGATGTTCAATGAAACCTCAGTTAAACCGTGAGACCATCTTGTCTTATTGCTTAAAACCACTGAAAGCTGAAAGGGTTAGATTTATGGAGCTTCTGGGTAACATCCTCTGAGGACCCTAGGAATGGTGAATGAGGGAGGAAGGGAGTAGGGAGAGAATAATTTAAACAGAGCAGAGCCAGGCAAACTCTCCCTGCATGAGAAACTAACAGGAAAACCCAGGTCCCATGTGAGTACCAAGTTAAAGGACCCCAGCAGGCCATGTTGGTTCCCTTTCCCCTTTCTGGACTTACTGCTCCATCAAGGCTAAGCAGACCATTGGCTCTCCCTTTTCCTCTGTTCTCCTGGCTCCCACTACCTCTGCTTTTTTCAACAACAGATGTATTTTTCAAGGATCCTGCTCCTGGGAAGTACTTCTAGCACTTCACTTATCTCACCTGATGCACTATACCTAATTATCAGCTTAATTGCCTTCTTCCACCACTGACCAGTTACAATCAGGTATATTCTATCTTCGTCCCTGTGGCATTATCGCTCCAAAACAATAGTAGACACTGCATATTTATTGGATGAATGAGTTAATGAACGAATGCTTGGAACTCTTCCTGACAATCAAATTCAGGCCCTAGTCCCACACATAAGTAATTAAAAGTCGAAGTGACCATACTGAGCAAGTTCCTGAGCTCTTGCTAGTAAAAACAGGGCCCTTGGAGCAACATTGGTTTTTCTCAGAAGCTTATTAAAAATACAGACTCTCAGGCTGAATCTAAACTTGCATTTTAACAAGATCCCCAGATGATTCCCACACATTGAAGGTTAAGAAGCCCTGTTCTAAGGGGTAACGTCTTCCAGAGAGCTTAGCTGCTTCCAGTGCCCTACCTCAAGGGTCTGATTCAAGGAATGAGATGGAAGTCTGCAAATGCAGGCAGATCACTAAGGTTTCTGGCCCTGGGGCTCCATCATCAGTCTACCCTCCACTCCAGATTGGCCTAGAGATCCCCAAGTGTGAGGCAAGGAATCAAGCGCTCCCTGAGAGGGTGTCAAGCCCCAGCGCCTCCTGGAGGCCTCCAGCTGTGCAGAATCATGCTCTTGGCAGCACCTGGCTGCTATTGTTAGGAGAGAATGAGGAGCTGCGAGGACAGTGGCACTGTACATGCTGACTAAAAGGCGGGGCTCCTATCTGCATTTGGAATGACATACCCGATTCTATTTGGGAAGGAAACACAATGGCCCTTTACTACAGGATTTGAATGGCAGGAACCAGCTAAATGGACTAGGAAATGATTAAGAGACAAAAGTCAAGGCATTGTGTGTGCACCATGCTTAGCCCAGTCCTGAAAGCCCTATTATAATGGCCACTGTTCCTGTAGCCCCTCCTGAGCCCCACCACCCTCCTCAGAAACACTGTGGCTCCTTGGACACACTGCAAGGCCTATTTGTCTCTCCTCAAGGAAAAGGGTGGAAAGCTACAGCAAACTTTGCCAGGGACTGGGAGGGATGGTGAGGCAGGGAGAGATGAAGGGGCAAAAGACAGGTGGGACAGGAGGTGACAGCCATAGACCACAAGCGGATCAGGGAAGGATGCAGACGGCAGAATTTGCAAATGTTGTACTGCAGCTTGGAAGAGAGGAGAGAAAGAAGGGGGCAGGGAAATATCCACTGCTGTCCCACATCATGGGGCAGGATGTCAGGAAGCCCAAGTTCAAAACCCTTGCCCCACATACTGGCTATGTGACTAAGGCATTTTGCTTGTGCTTTCTGGATCTCCTTTTCCTGGTCTGCAACATGCAGATGCTGATATTAGCCGTATGTGGTGATATGCCAATGAAATTAACTGAAATGAAGCATAGGAAAGTGCTTAGCACAGTTCTTGACACATAAACTGTCAATTCTAGATCAGAAAGAACAAGAAATTGCTTCCTTTGCCTGTCAACTAGTACATACCGCACCACCCCAGTCCTGCCCATGTCACCCCCTGAGAAAGGCTTAAGGCATGATTCATCTCAACATATTAGAGGTTGGTGCAAAAGCTATTGCACTTTTTGCCATTACTTTTAATACAACCTAATATTTGTATTTAAGTGGGGACTTCAAAAGAGTCAATGGCTTCTGTTTCAAAAGAAACACTCGGCGGGGCGCGGTGGCTCACACCTGTAATCCCAGCACTTTGGGAGGCCGAGGCGGGTGGATCACGAGGTCAGGAGATCGAGACCATGGTGAAACCCCATCTCTACTAAAATACAAAAAAATTAGCTGGGCGCGGTGGCGGGCGCCTATAGTCCCA
Source organism: Homo sapiens (assembly GCF_000001405.40). Classification (NCBI taxonomy): domain Eukaryota; kingdom Metazoa; phylum Chordata; class Mammalia; order Primates; family Hominidae; genus Homo; species Homo sapiens. Next base: position 32,786,718 of record NC_000007.14, read on the forward strand.
GCTACTTGGGAGACTGAGGCAGGAGAATGGGGTGAACCCCGGAGGCGGAGCTTGCAGTGAGCCAAGATGGCACCACTGCACTCCAGCCCGGGAGACAGAGCTAGACTCTGTCTCAAAAAAAAAAAAGAAAGAAAAGAAAAGAAAAGAAAAGAAAGAAAGAAAGAAAGAAAGAAAGAAAGAAAGAAAGAAAGAAAGAAAGAAAGAAAGAAAGAAAGAGAAAGAAAGACTCTCTAATCATGGAAATGGTATCAGGAGGTCCGAGAAGGACCTAGGCTGATATCTCTTGAGTCATGACCGCAATGGGACCACTTTCCTACTCAGCCTCTGTCTGAGACCATTGAATATGATCTGAATCCAGCTTTCTTTGAGCAAGGTTAGAGAGAAATGCTCTGACAGCAGAAAAAGACTTGGAATGCCAGGAGCTCTGCAGCATGACTCCAGCAGTGGGGGTCAGTGGGTGGCAGGAGTCACTGGGGAATCAGGCCTGGGAGAGTCAGGGCTGCAGGTCACATGGCAGAGCCTGAGTCCCCCATACAGACATACAACCTGGGCCTGCCCCCCACTCCTGGACAGTAGAGACCCGTAACCACTGCTCCATAGGAGTTGGGAAGTTAGAAGGTCTACATTTGGTTCATGAACCACAAGATGGGGCCACCAAGATGACAATCATTCTGATAGCCAAAAGGATCTGGATCTCAGCATGGAGAGTGTAGCCACTGAGCACTGATGAGCCACAATTCTCATGGGGTGGGGCCAGGAAGGTAATGTTCTGACAGGTGGTGGGACTTGGATGCATGGGGGTGTGGGGGTGGCAAGAGCACAGAGCCAAGCTGAGATCAAAATGGTGGCCCTTAGGGCCCCTTATCCAAAACCTGACACAAAGAGGGTGGCCCACTCCTGCCTCCTTGCAGACAGTCTTGAGGAGAGGGCAGTGGAAGACAAGACAAGGGCTTCTAGAGAGAGTGTGGCAGCCAGGCCGCGGATGTTGGGACAAGTGTCACTGCACTATTTGGGGGTCTGGGAAGGGGATGGAGGTCAGGGTCAGAGGCACAGCCTCAGAAAAGCTGGACGGAGCAATAGTGAGTGCCCAGGTAGCAGACTGCACATGCCTGATGAGGACTGGTCCACCCACTCAAGGAGTCCAGGGAGACCAGAGGCAGAGGGGTCAGTTGGCTGAGAGGCGGCCGTCAGGGTAGAATTGGTGACAGATATGGGAGAACATGTTGGTGCCCATTAGAATCATAAAACTGAAATGGCTGCAGAATCACTAGAGTAATTCTAAAGCCTCCAGGGAGGCTTTGAGTCAGGTGCTCAAAGATCCTGTCCACATTCAGCTGGAGTGGCCACAATGCCAGTCGTCACTTCAAAACAGACACCCAGAAGAGGCAGCAGGGCCCAGCCCTTAGGAAAGAGTTGGAGAAGATGAATGAAGCAGAGCTGTCACCCAAAATAAAAGGCTATTTGTGGTGGTATTAAGTACAAAGTGAAGAACCAAGGTGGGAGGTAGACTATATCTTATGAGAAATGACCACAGTGAGGTCACACATTCCTTCCTTTTATGCAAATAGGAAGACCCAGGTCCCTATACATTTCAATAAGCCTTTCTTCTTTCCCAGGGTCATCCCTCCCTGTAAGCTCCAGGAGGCTGCGCTAATGCTCTGCCCTCAAAGAGAGAACTGGAAGGGTATTTGGCCAGGTGTACCTTCCTGGGCTCTTCCAAGGTGACAGCTCTCACCCTGTGCTGCAGGTGGCCCTGTGCCTGGTGCCACTTCTCACTGCTTACCAGGGCACATGGACACCGGTGGTTCCCAAAATGGGTCACAGCAGGATGGCCTGCATCAGAATCACCAGGGAGGGCTATAAGAAGGCAGACTTCTTCTTTTTCTTTTCTTTTCTTTTTTTTTTTTTTTTTTTGAGACAGAGTTTACTCTTGTTGCCCAGGCTGGAGGGCGATGGTGCGACCTTGGCTCACTGCAGCCTCCACCTCCCAGGTTCAAGCAATTCTTCTGCCTCAGCCTCCCCAGTAGCTGGGATTACAGTTGCCCACCACCATGCCTGGCTAATTTTTTGTATTTTTAGTAGAGACGGGGTTTCACCATGTTGGCCAGGCTGGTCCCAAACTCCTGACCTCAAATGATCCACCTGCCTCAGCCTCCCAAAGTGCTGGGATTTCAAGTGTGAGCCACCGCACCCGGCAAAGAAGGCAGACTTCTAAACCTAGAAATTCTGATGCAATAACATGTAGGAAAGAGCCTAGGAATTTGCAAAAATGTTTCAACCCCCAGACAATTGTGAAGCACGGCCAAATTTGGAAAATATTGATCTACACAAAACAATGCAACTATCCAAATATTAAAAATGACTTCACAAAAGATAGCTAAGAGTTTGTGTCCAATTTTGTAAATATATAAGCAATATACATTGTGGTATATAATAAATGTATAACTCCGATTCTATAAACACACACACACATGCGCATATATCTGAGTTGTAGGATGATAGAGGTTTTTCTTCTTTATTCCTTTCTCAGTTGACTTTCTATAATAAACACTTATTCTGTTCATAAAGAAAATATGATTTTGTGAGTGCTGGGGAGCAGATTATGACATATTTGGACTCCCAGAGAGGCTTAGCTCAGATTCCGTGTGTGGGTTTCCTAAAAACGCAATGCCTCCCAGCGAGGCGTGCTGTCCCCTTCCTTTCTTCTGGAGAGTCTTCGTATGTGTTTGTTTCAATACACTCTTCATTCTGACTAGCAGACTGCACGGCTGGCTTTTGTAAATGAACACTCATTTCGCTCTATTAAATTAATATATTGACTTTTTTTTTCCACAGGAGTTAAGGAGGAGATCGGGGCTGGGGGGCTGGGCATGCATTCAGGATAGGGCTCTAGTCAGCAGGAAATGAAAGAGCTGAGCAAGGAAACTGAGGTTGATATCAACATGGTGGGGAGGAGAGGCTGCTGTGCGGAGGCTCCCCTGTGCTGCAGGTCGCCCTGTGCCTGGTGCCAGGGCTCTCACTGGGGACCCTAGACCCCTCTCAAGCCAGAGCCCCATCATGCCAGGGCTGAGTCTGCTGTTGCTCTCCCTGGGGCAGGAGGGGAGAAGATCTGGTATGAGTCCAGCGTGAGTGCTTCACACTGGTGAAGAACAAGTTTCTGGAGTGAGAAAGAACTGGATTCAAAATCTGAGTCTGGCACTGAACACTCAGGCATGTTACTGTCCTTCACTAAGCCCAGTTTCCTCTCATCTAGTAGGGATGATAACAGTATCTACTCAATGGATTTCTTGATCACGACCATCGTCCAGCTCCCACAGACCCCATCGCCACCCACCCTCCTCAGGATGCAGTGACAATGTGGGCCTGCTCTGAAGACTCAGGGTTGGGGCCAGATGGTTAGAGAAGATGTCTGCTTTTTTCTCCCCTTCAGCCATTGAGACAAATATTTGTTATGAATACTGAGATTCTTCATTCTCTGCTTCACTTCTGACTGGAGGCAGCCTGAGGGGAAGACTTTTTTGAGAGGGAGAAACTGCTGGGAAGGTCCCTGGCTCTTGAGGGAGTGACACTGAATATTAAGGGTCTGGAGTGATGTCTGGAACGGCTGCAGCAAATCACTTCATCCCTCTGAGCATCAATTTCCTTTTATTTATTTATTTTGAGATGGTCGTGCTCTGCCTCCCAGGCTGGAGTGCAATGGCAGAATCTCAGCTCACTGCAACCTCCACCGCCTGGGCTCAAGTGATTCTCATGCCTCAGCCTCCTGAGTAGCTGGAATTACAGGTGTGCACCACCACATCTGGCTAATTTTTTGTATTTTTAGTAGAGATGGGATTTCACCATGTTGGCCAGGCTGGTCTCAAACTCCCGACCTCAAGTGATCCACCAACCTCGGCCTCCCAGCATGCTGGGATTACAGGCATGAGCCACTGCATCCATCCAGTTTCCTTTTCTTTCCAACTAGGGATAATAGTGCCTTCTTCACAAGGCTGTTGTGAGAATTACATAAGATATTATTTGTGAGAGACTGTAGCATCATGATTGGCATATAACAGCACCCAGCAAATGTTAGTTTCTTTCCTCTTTTAATAGCCAACGTGCAGGGAGAGTTTAATTCTGGAAATATTTGTTGACCACTTATTATGACTTCTGTAATATTTGAACGTGAATCATTGACAAGTCAGTCTGAAAACTGGCTGAGAGTCTGCGGGCAGGGGATTTGGAAAGAAAGGCAGTGGGACGACTCACCCTGGGGAAGAGAGGAATGTGTTTGCTCCTGAGGGAATGAGCCCCTAGGTTCTTTCTGGTGGGGGAAGAAGTCTGGAGCTGGAGGAGGCTGTCTGGGAGGTGGTGTGGCCTCTGACTTGCACTCTCAGCCTTAAGCCAATGGCTCACACAATGCTAGTGTGATTGCATTTTCTGTGAAAATCTGGCAGAACTGAGTTCCACAGCTGACATGACTGGAACAAGAGGCTCCATTCATGGACTTAGAATAGAACCAACATTAGGGCAAGGGCTCTAGAAGCTTCCAGGGGTGGGGTGCTGGAGCGTTTGAGTCAAGGGCACTTACGTCTCTGACAAGTGAAGAACCTCAGCAGATCTCTGCTTTACCCATACATTTTACAAGATGCCCTGAGTGCAGCTGTAGAGGGATTTCTCCAGTCAAGGATCCTTGACATGAATGCTCAAAAGATACATTCTTCCTCTACGGTGCAGTCATCAAGGACAGCAGGACAAGCAGATATATCCTCACCTGAAGTCATAACCAGGATCAGTTTTCCCCAATTCCAGCTCTTCAATTCTCCAAAGAGGACTTTCTGTAACTACCTTAGGAGAAACACACTACAGAATAAACATCAGCAACCAGCACAGGTGTGAGTGGAGACATTTGATCCCCAGCCCTGTCATTGTTGAATCTGGTGTGTCTAAAACCTCACGAAGGGGCAGAGGAGAACATGGTGCAGTAAACAACCTGCCCCATGCCCCAACTTACACTGCTGGCAGTAAATGACCCTCACAACTATCTCCTCCACTCATTCCCACAGATAGTGATATGTTGGCATTAACAACACATCTCTTTAAAAATTCAATTATATTTGCGTCTATTTGACAGACTAGAATAATTACTATCTGCTGCTAAGGTTTCCCCTGCAGATGCAAGAAAAAAGTGACCTTACATTTTCTGTCTGTCTGATTGTGGCAGCCAAGATTGAATAGGGAAATACAGAGGGTAGAAATCTAATTATATAACAGTATTGTGGTCATTTTTTTAAAGTTCTTATCTTTTGGAGACACATATTGAAATATTTATGAATACAATGATATGATTGTGGGATTAGCTTCAAATAATACAGGATGAGTATGATTTCATTTACATGAAGTACAAAAGCAAAAAGAAAATCACAAACCCATGCTGTTGAGGTGAGGAGAGTGGGGCGGAGGGTGGAGATAGTGACCAGTAGATAGGACGAGGTGGGTATCTGGGATTTGCATTTACACAAATGGCTTTGGGTTATGAAAATTCACTGTGCTTTAATTTTATAGCATATGCTTTTCTGTGCCTGTGTATATGTATACATGTGTATGAACATCATACTTCAACAAACCTTTTTGAAAAATCATAATGTGGGAGGAGGGGTAACTGACGTGGGGGTGGGAGTGGGGAGTGACCAAAACAGGATTGTCTGGGTGTTCACTGCTGAAGCTGGGTGGTGGGCACGCAGCGGTTTATTTTACTAATCTCCTATTTGTGTCAATGCTTGACATTTTCCACAAGAAAAATTTTATGAAAGTATCCCTGGAGGTGGCCGGGCGCGGTGGCTCACGCCTATAATCCCAGCACTTTGGGAGGCCAAGGTGGGAGGATCACGAGGTCAGGAGATCCAGACCATCCTGGCTAACGTGGTGAAACCCCGCCTCCACTAAAAATACAAAAAATTAGCCGGGCGTGGTAGCGGGTGCCTGTAGTCCCAGCTACTCAGGAGGCTGAGGCAGGAGAATGGCGTGAACCCGGGAGGCGGAGCTTGCAGTGAGCTGAGATCGTGCCACTGCACTCCAGACTGGGAAACAAGAGCAAGACTCCATCTCAAAAAAAAAAAAAACCAAAAAAACAAAAAAAAAGTATCCCTGGAGGTGTTACGTCTCATGTATTCTTAATTTTTTTTTAATTATACTTTAAGTTGTAGGGTACATGCGCACAACGTGCAGGGTAGTTACATATGTATACATGTGCCATGTTGGTGTGCTGCACCCAGTAACTCATCATTTAACATTAGGTATATCTCCCTCCCCCCTCCCCCCACCCCACAACAGTTCCCAGAGTGTGATGTTCCCCTTCCTGTGTCCATGTGTTCTCATTGTTCAATTCCCACCTATGAGTGAGAACATGCGGTGTTTGGTTTTTTGTCCTTGCGATAGTTTGCTGAGAATGATGGTTTCCAGCTTCATCCATGTCCCTACAAAGGACACGAACTCATCCTTTTTTATGGCTGCATAGTATTCCATGGTGTATATGTGCCACATTTTCTTAATCCAGTCTATCATTGTTGGACATTTGGCTTGGTTCCAAGTCTTTGCTATTGTGAATAGTGCCACAATAAACATACGTGTGCATGGGTCTTTAGAGCAGCATGATTTATAGTCCTTTGGGTATATACCCAGTAATGGGATGGCTGGGTCAAATGGTATTTCTAGTTCTAGATCCCTGAGGAATCGCCACACTGACTTCCACAATGGTTGAACTAGTTGACAGTCCCACCAACAGTGTAAAAGTGTTCCTATTTCTCCACATCCTCTCCAGCACCTGTTGTTTCCTGACTTTTTAATGATTGCCATTCTAACTGGTGTGAGATGGTATCTCATTGTGGTTTTGATTTGCATTTGTCTGATGGCCAGTGATGATGAGCATTTTTTCATGTGTCTTTTGGCTGCATAAATGTCTTCTTTTGAGAAGTCTCTATTCATATCCTTCGCCCACTTTTTGATGGGATTGTTTGTTTTTTTCTTGTAAATTTGTTTGAGTTCACTATAGATTCTGAAGTCTCATGTATTCTTAAATATTATTAGTTTTTTGAGCCGAGGTCTCTCTCTATAGCCCACGCTGGAGTGGAAAATGTTAATTTTTTTTTTTTTTTTTTTTTTTGAGACAGAGTCTCGCTCTGTCACCCAAGCTGGAGTGCAGTGGCGCAATCTCGGCTCACTGCAAGTTCCGCCTCCCGGGTTCACACCATTCTCCTGCCTCAGCCTCCCGAGTAGCTGGGGCTACAGGCACCCACCACCATGCCTGGCTAATTTTTTGGGGTTTTTTTGTTTTTTGTTTTTTGTTTTTTTTAGTAGAGACGGGGTTTCACCGTGTTAGCCAGGATGGTCTCCATCTCCTGACCTTGTGATCTGCCCACCTCGGCCTCCCAAAGTGCTGGGATTACAGGCGTGAGCCACCGTGCCCGACCAAAAATGTTAATTTTTTAAAACCAAAGGCTCAGTACGACAGGAGTTGAAGCTCTGATCGGTCAGAGAAGAGGATGGGTCATTTGAATATGAGCCAGAGTGCTGAGTGTTTGTGCAAATGTGATTTTTTTTTGCCTACCCTGGTGAAGCCACCTTAAATTAGTAATTGTCATTTAAAAGGGAAACAGAGAGATATATGTTAGCATTTGCCAATATTTGTATTTATTTACTAATTTTATTGATTACTTATTAATATTTCTAGACTTCATATCTGTACTATGTACAAATATAGTATAAATATAATAATGCACATTTGACAAAAAGCTTTTAAAGGAAGAGATAAAATATGTAAATAGATATTCTAATGTATTATTTCTACATGCCAATGGATCTTTTTTGGGTGCCTCCAGGGTATATGATTTGGAAAACATACTTTTTCTTTTCACAATAAGAACTCGCAACAAAGAAAAAATAGATTTAAACTACACACACACAAAATCTAAATTCTGCTTTGAATATCTTCTATTAGACACCAGCCTTTGCCCTAGGCATATATGAATATCCTGGGCCTTGAGGGGCTAGTAGTCCAATAAGGGAGAAGGCATATAAAAATATAACTTCAATATGATATGGTGGTGCCACCAAGATGGAAATGGGAGCAAGGCATCTTGGAATTCTTCCTGCAGGAAAGAAAACCTGAGAGGAGATTTGAATCTTAACAAAGAACTTGGCATGCAAATAAATGTAAGAAAGATATTCCCAACTGTTACGGGTTGAATTGCGTCTCCAAAAAGATATGCCAAAATCCTAACCCCGGTACCTGAGAATGTGACCTTATTTGGAAATAGGGTCTTTGCAGATGTAATCAAGTTATGATAAAGTCATTAGGGTGCACCTTAATCCAATATGACTGGTGTCCTTATAAGAGGGAAAGAGTCACAGAGACTCACACAGAGAGGAGAATGCCATGTGTAGACACAGACATACAGGGAGTCTCATTCTGTCACCCAGGCTGGAGTGCAGTGGCATGATCTCAGCTCACTGCAGCCTTCACCTCCCTGATCAAGCGATTCTCCTGTTCCAGCCTCCCCATTAGCTGGGGTTACAGGTGCCCGCCACCGTGCCCAGCTAATTTTCCTATTTTTAGTAGAGACAGGTCTCACCATGTTGGCCAGGCTGGTCTCAAACTCCTGACTTCAAGTGATCTGCCTGCCTCAGCCTCCCAAAGTGCTGGGATTACAGGCGTGAGCCTCTGCACCTGGCGCCAAACTTTAACTTTTTTTTTTTTTTTGAGATGGAGTCTCTGTCGCCCAGGCTGGAATGCAGCGGTGTGATCTCGGCTCACTACAACCTCCGCCTCTTGGGTTCAAACAGTTCTCTGCCTCAGCCTCCCCATTAGCTGGGATTACAGGTGCCTGCCACCATGCCCAGCTAATTTTTTGTATTTTTAGTAGAGACAGGGCTTCACTATCTTGGCCAGGCTGGTCTTGAACTCCTGACCTTGTGATCCACCCGCCTCAGCCTCCCAAAGTGCTGGGATTACAGGCATGAGCCACCGTGTCCGGCCTGCCAAACCTTAACTTTTTTTTTTTTTTTTTTGAGACTGAGTTTCACTCTTGTTGCCCAGGCTGGAGTGCAATGGCGCAATCTCGGCTCACTGCAACCTCCGCCTCCCGGGTCCAAGCGATTCTTCTGCCTTAGCCTCTCGAGTCGCTGGGATTACAGGCATGCACCACCATGCCCGGCTAATTTTGTATTTTTAGTAGAGATAAGGTTTCTCCATGTTGGTCAGGCTGGTCTTGAACTCCCAACCTCAGGTGATCCACTCGCCTTGGCCTCCCAAAGTGCTGGGATTACAGGTGTGAGCCACCGCGCCCAGCCACCAAACCTTAACTTTTAAACGATCATTCCTAGCTGATTTTTATGCAGCCTGCTCATTTCTTCAATATCTTTAACCTCTCTAAAGGAAAAACAGCCAAACCATTTTAAAAACAAAGATCTTTCTCGCCTCAACTCTTTCCCTCTTCTCCCCTTCACAAACCTTGTTCCATGCCTTGTCTTCCGATGAACCACAATTCTCCACTGAACCGAGGTGAGAGTGATTTGTGCAACTATCACTCCACTGAAGTTGAAACTTCAATCTTTTTAAAGTTCAGAGGCTACTTGTCTCATTGACACATGATAGTAATCCACACTGAACACTTTGTGTGAAACACTCTGAACTGGACTTCTGATGTTATGCTTCCCTGGTTTTCTTCCTATCTTGGGATTTTCTCAGCCTCTTGCTGATCTCACCTCTAACCATCTCAGATCTTGGCCTTCCTCTATTCATACATGCCGTAGGCAGTCTTGTTCATTACAGTGAATCACCGCCCAGACCATTACCTGAGAGTCTGCCTTGGATATCCACCTTGGATATCTCAAAGGTCTCAAATTTAACATGTCTGAAGAACCTCTGGCTCTTATCTACCCCACACCTGCCTGTGGTTCAGGTTCAGTAAGTGGCACCATCCCCCACTGGCTTTCTAAGGTAGAAACTTGAAAGTCAACTTCGACTCTTCCCTCTTCCTCACCTCCATGAATTCTGTCCGTCACAAGGCCTGGTAGGTTCTCAAATCTCTTGAATTCATCCTCACTTCTAACACATGAATCGAGCCCCTATCATCTGTCACCTGGAGAATTTAATAAATTTCTAAGTGATCCGTTTTTCAAAATTAACTGCATTATCGAGCTATAATTCACATTCCATACATTTCACCCATTTAACATGTACAATCCATTGATCTTTAGAGTATTCACAGAGTTGTGCACCTATCAATCCATTGTGTAACATTTTCATGACCCCCAAAACCCCATACCACTCTCCGTTCCCTCCCCAGATGATCTCTTTGGTGCAGTTCTTTGCTCACATTTTCTCCACACTGCAATCAGATATTTTTCAATACAATTTTAATGTCATGCTTTTGTTTAGAACATTTATTACCCTTGAAATAAAATCCAGGTTATTTTCTGATTTATAAGGCCTTTTGAATCTGGTCTTTGCTTGCTTTTCTGGACTAATTTCCTTCTTCACAATTTACAAACTGACCAAATTGAATGTTTTAGTTACTTTAATGGGCCTTCTTTTCATACAGTTTTTTCTGCCTTAAGCACCATTCCCCATGGACTGGTTAAATCTTAGGTAACCATACATCCTAGTTTATGCTTGTTTTCACTATCACTCTCAAAAGTGTGCCTGTTTGGATGGTAAATGATATGGTAACCCTGGTTAAGTTCAATTTACACCTCATGTAACTTCCTCCAGGAGGCTTTAACAAAAATTCTATCTTGGTTCCTTTTGTTTAAATTTCAAATGCACCTCATATTACTTAACACCCAACTGTATTAGTCATTTTGATTGTCTTCACTGCTGTGAGGGCAAGGGCTTGTGTCTACCCTATTTATCTCTTTATCTTCAACACCTAAAAGTGTGTGGCACATAACAAGCACAGAACTGAACAAAACCTATGTAAAGGAGTGTATAGGTCATGAAGAAAAATTTAATTTCAGTAAAGTCATTCAGGCAACTATTTTGGAATTCTAATTAGTACTGAAATGTCTCTGACACCATGGAGAAAGGATTTGTCAAATAACCATCAAATGAGTTGGAATTAAAAAAAAAAAAAAACTTCCCAACATATAAAAATGATATAAACAAGTAGAGTTTATCTCATAAATAAAAGATTGCTTTAATATCAGAAAATCACATACCATACTAACAGAATAAAGGACAAAAACCATAGGACTGTGCCAATAGATACTGATATGGTTTGGCTCTGTGTCCCCACCAAAATCGCATGTGGAATTTTTTTTTATATATATATACAGAGTCTTGCTCTGTCACCAGGCTGGAGTGCAGTGGGGTGATGTCGGCTCACTGCACCCTCCGCCTCCCGGGTTCAAGCTATTGTCCTGCCTCAGCCTCCCTAGTAGCTGGGACTACAGGCGTGCGCCACCACGCCTGTGCACCTGGATAATTTTTTGTATTTTAGTAGAAACAGGGTTTCACCATGTTGGTCAGGCTGGTCTCCAACTCCCGATCTCAGGTGATTCGCTCGCCTCGGCCTCCCAAAGTGCTGGGATTACCGGCATGAGCCACTGCGCCCGGCCTCATGTGGAATTTTTAGTCCGCACATGTTAGGGTAGGGAACTGGTGGGAGGTGACTGGATCATGGGGGCAGTTCTCCATGCTGTTCTTGTGATAGTGAGTTCTCACTAGATATGATGGTTTAAAAGTGTGGCACATCCCCCTTTGCACTTGCTCTCTCTCTCTCTCCTTCTCTCCTTTGTCTCTCTCCTCTCTCTCTTCTCTCTCTCTCGTCGCCATGTAAGATATGGCTTGTTTCTCCTTTGCCTTCTGCCATAATTGTAAGTTTCCTGAGGCCTCTCCAGCCATGTGGAACTGTGAGTCAATTAAACATCTTTTCTTTATAAACTGCCCACTCTCAGGTAGCTCTTAATAGCAGTGTGAAAATGGACTAATACATAGAAAAATTATTTGACAAATTAGAGGACCCATTTATGATTAAAACTCACCAAATTAGGAAGAGAAAGAAACTTCCTCAACCTGATGAGGAACATCTATGAAAAATCTACAGCTAATATGTATAATAGTGAAAGATGGAAAACTTTCCCCCTACCATCAGGAGCTAAACAAAGATGTCAGCTTTCACCACCTCTATTCACAATTGTACTGGAAGTCCTAACTGAGGCAATAAGACAAGGAAAAGAAAAAATTTAACCCTCAATAGTTTAAGGAAAAATGAAAAGGCATATGGCTTTGAAGGAGTCTCAAAAAACAAAACAAAAACTCTAGAAATAATAACGTAGCCGGATTACAAGATAAAGACCAATATAAGCCAAGCTTGGTGGCTCATGCCTGCAGTCCCAGCTACTGAGGTGGCTGACGTGGGAGGGTCACTTAAGCCCTGTAGTTCAAGGCTAGCCTGGGCAACAGAGCAAGACCTCATCTCTGAAAAAAAAAAAAAAAGTCAATAAACAACTGCATTGTATGTACTATCAACTATTAAAAAACATTTTTTTTTTGAGGTAAGGTCTCACTCTGTCACCCAAGCTGGAGTGCAGTGGTGCCATCATGGTTAACTGCAGCCTCAACCTCCCAGTCTCAATCAGTCCTCCCACTGCAGCCTCCTGAGTACCTGAGACTGCAGGCACAAGCTACCATGCCCGGCTAATTTTCATATTTTTTGTAGAGATGGGGTTTTGTCATGTTGCCCAGGCTGGTCTCAAACTCCTGGGCTCAAGCAATTTGCCCACTTTGATCTCCCAAAGGGCTGGGATTATGTTACTGTGCCCAGCCATAAAAAAATTAACAGTGTCATTAAAGAAAACCATTTAGCAATAAATTCAACAAGAGATGTATAAGAACTGTACACTATATAACATTGCTGAGAGAGATTTAAAAAGATCTGAAGAGAGAAATATACCATGTTCATAGTTTGGAGGAGTTGATATTGGTAAGTTGGTAATTCTCTCCAAATTGGTCTGCAGATTCAATGCAATTGTTATCAAACCACCACTATGTTTTTTTTCCTTTTTTTGCAGAAATGGATGGGCTGATTATAACGTTTATGTGGAAAAGCAAAGGTCCTACAATAGTCAAAACAATTTTTACAAAAAGAACAAAGGAGACTTACTCTAAACTATTTCAAAATTTTATTATAATAAAGATAACATGGTACTGCATAAGGATAGACATAGATCAATGGGATATAATTGAATCCAGAAAGATCCTCACATACACATGTATAGTCCATATATATATATATATATATATATATATATATATATATATATTTTTTTTTTTTTTTTTTTTTTTTTTTTTTTTGAGATGGAGTCTTGCTCTGCTGCACAGGCTGGAGTCCAGTGGTGTGATCTTGGCTCACTGAATCCTCTGCCTCCCAGGTTCAAGTGATTCTCCTGCCTCAGTCCCCCAAGTAGCTGGGATTACAAGTGTGAACACCCAGCTAATTTTTGTATTTTTAGTAGAGACAGGGTTTCACCATGTTGGCTGGGCTGGTCTCAAACTCCTGACCACAAGTGATCCGCCTGCCTCTGCCTCCCAAAGTGCTGGGATTACAGACGTGAACCACAGCGCCTGGCCTGTATAGTTGTGGGTGTCAAGCCACCTAGATGCCAAGGCAAGAGACCGAGGGCACGAGCCGCTCCAATATAATAAAATATATAAAACAACAAGAGTTATACTAGATCTAGATCATAGACATGATTATATATGAATATCATTAATCATTAGTTTGTAGCAATTACTCTTTATTCCAATATTATAATAATCCTCGCTTTATAATCATAACCTAGGAAAAACCAGGCCATACAGAGATAGGAGCTGAGGGGACATAGTGAGAAGTGACCAGAAGACAAGAGTGCGAGCCTCTGTTATGCCCGGACAGGGCCACCAGAGGGCTCCTTGGTCTAGCAGTAACGCCAGCGTCTGGGAAGACACCTGTTGCCAAGCAGACCGTGGTCTAGCAGTAGCGTCAGTGTCAAGTTAAAACACTAGCTACTTAGCAGACCAGGAAAGGGAGTCTCCCTTTCCCCAGGAGAGTTTAGAGAAGGCTCTAATCCTCCACCTCTTGTGGAGGGCCTGACTGATGTCAGGCCCACCAGCAGTTATCTGGAGGCCTAACCATCTCCCTGTGATGCTGTGCTTCAGTGGTCATGCTCCTTAGTCCACTTTCATGTTCCATCCTGTACACCTGGCTCTGCCTTTTAGATAACAGTAGCAAAATTAGTGAAAGTGCTAAAAGTGTCTGATATGCAGAAATAGTGGCATAAGCTGTCTCTCTCTCTCTCTCTCTCTCTCTGCCTCTTCGGCTGCCAGGCAGGGAAGGGTCCCCTGTCCAGTGGACATGTGACCCACATGACCTTCCCTATCATTGGAGATGGCTCACACTCCTTACCCTGCCCCTTTGTCTTGTATCCAATAAATATCAGCGCAGCCTGGCATTTGGGGCCACTACTGGTCTCCGCCTCTTGGTGGTAGTGGTCCCCCGGGCCCAGCTGTCCTTTCTTTTATCTCTTTGTTTTGTGTCTTTATTTCTACAATCTCTCATCTCTGCACACGGGGAGAAAAACCCACAGACCCCGTGGGGCTGGACCCTACATATAGTCAATATTTTTAATAAAAGTATTCAACAGGGAGAGGATAGTCTTTTCAAAAATGGTGCTTGAACAATTGTAGATATATAAGTTCATAGAATAATGTATTAGTCTGTTCTCACACTGCTATAAAGATACTACAAGAGACTAGGTAATTTATAAACAAAAGAAGCTTGATTCACAGTTCTGAATGGCTGGGAGGCCTCAGGAAACTTACAATCATGGCAGAAGATGAAAGAGAAGCAAGGCACATCTTACATGGTGGCAGGAGAAAGGGAGAGAGAGTGAAGTGGAACTGTCATACTTTAAAACCATTAGATCTCAGGCAAACTCCCTCACTATCATGAGGACAACATAGGAGAAACAACCCCCATGATCCAATCATCTCCCAGTTCCCTTCCTTGACACATGGGGATTACAATTTGAGATGAGATTTGGGTGGGGACACAGAGCCAAACCATATCATTCTGCCCTGGCCCCTCCCAAATCTGACAACCTTTTCACATTTCAAAATCAATTATACCTTCTCAACAGTCTCCCAAAGTCTTACTCATTCCACCATTAACTCAAAAGTCCAAGTTCAAAGTCTCATCTTAGACAAGGCAAGTCCCTTCCACCTATGAACCTGTAAAATCAATAAGTTAGTTACTTCCAAGATTCAATGGGGGTAAAGGCATTAGGTAAATGTTCCCATTCCAAATTGGTCAAACTGGCTAAAACAAAGGGGCCACAGGCCCCATGCACATCCGAAACCCAATAGGGCACTCATTAAATCTTCAAGCTCCAAAATATCCTTTGACTTCATGTCTCACATCGAGGGCATGCTGATGCAAGGGGTGGGCTCCCATGGCCTTGGGCAGCCCTGCCCCTGTGGCTCTGCAGAGTACAGCCCTGCAGCTGTTCTCATGGGCTGATGTTGAGTGGCTTTTCCAGGTTCATGGTGCAAACTACCATTCTGGGGTCTGAACGACAGTGGCCCTCTTCTCAGCTCCACTAGACAGTGCCCCAGTGGGGAGTCTGTATGGGGGCTCCAGCCCCACATTTGCCTTCCACACTGCCTTAGGAGAGGTTCTCCATGAGGGCTCTGCCTCTGCAGCAGACTTCTGCCTGGACATCCAGGTATTTCCATACACCCTCTGAAATCTAGGCAGAAGTTCCCAAAGCTCATCTCTTGTCTTCACACCCACAGGCCCAACACCACATAGAAGCTTCCAAATCATGGGGCTTACACCCTCTGAAGCAACAATCTAAGCTTTAGCTTGGCCCCTTTTAGCCACAGCTCAAGCTAGAGCAGGCGGGAAACAAGGCACCAAGTCCTGAAGCTGCACAGAGCAGTGGGGCCCTGGGCCTGGCCCATGAAACCATTTTTCCCTCCTAGGCCTCCAGGCCTGTGATGAAAACGGCTTCCATGAAGGTCTTTGATATGCCCTGGAGACATTTTCCCCATTGTCTTGGCTATTAACAGTTGACTGCTTGTTACTTGTGCAAACTTCAGCAGCTCACTTGAGTTCCTCCCCAGAAAATGGGTTTTTCTTTTCTTCCATATGGTCAGGCTGCAAATTTTCCAAATTTCTGCTTCCTGTGAATTTTCCAAACCTATGCTTTGCTTCCCTTTTAAACTTAAGTTTCAATTTCAAACCATCTATTTGTGAACGTATAGTGGAATGCTTTCAGAATAAGCCAGGACACCTCTTGAATGCTTTGCTACTTAGAAATTTCTTCAGACAGATACACTAAATCATCTCTCTGTACTTCAAAATTCTGCAGATCTCTAGGGCAGGGACAAAATGTCAATGTCTCTTTGCTAAAATATAACAAGAATGACCTTTGCTCCAGTTCCTCTTCTCCATCTGAGACCACCTCATCTTGGACTTCATTGTCCATGTCACTGTCAGCATTTTGGTCAAAAACATTCAACAAATCTCTAGGAAGTTCCAAACTTTCCTATATCTTCCTGTCTTCTTCTAAGCCCTCCAAACTGTTCCAACCTCTGCCCATTGCCCAGTTCCAAAGTCACTTCCACATTTTCAAGTTATCTTTATAGCAGTGCCCCACTACCAATTCTCAGCAGTTCTCACACTGCTATAAAGATACTACCTGAGACTGGATAATTTATAAACAAAAGAGGTTTAATTGACTCAAAGTTCTGCATGGCTGGGAGGCTCTCTCAGGAAACTTACAATCATGGTGGAAGGCAAAGGGGAAGCAAGGCACAACTTATATGGCAGCAGGAGAGAGGGAACATGAGCAATGGGGAAGTCCCATGCTTTAAAACCATCAGACCTCATGAGAACTCTCTCACTATCATGAGAACAGCATGGGGGAAACTGCCCCATGATCCAGTCACCTCCCACCAGATCCCTCCCTTAACACATGGGGATTACAATTTGAGATAAGATTTGGGTGGGGACACAGAGCCAAACCATTTCAAAGAAACATAGGTGATTTCCTCTATAACCAGGGAGTAGGGAAAACTTTCCTAACTGTGGCTCAAATTCCAGAAGTATAATTTTGCTTACCAAAAATTAAGCATTTGCAAGTAACAAGACATCACAGGCAAAGTAAACAGACAAATGACAAAATGGGCAAAGGTACTCCTAGTGTTAGTATCTCTAATATATAAACAACCTTTACAAATAAAAAGCTGGGCATGATGGCTTAAGCCTGTAATCCCAGCTACTCAGGAGACTGAAGTGGGAGGATCACTTGAGGCCAGGAGTTTAAGACCATCCTATGCAACATAGCGAGACCCCCATCTCAAAAATAAATAAGTAAAATAAACAGATAATAATAAAAGAACCCAAACCTTAGGAAAATGAGCTTGTAGGATGAACAATAAACAGGAAAAGAAATTCAAATGATTCTTTATCATATGAAAATATGCTTATCTCATTCATACTAACAGAAATGTAAAAAAATAAAATCACAGATTCTCTTTCTCACATATTAAATTGGCAAAAATTAGAAAGTTTGACATGACTGCTGATGGGTAAACAGGCATGCTCACATTGCTGATGGTCCTGTAAATTACCCTCTTACTATGGTGGTTGTGGAGGATTGGGCAGAATTTGGTAAAATTACTAATGCATACGCCCTTTGACCAGCAATTCTGCTTCTAGGAATCTATCCCCAAAACAAACTGGCAAAAATACAATTTTTTTTTTTGAGACAGAGTCTTGCTCTGCCACTCAGGCTGGAATACAGTGGTGTGATCCCAGCTCACTGCAACCTCTGCCTCTGAGGTTCAAGCAATTTTCCTGCCTCATCCTCCCAAGTTGCTGAGACCACAGACCTGTGCCACCATGCGTGGCTAATTTTTTTTTTTTTTTTTTAGTACAGACGGGGTTTCACTATGTTGGCCAGGCTGGTCTCGAACTCCTGACCTCAAGTGATCCACCCATCTCAGCCTCTCAAAGTGCTGGGATTACAGGCATGAGCAAAACTACTTTTTTTTTTTTTTTTTTTTTTTTGAGACGGAGTCTCACTCTGTCACCAGGCTGGAGTGAAGCGGCGCGATCTCAGCCCACTGCAAGCTCCGCCTCCCAGGTTCATGCTATTCTCCTGCCTCAGCCTCCTGAGTAGCTGGGACTACAGGCACCCGCCACCACGCCCAGCTAACTTTTTGTATTTTTAGTAGAGACAGGGTTTCACCATGTTAGCCAGGATGGTCTCGATCTCCTGACCTCGTGATCTGCTCGCCTCGGCCTCCCAAAGTGCTGGGTGCTGGGATTACAGGTGTGAGCCACCACACCCAGCCACAAAAAATACTTTTTAAATGTACACACAAGGCTGTTAGTCCTTACAACAGATAGATACATACATACATACATACATACATACATACATACATACATACACACACATATATATATGAGACAGTGTTTTACTCTGTCACTCAGGCTGGAGTGCAGTGGCTGAGTCTCCTCTCACTGCAGCCGCAACCTCCCAGGCTCAAGCAATCCTCCCACCTTAACCTCCTGAGTAGCTGGGACTTGGGACTACAGGCACATGCCACCAAGCCTGGCTAATTTTAGAAAATTTTCTATAGAGATGAGGTCTTCTGTTTCCCAGGCTGGTCTCAAATTCCTGGCTCAAGCAATCCTCCCACTACAGCCTCCTACGGTGCTGGGATTACAGGCATGGCCCACCACATACAGCCATCCTTACAACAATATTTGTAGGAGCAAAAAGGACAGAAACAACCCAATTGTCCACCAATAGAGGATTGATTATACAAATAATGTCAGATTGATAGAGTAGATCTTCAAAACATATTATTATTAAGATGCAAAGTGGAGGAAAGTTTGTCTGTGTATAGCAAAATGCATAATATATTATGTATATAAAATACTTGCTCTCTCTATATATATATATATATTTTTTTGGGGACAGAGTCTCGCTCTGTTGCCCAGGCTGGAGTGCAGTGGCACAATCTCAGCTCACTGCAAGCTCCGCTCTCTGGGTTCACACCTTTCTCCTGCCTCAGCTTCCCAAGTAGCTGGGACTACAGTCACCCGCCACCACGTCCGGCTAATTTTTTGTATTTTTAGTAGAGATGGGGTTTCACCATGTTAGCCAGGATGGTCTCGGTCTCCTGACCTCATGATCCGCCCACCTCGGCCTCCCAAAGTGCTGGGATTACAGGCATGAGCCACTGTGCCCGGCCAGTACTTGCTATATTTTTTAAATGGAAGGATAAACTATAAACATTTAAGAATGGTTAATTACAGGAAGAGGGAAGTAACAAAGTGAGGGATAAAAATAAAAGTTATGGGAGGTTAAGGTGGGTGAATTGCTTTAGTTTAGGAGTTGGAGACCAGCCTGAGCAACACGATGAAATCTGATCTCTACCAAAAAATACAAAAAATTAGCAGGGTGTGGTGGTGCACACCTGTCCCTGCTACTTGGGAGGCTGACTTGGGAGAATTGATTGAGCCCAGAAGGTGGAGGCTGCTATGAACCATGATCCCACCACTGCACTCTAGCCTGGGTGACAGAATGAGACCCTGTCTCCGAAAACAACATAATAAAAGTCCCTTTTGGCCAGGTGTGGTGGTTCATGCCTGTAATCCTAACACTTTGGGAGGCCGAGGCAGGCAGATCACTGGAGGTCAGGAGTTTGACACTGGCCTGACCAACATGGTGAAACCCTGTCTCTACTAAAAATACAAAAATTAGCCAGGCATGGTGGCTGATGCCTGTAATCCCAGCTACTTGGGAGGCTGAGGCAGGAGAATCGCTTGAACCTGGGGGGCGGAGGTTGCAGTGAGCCGAGATCATGCCATTGCATTCCAGCGACAAAAGCAAAATTCCGTCTCAAAAAAAAAATGTTTCTTTCAGTATCTCCTGTTTTGTAAACTTGACTTTGGAATGATGTAAATATTTTACATAATTATGAAACCAAAGTAAAAGATTTGAGGATGAAGCTGGTGCATCTAAATGAGTATCCAGGGGGTAGCATAACCATACCAATAATAGCTTTTTATCAAAACAGTAATTTGTGCATCACTAGTGGAATATACCTCAAAGAAAATAAGATAGTAAAAATATGTATTTTCAGTCATATTATTAGTGGTGATGTTGGTATTAGTATTCTGAGACCGTTGCATGTGTACTGTGGGTTAAAGCAAATGAGCAATAATCTAATCTGTCATTAGTAGTGTAGTTCAGAACTGAGATTCTCTGCATAGGAGAAAGGAGATGTAAAATAGAAGAGAAGTAAAACCCTGTGGTCCTGAGTTTGCATTGCAATTATCTGTATGAATGCACTCTGTATTTTACTGTAAAAGAAAACAAAACATATCTCCTTTTTATTTATACTGAAGAGGCCTAAAAATAATCACCAATCCTATGGCAGCGAGCATCCTAGCCCTTGGACAGTAATTTTGAATTGACCTTTCCCACTAAAGGAGCCAAGAATTTTTGGAGAAAAGGCTGATTCCAGATGAGAGTCAGGAAATATAGAAAGGAGCCTAGAACATCTCATTCTACCAGATATCAAGGAAGCTATCAAAGACTACTAGAGTTGGCCAGGCACGGAGGCTCACGCCTGCAATCCCAGCACTTTGGGAGGCCAAGGTGCGTGGATCATCTGAGGTCAGGAGTTCGACACCAGCCTGACCAATATGGTGAAACCCTGTCTCTACTAAAAATACAAAAATTAGCTGAGTGTGGTGGTGTGCGCCTGTAATCCCAGCTACTCAGGAAGCTGAGGCAGGAGAGTCACTTGAACCTGGGAGGCGGAGGTTGCAGTGGGCCAAGATCACGCCATTGAACTCCAGCCTGGGTGACAGAGCGAGACTCTATCTCAAACAAAACAAAACAAAACAAAATAACCGCTAGAGTCCAAAGACTTGTAACCCAACTAGGCAACAAGAGCCATTGGCCAAAGAAAAGACAGTATGAGCAACGGTAAGAATAATAAATCCAATGGTTTGGAATATACCAAATATGTTTGACCCTTGAGTCCATTTTGTTTTTGGCGGGGGGGACAGGGTCTCACTCTGTTGCCCAGGCTGGAGTGCATTGGTGCGATCTTGGCTCACTGCAACCTTCGCCTCCCAGGCTCAAGCCATCCTCCAACCTCAGCCTCCTAAGTAGCGGGGACCACAGGCATGCACCAGCATGTCCGGCTAATTTTTGTATTTTTTATAGAGACAAGGTTTTGCCATGTTGCTCAGGCTGGTCTTGAAATCCTAAGCTCAAGCAATCAGTCTGCCTTGGCTTCCAAAGTGCTGGGATTACAGGCGTGAGCCGCCCAGCCCAGTTTTTTCTTTATACCATATTCCAGCTAGTAAAGAAGGAATGACAGAATTAGACTATCACTATTTCTCATTCCGTAATGGATCTAGGCAATGATCACCAATGGCTATTAATATTTTTTAAAAGAGAGACTGCTAAACATTACGTTGGTAGAATTAACAGACTATCTATAATGTAATCTTGCCTCCAACCTCCCCATCAAGTCTGAATCTAATCAAGCCTCTATACCCAGCTACCAATTTATAAAACTATAGATATTAGAAGAACGTGTTAAATTATACCAAGAGGATGCAATCAGCAAAATCTAGGTTTTGTGCTTCATGGTGGCTCATGCCTGTAATCCTAGCACTTTGGGAGGCTGAGGCAGGAGGATTCACTTGAGTCCAGGAGTTGTGACACCAGTTTGGGCAACATAGTGAGACTGTGTCTCTATGAAAAAGAAACAAAACTAGCCAGTCATGGTGGTGCATGCCTGCAGTCTCAGCCACTTGGGAGACTGAGGTGGGAGAATCATTGAGCCCAGGAGATCAAGGCTGTGGTAAGCTGAGATCAGGCCACTGCACCCCAGCCTGGGTGACAGAGCAAGACTCTGTCTCAAAAAAAAAAAAAAAAAAAGTAAGAAAGAAAAGAAAAAGAAAAAAAAATCTTCATTTTGTAGACTTGTACAGGTTAAATTATTCATTTTCTTCCACAAATTGGAAAAAAATATAAAGGAATGGAGGAGGAACCCACAGGGACGTACAAGATGTATCAACCAATGGCATCATTATGTGTTGACTTTATTTTGGTCCTAATTCAAACAAACAGCTAAAAATAAATATGACTCCAACAAAAACTTGTACACAGGTATCCATAGCAGCATTATTCATAACAGCTGAAAATATATGATGAACTATTATTCAGCCATAGAAAGGAATATAGGACTGATTCATGCTACAACATGGATCAACCTTGAAGACATTACGTGGCCAGGCATGGTGGCTCACACCTGTAATCCCAGCACTTTGGGAGGCCAAGGTGGGTGGATCGCTTGAACTCAGGAGTTTGAGACCAACCTGGGCAACAAAGTGAAACCCTATCTCTACAAAAAATACAAAATTGGCTGGGCATGGTGGTGCGTTCCTGTAGTCCCAGGTACTCGGGAGGCTGAGGTGGGAAGATTGCTTGAGCTTTGGAGGCAGAGGTTGCAGTGAGCCTAGATCGTGCCACTGCACACTAGCCTGAGTGACAGAGTGAGACCCTGTTGTTTTTTTTTTAAAGGTGTTAAAAAAATTTTTTTAAAGAAATAAAAAAAAAAATTATGATAAGTGAAATAAGCCAGACACAGCACCACAAAGTATATGATTCCATTTATATGAAATGTCTAGAATAGTGAAATTTATAGAAATAGAAAGTATATTAGTGGGTTCCAGGGGCTGGATGAGAAAGGGGAAGTGACTGCTAATGGGTACAGGGTTTCTTTGTGGAGTGATGGAATTCAATACTGGTGATGGTTGTATTATTTTGTGAATATACTATAAACTACTGAATTGGGCCAGGTGTGGTGGTTCGTGCCTGTAATCCTAGCACTTTGGGAGGCTGAGGAGCGTGGATTGCTTGAGCCCAGGAGTTAGAGACCAGACTGGGTAACATGGTGAATCCCTGCCTCTACTAAAAATACAAAAATTAGCCAGGTGTGGTGGCATGCACCTGCAGTCCCAGCTACTGGAGGGCTGAGCTGGGAGGATCACATGAGCCTGGGAGGTTGAGGCTGCAGTGAGCTGAGATCGCACCATTGCACTCCAGCCTGGGTGACACAGTGAGACCCTGTCTCAAAAATGAAAACAAAAAACTACTGAATTGTATACAGTCATGTGTCACTTAACAACAGGGATATGTTCTGAGAAATGCATCATTAGACAATTTCATCATTGTGTCCACATCATACAGTGTACTTACACAGACTTAGATGGATGGAAGAACCTAGGCTATATGGTAGAGCCTTTTGCCCCTAGGCCACAAACCTGTACAGTATGTTACTGTACTGAATACTGTAGACTTCTGTAACACAATGGTAAGTATTTTTGTATCTAAATATAGAAAAGATATAGTAAAACTGGTAAAGGTAATATTGACACAGGATTCTTTCTGTGAAGCTTCACCATCTGGAAATCTCCGCAGCCAGCAGCGCCCCTGCCTGGCACTCACTTGGCTCCGGGCTTGCCTCTGGGCTCATTCTGTCCATCTCTACAAAAACTTTTTAAAAAAATCAGCCTGGCATAGCGGTGCGTGCCTGTAGTCCTCGCTACTCGGGAGGCTGTGTTAGGAGGATCTCTGGAGCCTAGGGGTTGGAGGCTGCAGTGAGCTATGATCATGCCACTGCACTCCAGACTGACTGACAGAGACCCTGTCTCATAATAATAATAATACAGAAGCCAGGCATGGTGGCACACACCTGTAGTCATAGCTAGCTACTCAGGAGGTGGAGGCAGGAGAGCCCAGGAGCTTGGGCAACATAACAAGACTCTGTCTCTCTCTTTTTTTTTTTTTTTTTTTTTTTTTTTTTGAGATAGAGTCTTGTTCTGTCACTCAGGCTGGAGGGCAGTGGTGTGATCTCGGCTCACTGCAACCTCTGCCTCCCGGGTTCAAGGGATTCTCCTGCCTCAGCCTCCTGAGTAGCTGGGACTACAGGTGCATGCCACCATGACTGGCTAATTTTTGTATTTTTAGTGGAGGCGGGGTTTCACCATGTTGGTCAGGCTGGTCTGGAACTCCTGACCTCAAGGGATCCACTCGCCTCAGTCTCCCAAAGTGCTGGGATTATAGGTGTGAGTCACCACGCCCAGCCAAGACCCTATCTCTTAAAAAAAAAGAAGTTAGGCTGGGCGCGGTGGCTCATGCCTGTAATCCCAGCACTTTGGGAGGCCGAGGTGGACGGATCACGAGGTCAGGAGATGGAAACCATCCTGGCTAACACAGTGAAACCCCGTCTCTACTAAAAATACAAAAAAATTAGCCGGGCGTGGTGGCAGGTGCCTGTAGTCCCAGCTACTCGGGAGGCTGAGGCAGGAGAATGGCGTGAACCCAGGAGGCGGAGCTTGCAGTGAGCCGAGATAGCACCACTGCACTCCAGCCTGCATTTATAATCAAATATATATATATATATATATATTTGGAATTTATTGTTGCATGGTATGTGAATATTTAAAAATATTTCACTTGTGTTCAAGGATAATGTGTATTCTCTTTGTAAAGTTTATATTCTCTGTGAGCTAATTGATTGTATTCAGCTTTTATGTTAACTTTTGTCAACTTTTTTATTCTAGGAGGCAGTGTTTAACATTTTCAATGAACACTGTCAACTTTTCTATTTCTTCCTTTAGTTTTTGTCAGTTCTTATTCTGTGTACTTTGAATCCATATTTTTAACTGCAGATATGTTGGCAATATGTATAATCTTGCTTCTTTGTTAATTTTACTAGCATATAATATTTATTGTCTCTTTTCATGTATTTTTTGCTTGAATTCAGTTTTGTGAGACATTATAATTGTTAACAGATTTCTTTGTTTTAAACTTACCTGGTATATCTTTTTCCATTCTTCTATTTTCAACCTTTCAGCATACTTTTAAGTATTTCTTTTGGTGACAACATAATATTAGATTTTTTTCCCTTAAGTCCAATTTGAGCGTCTGTCCCTTAATTAGTGAATTTATGCTCTTTACATATATGGTAATTGTCATAATACTAGGACTTATTTCTTTCATTTTGTTTGGGATTTGTTTTCTTATGCTATTTTAGGTGCTGCATATTCTTCCTATTGATTTTTTACGCTTATCAGCATACATTTCTTCCCCCAACAAGACATAGTATTTTGAAATGCTTCATCACATACCTGCCACCATCTAGTTCCTACTCTTACCCTGTTCCTTCTGCTTCATGTAGATATCATACAGAATTTTAGTCATGGTTTGTCCTAGATATAATTTCTCCTCTTTTCTTTGGTTGTTGCTTTTTTTAGACTATAGTGAACTTGAACATTTGGCAAATGTTTTATGTCTTTGTGCCCTAGTTTTCTTATTTATAAAGTGAAAATAATTCCACCTTCCTCACGTGGCTTTTTGTGGGAGGTAAATGTGGCAGTGTGAGTGAGAATGCTTGATAACATGTGAATAATTATGTGAGAGGTGATTATCAGTCAAAAATTACCTTTTATTCCAATGCCCACCCTTTTCTACTTCACTCAAGTACTCTTTTCAATCTCCTTTTCAGAATTCGTATTTCCTTTTCTTTACCCCATAATCCTTTGTGCTTTTATGATTAAAAGAATTCTGTATGTGTTCCCAAGCCCAGAGCTGCTGGTAGGCTCCAGCAAGGGAGATGCTGTGCGGCCTGTTTCACCAGGTTTAGCACAGTAAGCTGGGAAAACCCAAGGGAAAAAGCCTTTGGGATGTCGATGAGTGTGGAAGGTAGGGTGTCATTGGAGCTATCACTATTCAGCAAAAGAAGGGAACTGTGAAGGTGGAGGATATAGCATTTCCTTCTTTAACAAAAGCAGGCTTGGTGTGGGAACAGTGGGCTCTATAATGTAATGAAAACTATTTTCAGATACTATTGAAATTAAAATGTATTATTGCAGTGTATGGCTTAATGTAATGGTAACTTTATTTCTTACCAGGCTCATATTGGCAACTTATTAACATCAAAATTCTTCAGTTATAAGGATTTTGATACTTTATTATATACCTGTGCAGCAGAGTTTGACTTTATGGAAAAAGAGGTAAGATGTGATTTCTAGTTCTGTTTCCTAAGGTTTTGGCCCATACATTTTTCATAAAGGGTGCCCCTCTTATATCAGACTCTTTATGTACTGTTATCTCAGTTTGAAGGAAAAGGAAAATCTGGCAACTTAGAGAAAGATTTTTCTATTTACTTTAGTGCAGCTCCCTGAAATATATGGCCTTTACTCATTTCGATAATTTAGAAATACACATTCAGACTAGCAGTGGTTTTCTAGGTGAGTAAACACAGAGGCATTAAAAGTTGCCATTTTTCAGTGATAGCATTAATTTAGTCAAGCTTTCAAGCTCTTACATTTCCACTCATTTTGTGGTTATTTAAACAGATATTTGCTTTGAAACATCAAGTCCAAGCTTTTCCTTCCAACAGCATTTTTCTTTCTAAAACTGTATTCAGAGATTTAGAAGGAAAGCAGAGAGTAGTTTAGTGGATTGTGAGACAGAAGCCTGCAATTTTGCTTGATGTTCTTGAACAAGCAACTCTCATTCCTTGTGTTACAGTTTACTAGTTTCTAGTAGCATGCCATAAACAGATATTGTGAAGACAAAATGAGATAATACAAAGGAAAGTACTTTGATATTTTAAATAAATAAATATTTAAATAAACAAAATATTAATTTGCAATACTTTATGAGCTGGTTTAGTTCAATAAACATGTATATATGTGCATTTTTAACACCATCCACGTGGTACTGATTAATTATATTATCTGTGTCACTCCTTCAGAGTGGTATGTGTGTGTATATGAAACTGGCCAACAATACTCTATTGACATGTTAGTTTCCCTCATGATCCCACTGTGTTAGCCCAGTGTCCAGAGTTCCAGACCAGTGGATGAGAGGGCACCACACAGGAAACTTTTATCTACCGGCCATTTGGAGTTGAGTGTGTTCTGAAGAGGTACTGTTTACTCCAGTGGCCTGTCAGTCTTCATTTATTGTGTTCCGGCAAATGGTTTTGACACACAGTGGCTGACAAAGGTATATGAGTTTTAGTGTTAAACCTGCTGAAACAAACAAAGGAAGCATATCTTGCAAGACATTGAAATGCATGTTCATAGGGGTTCAAGACTCCTTCACATATTAGAGAATTAGGATGTGGTGAAGTTGTTTAATGTTATTGAGAACATCATACATACTGCTACAATCTGAGAGTATTAAATGTAAGTTATGTAATGAAAGAAATAATTTATTGAGGCATAGCATGACTTCAGCTAATTTGAAGAAAATAGCAAAGCTGTTTCCAGCATACCATTCCTCATCACTGTAAGTATCTGAATTCTTAGGGACTGTGCCATAGAGACAGAGTAGTGTCAATTCAGGGAATATATGTTCCAATTATACACCCATACAATACCTATAACATGGTATTTCCTAACATGATATCATACTGACATGGAAAGATGCTTAAGATATATAAGGGAGTAAACAAAATGATATAGTCTTATTAATGCATAATTAACAAACATAAAAGTAAAAAAAAGTGTAAAAGAGCAAAATTTTAAGAGTGGTTTTTTGGGTGGAGAGATAATCGAGAGGTATAGGGCTTTTTTATTAAACTTATTTCTATTTTTTTTCTGCTACTAAAGAAAATGTAAAAGTCTTTTGTTCCCCTCAAACATCAATCATTATTTTGTTTATGTGTGAGAAACTGTGTGTGTGTGTGTGTGTGTGTTTGTGTGTGTGTATGTTTCAATGATAATATTTTTATCCCCCACAAAATATACAGGAAAAGCTTATTCCATTTAAGGAGCTTTACGTACCTTAGATGAATATTAAGTTGGTCTCTCTAGTTAGATAAGTAGCATGCAAAAAGTGAGCAGTAATCTTTTCAGTGACATTTCACACTTACAGGTGTTTGGGTACTGTATTTTTAGTGTTTCAACTCAGCATTTTGGGGAAGTTCATTTCTATGGAAATGCACTTTCCTTTTTATGATGGCAGTCAGTGAGAAGATTGGTGAATGTTCATATTTCTCTACTTTTAGAAATTTACCTATTTCATTATTTGAAATGAAACTTTATTTGGTTAAAATGTTTCCTTCTAACAAAACATCTCTTTGAATTTCAGACTCCACTGAGATACACAAAGACATTATTGTTTCCAGTTGTTCTTGTAGTGTTTGTTGCTATTGTTAGAAAGGTATGTCTATCACTTAAGAGCTCTTTCTTATAATAGAATATTTTCTTGTTTTTACATAGTAGTTGCATATACTTGGCCACATATTAATCTGATACAATGTTTTGTATGGGCTTACTGTAACATATTATATGTTTTCTTAATGATAGTTTTTGATAGACATTTATATATCTTCAAAATATTCTATCTGCTAGCATAAAATAGACATCGGAAAATGATGGCTCAAGTTTCAATAGTCATGTATTTTGGAAGGCATGATCAGAGACCATATTGACCCAGATACAACTTGCCTGTGTAAATTATTACTGGCTTTTACCTTTAATGTAATATTTCCCTAAAATATTTAATACATACCTTTCTAAGTGATTTGTGCAGTGTGCAGTAACTCCTGGATTGTGTTTATTATTAATCAGAAAGAAAAAACAGTATTTGCAATGTGTTGATGAACTAGATAAAATGTTTAGGATCCCCAACTTGGCTTTGATAATAAAATTCTAAGCCCAGATATAAATAAGGTCAAAGCAAGTGTGATATTCCCTCTCTTTTTTTCTTTCAAGAATTGTGCACTCTGTAACCCAATGTGTCTTAAGAGAATGAATAGAAGTTAATCTGTGATGGAAAAAGAGATGACAGAACTTAAAAGTTTCCTGATTTGTAGCCAGTGATTTCTGTGTTAATACAATTTCATTTATTTGTAGAATATTCTGTATTATAACAATTGTTCATATTATATATTTGTACTCTGCTTTGTATAGAACAATTTCACGTGAGTATTTAAATTGTTTATTCGACAGCCCTATGGGGTAGACAAATGTTATCTCCATTTTAACATACGGAACTGAAAGATCAAAGATGTTAGGAACCTCACATCATGTCCACTTAAAAGCAAGGGAAGAGTATGACTCGGGCTCTGCACCTTCCCCCATCATTGGGCTACGTCTGGTATTCAGCTATGCACTCCAACAGCACTTTTCATCTCTAATCAGTTAATAGTCAGTTCCTGGCCAGGTGCAGTGGCTCATGCCTGTAATCCCAGCACTTTGGGAGGCTGAGGCTGACAGATCACGAGGTCAGGAGATCGAGACCATCCTGGCTAACACATTAAAACCCCATCTCTACTAAAAATACAAAAAATTAGCCAGGCGTGGTGGCAGGCACCTGTAGTCCCAGCTACTTGGGAGGCTGAGGCAGGAGAATGGTGTGAGCCCGGGAGGCGGAGCTTGCAGTGAGCCAAGATCGCACCACTGCACTCCAGCCTGGGCGACAGAGCAAGACTCTGCCTCAAAATAAATAAATAAATAAATAAATAAATAGTTCCTGCTGTGTGCTAGGCTTTGTGTGTGCTTTGCACTTTTATATACTTTATGTGGATTTGAACCTAGTGGGTACTCAAAAACTACTAAGCACTGGCCATCCAGAACATATGCAAAAGACAGCAACGTGAGTGGTGACAGATGATGAAAACTATTAGCTGGGCTGTTTCGTTTAGAGAAGAAAAGATTCAGATGGAAAGTGGATAATTACTTTGAAATATGTTAAAAGCCTGCCCCTTGAAAATAAGGTTACACACAATCTGGCTCCTTAGAATCATGGCCAATTCCAGGCGGTAGGACTTTTGACCAGAACTGATCTCAACTGATAAGGAAAGTGTTATAGATTCAAGCAGCAGCTGGTGGATTCTAAGGGCTGGATTACAGCCTGTCATCAGTGTTGTAGAGAATATTTGTACTGGAGATAGGATTTTAGATTAGATGACCTCCTCGTTATTGCTAAATATGAAAGCACAGTGACTGTGTTTTGAATGCTTCCAGCTGTGATTATCAACCTCTGAGCCAGCTCTCCAGTTTTCTGAGTGCACTGTTAAGAAGAGGTGTTGCCAACAACGTTGGCATGGTGGAAGCAGCGCTGAATGTGAATTTGAAGCCAGAAGATCTGGTTTCAAGACTGCAGTTCTTCTTAGTAGTTGTCTACCTACAGGGCGATCATTTAATCCATATGAGCCTGTTGCTCATTTACAAAATGAGGATGATATAATCTACCCAACAGGGTTGTTGAATATTAGTGTTGATCAAATACTACACAAATATAAGATTATGTTGTTGTGATTATTATTTTCTGAGTTATCTCTTATCTCTATACTTATATTTTTCATTAAAAGTTTTACAATTTAGAAGATACTTTAGTTAAAATATCATTTTTCCCAACACAGCTTTTCTAAAGTGTTTCAAAATCTATTTACAGATTATTAGTGATATGTGGGGTGTCTTAGCTAAACAACAGACACACATAAGGTAAATATGCTATTAAGAATTTTGTTACCTCCTCTGTTCATTTATTAAATAGATATTTACAGTGTATTAATTTTATACTCACATGTTGTGTACCTAATATTTGATAATTGATGTTTTTATTGTGGTCATTTCCCTTCTTGGTGTTTCTTCTTATTTCCTATCTGTGCAGAACACAGCACATCACTTATTCATCCTTCAGATGTTATCCAGTACAATCTGACAGTAGCCCTGCACATAATCTACACTCGAAGGACACAGTTTTATACTTCAGTTCAGCAGGGAAAGTAAATTATTATGTGAGTGGTTTTAGGACCAGTGGACTGCCTTTTGGGAAATGAGCAGGGAAATATAAAACTGGATTCATACCTCACTTTTTGCAGAAAATAAATTTCAGATGAAGCAGAGAATTAGGTATAGAAAAAAAATAAAGCCCCAAAATTAACTAAGAGGGTAGGTTTATAATCTGAGAGTTAGGGAGGCCTACAGTATGCTTGGTATTTTCTGCCATCACACCCTTTCATCTTACTCTCTTACCATTTATCACCCTTTGTACTTAAATGTTGATGTGTGACCTGTATCTCCTGAAGGGAGGGATCATTTTTGTTCAACAGTTTATATACAGTGCCTGCAAGATAGTAAAGGATAGTAGTTGAATGAGTGAGTATTTACATATGACTAATGAACATGAAAAGGTAGTCTTGATCCTATGGTAAAGACATTCAGGTTGAAGTGAAGACCTTTTCACTTCTCATATTTCTAAAAATTAATAGTATACCCAATGCTTGCAAGAGTGGGAGGTAGTAGATGGGAGGGAAATTTGGCAATAAACAGTAAAACATATAGTGGGCCTGTACTTTAGCCCTGCAGGTTCTACCAGCGCAAGTGTACTCTCCAGAGATGCTCACAGAAATACAGAGATGATGGGGAGAAATGTCTTTTGTAGTATTGTGTGTAATGTGAGAAATGGAAACATCCAAAATATCTACTATGATCCAATCATAGAGTGGAATGTTAGGCCATCTTTCTGGAAATAGGTCCAGTATACATTATTGAATTTTAAAAATTGCCTCTGTGTGTGTGTGTGTGTGTGTGTGTGTGTGTGTGTGTGTGTGTGTGTGTGTGTGTATAGGATGATTATACTTCTGTTTAAAATTTGGAGATTTTTATGTGTTTGTGCATAGAAGTGATCTGGAAAGATAAATCCTGTAATTATTAAGAGTGTGGGATTGGAAGATGGAGTGAAGGTAGTTTTAACTTTACTTTTATTCTTTTGTAGGATTTTGGGAGGACAAGGATTGTCTAATGTATGTATCTATATTTTCTGTTCTTTTTTTTTTTTTTTTTTTTTTTGAGACAGAGCCTGGCTCTGTCGCCCAGGCTGGAGGAGTGCAGTGGCACGATCTTGGCTCACTGCAACCTCTGCCTCCCGGGTTCAGGCAATTTCATCTGCCTCAGCCTCCTGAATAGCTAAGACTACAGGCGACCACCACCATGCCTAGCTTATTTTTGTATTTTTAGTAGAGACAGGGTTTCACCATATTGGCCAGGCTGGTCTTGAACTCATGATGTCGTGATCTGCCTGCCTCAGCCTCCCAAAGTGCTGGGATTATAGGCATGAGCCACCTCACCTGGCCCTATATTTTCTTTTATAATTTGAATATACACACCCTTATATTATTCCCTCACCTCCAAGTCTCTGCCAACATAATGATAAATTATTGCACATACTCCTGAGAGAATCCTTGTTCTCACTTAGAAACAATTTACTGTAACATATACAGGTATATGTTTATACCTGTAACATTTGAGTTGAGGGCTAAGGGGGAAAGAAAAACGTTCTGGTTTACAATGCCGAAATTTTTCTTCATTTGAGGTGAAATTACTTTTGAAGAGCTCAGGAAGAAGCTACAAAGTTTCAGCTGTAGTATGCAGCTCTGGAAGAGGAAGGTGGAACTTCTCACAGAAACAAAGCTGTCCCTTCAAGAGTAATAACTCACCTATAGAAATAATTATAGGAAACCATTAAGCTTCATGGGGTTTTCAGTTCAAATAGGATCAGAGCTCTTTTTTGGAAGAGGAGTGGCAATGTTGACATTTTATTTTGCATAGCTACCAAAGCCAGTGTAAAAAGGAGAAGAGTAGGACATAAATTTTAACTATGAAAGACGTGAATGCCAATATTCTCTTTACTCAAAGACCCAGGAAGTAAAGTG
The DNA here is from genome assembly GCF_000001405.40 of Homo sapiens. Classification (NCBI taxonomy): domain Eukaryota; kingdom Metazoa; phylum Chordata; class Mammalia; order Primates; family Hominidae; genus Homo; species Homo sapiens. The sequence continues at coordinate 32,819,521 of NC_000007.14, forward strand.
GGTTAGAGGCAGCATGATGTAGTAAAAAGTATATTGGCTCTGAAGTCAGGCAGAATATAGTCCTGGCTGCCACTTAGCAGCTCTGTGATTCCCTTTCCTTGGCTGTAAATTGGGGTAATAAATGGTTGTAGGATTAGAGTTAATGGAATGTACTAAGCATATTAACATTGTAAGTACTCAACAAATGGTAACTGATAGTTTTTATGTGGAGTGAAACAAGAATAAAGAAAGAACTGTTTCATCTCCTTCACTAGCCCCCTATGTACTACTGAGTTTGCTAATATATCAGTCTTTTTGAGGCCAAATTCTCAAATTAGATTATATGCTACCTGGATTAACAGTTTTTTGTTTTTTTGTTTGTTTGTTTGAGACGGAGTCTCGCTGTGTTGCCCAGAATGGAGTGCAGCGGCACTATCTCGGCTCGCTGCAAGCTCCGCCTCCCAAGTTCACGCCATTCTCCTGCCTCAGCCTCCTGAGTAGCTGGGACTACAGGCGCCCGCCACCACACCTGGCTAATTTTTTGTATGTTTTTTTGGTAGAGACGGGGTTTCATTGTGTTAGCCAGGATGGTCTCGATCTCCTGACCTTGTGATCCGCCCACCTCAGCCTCCCAAAGTGCTGGGATTACAGGCGTGAGCCACCGCACCTGGCCTGGATTAACAGTTTATTGATACACTTGTTCATTCATTAAAAATGTTGAGCTGTAAGTGCCAGGTATTACTCTAGAACTTGGGAACATATCAGTGCTTAAGAAAGAGAAGGTGTGCGTTGTCAACTCACACATTTCTGTCTCTGACACAGACTTCTCCCTTGAACTCAGATTTACACATATAACCACCTATTTGTCATCTCTACTTGGTTGCCTAGTGAAAATCTCAAAGGTTTTTTTCATTCCATGCTTTGCTGGGTTATCACCAGTGAGGGAGCTGGGACACCACAGTGTGCCTTTGTTGTCCTAATAAATACCCATGTAGTCAAATAGGATATAATACAACATTGTCATTCTTCATAAATTTTCTTAAAATAGTATAGCACCAGTTTTGGCATGTAACTTTTAGTTATTTTGATTTGCCTATATGTGTCCTGAGAGAATGTTATAGAAGTTGTAAAACTCCTATTTGCAAGATGAAAATGCAAATATATGAAATAAGTGCTTCAATAATGAATTGATAGCAATATATTTTTTTCTGTTCCAGAAAACACCAGTTTGATCATGGAGAGGTAAAGACTTAATATCACTATAATTTTACTTATCTTAAAGTTGCATGCATTTGGACTTTCCTTTCTAGTTCCAGTTTCTAACTTTGTTGGAATTATCAGCAATCATCTTGAAAATAGCCTGTTATGTGTTTTTATGAGAATGCTACATGCAGATTCACTGACCATTCATTTGTTAAAATTAACTAGGAAACTTATTTGTTCTGCTCTGATCATCTTTACGCTAACAGCAGTTGATTTCTGGAGCCCATTTAGACATACGTGTGAGGTGTCTATTGCATGATTGGAAATCACTTTCCTCTCTGCTCACCTTGCTTGAGGCCTCAGAGATGTGATTGGTTACTGCTCCCATCTCCTAGTGGTCCAGTCTGGTTTTGAGGGCAGTTCCAAGGTGGAGCCCTCAGATCTTGAGGCAGCAGTCATTTCTTTTACCACTGTCTTTTCTTGGTCTGATGGTAGCATCAAGGTAGATTAAAAAATGTGGGCTTTATTAACCACAGGTTTGACTCTGAGAATCACAGAAACACTTGCCTTAATGACTTTATAATTTCAGCCTTCCACTAAAATAGAACAGTTTGAAAGTGAATTTTAAGAATTGTTTTAGAAATTTCAGAAACCAAAGTAGTAGTATTTTTTGTTACTAAGGAGAACATACCCCTTTCTGCATATTGCCAGCTTAGTATTCTTAAACTTCACAAACAGTAGGAGTAAAAAACATTTTCTTCTTTCTTTCAGCTGGTTTACCATGCATTGCAATTGTTAGCATATACAGCCCTTGGTATTTTAATTATGAGACTAAAACTCTTCTTGACACCACACATGTGTGTTATGGCATCACTGATCTGCTCAAGACAGGTAACATGTTATGTTGGAGTATAGCCACTGTGATAATTTTAGCCTTTATTATTGAGTGGCCCTAAAATAATGAATTACAAAGTCTTTTAAGTGATTATAGTTAAAGCTCTTCATGGTTTTGTACTTATCTTTCTTAAAGGGTAAGGGCCAAAGCTGATCATTTTCTATCTTTCTAAAGATTTAAAATAGTTGTTGGTGTACAACAAATACCGATTTAGTACAGACTGAGTTCATGAGTGATTACTGCAGGTGCTGATAGAAAGCAGAGCTTAATTGTACAAATAATAACTTTTTTTTGTTTTGACATTCACATCACAAAGAATTCTAACAATTTCAAGTTATAAGTGCTTGAAAATTATATGTTCCTTTTTTAGTATCAAACTTACTCTTTTTTTCTCATTTGGTGCACATTTGTGTGCACATTCTTGACTTGTGCTTTTTAAAATTTAGTTTAAACCTTCCTTGGTGGTTTGTTGCTTATTTTTCCTGGATAACTGCCTCCTTGTTCTGTATTTACAGATTTATGCTTCTCCATAGTGTCACCTTTCCATCAGTCAACCAGCCTAGGTACAACAGCAGCACCTCCCTTAAACATAGCAGATAGTCAGTGAGCACCTACACTGTGCACTCTAGGGATGGAGGAGAGAGTAGTAGACAGAAAAGTCAAAAGCCAGTGTTTATAAGCCCTCAAGAAACTTGAAATCTAGCTCTGTAGACTTGTAGAGAAAGATCAAGAGAGCAAAGTGTTGTTATGGTGTGTGGACTATTTGGATGTGGAAAAAATTAGCCAGCCTGGAGGTTCCCAATCAGAATGTTGTATTATGTTAGAAAGGCACTACTTTCCACCTTTCTGACCCCTTCAGGCTGGCACAAGAAAGGAGGCTGGTTGGAAGCCTTTAATCTTGAGTCTTATCCCACAGCATGACTGATGATATAGGTTGATGCAAAAGTAATTGCGGGTTTTGGCATTAAAATAGCAAAACCTGCAATTGCTTTTTCACCAACCTAATAGAAAGTGTCACCCAGGGCAGGTTTTGCAAGTGTGGGGTTCCTGCTGGTCACACAGGACCTCGCATTCAGAAGGACCCTGAACTTGGTTGAATGTTTGCTGCTGCTGTTTTGAACGTCTTAATACTTTTTTAACAAGAGACCCCACATTTTTGTTTTGCATTGGGCCTTGTAAATTGCATAGGTGGTTGTGGCTTTACTTGAATCTGGGAGTAGAGAAAGCAGGTTGAGAAAAGAGCTTCCTACATTGTGTTCCACTTATATGAGGCTGATGGTAGAATTCTTTTGATCTCAAAGATTATTATTTTGGGGCTTTTTCTTTAGGATAATTAATCCTTTATTTGGGACTCTAGCAGAGGCCACATTCTTCTCTGGGAAGAAGTTTTGCATGACAGATGCATACTACTTTATACTAACAATTACCGATGTATTCTTAATTTGGTTTCAGCTATTTGGATGGCTCTTTTGCAAAGTACATCCTGGTGCTGTTGTTTTTGCTATATTAGCAGCAATGTCAATACCAGGTTCAGCAAATCTGCAAACCCAGTGGAATACTGTAGGGGAGTTCAGCAACTTGCCACAAGAATTTATAGAATGGATCAAATATAGTACTAAACCAGGTAAAAAAAAAAAAGTCATATTATTTAACTGTTTTTCCCACAATTTTATATACCACTGCAAACTCCAAACTCTTAAACCCTAGTTACTTCCACTGATCTTACTCTTTCTAAGCAATGTTGCTTTTAGAATATCTAAAACAAAGGAGATATCAATCCTGTTTAAATGGTTTGCATGGGAAATGTTATACATATGTTCTTAGTAATTTATTCTGCCACTTTTTATAGATTTTAATTTTTTCAAAATTTATTCACAGTCATAAATGCCACATTTAAAATAATTTTACTGTGCTTATTTTTTTAATGAATTTTTAATATTAGTCCTTCACATTCCTTCTTGAAATAAACTCATGGAATGTGGTATTTTATTCATGTGTGGAAAGGGAGACTTCGTTGTCATCTGAGTATCAAATGATTGAATACTAAATCATCTTCCAGAACTCTTTGTTACTATAAAGCTTTCCTAGTCCATTTCATACTTCTTTTCTAGATTCAGGAAAGATTTCTAAGATTTTTCTTTAAAGAAAGAAATCTTTAATGATGAGATGATGAAGCTCTATTTTCCAAGGAAAATAGTTTACCCAGGCCTGGCTGCCAACTGCTACTTTATCAGCCATCTGACTTCATTCTTTTATTTTTATTTTTATTTTATTATTATTATACTTTAAGTTTTAGGGTACATGCGCACAATGTGCAGGTTAGTTACATATGTATACATGTGCCATGCTGGTGTGCTGCACCCATTAACTCGTCATTTAGCATTAGGTATATCTCCTAAAGCTATCCCTCCCGCCTCCCTCCACCCCACAACAGTTCCCAGAGTGTGATGTTCCCCTTCCTGTGTCCATGTGTTCTCATTGTTCAATTCCCACCTATGAGTGAGAATATGCGGTGTTTGGTTTTTTGTCCTTGCGATAGTTTGCTGAGAATGATGATTTCCAATTTCATCCATGTCCCTACAAAGGACATGAACTCATCCTTTTTTATGGCTGCATGTATTCCATGGTGTATATGTGCCACATTTTCTTAATCCAGTCTATCATTGTTGGACATTTGGCTTGGTTCCAAGTCTTTGCTATTGTGAATAGTGCCACAATAAACATACGTGTGCATGTGTCTTTATAGCAGCATGATTTATAGTCCTTTGGGTATATACCCAGTAATGGGATGGCTGGGTCAAATGGTATTTCTAGTTCTAGATCCCTGAGGAATCGCCACACTGACCTCCACAATGGTTGAGCTAGTTTACAGTCCCACTAACAGTGTAAAAGTGTTCCTATTTCTCCACATCCTCTCCAGCACCTGTTGTTTCCTGACTTTTTAATGATTGCCATTCTAACTGGTGTGAGATGGTATCTCATTGTGGTTTCGATTTGCATTTCTCTGATGGCCAGTGATGGTGAGCATTTTTTCATGTGTTTTTTGGCTGCATAAATGTCTTCTTTTGAGAAGTATCTGTTCATGTCCTTTGCCCACTTTTTGATGGGGTTGTTTGTTTTTTCTTGAAAATTTGTTTGAGTTCATTGTAGATTCTGGATATCAGCCCTTTGTCAGATGAGTAGGTTGCGAAAATTTTCGCCCATTTTGTAGGTTGCCTGTTCACTCTGATGGTAGTTTCTTTTGCTGTGCAGAAGCTCTTTAGTTTAATTAGATCCCATTTGTCAATTTTGGCTTTTGTTGCCATTGCTTTTGGTGTTTTAGACATGAAGTCCTTGCCCATGCCTATGTCCTGAATAAGAGCTATCTATGACAAACCCACAGCCAATATCATACTGAATGGGCAAAAACTGGAAGCATTCCCTTTGAAAACTGGCACAAGACAGGGATGCCCTCTCTCACCACTCCTGTTCAACATAGTGTTGGAAGTTCTGGCCAGGGCAATTAGGCAGGAGAAGGAAATAAAGGGTATTCAATTAGGAAAAGAGGAAGTCAAATTGTCCCTGTTTGCAGATGACATGATTGTATATCTAGAAAACCCCATTGTCTCAGCCCAAAATCTCCTTAAGCTGATAAGCAACTTCAGCAAAGTCTCAGGATACAAAATCAATGTACAAAAATCACAAGCATTCTTATACACCAATAACAGACAAACAGAGAGCCAAATCATGAGTGAACTCCCATTCACAATTGCTTCAAAGAGAATAAAATACCTAGGAATCCAACTTACAAGGGACGTGAAGGACCTCTTCAAGGAGAACTACAAACCACTGCTCAAGGAAATAAAAGAGGATACAAACAAATGGAAGAACATTCCATGCTCATGGGTAGGAAGAATCAATACCGTGAAAATGGCCATACTGCCCAAGGTAATTTATAGATTCAATGCCATCCCCATCAAGCTACCAATGACTTTCTTCACAGAATTGGAAAAAACTACTTTAAAGTTCATATGGAACCAAAAAAGGGCCCGCATCGCCAAGTCAATCTTAAGCCAAAAGAACAAAGCTGGAGGCATCACACTATCTGACTTCAAACTATACTACAAGGCTACAGTAACCAAAACAGCATGGTACTGCTACCAAAACAGAGATATAGATCAATGGAACAGAACAGAGCCCTCAGAAATAACGCCGCATATCTACAACTATCTGATCTTTGACAAACCTGAGAAAAACAAGCAATGGGGAAAGGATTCCCTATTTAATAAATGGTGCTGGGAAAACTGGCTAGCCATATGTAGAAAGCTGAAACTGGATCCCTTCCTTACACCTTATACAAAAATTAATTCAAGGTGGATTAAAGACTTAAACGTTAGACCTAAAACCATAAAAACCCTAGAAGAAAACCTAGGCATCTGACTTCATTCTAGTTCTGCCATTGAATCTTGAAGTCATGAACCTGCTGGGCCTCCACTCTGCTACCTGTGAAATAATTTACACTTGAAGGAGACCCCTTCTCACCCTCACTGAGTGTCTTCCTGAGACATTCCTCTTGACTTCCAGATGCAATGTTTGCAGGTGCCACGCCCAGGATGGCAAGTGTTAAGCTCTCTGTGCTTCAGCCCATTGTGAATCATCCACATTATGAAGATGCAGGCTTGAGATCAAACCTTCCATGCAAACAGACAGTGAGTGGAGGACACCAGCAAAGTAATGAGGAATGTTCCAAAAGGATATGATGAACTGAGGTTTATCAAGTCGGGGAGCAGAAGGCTGAAATAAGACTGCTAAGCTCTAAACAAATCCTTTAAGTCTTCACAGGGCAGGAAAGCGACAACTTTGGGGGCTATCTTCTCTAGCAGGCAGAAAAAAGAAGTAATACTGTAGCACTTTCCCACAGGTTAACAGGGCTCTAAAATGTCCAAGTCCTTTTCATCCTGTAACTCCCTGAAGAGTTTAGCTTAGAGTGTTTAGTAAGGTTTTCTCATAGGTGATTTTTCTTGAGTTTGGAGAAGTCATTTGAAATATAATCCCATTCAAAGAGGAGTTTATTCTGGTTTTCACCAGTATAGCCTGTTAGAATGATCTTGGGTGTTTTCTTTATTTTTAGATTTTTTTGAGACTTTAAAAAATAATTTAGAGATGTGTTGTCTAAATTATTTTTTAAAAAAGATTAAATTTTTCATGCAGTTTCTAAGGCAGGTGAAGCTATTCATTTTCTAAGTGATTAGATGAATCTTATTAGCATCTTCTTTTGCATATCAATGGCATGTACATTTACAAATAAGATTTTTCATTAAAAAATCAATCTCATCAAGCTAATTTCCAGACCAATTTTGTTAAATAAGTTTAGTATTTCTAAAATCTAGAAAAAAAAATGAAGAACCACTTAATGTGAATTATTGTTGATATCAAAGTTGGGACTGTTGCAGCTTCAGAGTAGTCCTGTAGTTGTATTTCTTGTAGTTCATCCCTGTTCACACACAGGGTACCTTACTCTTATATGTGATAGATTAGTGAAGAATTTAAGACAAATAAATAAGTGAACAAACACAAAGAGACCAAGTTTGGGAATGTAGGGGTGTGTTAAAGGTCACCCTCTTCTCCACAACTTGTCCTCCTCCTGCCTTCTGCTTTTGACCTCACTGATGCCCCTTCGCAGGAACTTCCATGGGGAATTTCCTCCTGACTGGATTCTTCTTCATTGTCTTCTAGTCTAATTCAGTGCTTTCTTCCAAATGTGTTATTGTATCATTTTAATCTTGAAATTTTGTTCCCAATTATTTTTCTTTAAAGTGCCAGAACAAAAATAGTATACTCAATGTATAGTCAGAAAGCAGCTGAAGAAGTGAAGCGAGAACTGATAGTTAAAAGTGAACTATTACATTCTAGAAAAGTCATGGTGTGTAAGAAGATCCAAGTGAGTATCAACACAGTTAACATTTTATAATCATAAGACACGAAGGTTAATTCAAGCACATGGCACATGCTTTGCTGGTGGCGGGGGTGTGTATATAACATAAAGTATACGTGGAAAAAACTTTTTTTTTTTTAAATAGGCTCTCTGTTGCCCAGGCTGGAGTGCAGTGGCATAATCTAAGCTCACTGCAGCCTCCGCCTAATTTTTGTATTTTTAGTGGAGATGGGGTTTTGCCATGTTGTCCCAGGCTGGTCTCAAACTCCTGGCCTCAAGTGCTACTCCTGCCTTGGCCTCCCGAAGTGCTGGGACTACAGGCGTGAGCCACCATGCCTGGCCTGAAAAAACCTTCTTGATAATGATTTGGAGACTTTCTTTTCTAGTCTTTATAAATATCTTTTTTTAAAATAATGGTTTGTATGTGCATACTACCTTAAAGAGATTTTATTGGAACTAGTTGATAATCTCCCAAATTGTTCATATTTGCTTTTGATGTTTTTAAAGAAACTTTTATTTAAAGTTGGATGTATTTTCTTTCAAAAGACTTCCAGGGTCTGAAACCAAGTAATGGGGAGTCTCTTTTGGTGAAGTCAGGCAGCTGAGCACCAGGGGTCACATTATCCTTACTGGGTCTCTGTGCTACACCATGTCCTGTCGATGGATGGGATACCCTGTCAGCAAAAACTCAGAATGAAACTTTTCTTTCCTGGTGTTTCACATCTTACTTGAATGGGAAAATGACTCTACTGTGACCCACATTCTCTTGGGTTTATAGTTTTTAAGTTTCTATTTCCAAAGAGATGTTTACTAAGCTGAGTATAGCTCCAAGTGACAGTAAGATCTTCAAAGCAGATGTGAATCTAAAGCTATCTAGAAATGTGGCACGTAAGTGACTGGACACCAGGTGACAGTAGCCTGCTTTTAAAGTACCAAAACAGTCACTTCATGAAGAGCACAGTACAGGAACAATTTTATCAGAAATAAACACTATTTTATGGAATAATAATATTTTTAAAATTCTTACTACTCTGTAACTAAACAAAAGTGTTCAAGAGATTGCTATATTTGTGGCTTGATCATACTTGCCCACCATATATTTCAATGACACATATGGTATTAAGACAACATTGTTAAATACTGAGTCGTGAGTGAAAAATAGTTCTGTGACATAGTATCTACAGCTTTGCTCATAAGGCAACTAAAATAATTGTCGATTATAAAATGATTTTCCTATGAATGTGTGCTATGTGGTTTGAATTCAGTCAGGATTTATAGAAAATGTTATTTTGTAATAATTTAGAAAATGCTTTAAGCGTTTGTGAATATATATGAAATTCATATACTCACCTTTCACATTGTTATATAAATTTAGGACAGAAAAGTTCTAAGCATCTCATGACGATCAGGAAATTATATGAAATGAATGATAGGCTGACATTTGCAATAGGAAGAACTCTGTTCTTAGCATAGCTTTCCACCAGAATGGGGATCTTCTTTATTTCTTTGGGCTTCACTCTCTTGAAACAACTGTAAGTTACTGGAACATAAAAATAATTTTCGTAACCTTTTTTCTCCAAGCTAACAATGAGCCTTTGAGAGTTCATTTTTTGCCTAGACCCCTGCATAGAGTTTGAATATGTGAAAGTTGCAGAGGCTTTGTGCTGTAGAGTGTTGAGAGAGCTGCCTGGATTTGCATAGCTCTAACAGTCTCATGTTTGGGTAGGCAGAGCACTGTTTTACCCACACAAGAAGGGATATGAAGGCAAATTCAGGATGTATGGCAATAAACTTTGCACACTAAACAAAATCAGCAGACATTGAACTGACTTCAAGTCACTTACGAGCACTCAGACTGAGAGTTGGGGTGCAGAAGAGGGTGTGCTGGATTTCCCCATCTGGGCCTTGACTTGCCATTTATTGTGTCTGTCACAGCAGGAGTTGAGTGGGAGGAAGCTACGAAAGTGACTCTCTCATCTGTTTTCCCCACTCATTAAAACAACACTCTCCATCTAGTACAAGATCTAAGCCAGGCTGATGACACACTGTCAGGAAACCTTGGACAGGTCCACTCTGCTTCAACCTTGACACAAAACAAAAGCTGTGCTTTCTGTCCTGACAGGGAAGCAAATGGGGAGTTCAGATAGGAGAGGAAAGTGAAGAATGACTAATATTTATCTAGTGTTTACATTTACAGTAGGAAGTTTCTTGACAAAGCTTTCTGCCAGGTTTGGGACCTTCCTTATTTCCTTGGCCTTCACTCTCCATTTCAGTTATGATCAGCCTGAAACCCCTGTAGATTGCTGGGACGTGAAAGTATGTCCGAATGGGGGAAGCAGATGGGGAACTCAGTTAGGAGAGGAAGGGGAAGAGGGACCAATATTTATCTAGTGCTTAATCTGTGCCTGGCAATTGGTGAGCACTATGTTTAAATGATCTCATTTACAAGTGGCTTAATTGTATGGCTTGATTATTCCTTAAATATTTGACACTGAGTTTAAATATAAACATTCAAATCTATTTGCATGCAAGTTGTAGATTAGTTTTAAATTAACTACAGTTCTCTGCTTTCTTTTACTCCAATAATAGAGTTGACATAGAATACATGTATTTAGAAGGAAATTATTCAGATTTTCACTAATGCTATTTGCAGATGGCTGGCCTGGGGAAACCTTGGGAAACTCAGATGAGGACTAAATAGTGTTGCACAAGGCAAACAGAGCTCCCCAAGACAGCTGTTTGCCCTCTCTTTTTCCTAAAAGCTGTTGAACTCAGGAAAACTGTGGGTCGTTCTCTACTTTCTGTGCGTCTCACTCTCTGCCACCGTGGGCCCTCAGTGTTGTAACAGTTCAGCCTTGACATGTAGGAGAAAATTCCAAGGTAGAAAACCCATGCCCAGCCATATGATCATAGGTGTTCCATGTCAGTAGAAACCAGTGTCAGCAAGGGTGTGCAAAAAGTGTGTACTTGAGCCCTCTTCATGGGAACACTCGCTGGCAAAACATTTCTAGGGGATAGTTTGATGAAGGGAAGGTAAGAAAAAAATTGTGCAGTCCTTTGGCAGAGTGATAATGTTGCCTCTAGAGCAGGGGTCTCCAAGCCCCCGGCCATGAACCAGTACTGGTCTGTGGCCTGTTAGGAACCCAGTCTCACAGCAGGAGGTGAGCGGAGGGTGAACAAGCATTACAGCCTGAGCTCTGGCTCCTGACAGATGAGTGGCAGCATTAGATTCTCATAGGAGTATGAACCCTATTGTGAACTGCACATGCGGGGGATCTAGGGTACGTGCTCCTTATGAGAATCTAATGCCTGATGATCTGAGGTGAAACACTTTCATCCCAAAACCATTGCCCCCACCCTCCAATCCATGGAAAAATTACCTTGCACAAAACCAGTCCCTGGTGCAAAAAATGTTGGGGACTGCTGCTCTAGAGGTTTAGCTTGCAGAAGGGAGCACCGCACAAGACTGCTTGTAGCTGCATTGCTTTATAATGGCAAAATGGGAAAAAATTAAAGTATCTGTCTGTAAAGAACTCGTTAAATAATACATATGAGAACTAGCAGCTTTTAAAAACAATAGAGTAGGTCTTTATGCACTGAGATGGAAAAATAGTGCCACATTTTATTGTTCAGTATAGAGTCCCAGAATAATTCCATTTTTGTAAAAACAACTCAAGAGCATCTGTCAGGATTTTCCAGAGGGACAGAATTAATAGGATAAACTTATATATATGATGTCTGTGTCTGTATGTGTATCTGACATTGGATAAGAAAAGATCCAGCAGATAGCAAATATTGTATGTTCTCACTTATAAATGGGAACTAAGCTACCAGGATGCAAAGCAAAAGAATGATATGGACTATGGGGACTCCGGGGAAGCAAGGAGTGGGGTGAGGGATAAAAGACTACACACTGAGTATACTTGATACTGCTCTGGTGATGGGTGCACCAAAATCTCAGTAACTGCCATTGAAGAACTTATCCATGTAACCAAAAACCACCTGTTTTGCAAAAGCTATTGAAATAATTTTTTTTTTTAAAAAAGGTCCAGCAGGATATATGCTGGATTGTTTATAGAAGTCACCTCTGAGAAATGCTATTGGAGATGATGGTGACTTTCATTTCTTAAAATGTATGTAGGTCTATATTTGGTACTTTTATAATGACTGATTACTTATAAATTAAATATGTTATTTAAAAAGGGAAAATGATGTACATCCCTGCTACAGTGTTTGCCTCATGGTGGAGAGTGAGGAAGGGACTGCTACTAAACATAAGAGGGACTTGTTGGGAATTTTTTTTCTCTTATTTAGAAATAAAACTAAAAAGGGAAGCAATTATGACAAAACATGAGCAGTTGTCAATTCTCTATAATTTTCCCATATGTTTTTCTGTTTTTTAAAATTCCTCAAAAGGTAGATAGCAGTATCCAACAGTTCTATCTATAAAACTGTTCTTGATTTAAAATAAATGGTACTGTTATTTTGAAGGACTTATTTAGGCAAATGTCATATGATGCCAATTTTACTTATTCTATTCTTTATATATATTGCTTTTGAGATTTAATTATGTATTTAGCTAAGATGTATGTCCAACACTACCAGAATTTCTTTAAATTGATTCATTCTAGAATATCAACTGTCCAGTTTAAGATGTTTTGACCTACTGATTTTTTTACTTTATGACAGTGTTAAAGCCATATGCATTCAGTAGAAAGCATACTTCAAATACCCATACAACCATTCTGTTTTTCAGTGTCAGTACAGCATTCAATAAATTACATGAGATGTTCAACATTTTGTTATAAAACAGCATTTGTATTAGATGATTTTGTCAAACTGTAAGCTAATACAAGTGTTCCTAGCATGTTTAAGGTAGGCTAGGCTAAGCCGTGATGTTGGGTAGATTAGGTGTATTAAATGCATTTTCAACTTATGATGGGTTTATTGGAACATACCCCATTGTAAGTTGAGGAGCATCTATACAATTAATGCAACTTGCCTCTGAATTAAGCATATTTGTTCTTTATAATTTTTTTAAATCAATATTGTCAGGCCTCTGAGCCCAAGCTAAGCCATCACATCCCCTGTGACCTGCACTTATACATCCAGATGGCCTGAAGTAACTGAAGAATCACAAAAGAAGTGATACTTAAATGGCCTGTTCCTGCCTTAACTGATGACATTCCACCACAAAAGAAGTGAAAATGGCCGGTCCTTGCCTTAACTGATGACATTACCTTGTGAAATTCCTTCTCCTGGCTCATCCTGGCTCAAAAAGCTCCCCTACTGAGCACCTTGTGACCCCTCACTCCGGCCTGCCAGAGAACAACCCCCCTTTGACTGTAATTTTCCTTTACCTACCAAAATCTTAGAAAATGGCCCCACCCCATCTCCCTTTGCTGACTCTCTTTTCAGACTCAGCCCACCTGCACCCAGGTGAAATAAACAGCCTTGTTGCTCACACAAAGCCTGTTTGGTGGTCTCTTCACACAGATGCGAGTAAAATTTGGTGCCATGACTCGGACTGGGGGACCTCCCTTAGGAGATCAATCCCTATCCTCCTGCTCTTTGCTCCATGAGAAAGATCGACCTACGACCTCAGGTCCTCAGACTGACCAGCCCAAGGAACATTTCACCAATTTTAAATCGGGTAAGCGGCCTCTCTTTACTCTCTTCTCCAACCTCTCTCACTATCCCTCAACCTCTTTCTCCTTTCAATCTTGGCACCACACTTAAATCTCTCCCTTCTCTTAATTTCAGTTCCTTTCCTTTTCTGGTAGAGACAAAGGTGAAGCGTTTTATCTGTGAACCCAAAACTCCGGCGCCGGTCACAGAATCAGGAAGAGTCTTCCCTTGGTGTTTAACCACATGGGGATGCCTACATGATTATTCACCCATGTTTCAGAGGTGTCTGACCACGGAGGGATGCCTGTCTTGGTCCTTCACCCTTAGCGGCAAGTACCACTTTTTGGGGGGCAAGAACCCCCCGACCCCTTCCCTCCATGTCTCTACCTCTTCTCCACTTTCCTGGGGGCAAGCATCCCCCCACCCCTTCTCTCTGTGTCTCTACCCTCTATTTTCTCTGGACTTGCCTCCTTCACTATAGGTAAACTTCCACCCTCCATTCTCCTTCTCCCTTAGCCTGTGTTCTCAAAGACTTAATACCTCTTCAACTCACATGTGACCTAAAACCTAAATGCCTTATTTTCTTCTGCAATGCCACTTGACCCCAATACAAACTCGACAGTGGTTCCAAATAGCCAGAAAATGGCACTTTCGATTTTTCCATCCTACAAGATCTAAATAATCCTTGTCGTAAAATGGGCAAACAGTCTGAGATGCCTGACGTCCAGGCATTCTTTTACACATCGGTCCCTCCCTAGTCTCTGTTCCCAATGCAACTTGTCCCAAATCTTCCTTCTTTCCCTCCCACCTGTCCCCTCAGTCCCAACCCCAAGCGTCGCTGAGTCTTTCTTCTTTCCAATCTTCCTTTTCTATAGACCCATCTGACCTCTCCCCTCCTCCCCAGGCTGCTCCTCGCCAGGCTGAGCTAGGTCCCAATTCTTCCTCAGCCTCCGCTCCCCTACCCTATAATCCTTTTATCACCTCCCCTCCTCACACCCGGTCGGGCTTACAGTTTCCTTCTGCAACAAGCCCTCCCGCACCTGCCCAGCAATTTCCTCTTAAAAAGGTGGCTGGAGCTAAAGGCATAGTCAAAGTTAATGCTCCTTCTTCTTTATCCCAAATCAGAGAGCGTTAGGCTCTTTTTCACCAAATAAAAAACCCAGCCCAGTTCATGGCTGCTTGGCAGCAACCCTGAGACGCTTTACAGCCCTAGACCCTAAAAGGTCAAAAGGCTGTCTTATTCTCAATATACATTTTATTACCCAATTTGCTCCCGACATTAAATAAAACTCCAAAAATTAAATTCCAGCTCTCAAACCCCATAACAGGACTTAACTAACCTCGCCTTCAAGGTGTACAATAATAAAGTGGAGGCAGCCAAGTAGCAATGTATTTCTGAGTTGCAATTCCTTGCCTCCACTGTGAGACAAATCCCAGCCATATCTCCAGCACACAAGAACTTCCAAATGCCTGGACCACAGCTGCCAGGGGTTCCTCCAGAATCTCCTCCCCAAGCCCTGGAAATCTGGCCACTGGGCCAAGGAATGCCCATGGCCCAGGATTCTTCCTAAGCTGTGTCCCATCTGTTCAGGACCCCACTGAAAATCGGACTGTTCAACTCCCCTGGCAGCCACTTCCAGAGCCCCTGGAACTCTGGCCCAAGGCTCTCTGACACCTTCCCAGACCTTCTTGGCTTAGCAGCTGAAGACTGACACTGCCCGATCGCCTCAGAAGCCTATAGGACCTTCACAGATGCTCTGGGTAACCCTCACAGTGGAGGGTAAGTCTGTCCCCTTCTTAATCAATACAGAGGCTACCCACTGCACATTACCTTTTTTTCAAGGGCCTATTTCCCTTACCTCCATAACTGTTGTGGGTATTGACAGCCAGGCTTCTAAACCTCTTAAAATTCCCCAACTCTGGTGCCAACTTAGACAATATGCTTTTAAGCACTCCTTTTTAGTTATCCCCACCTGCCCAGTTCCCTTGTTAGGCCAAGACACTTTAACTAAATTATCTTCTTCCCTGACTATTCCTGGGCTACAGCCACACCTCATTGCTGCCTTTTCCCCCAGTTCAAAGCCTCCTTCACATCCTCCCCTTATATCTCCCCACCTTAACCCACAAGTATAGGACACCTCTACTCCCTCCTTAGCGACCGATCATGCACCCCTTACCATCCCATTAAAACCTAATCACCCTTACCCCGCTCAATGCCAATATCCCATCCCACAGCATGCTTTAAAAGGATTAAAGTCTGTTATCACTCACCTGCTACAGCATGGCCTTTTAAAGCCTATAAACTCCCCTTACGATTCCCCCATTTTACCTGTCCTAAAACCAGACAAGGCTTACAGGTTAGTTCAGGATCTGCACCTTATCAACCAAATTGTTTTGCCTATCCACACCGTGGTGCCCAACACATATACTCTCTGCCTCAATACCTCCCTCCACAACCCATTATTCTGTTCTGGATCTCAAACATGCTTTCTTTACTATTCGTTTGCACCCTTCATCCCAGCCTCTCTTCGCTTTCACTTGGACTGACCCTGACACCCATCAGGTTCAGCAAATTACCTGGGCTATACTGCCACAAGGCCTCACAGACAGCCCCTATTACTTCAGTCAAGCCCAAATTTCTTCCTCATCAGTTACCTATCTTGGCTTCTCATAAAAACACATGTGCCCTCCCTGCCGATCATGTCCACCTGATCTCTTAAAACCCAGCACTTTCTACAAAACAACAATTCCTTTCCTTCCTAGGCATGGTTGGATACTTTCAACTTTAGATGCCTGGTTTTGCCATTCTAAAACCATTTTATAAACTCACAAAAGGAAACCTAGCTGACCCCATAGATCCTAAATCCTTTCCCCACTCCTTTCCGTTCCTTGAAGACAGCTTTAGAGACTGCCCCCACTCTAGCTCTCCCTGACTCATCCCAACCCTTTTCATTACACACTGCTGAAGTGCAGGGCTGTGCAGTCAGAATTCTTACACAAGGACCAGGATGGCATCCTGTAGCCTTTTTGTCCAAACAACTTGACCTTATTGTTTTAAGCTGGCCATTATGTCTCCATGCAGTGGCTGCTGCCGCTCTAATACTTTTAAAGGCCCTTAAAATCACAAACTATGCTCAACTCACTCTCTACAGCTCTCATAATTTCCAAAATCTATTTTCTTCCTCACACCTGACGCATATACTTTCTGCTCCCTGGCTCCTTCAGCTGTACTCACTCTTTGCTGTGTCTCCCACAATTACCATTGTTCCTGGCCCGGACTTCAATCCAGCCTCCCACATTATTCCTGATACCACACCTGACCCTCATGACTGCATCTCTCTGATCCACCTGACGTTCACCCCATTTCCCCACATTTCCTTCTTCCCTGTTTCTCACCCTGATCACACTTGGTTTATTGATGGCAGTTCCACCAGGCCTAATTGCCACACACCAGCAAAGGCAGGCTATGCTGTAGCACAAGCCACTAGCCCGCCTCTTAAAACCTCTCATTTCCTTTCCATTGTAGAAAACTGTCCTCAAGGAAATAACTTCTCAGTGTTCCATCTGCTATTCTACTACTCCTCAAGGATTATTCAGGCCCCCTCCCTTCCCTACACATCAAGCTTAAGGATTTGCCCCCACCCAGGACTGGCAAATTAGCTTTACTCAACATGCCCTGAGTCACAAAAACTAAAATACCTCTTAGTCTAAGTAGACACTTTCACTAGATAGGTAGAGGCCTTTCCTACAGGGTCTGAGAAGGCCACCACAGACATTTCTTCCCTTCTGTCAGACATAATTCCTCAGTTTAGCCTTCCCACCTCTATACAGTCTGATAACAGACCAGCCTTTATTAGTCAAATCAGCCAAGCAGTTTTTCAGACTCTTAGTATTCAGTGAAACCTTTATATCCCTTACAGTCCTCAGTCTTCAGGAAAAGTAGAACATACTAAAGGTCTTTTAAAAACACACCTTACCAAGCTCAGCCACCAACTTAAAAAGGAATAGACAATACTTTTACCACTTTCCCTTCTCAGAATTCAGGCCTGTCCTCAGAATGCTACAAAGTACAGCCCATTTGAGCTCCCATATAGATGCTCCTTTTTATTAGGCCCCAGTATCATTCCAGACACCAGACCAACTTGGACTGTGCCCCAAAAAACTTGTCATCCCTACTGTCTTCTGTCTAGTCATACTCCTATTCACTGTTCTCAGCTACTCATACGTGCCCTGCTCTTGTTTACACTGCCAGTTTACACTGTTTCTCCAAGCCATCACAGCTGATATCTCCTGGTGCTAGCCCCAAACCGCCACTCTTAACTCTTATAGTAAATAAATAATCTTTGCAGGCAAGGCTATGCTGAACCTCCTTAGGCACTCTCTAATTAGATGTCCTAGGTCCTCCCAATTCTTAGTCCTTTAATACCTGTTTTTCTCCTTGTCTTATTCCATTTAGTTTTTCAATTCATACAAAACTGTATCCAGGTCATCACCAATAATTCTAAATGACAAATGTTTCTTCTAACAACCCCACAATATCACCCCTTACCACAAAATCTTCCTTCAGCTTAATCTCTCCCACTCTAGGTTCCCACGCCACCCCTAATCCCGCTCAAAGAAGCCCTGAGAAACATCGCCCATTATCTCTCCATACCACCCCCAAAAATTTTTGCCGTCCCAACACTTTACCACTATTTCATTTTATTTTTCTTATTAATATAAGAAGACAGGAATGTCAGGTCTCTGAGCCCAAGCTAAGCCATCGTATCCCCTGTGACCTGCATGTACACATCCAGATGGTGGGTTCCTGCCTTAACTGATGACATTCCACCACAAAAGAAGTGAAAATGGCCTGTTCCTGCCTTAACTGATGACATTGTCTTGTGAAATTCCTTCTCCTGGCTCATCCTGGCTCAAAAGCTCCCCAACTGAGTACCTTGTGACCCCCACTCCTGCCCACCGGAGAAAAACCCCCCTTTTTCCTTTACCTACCCCAATCCTACAGAAGGGCCCCACCCCATCTCCCTTCGCTGACTCTCTTTTCGGACTCAGCCCGCCTGCACCCAGGTGATTAAAAGCTTTATTGCTCACACAAAGCCTGTTTGTTGGTCTCTTCACATGGACGCGCATGAAAGCTACATGACAGGATTGTTTAAAAACTAAAGTAATTTAAGGGGAAAAAAGGAAATGAGATCAGGAATGTAAGAAGTGCCCTGCTTTCTCTGCAGTTATATAATGCATACTGATTTTTAACATGTACATTCATTTTTCTAGGCCTGGTTGCAGTATGCCTGAAATTTGGGATGTAGAAGATCCTGCCAATGCTGGGAAAACTCCCTTATGTAACCTCTTGGTGAAGGATTCCAAACCTCACTTCACCACTGTATTCCAGAACAGTGTTTACAAAGTCCTAGAAGTTGTAAAAGAATGACTGCTACATGACCTGCTGCCTACGGAGAACTACATCTCTAATGGTTTTAATGTTTTGCTAAGTCATGTGTTGTTCATATCCCAAAAACTTTTATAGGTAACTGTTTTCAAATAGAAAATGTTTTATTTGGTCAATTTGAATGTCATTCTAATTATAAAAATGACTCATACCTTTCATGCGCGTCCGTGTGAAGAGACCACCAAACAGGCTTTGTGTGAGCAACATGGCTGTTTATTTCACCTGGGTGCAGGTGGGCTGAGTCCAAAAAGAGAGTCAGCATAGGGAGATAAGGGTGGGGCCATTTTATAGGATTTGGGAAGGTAATGGAAAATTACAATCAAAGGGGGTTGTTCTCTGGTGGGCAGGGGTGGATCTCACAAAGTACATTCTCAAGTGTGGGGAGAATTACAAAGAACCTTCTTAAGGGTGGGGGAGATTACAAAGTACATTGATCAGTTAGGGTGGGGCAGGAACAAATCACAATGGTGGAATGTCATCAGTTAAGGCTGTTTTTACTTCTTTTGTGGATCTTCAGTTACTTTAGGCCATCTGAATGTATACGTGCAAGTCACAGGGGATGCGATGGCCTGGCCTGGGCTCAGAGGCCTGACATTCCTGCCTTCTTATATTAATAAGACAAATAAAACAAAATAGTGTTGAAGTGTTGGGGCGGCGAAAATTTTTGGGGGGTGGTATGGAGAGAGAATGGGTGATGTTTCTCAGGGCTGCTTCAAGCGGGATTAGGGGTGGCGTGGGAACCTAGAGTGGGAGAGATTAAGCTGAAGGGAGGTCTTGTGGTAAGGGGTGATATTGTGGGGATGTTAGAAGAAACATTTGTCGTATAGAATGATTGGTGATGGCCTGGATACGGTTTTGGATGAATTGAGCGAGCTTAATGTGTAGGGAAGGGAGGGGGCCTGAATAATCCCTGAGGAGTAGTAGAATAGCAGATGGAACACTGAGAAGTTATTTCCTTGAGGATAGATTTCCACGATGGAAAGGAAATGAGAGGTTCTAAGAGGCGGGATAGTGGCTTGTGCTATAGCATAGCCTGCCTTTGCTGGTGTGTGGCGATTAGGCCTGGTGGAACTGCCATCAATAAATCAAGCGTGATCAGGGTGAGGAACAGGAAAGAAGGAAATATGGGGAAATGGGGTGAATGTCAGGTGGATCAGAGAGATACAGTCATGGGGGTCAGGTGTGGTATCAGGAATAATGTGGGAGGCCAGATTGAAGTCCGGGCCAGGAACAATGGTAATTGTGGGACTTAACAAAGAGTGAGTACAGCTGAAGGAGCTGGGGAGCAGAAAGTATATGCGTCAGGTATAAGGAAGAAAAAGATTTCGGAAGTTATGAGAAATGTAGAGTGAGTTGAGCATAGTTTGTGATTTTTAGGGCCTCTAGAAGTATTAAAGCATCGGCAGCCGCTGCATGCAGACATGAGGGCTAGGCTAAAACAGTAAGGTCAAGTTGTTTGGACAGAAACGCTGCAGGGTGTGGTCCTGGCTCTTGTGTAAGAATTCTGACCATGCTAACCATGCCTAGGAAGGAAAGGAGTTGTTGTTTTGTAAGGGATTGAGGTTTGGGAGATTAATCGGACACGATCAGCAGGGAGAGCATGTGCGTTTTTATGAGAATTATGCTGAGATAGGTAACAGATGAGGATGAAATTTGGGCTTGACTGAAGTAATGGGGGCTGTCTGTGAAGCCTTGCGGCAGTACAGCCCAGGTAATTTGCTGAGCCTAATGGGTGTCAGGGTCAGTCTAAGTGAAGGCAAAGAGAGGCTGGGATGAAGGGTGCAAAGAAATAGTAAAGAAAGCATGTTTGAGATCCAGAACAGAATAATGGGTAATAGAGGGAGGTATTGAGGATAGGAGAATATATGGGTTGGGCACCATGGGGTGGATAGGCAAAACAATTTGGTTGATAAGGCGCAGATCCTGAACTAACTTGTAAGCCTTGTCTGGTTTTAGGACAGGTAAAATGGGGGAATGGTAAGGAGAGTTTATAGGTTTTAGAAGCCCATACTGTAGCAGGCGAGTGATAACAGGCTTTAATCCTTTTAAAGCATGCTGTGGGATGGGATATTGGCGTTGAGCAGGGTAAGGGTGATTCGATTTTAACGGGATGGTAATGGGCATGTGATCGGTTGCCAGGGAAGGAGTAGAGATGTCCCATATTTGTGGGTTAAGGTGGGGGGATATGAGAGGAAGATGCAAAGGAGGCTTTGGGCTGGGGAGAAGGGTGGCAATGAGATGCAGCTGTAGTCCAGGAATAGTCAGGGAAGCAGATAATTTGGTTAAAATATCTCGGCCTAATAAGGGAACTGGGCAGGTGGGGATAACTAAAAAAGAGTGCATAAGAGTGTTGTCCAAGTTGGCACCAGAGTGGGGGAGTTTTCAGGGGTTTTGAAGCTTGGCCGTCAATACCCACAACAGTTATGGAGGCAAGGGAAACAGGCCCTTGAAAAGAAGGTAATGTGGAGTGGGTAGCCTCCGTATTGATTAAGAAGGGGACGGACTTATCTTCCACTGTGAGAGTTACCCAAAGCTCGGCGTCCGTGATGGTCTACAGGGCTTCTGAGGCGATCGGGCAGCATGAGTCTTCAACCGCTAAGCCGAGAAGGAGTCAGTCAGAGAGCCTTGGGCCAGAGTTCCAGGGGCTCCGGGAGTGGCTGCCAGGTGAGTTGAACAGTCCGGTTTCCAGTGGGGTCCCACACAGATGGGACACGGCTTAGGAGGAATCCTGGGCTGCAGGCATTCCTTGGCCTGGTGGTCAGATTTCTGGCACTTGTAGCAAGCTCCTGGGGGAGGAGGTTCTGGAGGAACGCCTGGCCGCTGCGGTTCAGGCGTTTGGAAGTTCTTGTGTGCTGGAGATGTGGCTGGGATTTGTCTCACAGTGGAGGCAAGGAATTGCAACTTTTTTCTATTATTGTACACCTTGAACGCGAGGTTAATTAAATCCTGTTGTGGGGTTTGAGGGCCGGAATTTAATTTTTGGAGTTTTATTTAATGTCGGGAGCAGATTGGGTAATAAAATGTATATTGAGAATAAGATGGCCTTTTGACCTTTTAGTTTCTAGGGCTGTAAAGCATCTCAGGGTTGCTGCTGAACGAGCCATGAACTGGGCTGGGTTTTTATATTTGATGAAAAAGAGCCTAAACGCTTCTGATTTGGGATAAAGAAAAAGGAGCATGAACCTTGACTATGCCTTTGGCTCCAGCCACCTTTTTAAGAGTAAATTGCTGGGCAGGTGGGGGAGGGCTAGTCACAGAACGAAACTGTAAGCCGGACCAGGTGTGAGGAGGGGAGGCGATAAAAAGATTACAGGGTGGAGGAGCGGAGGCTGAGGAAGAATTGGGACCTAGCTTGGACTGGCGAGGAGGGGAGAGGTCAGATGGGTCTGTAGAAAAGGAAGATTAGAAACACTTGGTGATGCTTGGGGTTGGGACTGAGGTGACAGGCGGGAGGGAAAGAAGGAAGATTTGGGACGAGTTGCACTGGGCACAGAGACTAGGAAGGGACTGATGTGTAAAAGAATGCCTGGATGTCAGGCACCTCAGACCATTTGACCCTTTTACGACAAGGATTATTTAGATCTTGTAGGATGGAAAAATTCAAAGTGCCATTTTCCGGCTATTTGGAACTACTGTCGAGTTTGTATTGGGGCCAAGCGGTGTTGCAGAAGAAAATAAGGTGTTTAGGTTTTAGGTGAGGTGTAAGTTGAAGAGGTTTTAAGTTCTTGAGCACACAGGCTAAGGGAGAAGAGGGAGGAATGGAGGGTGGAAGGTTGCCTATATTGAAGGAAGCAAACCCAGAGAAAAGAGAACGTAGAGACATGAAGGGAAGGGGTTTGGGGGTTCTTTCCCCCTAGAAAAGCGGGACTTGCCACTAAGGGTGAAGGAGAAGGGGTTGAGGGGTACTTGCCCCTGCCCCAGGAAAGCAGAGAAGGGGTAGAGACAAGGAGAGAAGGGGTTGGGGTACTTGGCCATTCCCCAGGAAAGCAGAGAAGGGGTAGAGACAAGGAGAGAAGGGGTTGGGGTAATTGCCCTTTCCCCAGAAAAGTGGGACTTGCCGCTAAGGGTGAAGGACCAAGGCAGGCGTCCCTGCGTGGTCTGACACCCTTGAAACGTGGGTGTATAATCAGAGAGGCGTCCCTGCAATGATTAAACACCAAGGGAAGACTTCCTTCCCAGTCCGTGACCGGCGCCGGAGTTTTGGGTCCACGGATAAAACGTGTCTCTTTTGTCTCTACCAGAAAATGAAAGGAATTGAAATTAAGAGAAGGGAGAGATTGAAGTGTAGCACCAAGATTGAAAGGAGAAAGAGGTTGACGGATAGTGAAGGAAGTTGGAGAAGAGAGTAAAGAGAGGCCGCTTACCGGATTTGAAATTGGTGAGATGTTTCTTGGGCTGGTCTGTCTGAGGACCTGAGGTCGTAGGTGGATCTTTCTCATGGAGCAAAGAGCAGAAGGAGGGGGGATTGATCTCCCAAGGGAGGTCCCCCGATCCAAGTCACGGCACCAAATTTCATGCGCGTCCATGTGAAGAGACCACCAAACAGGCTTTGTGTGAGCAACATGGCTGTTTATTTCACCTGGGTGCAGGTGGGCTGAGTCCGAAAAGAGAGTCAGCATAGGGAGATAAGGGTGGGGCCGTTTTATAGGACTTGGGAAGGTAATGGAAAATTACAATCAAAGGGGGTTGTTCTCTGGTGGGCAGGGGTGGATCTCACAAAGTACATTCTCAAGTGTGGGGAGAATTACAAAGAACCTTCTTAAGGGTGGGGGAGATTACAAAGTACATTGATCAGTTAGGGTGGGGCAGGAACAAATCACAATGGTGGAATGTCATCAGTTAAGGCTGTTTTTACTTCTTTTGTGGATCTTCAGTTACTTTAGGCCATATGGATGTATATGTGCAAGTCACAGGGGATGCGATGGCCTGGCCTGGGCTCAGAGGCCTGACAATACCTTTATCAATTGGTTACTATTTCAATGCCCCCTTTAAAATTTGCTATGCAAATGAGTATATGCTTGTACTTGACTTCCATATTTGTGCTAAAGTGAGCAAAGTTATCTATATAAAGAAAACACAATGAGTTGTGACAAGGATGACGTGAAAATACAGGACAATTCTGACAATGTAGGGGCTGATTTTATAGTGTAAGAACTATTAATGCCCCTTGCTTCTTTTTTCTGCCTCTTGCTCTTGTCTTTTGGACATTTCAGTGATTGTAAGTTCTTCGGTCATGTCAGCCCCTGTCATCAACTTGAGTTACAGTAGATGGGGCAGACATGGAGTGTTTGCTTTGCGGAACTATCTGTCTGTTTTGCTTCCTTGTGCTCTTTTTGTTCTCTGTTCTCCTGTTAATGAAGCTTTTCCTGCCCATTATTAATCCAAACTCTTGGGCCTTGTGGTTAGGAAATTCCCTTAACTTCCAGCCATGTGGCATTATCATGTCTCTTTCTCTCTCTCGCTCTCTCTCCTCTCCTCCTCCCCCCAACATTTTCTGTCAAATAAGTACTGTTTACTCATTTAGTTGCTTATCAAATACTTATTCTTGGTTTTAAAAAAATTATTGGTAACTGTACTTTTCTTATTTTTTAGCATTATTCAAATGTTTACATTTTAATACTTTAAACCACTTTAAAATTTTTTCATGTTTAATTGTAGTTTTAAGAAAAACTATTTTGAACAACCCCAAATATAGTGCATCTAGAAACTAATGTATATTTGAGTAGACATCACTTATAGTGGAACAGTAGACTGTAGTACATGGTAATTTTCCTTTTACTCTTAAGATACAATAAAACATGACTAATTTTCCTGTCAAAAATGTAAAGAATAACAATAAATGAAGTTTTTATATTTTACTTTTAAGATTGCCTGTCTTTACTAAGACAAAGCCTTAAGCCTTATGTTATAATTTTGGTTCTAAAAATCATCATTTCAGTATGAGGAATGAGTATATTTCGTCCTCCTCTTTAGTTTTCTTCTTCCTATTTATTTTTATTTTGAGAAATTTCTACACCTTCTTTGAATTCCTTGTATGAATTTTTGTTTCCTAGAAGTTAATTTGTGTGAAATGAGATTCTTCAAAACGATGAAACCTCGTAGCTCTGAGAAAAGGTTTTAGGGTTTTAAATTCTAAGCAAACCATGACTATGGCTGACTGACTACACATTTAATTATACAGCTTCTCTTTCTTAACCACAGGCAGATTAACCTCATTGTGGATTGTCCTTCAGACCTTAGTCCTCAGGCATGGTTTCTGGTGCCCATTCCTGGAAGCCGCTGTTCCCTTTCTACCTTCTTACCAGAGCCCAAGGGCAGGCCTGGTCTCGAGGAAGCAGCAGCTTGCTGACATGAGTCAGCTGCAAAGGCTGAGGAGTGTGCCCTCAGAGAAGCAGCGCCCCCCAGTCCTGCCCCAGTGCCCAGAGCCGCAGCTCCTAGGGATGCTCCTTCCCTGGAGGCGGCCCAGGAGAGGGACTCTGGCAGCGTTCTTCAGATTTGTGACCACTGTTTCTCATTTGCTGGTTGACTATTTTTATTTCTTAGGCTTTTGCTAGTTTTAGAAAATAGGAAAGCAGCCCGTGATTTGTGGATTAAAAGCAACATTTGAGCGATGATGCACAACAGTCCAGGAAAATGGGCAGTGACACTTGAGGCTGAGGATGGGAGTCGACATGAGCAGGGAGAGGGAGGTGCGCGCTGCTTATCTGTGATTGTTGCTCACCTGAGTGTGGCTGATTGTGTACATCCAGCAGCTACAATTTTTAAAAATTATATTTTTACATTTATTTTATATTTTTCTCACCCCCAGTAATTTCCTTCCAAATAAGTTCACATGTAATAAGTAGAAATTCTGTACAGGAAAAAAGCATTAAAAATACTATTATAACTGCTTCATTTGCTGGGAACCATTACAAGTAGTATAAATTAGCTTTTTCCAGAAGGATCCTCTTGTAGCAGGGTTTATGAATGTAACCCCCAGCAAAATGTGACTATATATTAGGAGAGCCAGTTTGGAGCAGAGGCCTGAAGGTCCCTGCTATGCAGCCGTGGCCACAGCTCACAGCACCAGTGCTGTGGAGCATCCACACCTTTGATGGCAATGCAGAGTGATAGCAGGTTCCATAGGTGTGACAAAACAGCATTAAAGCTCAGTATTTTGCATATTTTTAGCATTTAAAAATATTTTTGCTTTAGTGTGAGGAAAGTAAGGATGGGCAAAGAGGCGATCAAAATAGCTATTGCTATGACATTTTAGAAAACAAAGTTGGGGCCGTATTTCTTTAAAAAGATAAGCCTCTAAAAATGCTTGGCAAAAAAACTATAGTGTTAAAATAGGCCAGTGATATTAATGAGAAAATGAAAGTATATATCAGGAATAAAGTGATATTGCATAGGAGTATTGTATTTTTATGAATTTTGTGCCAGTTGTTTACATGTACTATATATGTTAAATAAAAAAATCATGAAAAATGAGGGAAATGTTTTTCTTGATTGTTATTTTCATTTCCACCTTGACTGTGATCAAGTTCGGCCTCGTTTTGTAGTCAGATAGCCATGAACTGGTTTGAGTCAGATGGCAGTCCTGAGAAGAGAGGGAGGGATCATAACAGTGGGGGTAGACTCTGGTCTTGTTGTTGGTAGTGGTAGGCACTGAGATTATCCGAACTTTTCCTGTATTTATGGTAGAGTCACTTACATTCCTTTATCCTTTTCATCAAGGGACACAGTAATTCATTCAAACTATATATTGGGAATAATTAAAGGGTTGCTAAAAGCTGCTTTAATGTATTTAAAAAATACGTTGGTATCAACATTTTCTAAATTGTAGCTCAATGTTTTTACTTGATACAAACATCAACTTCTTGGTTCTTTCTCTATGTAGGAAAGACATTTCAGCTCTCTTCATTCCTGTGTAATTACTTTCTTAACACAATGACACCTTGATTCTGACATCTTTGGGGAATGAGGTGTTCTAATACAGTTTAAAAGTAGCTCCTCTTTTAATTAGCAGGCATCAGCATCACCTGGAAGGCCTGTAGATTGCTGGGCCCCACCACAGAGGTTTCTGTTTCAGTTGGCCTATGGTGGGGCCCCAGAACTTGGATTTCTTAACAGTTCTCAGGTGGTGTTGAGGCTGTTCGTCCAGGGACGATACTTGAGAGCCTCTGCTCTAATCGGTGGGTACAGACTGGCTGGATGACTGGCCTCCAGGGGGCGCTCCATTCCTCACAGCAATCCCACCAGAGCTGGTTGATGGACACTCTACCAGGAGCTGAATTTTACCACGTACCTTCTTTGCCTGTTAGGGGGCACTGCTTCAATGAAACTTGCAAGGAGCAAAGAACAGATTAGGAAATTTTTAATCGGAACACTGATATGAATTATAGATTATTTACATATTTTGAAGCTGCAAACTGCACCTCGTTTCTTTTCAGTTCAGAGATGGAAAAGGAGTGAAAATCCTTGAAATAGAACTTCCTTTTGTAGGATTACTTTGTCTAGAAGACAATACATAAATTCAATGATGTGTGGGGATTGCAAAAATTCATTTTCCACTTTATTACTTTTGTTTTGGCACCACAAATCCGAATCTTCTTCCTTTATTAGAAGTCAGCCAATAATCAGCGCTAGGTCACAGATTGCTTGCTTCTTTCTTCTTCCTCCTTTTTCTCCTGCCCCCAACTAGAAGTTTCTAATTTGAATCAACAAAATTGTTCTCAATGCAGAAAAAGAGGAGCTACTTTTAAACTTCATTACATTCCTGAATTGGTCTTTATTTCACAGCATCGTTATCAGGACGAATACATTTTACATTAGAAATTGAAAAGGATATTAAGGTACAAAAAGGTCTTGAAAACTTTCCTTTTACATTTCCTCCCGTGAGAGAGATTTTAAAATTCTGAATGAATATATAAGAATTGAAGACTCGATTTGATTGTAGTGTAATTAAGAGATAGTTTTCCTTTTTTTCAAAGAGATTAGGATAACATTGATACTGGATCCACTTTCAAAGCAATGTTTTCTATAGTTTTCTATACTCAGTTATCTTTAACCCAAAACTCTAAATAAGTATGCACAGTGTTGTCAAAATGACTTTCAAATAAATGGTAGCACTACATGGTATTCTGCTTCATAGGCATGTTCTTTTAAATGCAGCATAATATCATTTCGTTGATTTTTTTAAGTATCTGGTGGGCCTTTTTCCTGTAGGCAAATTTAATATCTTGGCGGGGGGAGTTGAATTTTGCAGACTTCAGCTCGTTTGGTTGTTATGCTGATTACTCTGATACCCTTAGTCCTTATGCATTTCTGAAAAAATAGAAATGAAAATACGAAATGGCCACTGCTAAGTAGATTTGGCATAATGTCATGAAAACTGGGAAAGAAAGATGCCTGCAGGCCACCTCTGGCTCTGCCCCCTGCTGCTGATATCCTGCTCTTTGGCCAGGCTCCTCAAGTCTTCACTCTGGTATCCGCTTAGTGAACAGACTTCAGATTCGGAGGCCTCGCTCTTGCTCTGGAAAATTCTCTTCCCAGAAGAGTACAATTTGGTAATCCCTTGAGCCCTTTACATAGGTAACAAATTTGACCTTTTTGAACAGACTTATATGGCAGTAATTCTCAAACTTATCTGCACATTAAAATTACTTGGGGAGCTTCAAAAAATCCTGAAGCCTTTTTCCCACCCCTAGAGATGTGTGGCCTGAGATTTAGAATTTTTTTTAATCCCCAGTGATTCTAGTGCCCTAGGGCTAACATTTTAGAACTTGCCCTCCCTACTTCACCTCTGAATAACAAGATTTCCACATCTCCACCCAGTCAAAGTAGGAATGGCAAGCGTCTGTCATGTACACTTTATTAATTGTGATTATTAATTTCTACATTATTTCTAATCATGGCACCTAGTGTTGAGTAGACTCTTCAGGAAAGAATTCTGTCTTCAGTTATGGATGCTGCCAATGGCAGGGAGAAGGGGGAGAGTGGCAGTGCAGGTGCCACATATTTGTAAACCCTGATTAGAGTGTCAAGAAGAAATGGGAATATAGCAGCAAAAAGAAAAAATACAAATCACTTTGAAAATTTATTGTGTGAGGAATCATGTGTCTTCTCTGCAGATGCTTTTTGCCCCTCCTGGAATATGCTTTTCTTAGTATGTATTTCAGATACAACTCAAATGTCACCTCTTCTGTGAGGTCTTTCCTGACTGCCTGCCATTTGGTTGAGTGCATTGCCTCCCACTGCCCACGTGCCCATAACTCCCACGCACACATTTATCAACATGACTTTTCCCCCACTCTATTGTGTTCTTCATAAAAAGAACATGTCTTACTCCATTCTGAATCCACAGTGCCTCTTAGCACAGTTCCTGGAAAGTAGTACTGCTTAATGATGTTTTGAAATAAACCATACTTTATTCAACAATGCAGTAAATTGCAGATGGCAATAAAAGTTGTTTTTA
Source organism: Homo sapiens (assembly GCF_000001405.40). NCBI lineage: Eukaryota > Metazoa > Chordata > Mammalia > Primates > Hominidae > Homo > Homo sapiens. The sequence continues at coordinate 32,849,048 of NC_000007.14, forward strand.
GGACTAAAAGACAGTTTATGTTTTCCAGCCATGGAAAAGAAATAACAAGGAAATGCAGGACATCATCAGATGAGGTAAATATCATAGGGGAAAATATCCGTGTCAAACAGCTAAACAATAATTAACCTCATAGCATATCCTTGGTAGGTACTTTCAGACATGGCTAGTGACCATATGAATTTATTGGAAGGCAATATGATAAAGACACATACATCTGTCCAGGGGCGGGACTCATTGACTGATTTCAGTGTGTGGCTCAGGATACTGTGGTGACCAGCCATAGACACATTTGCTGCTGAACAGGGAGCAAGGAACTCTGGTAATTTGATTAAAAGTCTGGGAAGAGGGATTTTCCAAAGGATGAGAAGGGACTGATGTGTTATTATTGGGTGTAGATATTAGGGAAAACAGATGACAACAGTTGCACAATTAATATTGTCATAATAGAGACAACTACGCTGGAATCCATAATCCATCCTTTACAAACTTAGTGAAATAGGGCATGTTTCTTGAACATCAGTTTCTTTTAAAAGAATATGGCTTTTAGGATAGTAATTAGAAACAAGAAATAGACAAAGGAACAATCACAGCAGGAAATTTTAATATACCTCTCCTTAGAAATTGAGATAATAAGCAAAAAGATCAGTAAGGAAATGCATGATTTGAGTAATAAAAGCAACTTGATTTAACAGTCATATGTAGAACTGCACCCAACAAGTGAAGAGTATACATTCTATTCAGGTATATGGGACATTTCCAAGAATTGACAGTAGAACATGAGCTCCTGACCAGGCACAGTGGCTCATGCCTCTAATCCTAGCACTTTGGGAGGCAGAGGCAGGCAGATCTCTTGAGCCCAGGAGTTTGAGACCAACCAGGGCAACATGACAAAACCCTGTCTCTACAAAAAATTAGCCAGGGTGGTATGTGCCTGTATTGCCAGCTACTTGGGAAGTTGAGGTGAGAGGATCACTTGAGCCCAGGAGGTTGAGGCTGCAATGAGCCATGATTGTACCACTGCACTATGGCCTGGGTGACAGAGTGAGACCCCTGCCTCCAAAAAAAACAAAAAACTTGAACATGAGCTCCAAGAAAGCATGACTTTTTGGCCTATTTTGTTTACAGATGTAACCTAAGCATCTAGAACAGTACCTGACACATGTGGGTGCCCAATATTTGTTAAAGGAAAGAATTGATCATACCTGGAGCCAAATGGCAATTCTTTGGGGGGGAAAAAACAATCTTAAGGATTGAAAATCCTTTAGTTGGAAATCAGCACAAATGAAACAGTTTTAAATATTAATTCATAATTTATGATGAAAATTTGAGAAAAAATAGAACAATTATATGCTACAAATTGTGTGTGGAATATGACTAAAGCAGTTCTAGAGTTTTTTTTTTGGCCTTTAGCCTAAAATGCATTCATTAAGCCAAAAATCAATAAATATCTGTATCAGGAATATAAATAACAGAATAGTTCCCCCACCCCAATTTGAAGGGAATAATGAGCAGAAATTGATGAAACAGAAAACAGATCAACAAAGTCAAAGTTGGTGTATTAGTCCTTTTTCACACTGCTGATAAAGACATACTTGAGACTGCGCAATTTACAAAAGAGGTATAATGGACTTAAGTTCCACATGGCTGGGGAGGCCTCACAATCATGGCCGAAGGCAAGGAGGAGGAAGTCACATCTTACGTGGATGTCAGCAGACAGAGAGCTTGTGCAGGGAAACTCCACCTTATAAAACCATCAGATCTCATGAGACTTATTCACTATCACGAGAACAGCATGGGAAAGACCTGCCTCCATGATTCAATTACTGCCCACCAGGGTCCCTCTCACAACATGTGGGAATTCAAGATGAGATTTGGGTGAGGACACAGCCAAACCATATCAGTTGGTTATTTGAAACCTTAATCAGGAGATAAGAGAGAAGGTGTAAAAGATAAGGAATGGCAAATTACAGAAGCTGCAGAGAGTAAACAGGTAATGGGGATATTATAAACAAACTTTGTCAATAAATTTGGACACTTTGATAAAATGTCTAAATTTCTAGAAAAAACAGAGCTGAACCAAGAAGAAATAGAAATTAGAAATAACAGTCATCCCCCAGAAAGAAGTTGGATTAACAACTTTTTAAAATCTTCCCTTGAAGAAAACAACATATCCAGTGTTATAAGCTATTCCTACCAAACATTCAAGATATGGATTATTCCAGTCTTACACAAACATCCAAAAAATAGCAAATAAACTCAGTTCTTTAGATGACTGCAACATTAATACCAAGAGCACAGTAGGGTCAATGCAATAAAGGAAAATTGCATGTCTATTGCAATCATTAATAAAAATGTAAACAAGAACCTAGCAATAAAGTTAACAAGATATAAAAATATCAGTTCTCAAATTTATCTAAAGTTTTAATCAAAATTTCAGTAAGACTTTTTATGGAGCCCGACAAACAATGTAAAATTTTTATAGGTAAAGAATAATCAAGATAAGTCAGAAGAACATAAGATAAGGGCATTTTTCCTATAAGATGTCAAGGTTTATTACAAGACCTGTAGAAGTATTGGCACAGGAATATTTTAAAAATTGACTAATAGAGCAGAATAGATGGCTTGGGAGCAAGTGTGCATACATTTAATAAATGAGGCTGTGATAATTGATTATCCATATCAAAAACAATGGTATTGAGTCCCTACTTCACATTATACACAAAAATAAAACTCCCCAGATGAATCAAATATCTAAACATGAAAAGCAATATTGTAAAACTTAGAAGACAATATAGGATAATATCTTTACCTTCTCAAGGAGATTTCCTTAAAGAAGGACTTCCTGAGACCCAAAAAACACTACCTGTAAAAGATCAATAAATTCACTGTTATGGTTAATAACTTCTGTTCACTACAAGATATCAAAAAGAGAATGAGGTAAGCCACGATGCATTCAAGATATTTGCAACTTGAGTACCTGACAAAAGATTAGAGAATAGAGAACTGCAAACAGTAAGAAAATGCAAAGAATCCTTTAGAAAAACTCCAAAGACACGGACATTTCACCAAAAAAGAAATACAAACAGCTCATAAACATTAAAAAAAAACCCAACCTATTCATAATTAGGGAAATGCAAAATGAAACAATATTTATAATTTATAACATTGGCAAAATTTTTAAGTATTGAGAAACGTGGAACATCATGAACTCTCCTTTACTCCCAGTGGAGGGTAACTACTTTGGAAATAAATGGCATTACCTAATAAATACAACCCAGCATCTCCACTCCTTAGATACATACCCCAGAAAAATTCCTACGTGTATGCACCAGGAGCATGTTTAACATGCTCACAGCTGCATTGTTCAAAAAAGCAGAAAACCCAGAAATCACTTGAATGTGTGTCTGGAGTAAATAGTAGAGAGGATAAAGACATTGAGTATAATCATCCAGTATGATCCTATCAAATATGTAAAATGGTAAAATAGCAATAGGCAACAGCATGGATGACTCAGGAAGATGTTGAGCAAAAATATGTGTATATAATTTGCAGAAAAATACATGTGATGTGAGTTCGTTTATAGTGTCTTATTTATGAGGCCAGCAGTGGCTATGTAGGATAATAAAACCACAGATTATTAGAAGAAAGTGTTTGCTGACAAAATTGAAGCCAATATCTTCTTTTTTACAAATGAAGAAACTGAGGCTCTGGGAGGGGAAGAGATTTTCCCAAGCTCACACTAATATTTAGTAGTACAGCTGAAATTAAAAAATTGGTCCCTGGGTCCTAACCAAGAAACCGCATTCACCATGGGCTTGGGGATATACTGAATCTGCTCAACACTTAGCTGTGTGAACCAGCACAAGTCAATTACGTTCTTGAAATCACATTGCCTCCTGAGTGAAATGTGTACAAGAAATAATGAGAATCTCATATGGCTGTTAGGACATTTGCATTGAAGTACTGTATGCAAAAGTTTATAGTCCAAATGTAATGAATCCTGGTTCTTTACATCCTACCCATGATAGCAGCAGACGGGGAGGAGGCTGAAATGGTATGGTGTCATCAGCCGAACACACACCCAGGCAGGAAAGCACCATACTCCAATGACAGATAAAGAGCCCAGGACTTCTCTGGGTATGCTTACACACAGGAGGGCATATAGGTGTTTCTAGTTAAGTGTCTTTATGCCCCTTGACTTTTGCTTTTGATACTCATGCTGAATTTATTTCTGGTTCCAGATGACTAGACATTCACTTTGCAAATAATTGTTGTGGCTCTATGTTTGCTCCAGACACAGAGCTTTTATTATCACCCAAAGACCCCTATGGGAACCAAAAGAATCAAGCTGAACCAAGATTTCTGCCAGAATCAGTTTCCTGAAGCCAGGAGGCTTTATCATGTTGTGCAAAGGACTTTTTTTTTTTTTTTTTAAGAAAAACAGACTCCTTTATTGATTTCTCCCTTTACCCCGCCTCTCCTTGCCCCTTATTTTGCCCTGACTTTGGGATCTCACCCTGCGTGGAAAAGGATTGGAGGGCATTCCTACTTTAGGGGGCAATATGTGACTCCATCTCTCAGCTCTGACTCAGGACCTTTGGCTTGGCCCTAAGCAGAGGTGTGGGAGGCTGGGGCTCTCTGATGCCCACACAGGGTCATTGGGAGGTTGGCTGAAGGATACCAAGCAGATTGCTGCCCCAAAATATGACTCCCTTGCCTATCCAGGTGTCTATAAACCCATCATTAGAAAGACAGTCTTTAAGACTCATTTCCAGTACTTCTGAAAAAGAAAGCAAATTCTCCTGAAAGCATAACACACTAAGCCCCTCTCAATCAGCAGTAGAGAGAGGCTGGGCCAACGGAAAGGTCAAAGTCATGAGCCAGGTGCACCCAGCTTCTAATTCTAGCTTGGCCATTTACTATCTGAAATCCTGAACTTCTGCGAGCCTCAGTTTCCTCATCGGAACGTATGGAATCAATACTACTTAGCTTGCAGTGTTGTTGTGAGAGGCAGCGACAAGAAACCCAATGCAATGCTCAACACTCACATCAATGGGATCCTATACATAGACACCATTATTGTCAACACCTTTGTGGAAAGCCTCCCCTTAAGGAGGCTGAATGGAGAAGGCACAGCATTCTTCTTAATAGATGTCCACTTTGATGTGGGTCTAATGTTAGGGGGTGATGTCAGGACTCTGGACACACTGCATTCTGAAGCAGCAAACAGGCAGCAAAAAGATAGTTGAGCCAATGGGACAGGAGCAGCCTCTGTCCTGGCCAAGAACTGTCACTCAGCTCTCCACAAACCAGGAGCACTATCCCACCCAGGATGACTTCTGGGCAAGGCAAGGCCTCCACGGGTCCCCAGAGGAACACGTGGCATATGTGAGACTCGAGTCAGACTGGAGTGCATGTTAAGGCAGGGAAGAGGAGTGATGTGAAAGGAAAGGGTTGACAGGTAGAGCCTTCAATAAGATGTGGCATGCCTTCACTGGAGAAGCCAGGAGGATTTCTGACTACCATCTCACAGGAAGAGAATGTAGACCAAGGACCATGAAGGGAACTTTGTAGGATTATGGAAACTTCATCATGTCCTTCTGATGTATTTCTGTGCTTTGCTGAAGGGTTCAGTGATTTGCCCAAAGTTATTCGAATCACCCCATAAGGGGCAGAAGCATGTCTCAAACCCTCTGGTGGAGCTTTCATCTCTTGGGGAGAGAAAATCTAGGTTTCATTTGAAGAACTGCCATTTAGACTGCTTGGCTGGGGAAGAACAAGACAGTACTCAGCTGAACAGCTTGCTGAGGAATATGGGCTGGGAGAAGAGCTTGGAAAAATGCGTGGCAGCCTGATGTCACCTATGAGGGTCAAGAGGTGAGCAGGGCAGCGGGGCTGAAACACTGAGAAGAGAGCAGCCCAGACTCAGACTCCTCAGACTGGGAACCAGGGGAGACTAAAAATCAGGGAAGAATGGGAAACTGGCCAGAGAGGAAATGCTGTTTACATCCAGGCCGGAGTTCCAGGCCTGGGAAGGCAAAGAAGCCCTAGGGCAGTGGAATCCAATAGACCTTTCTGCAACAATGGCAGCGTTCTACAACTGTGCTGTCAGTAAAGTGGGCACAAGCCACAAGTTCTTATCAAACCCTTGAAATGTGGCTAGTGTGATCGAGAAATACTTTTAATTTTATTTAAATTCAATTAATTTAAATTTAAGTTTAAATAGCCACATGTGGCTAGTGGCTACCACATGGGACAGTACAGCCCTAAAGAGTCAGGCTGTTTAAATTTTGCAACAGCAGAGGACCCTTGAATTGATTATATTTGATAGAGTAAGGGTGGACAGCTCCTGAGACTCAAGTTCAGGCAGGGAGGTCTGGACCAATTGAGATGGACGTCTGTGCTGGAAATTCTAAGAACTGACCCACATTAGCTGGAGAAAGAAGCCATTGTTCCCTCCCATGCCTCCCTGCTTCAGCCTTTGCTTTCACTGAAGACTTGGCACTTGGCATCTCTCACTCATTGGTCAGGTGACAGGTGTTACCTGCCCAGTAACTAGTCCTTACCCCCTCTTCCTTCCACTCAGCTGGGAATCCTCCTCTGTGCTCCCCTAGCACCTGCAATGCCTCACTTCTAGTCCCCTCTTTATTTATCTGCTTGACTAGCTCTACGCTGCACATAGCAGGTCCTCAGTGAGAGTTTACTTAGGGCTGACAGGGGTCACATGATAGAGCATCACATTCTTGCTATATGACCTCAGGCAAATTAACTTTTGAGCTAGCTGGGGAATATTCTTCATGACAGAACTAGTAGGACTTCGTTTCACATCTGTGTTCCAATTTAACATACTCAGATTGAGCACCTGCTGCATGTCAGGCACCAGGCATTATAGAATGAGTAAATCAGACTCCCTACCATCAAGGAGATCCACAGTTAAGTTCAAGGACATACAAGTTTTATCAAAAGCAGACTGGTTAAGAGCACGTGTCTTGGAGTGGGTCCGAGCAGGGTAGGCAGCCTGGCTTTGCCATGCTCTAGAGGCAAAGGCTGAGTGATCTTAGGTGATGAATTCACTTTCTCAAGTTCTGTTTCTGTGTCTGTAAAATAGCATCATGATTCTGTCCGGCCCAGGTGTGAGGTTTAAATGAGATCTTATTTTTCTTACCAAGTTACTGCCAGCTCTCAGTGCTTAATCTTCCATTTAATATAACAATAAAAACAGCTGGGGATCCTGACACAGGTGCACGGCTCACTCTTGCTGGCCTTTGATCACAGCAGCAGCATCTTTCCTATGGCTGTTCTCTCCTCCTCACCCTGCACCGCAGGCAGCCTGTTTTCCTTTAAGCCCTCCAAACACTGCCAACTCAAGACGCAGCATGTCACAGACTTGCACTGAGGTTTGGGACAACTGGAAGCACTGGGTCACAGTTACTGCCATCATGTTGTCATTTCTGCCACAAGGAATTTCTTGCTGACTATGCTTCTTCCCGGGCCCCTGCCCACTGCCCTTCTGTGGGGCACTGTCTCTTGCTCCCCCTCGCTTTCATTCCTCCACTGCTCAAGAGACCCCACCCCCACTTCCAGTCACTGGAAGCCACTTCTGGCCAAATCCTAGATTCCTCTGCATTATGCAGGACAATTTATTTCCTTTTTGTCTTACTTTCTTATCTAGGTTATCTGTTCCTAGGAGGCTTCCTGTTCATAATCAAATGTGTCAATTCAGTTGTTTTTCCCAGTCAGAAAATCAGAACTCTTTTTAAAGATTGATTCACTGACCATCAAGCTTAAGTAGCAGGCAGCTTCAGAAAATAACATTTCCTCACCCCCTTCCCTTTCCTTAATCCCAAAGCCAGGAACAAATGAGCAAATCTGTGGGCTGGGTGGGTCTGATTACTAACCATTTTTAATACTGCAAACCCCTGGGGTTTTCTTTTTGTGCATTTCTTACCAGGTGCCATCCGGAATCATTTCTTACTGTTCCTCTTTGCTTTTCATTGAGAATAGAAATAATTCACCCACACATATGGAGATAAAATAGTCTTTTGGAGGGGAGAGGGGAGAAAGTGAATCTTCTGTCAAAATAGTCTGGGCCCCACATCTGCCCCTTTCACTCAGCCTTTGCTGAAAGTGGGCCTGGCTGGGTGGGGTAGCCGGGGGCTCTGCTCAGCGCAGCGTCTGTCACTCCCAGCAGAGCCAGGGCTGTCTTCAGAGCTGGAGCAGAGAAGTGACTAAGTGATGACAGAGAAATAGCTGCCAATTCCAAGTAGAACTGCCACCTCTGAGGAGGCACAGCATTGTCTTTTCAGATGGCATTTTCACAATGAGCTAGCTGCAGAGCCTGAGGACCCGATTGGATTCTTGTCCAAATGCCCAGGCATCCACTAATTCACAGAGTTGCAGAGTTTTACGCTAGGAAGAAACAATCAAACTTGATAGTGAAGGGCAAAGTTGTAGGCCGTGAGCTTGATTTGGAGAGATAGAAAATTCCTAATGAAAATTTAAAGAATACCAAGATTTCTGGGTGAATGCTGAGGAAAGAAGAGTAGTCTTATTCTAGAGACTTCAGTATTAGCTGCTGCTCTGACACTAACATCCTGTGTGATCTTGGACAAGTTCCTTACTTCTCTGGGCTTAAGTTTTCTCTCTTATAAAGTGAGGACATAGGATGAGATTAATAATTTTCAAATTGTGTTCCAAGGATCTTGTAGATAATATGTTGGGAAAATCCTGGGATCTATAACATAGAATAGTTTGGTAATGACTTTCTCAGAAACTTTAATGTGCTAATATGCACCCTGACTTTCCAGAACAAAGTTAAAGTGCAAGTTTTCATAAGCAACTAAAAAGATTCTAATGGAAAAGGTGGCATCCAAGCCACTGTGTCCTTATTGACACAAATGATGCTTGTTTTGGACATCTGGCTACACAGTTCAGGGAGGTGGGGAGAAGCTAAAGGAGGTGGAAAGAGGAACAGCACAAGTCTTGAAGATGCAGAAAGTGAGTCCCGTGAGAAGAGAAAAATCAATAGTAAAATGATGTTAAATTAAAAGGAAAGATGAGTAAAAGGCATTGGATTGATCTCCATTTATATAAAGGACTTTAATGAAGAATTGGAGACCATGGAGGACCAGGTGAGAAAGAGTGACTTAAAATTTAAATATTTAATAGTAAGAAAAAAATGTCCATATTAGCTCATGTTATTACCATTCCCAGTGCTCTTCATTCCTATGTGTGAATACAGATTTCCATTTGGTATCATTTTCATTCTGCCTGAAGGACTTCCTTGAACATTTCTTAGAGTGAGTGTCTAGCGGTGATGAAGTCTTTCAGCTATCATGACTGAAAATGTCTTTATTTTGCCCTTACTTTGGGATATACTTTTACTGGTCATAAACTCTAGGTTTACAGTTTTTTCTCAGTGCTTTAAAAATGTTTCTCACTGTCCTTCTACTTTCACTGTTTTCAAGGAGAACTCTGCTGTAATTCTCGTCTTTGTTTCTCTGTGTGTAATACATTGTTATTCTCTGGATGCTTTCAGGATTTGCCCCTTTTCACTGGTTTTAAACAATCTGATTGTATGTGTCTTGGTACAGTTTTATGTTTCATTGAGCTTCTTTGATCCATAGATACACAGTTTTCATCAAATTTGGCAAATTTTCAGTTATTCTTTCTTAAAATATGTTTTCTGTCCACACCTCTCTCTCCACTGTCTCTTGGAGGCTCCAACTGCATAGGTATCATGCTCTTATAATTGCCCTGCAGCTCACTGATGCTTCTTTCATTTTGGGGGGAACAAGAGGAGGGATCCTTTTTACTTTCATTGTTTCACTTTGAATAGTTTCCATTGCTATGCCTTTCAGTTTAGTAATCTTTACTTTAGAAATTTCTAATCTGCTGTGGATGCCATCCAGAGTATTTTTTATCTAAGCCATGATCGTTTTCATTTCCTCAAATTTCATTTGGATCTTTTAAAAATGTCTTCTATGTCTCTACTCAACTTTGTGAACATACTGTAGTACAGTTACAACAAACACGTTAATGTCCTTTTCTGCCTGCTCCATCATCAGTGTCAGTTTCTATTGATTGACTATTCTCATTCTGGGTCATATTTTTTAGCTTCTTTGCATTGCACATTTGACAACCTTTGATTAAATGTCAGACATTGTGAATTGTACCCTGCTTGGTGCTGATTATTTTTATATCTCTGTAAATATCTTTGAACTTTATTCTGGGAAGCAGTCAAGTTGCTCTGAAACAGTCTGGTCCTTTTGGGTCTTGAGTTTGTCATTGTTTAGGTGGGTCCAGAGCACTGCTCAGTCTAGGGCTATGTATTCCCTACCACTGAGGCATGACTTTCCTGAGTACTCCACCAGTCTACCACAAATTATGTTTTTTTCCAGTCTGGCTGGTTAGAACAGGCACTATTCACTATCCTGTGTGTGCCCTGGACACTGTTCTCTGATCCTTCCAGGTGGTTTTCCCTCAGCCTCAGGTCATTTCCTTAAAAATATATGCTAATCTGTGCTTTGCTGAATACTTGAAAAGGAACCTCCACAGATCACTCTCTGTGCAGTTCTTGCCTTTTTGGTACTCTGTCTTGCAAACTCTACCTCTCTTCATCTTTCTAGACTCTCAGCTATGTTTCCTGACTTCAAGGAATCTGTCAAGTTCTATCCAGGCTTTTCCTCCTGATGCTATAGGCTGTGAACTCTCTGAAAAAGGTATTAAGGGACAATGACAGGGCTCATCTCATTAGTTTAGTCATCTCAGGAATCACTGTATTTGTTGCCTAATATCTAGTAACTTGAAAACATTTATTTCATATACTTTGTCTGTTTTTCTTGGTTATTTCAGTAAGAACATATATACAACATATATTCAGTTCTTGTTACTCTATATCTGGTGGAAATAGAAGTTCTTAACTTTATATTTTAGCAGAAAGTTTAAGTTAAATGTAATTTTGTTTTTGCTACCACTTATTATAAAAACAAAAATCATTGAATTGAGAGACCCAGGAATAGTGTAGGGTCCTCATGTTTGGAGATCTTAACCAAGGGGACAGATGGCATTAGTTAAGGGGGCTTATTTATTAAAAATTCCTTCTGATGTATGTGACAGAAAATGAATCCAAACCTTCAGCAAACACACACACACACACACACACACACACACAACTTTTTGGCTTAATACTCTTCTGGGAAGTCCAAGGAGCTGAGCTGAGCCAAGCAGATCTATCACTCAAAGTTTGAATGACAGTTCCAAACACACATGTTCTGTTGACTTGTGAGCCAAGATAAAGAGAACAATCCTCTTCTCAACAGAAATAGTCTGATTATCCCTGTTTGAGTCATGTGAACACTTCTGGATTAATTAGTTTCCAGAGAAATAAATATTTCAGTTACTCTGAGAGTTTAGTTTAATTTGGAATTTTTTCTCTAGCCTCTCTGAATTCCCTGACTCCCCACCTATCTCCATGATTGACAGTCTCGTTAGAATCTCATGCAGTCGGGGAGGGACCCTGGCTGGTCAAAAATTTACCTGTGAAACAGCAGGGAGCTATATCAGATGATCTGGCAAAATTTCCACCTACTCTAAAAACTTTAGTTCTAAGGATCAAAATGTTATTAAAAGGATTTGAAAAATATCAACTATAGGGCTTCAAACAATGCATTATAAATTGATTCTCAAGAATCATTTCTTAAGTCTTTATTGTTTTTCTAATTTTTAAAGTAAAACATGCTTACTATTAAAATTTTGGACAATTGAGAAAATCTCACTACTCAGAGAAGACCCCAATAACATTTCAGTGTATGTCTGAATTAATAAATAACTTGATTTATTTGAATTCAAAGAAAGAAGACCTTAATAAAGACTGTAAGCTCTCTTTATCTTACATGCTTATAGGTGGAGTTGAACACCAAATCCTGGCATTTATGCCCCCAGTAAAAATGAGCAGATTTTTCCATTAATTATGGCATATGTGCACTTGTGAAGGTCTTATGCCTCTAATTACTTGCTAATGTCTGCTCTGCCCTGTGCACTACTCAATAAGATGCACATCATTCAGGTCCAGTCATTGCTGCTGTATTCTGTTGCATCCAAGCTTCAATATAATTTGCATTTTATTTTGATGTATTTCAGAAGAATCTTATATACATGCAGGAGTGGTGAGGTATGTGTTGAATGAAACCCATGGTTAATTTTGTGTTGATTCTACTTATCCAATTCCTGCATTCATCCTTCATTTACTCATGTATTCAATTACCTTTTATGGAATTCATACTATGTTTCAGGGACTTACAGGGTAGTTGAGAAGTAAATGTGAACAAAATAGACATAATTTATTTCTGCTCATAGCTTGACATTTAGTGGAAAATATGGAAAAAATAAACAAGTCAATGAAATAATTACAAGTGCTATGAAGGAAGCAGAGTGCTGAGACTTACAGAATTTAGACAAGGCAAGGTTCTTCTCTGCTTTAAACCTTCCAGAGCTCCCCATGGGCTGTGCAATGCAGTTCCAAGTCCTTAGCATGGCATTCAAGGCTCTTTAAAACATCACATCTTGCCTGATGTTCCCGGCCACTGATGCTCTCAATACTCCAGGCACAACTAATTACTGGCCACTCCCTGGACATGTGTGTTGTGCCAAGGAGCTCAGATATTGACCTGTCAGTGATAGGAGTGGTTCTAAGCATGGTGGTGACACATTCTCATCCAATGTACACTGTGGATGGTAATTCTGCAGTCTGTAAGAGGGCCTGGTCAGGGAGAGACACGAGAACCTGTTAGAAAGCATCAATAGGGCTTCAGCAAGAGGATGGCGTGGCCTGACATGTGAGTGGGAAGCACAGATCTATGAGATACTGAAGTGATCCATTCTTTAAGACTTGGTCATGGATTGGCTGTGAGGGCGAGGAAAAGGGGATAGCAAATGACTTCCAGCTCCTAGCCTTGAACAGGTTGGTGAGCTGCAGACTGAGGCAGTAAAAGTCACAGAAAAGTGGTCTTAACGTAGTAACACTCCTTTAATCAACATATACATTCTTCCAGAGAAAAGTAAGAAATAGTTTTTTTCCTCTGGGACTGGTTAGAATCTTACGAGAAAAGTATCCAGACTTCTTGCCAGTGGTGCTTGCACATCAAAGGGCGTGGCGAGAGGATTATGTTACGAGCCTCTCATCTGGGGGTTCACAACTGTGATCTGCAGGCTGCAACTTGCTTCTAAACAGAGCTAATTTTTCTTGCATTTTTCAACTGGGAAGTTCTCCACAGAATTCCTACTTTTCATATTTGAAAAATCAAGATGATTTGCTAATATTCTGACATGACAACAACTGGCTAAAATTGAGGGGTGACCTTCTCCTTCCGAAGGCATCTGCACCTTTGGTTCACCACAAACCTCACCACTCCCTAATGTCTATCTCGACTGCAGACTGAGTCCTCAGTGACTGCCATGTTGCAGGGCCCCTGTGCGATAAGTGCAGGGACATGGAAGTCTGAGACCACAGAGCACATGGGTGATCACGGCTGTAAACACACAATCCATCTTCCCTAATTGCCAAGGAGGCTTGAATTTCCTCCAAGGTGCTCCACCAGCTGCCTTTCCCCTGGTAGTGCTCCCAGGCCATAGCTGCTCTCCCCACCCAGTGTATGCTGGTGTCTTGGTTGGATTGAACTCAACACTGCACCCTGTACCAAGGAGTCCTGCAGGTTAACTGCAGCCTATCAACTATTTAAGCACTATTAACAGTAATATTTTCCATATTAACAGGAACAAGTATCAACCACTCATTATATTCTAGGCACTCTTCCAAGGGCTTTGCATGTATACAGGACTCCTTGAATGAACCTGGGGTAGACACATTATTCCCATCTTATAGATGTGGAAACACACAGAGAAGTACCTTATGCAAGGTTACATGGTGTGTGATTAGCGAGAAAGAGGATGCTAGATTAAACCCTTGGCAGTACTGAAGTATCTCTTGACGTGTACTATTGTTTTTAAATACAATACTGTTATTTTTAAATAAAAATTATTCCTGTTTTACTAATTTTTCAAGTTTAGTGATGCATACTTGAAATCTTCCAATGGTCACATCAATCTGAAATCACTGATTAATTCTAAATGGTGTGCCATATGGAGCTTTCCTGTCCTGTGTCTTTGTGCACGTGTTTCTCTCACAAGAATTGTGGTTCCCTCCTCCTCCTCCTCCCATGCAAGTCCTGAGTCACATGTCCTCTGTTCTGGGCAGCTTCTGGTAGCAATTTGCATATGCCTTTACAGTTGACATGGCCACATTTTCTGAGATGGTCTTGATTTTAAATATTTGGCCCCACTGTTATACTTTCTCATACCTTGGAGCCAGATTGTGGATCCTTGATTCAGAATATGTGACTGACATATTTATAGCCCTTTCCATCTCTATTGAGTTGGAACACTCAGTGGGAGTGGGGGGAAGATGCTGAAGAGTGACTTTCCCATCTCTTGCCTTGGCTCCTCTGCCCACCACATTCATGATGATGTTGCTCACGGTTCTCCCCTTGACACTTGCTTTTTCGTCTTTACCTACTCTCTGTGATCTTAACGGCCTCCATGCTGTTGACTCCCAAACATTTGTGTATTGCATCTCCCTGAGCTTTATAGACTCAACTGTCTGCTGAACACATTTGTATATTCCATAAGCTTCCCCAAATCAGTATGTCAAAAACTGAATTCATAAACTCCCTTTATTCCCCAAACTGGCTTTTATTCCTCATTTTTGCTGCAAAATCACCATCCACCTAAGTTTCTCCCACTGCATTGTCCCCCCAACATCCAACCAATCACCAGATCTTGCCACTTTTGCCTCTTGTGTATTTCTGGCAGCTGTCACCTCTCTCGCACCCTATTTCTGTGGTCCTGGTTAGGCTCAGGATCCATGGCCTCTCACTGGGGCCATGACAGTGGCCTTTCACTTAGGGTCCTGTGTGGCAGGCTCCTGCAGGCTTCTCCAGACTCCAAGTCTACAGTGCAGATCTTGCCTTCTGTGCCCCAGTGGCTTTAAGGGGGCTGTCTTTACTGTGTTCCCACTTAAAAGTGTTCCCACTTTTAAGGCTGGTAATTCCCACCACACACCTTGTTTCAGTGCCTATTCATTTGCTAATTGGTTTCCTTATGTTGATGTATTAGTTTGCTAATGCTGCTCTAACAAAATGCCACAAACTGACTGGCTTAAAACAATAGATGTGTATTCCCAAACAGTTCTGGAGAGTAGGATTCTGAAATCAAGGTGTCAGCAGAGCTGTATGAGTCCATTCTTGCACTGCTATAAAGAAATACCCGAAACTGGGTAATTCATAAAGAAAAGGTTTAATTGGCTCATGGTTCCGTTGGCTGTTCAGGAAGCATAGTGGCTTGGGCTTTTGGGAAGACCTCGGGTAACTTAAAATCACGGAGGAAGGTGAAGGGGAAGCAGGCACGTCTTACATGGCCAGAGCAGGAGCAAGAGAGAGAGGTGGGAGGTACCACACACTTTTAAACAATGAGATCTCATGATAACTCACTCACTATACCATAACAAAGGGGATGGCTCTAAATCATTAATGAGAACTCCACCTCCATGATCCAATCACCTCCCACCAGACCCTACCTCCGAAACTGGGAATTACAATGAGACTTGAGATTTGGACAGGGTCATATCCAGACCATATGATTCTACCCCTGCCCCCTCCCAAATTTTATGTCCTTCTCAAATTTCAAAATACAATCATGCCTTCCCAACAGTCCCCTAAAGTCTTAACTTATTCCAACATTAACTCAAAACTCCAAAGTCCAAAGTGTCATCTGAGACAAGGCTAGTCCTTTCCATCTATGCTCCTGTAAAATAAAAAAACAAATTAGTTACTCCCAAGATACAATGTGGGTACAGGCATTGGGTAAATACTCCCAAAAGGGAGAATGTGGTCAAAATAAAAGGGCTACAGGCCCCATGCAAGTCCAAAACTCAGCAGGGCAGTCATTAAACCTCAAAGCTCCAAAATAATCTCCTTTAACCCCACGTCTCACATCCAGGGCACACTGGTGCAAGGAATGGGCTCCCAAGGCCTTGGGCAGCTCCAACCCCGTGGCGTTGCAGAGTTCAGCCTCTGCTGCTGCTCTCAAGAACTGATGTTGAGTGCCTGCAGCTTTTCCAGGTAGAGGGTGCAACCTGCTGGCGAATCTATCATTCTGGGGTCTGGAGGATGGTGGCCCTCTGTTCACAGCTCCACTAGGTAGTGCCCCACTACCCAACTCCACATTTCTTGTCTGCACTGCCCTAGTAGAGGTTCTCCATGAGGCTCTGCTCCTGGAGCAGGCTTCTGTCTGGACATCCAGGCTTTTCCATACAACCTCTGAAATCCAGGCAGAAGTTCCCACACCTCAATTCTTGCACTGTGTGCACCTGCAGGCTTAACACTATGTGAATGCTTCTAAGGCTTATTGCTTGCACCCTCTAGAGCAGCTACCTGAGTTATAAATGGGTCCCTTTGAGCTACAGCTGGAGCTGGACTGGCTGGGATGCAGGTAGCAGTGTCTGGAGGCTGTGTTGGGCAGTGGGGCCCTGGTCCTGGACCAAAAACTATGCAGTCCTCCCAGGCCTCTGGGCCTGTGATGGGAGGGGCTGCCACAATGCTCTCTGAAGTGCCTTCAAAGCCTTCTCCCCATTGTCCTATCAGCACTTGGCTCATCTTATGCAAATTTCTGCATCTAGCTTAAATTCATTCCCAGGAAAGAGGTTCTTTTTTTGTACCACAAGGCCAGGCTGCAAATTTTCCAGTTTTACACTCTGCTTCCCTTTTAAATGTAAGTTCCAGTTTCAGGTCATTACATTGCTCATGCATGTGAGCACAGGCTGTTTGAAGCAGTTAGGTCACCTTGAATATTTTGTTGGTTAGAAATTTTTTCTGCCAGATACCCTAAATCATCACTCTCAAGTTCAAGGTCCCACAGATCCTTAGCTCTTTGCTAACACATAACAAAAGTGACATTTTCTCCAGTTGCCAATATATTCTTCATCTCTGTCTGAGACCTGGGCCTCATTGTCCATATGAGTATTTTGGTCACAACCATTCAGTAAGTCTCTAGGAAGTTCAAACTTTCCCTCATCTTTGTCCTCTTCTGAGCTCTCTGTACTCCTCCAACCTCTGCTTATTACCCGATTCCAAGGTTGATTCCACATTTTCAGGTATCTTTATAGCAATGCACCACTCCAAGTACCAATTTTCTGTATTAGTCTGTTCTTGCATTGCTATAAAGAAATACCCAAGACTGGGTAATTTATAAGAAGGTTTAACGGCTCATAGTTCTGCAGGCTGTACAAGCAGCATAGTGGCTTCTACTTCTGGGCAGGCCTCAGGAAACTTATAATCATGGCAGAAGGCAAAGGAAAAGCAGGCATGTCTTACATGGCAAGAGCAGGAGGAAGAGAGTCGGGAGGTGCCACACACTTTAAAAAAAAAAAAACAGATCATGACCACTCTCCCACTATAAAACCAGTACTAATGAGGCATGGTGCTAAACCACTCATGAGAACTCTGCCACCATGATCCAATCACCTCCCACCAGGCCCTACCTCCAACACTGGGAATTACAATCCGACATGATTTTGGGTGGGGACACAGAGCCAAACCGTATCAATGGCCATGCTCATGTTCCAGTTTCTGTGGTTGTAGGCAATGCTTGGTGTTCCCTGGTGTGCAGCTACATAACTCTAATTTCTGCCTCCATCATCACACAGCAACTTTTCAAAAAAAAAAAAAGAAAAAAAAAGAAAGAAAAAGAAAAGAAAAAAGTAGTAAGGAAGATAGAGTTGTACTCATGTAAGGCTCAGGTTTTGTCAGTTATAAGTTAATGACAACAGGGCAAAAGGAGTTTAAGATATTGCCATGATAGTGGCAGAAGTATTAAGATGACAGATCTGAGCTGGATGGAGAGGTAAGTGAAAAGGTTACTAATGGAACTACTAATGAGAATTAAAAAACTGGCATATTGGGTTTGACTCTCAAACTTTCCAAAGCTCTTCGTATTTATCTGCTTTAATCCAACAGTTTTATCACCAACTATACAGTGTGCTGTGCTACACTGCAGGGGGATGCAGCCGTAAATAAGACAATCAACACTGATCATTTTGTAGAAAAGCATGAAGACTAATAATATTCATTTATCTTATCTTTTAGAGATGGGGTCTCAGTCTTGTCACCCAGGATGGAGTGCAGTGGCACAGTCAAGGCTCACTCCAGCCTTGACCTTCCAGGGTTAAGTGATTCTCCCACTGCAGCCTCCCTAGTAGCTGGGACTACACACCACCATGACTAGCTAATTTTATTTATTTATTTTTTTGGTAGAGACAGGGTCTCCCTATGTTGCCCAGGCTGGTCTCAAATTCCTGGGCTCAAACATTCCTCCCACTTAGGCCTCCCAAAGTGCTGGGATTACAGGCATAAGCCACCCCACCTGGCCAAAACTAGTAATAGTCAATAGAATGATCAGTACAATTAATAAGATCTAGGTACAAGGTAGTAAAAATGTGAGAAAGGATACTTTTCACCTCATGGTAAGACATGGTTATCAGGAAACATTCTTTAAAAACTGCCTTAAATAGCTCTTGAGACAGCTGCAAGTAAAGTTGGGATGAAGAAACCATTCTGAGTAGCATGAATAGCATAAAAAAGCATAAAGCATAGCGAAAGCCTAATCAGAAGATAAGGCTTATGGAAAAACAATGCAAGGTAGGGCTGTAAAGGTAATTTAAAGCCAAATTAGAGAGAGCCTTAAATGTGGTAAGGAATCTGGACTTCATTCAGTAGGCAGTGGAGGGGCAGTTCAAGTCTATAAACATGATCAATGATGTGCTCTAAAAAGAAACCATTTTGTTTGGGGTGAGGTTCAGGCATCATCTCAAGCTTCTAAAGATGATGATCAGAATCAGATGATTCTAACATGCCAGCAGGGTAGAAAGACACTAGCCTAAGGAAAGCCTATGCATATCTCTCAATCTTCATCAAACAAAATTTGGAAGAAACCACCTATTACTAGCTAAGTTTGACCTAGCAAAATCAAAATTTAAAAAGCAGACCATTCCCATAACAAAAGAAAAATAGATATTGAATATATACAATTTATTTAATAAATTAATGTCATTCAAAATACAGTGCCAGAACATGGTGCAGTTGAACATGCTAGTAATGTTTGTCATGAAGCACCTGTGCTCATGTTAGATTGGCGGCGCCCCACTACTGCTAGTGGTTCCTGGGATTAATGCCAGAGCAGCGCTAGTTATCTGCTCTTCTGCACAGCTAGTGCAGAGAATTCCTGAACAGTTCACCTTACTAATCCTAACCCCCACACGCACACAACAGGTTAAAAAAAACACACCCTGACAGCTAACAGATCTATACACAATCACTCTACAGTAATGCTTGTTATTAAATTAAGATGTAATGACCTGGTTAACCCACTCTAAATCTTGAAGATGGAGAACTACATCAGCAGCAGATAGTTATATGCATGAGCCAATGTTAACATAATACAGAAAGTGGAGGCTTTTTCTGATTAAAGCTCCACGCAGACCCGCACAATGAGTGGCTGGCAATTCTTACTGCAAGCCTAGCAACTTAAGTCCACACCTGGTAAATGACCAGCTGACTGGAAGACCTGTATTCTAGATAGACAAGTATAAGTTAGTGAAAAGAGAATACATGCACCTAATAGTATAGTTAGACTGATCCTGCAGTCATAGCTTTCCCTGTGTAATACCATAAAATTATGGAAGATCTTCCTCAACTAGAGTATAGGATTTAGACATTTCTATACCAACACGGACATTAGTGTTAAGTGCAGTTGAATTAATTACACTGAAAACTGTATTCCAGGACTTCAGAACAGAAGCACGGGAATGAAACACACATACTAAAATAACCTCAGCACAATTTGTGATACATCACACTAGGAACAGGAAACTACTTTTATAAATGAACTTTTTGAACTGTACATACACAGGGCTAACAATGTTAGATAATCCAGATTCTTATACTCTCATGATTACACATAAAGTTTCTCAATTATTGAATAATCTATTTCATATTATGGAAGCATATCTTTCTGTAAGACTCACTGATATATATTATACTGATGCAAATATTAAGTAGGGCATAAAAATAAAATTTATCAAAGATAGAATTTTATGTACTCATATTTAGTTCTTTCATAGCCTCTTTTGTTTAGCAAAGAAAATGACAAAGCACATAACTCAGGCGTGCACTCCCTGAACTTCCCCACTATACAGGTGGTAGTGCAACCATTTCTCCATCCAGTTCAAACTCTTCTGTCCCATCCGTTGAAAAAAGATAAGTTGGTGGTTTCCATGGAGACTCTTCAAGGCAGGATGGATAGAGTTTCCCCACAGTGCATCGAAAATCTCTCCCCAAGTCCCACAGTACACGTTCAGATATATGCTGCCGCAGAGACCACCGGTCAAGTTCCAGGTCATATTGGTAGGTGACGTATTTAGCTCGCTCATTTAAGTGGGTTTCTCGCATAAACACACATAGAGAATTTGAGATCACAACAGCTCTAACACAGGGGTCAGAGTACCTCTTAGCAGGGATGTTGGCTGCCATTTTCCACTCATTTTTATTCACATCATAAATTTCCACAGTTACTGAAGACCCATCTACAGTGCCAGAGGGGAGTCTTATGCCGGAATTGGTAGCAATATGCAACCCTCCAATATAGAAAATTTTATCACCAAAAGCTGCAGCTGAAGCAAAGGACCTACTAGTCTGTCTCATGGCCATTTCTACCCATGAGTCAGACCTTGGAAAATAACAGTACATGAGGTTCAGTGTCATCACATAAATGCAGTCATGAACCACAACTGCTGCACTCCATTGCCAAGCACAAGGTAAAGGGCTTACCATCGTCCACTCATCTTTCTCAGTGTCGTATCTTTCTACGGTCCTCCGATTAAGTTCTCCACCTACGCTATCTCCTCCAATTGCATAGATATAGCCTTCACAGCAAACCAAAGATGGCTTTATGCGGACAAAAAGCATTGGGGTCTTTGGAAACCAGGTATTTTGCTGTGCATCAAACCAATAAAAGCAATTCACAGTTCTGAAGGCAGTCTGAAGTTTGCTTGTTTTACTGTGATTTGTTTTTGTGTTTTTCAGAGGAACTTGACCCCCTGCTATGTAGATATCATTATCAGGAGTTACAACGGTCCCAACCTTATGCAAATCAGCTGGTGGGCTACATAACTTGTAAACTTTTTCTGCTTGGGGGCTGTAACAGACAGAAGAGTAAAGACTACAAGGATTTTCTGAAGATGCTTCAATGAAAATCATCATTTCCTCTTTAGTCATCCCAAGTCTTGGTTTGAAAAACTTGGGCATGGACTTATACAGACCTTGAACCACCACTGACTTATCATTGGGTGGCAGACCTTGAAACCAAGCTCTCTGTGTTACTTCTGAAAGTGCATCAATTCTGATTTGGCTAAGAACAGAAGACAAATACTGGGATCGTGATTCTGTGTTATACTCTAGCCACAGCATAGCAGCTTCTCGAACGGTTTCTTCCTTTTCTACATTTAAATTGTCACTACTGAGAATATCTATCAGTAGGTCATGTGACAGCTGCATGAACGCGTCCTGATGATACACAGCAGTGAACTTGTGCTCCACCATTCTTTTAGCACTCTGTTTTAATTCCTCACAACTGAAGAGATCAGCAAAACTCAACAATCGTACACAATTCTCTGCATTTATTTTTTTAATTAAATATTCTCGACAACGTTGTAACACATCTTCTACCTAGAATGAGAAGGAAAAAAAAAACAGGCTGATAGGGCCAGGACAGACACATTTTACTTTTATGTAAGACGTAAGTATATTAATCAGATGCCCATAGTGTAATTTTTATTTTCAGATACACACATCTGGGCTGAGATAAGGTCTTCTGGTAGTAATAAACTCAGAAGACTATAAAATTTTGCAGTATTTTTTCCTGCTCAGTGGCCTACTTAACTGTTCTATTTAGGAACCAGCAGTACAACAATAAATAGGCTCTTAAAAAACAAAACAGCCTTAAAGAATAGGTAAGGAAATTCACACATAAGTCATACTTTCCTAGACTTTATATATAATTGAGAGAACTATATGAAAAAATGTAAATAAATCATAGTATAGAGAAAATTATTGTTGTTGAATAACTGGATTCTGGTTTCCTCAATTTGAACACAGTCACATAAAACCAGAAAATCATGCACAATGAGTAAGAGTAGTTATTTGCCATTCTTATCGAGAGGTAAGATAACAAAGCAACACGAAATAGACTTACGTGCAGTTATAAATCACCTACATTTAAATGACCCATCTTAGCCACTGTAAGCTTCCTAGATTTGTTTTTTCTTAAGAAGGTAGATCTCAGTTGAATCAGATGTGCTACCCACTATACTTATTCAGCATCACAGTGATTAACTAGAAACTGTTTACACTGACAAGTCAGGTTGCTTGGATTTAAAACTTAATTGGCCAATTAGTACCTGGAAACTACTTATTAGGAAAGAAGCTTCACATCTCTAAACTTCAATTTTCTCTTATATAAAATGGGGAAATAATAGTTATCTCCCTCAAATGAGCCCTGTAAGGATCAGATGAGAATATATATAAAGTATCAGTACACCATCTGGTACTGAAACATATGATCACTTCATGTGGTTGATAGTGAAAGTAATATTGGTAGTCATAGAATGCCCCATCTCAGGCTTCCAGGGCAACACAGTCTAAGAGGCAGAGTCCTGTTTTGCATTTGAGCAAGCAGAAGTAGTATACGGTTTTCGTTAAAATGGCAGAAAAAAAATGT
Organism: Homo sapiens; assembly: GCF_000001405.40. NCBI lineage: Eukaryota > Metazoa > Chordata > Mammalia > Primates > Hominidae > Homo > Homo sapiens. Next base: position 32,871,932 of record NC_000007.14, read on the forward strand.
TAAGGAGCAGTGTCAATATTTACAGTAACAAAGTATTCTGGAATCAGATTTTCTTAAAATTCCTTAATGCCTTAGTAATTCTGAGAAATGCCTGCTTTTAAAAGAAGGACCAACAAAAAATTAGCTGGATGTGCTGGTGCATGCCTATAATCCCAGCACTTTGGGATTACAGGGAGGAGGATTACTTGAGCCCAGCAATTTGAGACTGCAGTGAGCTATCACCATGCCACTGCATGGTGGCATGCCACTGCATTCCAGCCTGGGCAACAGAACAAGACATGTCTCTAAAAATAAAAAGTAATGACAACTTGCAAACTATATAAAGACAGTGCTTCCAATAAGCATTTCTCCCGTTCAAGTTTGGAATTACTAGTGCACCAGCAAGCTACCCCAGCCTCAGTTTCCCCAGAGTTGTGGGTAGAGTAGAACACTAACGATAAAGTTAGTGTAATAAGGAGTAAAGGTTGGCCAGGTGTTGTAACTCGCACCTGTAATCCTAGCACTTTGGGAGGCCTAGGTGAGAGGAGTGCCTGAGCTCAAGAGTTTGAGACTAGCCTGGGCAACATAAGATCTTGTCTCTACAAAAAAATCAAATAATTAGCCAAGTGTGGTGATGCATGTCTACAGACCCAGCTACTCAGGAGGCTAAGGCTGGGGGATGACTTGAGCCCAGATCGAGGCTGCAGTGAGCTGTGATCTCACCACTGTGCTGCAGCCTGGACAACAGAGCAAGACCCTGTCACACAAAAAGTTGAGTATCCCTAATTCAAAAATTCAAAATCCAAAATGCTCCAAAAACTGAAATGTTTTGAGTGCTGACATGACACTTGAAATACTCACGGGAGCACTTCAGAGTCTAGATTTTTAGATTAGGGATGATGTAAATCTAACATATAATGCAAATATCCTAAAATCTGAAAAAATCTGAAACTGGCTGAACTGGATTTCTGGTCCCAATCATTTTGGATAAAGGGTACTCAACCTATGGAAGATTAAAAAGGAAGGAGACTACATAAAGCATGAACTGAGTTCTGGTTTCCAGAATTATACCCAGGTGTTGGCATTCAACCAGTGTCATGCATACTCATTCAGTGCATATTTATTAAGTACTTAACAAATATCACGAACAGTGCTCTCCAAATTTAACCTTTGATCTAAAGGTTCTCCCTCTGAAGAAACTTAGTGAAATACAGTGTTATTCCAAAACAGGAGATGAAATGAAGAAAAAAACTCTTATATTCCTCTTAAAATTTAAAAAGGGAACATGATGGGGAAATAAAGAGTAAAACAGTTTGTCATACATAAATATATCAACCATCACTTGTTTTGTTTAAATACTTCTCCTTAATTGCTCAATATGGTCACATAGCCATTATAAATATTTATCATAATTTCCACCAAGTTTTCTGTGAAAAATAGTACCATGAAAAATTAGTATATCTAAGCTCTAAGCAAAAAAAAAAAAAAAAAAAATTGAAACACTTAAATTCAATAAACACTGTTAAAAATTACTTTAATTTGGCTGGGAGTGGTGGCTCATGCCTGTAATCCCAGCACTTTGGGAGGCCAAGGCGGGTGGATCATTTGATGGCAGGAGTTCCAGACCGGCCTGGCCAATGTGGTGAAACCCCACCTCAACTAAAAATACAAAAATTAGCTGGGCATGGTGGTACATGCCTGTAATCCCAGCTATTCAGGAGGCTGAGGCAGGAGAATCACTTGAACCCAGGAGGCAGAGGTTGTTGTGAGCCAAGATTGTGCCAGTGCACTCCAGCCTGGGCAACAAGAGTGAAATTCCGTCTCAAAAAAAAATTACTTTAACTTGAAATCAAAATTCTCAGGTATATTAGGTAGTAAAACACACGAAACCAGTATAAAATTTTCACCTATCTCTTTTATTAACAGATTTACATTCCCATCACAAAACTACTTAGTTTACTGGGTAATCAAATCCTATTGTTTTTCCCTTACACATTTTGTAAAAAGAAAAAAACCTTTTACCTTCTAAAACACGTAATAAGAAAATTACATAGATAAAAGACATTACTGGGCCAGGCATGGTGGTTCATACCTGTAATCCCAGGGCTTTGAGAAGCCAATGCAGGAGGATTGCTTGAGCCTGGGATTTTGAGACCAGCCTGGGCAACACAGTGAGATCGTGTCTCTACAAAAAATAAAAATATTGGCCCAGGGAGTGGTGGCTCATGCCTGTAATCCCAGCACTTTGGGAGGCCAAGGTGGGTGGATCACGAGGTCAGGAGATCGAGACCATTCTGGCTAACAACGGTGAAACCCCATCTCTACTAAAAATACAAAAAATTAGCCGGGGGTGGTGGTAGGCACCTGTAGTCCCAGCTACTCGGGAGGCTGAGGCAGGAGAATGGCATGAACCCAGAGGCGGAGCTTGCATCTGAGCTGAGATCGCGCCACTAGACTCCAGCCTGGGTGACAGAATGATACTCCGTCTCAAAAAAATAAATAAATAAAAATAAATAAATAAATAAATAAATAAAAATAGTAGCTGGGCATGGTGGTGCACACCTTTAGTCATCCCAGCTACTCAGGAGGCTGAAGCAGGAGGATCACCTGAGCCCATGAGTTCAAGGCTTCAGTGAACCATGACTGCACCAATGCACTCCAGCCTGGGTGACCGAACGAGACCCCATCTCAAAAACATAAATAAAAAATGTTTAACAATGTTTCCTCACAAAATAAACCACATAATAAACCAATAAGCTACAACTCATGTATGTAACTGAGTAAAAAAATGCTTACCTGTAGGCTGGACACAGTGGCTCACGCGTGTAATCCCAGCACTTTGGGAGGCCAAGGCAGGTGGATCACGAGGTCAGGAGATCAAGACCAGCCTGACCAACATGGTGAAACCCCGTACTAAAAATACAAAAATTAGCACCTGTAATCCCAGCTACTCAGGAGGCTGAGGCAGGAGAATCACTTGAACCTGGGAGGCGGAGGTTGCAGTGAGCGGAGATCGTGCCACTGCACTCCAGCCTGGGCAACAGAGAGAGACTCCGTCTAAAAAAATATATATATGCTTACCTGTAGGAAGCAAGCTGTTTCATAAAGCTGTTCTACAGTGCTGTCATTCATTGCCAAGTTACCCGTGTATGCATAAGTTATTATTATCTGTAAGGTGGCAGCATCGACATTCCTCAGGTGTACATGGGTTTGTTTGCTTTCACTTAGTCCACTCATAAACATGGCCCTACAGGGGAGATGAAGAAAACAAAGTTGTAAGGGTTTTGTGTAAAACAAATGTAGAGCTGAAAAGAACAATTAGACAATAAGAGGTGTTTATTTAGGGTATTTACTTATAAGAGAAACTTTTTCTTTTTTTGAGACAGGGTCTTGCTCTGTCCCCCAGGCTGGAGTGCAGTGGTACCATCATGGCTCACCACAGCCTTGACCTTCTGTGCTCAAACGATTCTCCTCAGTCTCCCAAGTAGCTGGGACTACAGGCATGCACCACCACACCCAGCTATTTTTTCTTTTATTTTTAGTAGAGACAAGGCCTCCCTATGTTGCCCAGGCTGGTCTCCAACTCCTGAGCTCAAGCAATCTTTCCTGCCTCAGCCTCTGAAAGTGCTCGGATTACAGGCATGAGCCACTGTGCCTAGCCAATGAAATTTTTGAGGGAGACAGATAAGAATAAAATCCAGTCCCAAATATATACCAGACTATTCCACCATGCCATTTTGAGTGAAAATCTCAAAATTCTATTCACTTCTTATATTCATACCATGAAATAATACTCAGCAATAAAAAGGAACTAAGTATTAATATATACTTTAACATAAATGAACCTGAAAACATTATGCTCAGTGAAAGAAGCCACACACAAAAAACCACATAGTATATGAGTCCGTTTATATAAAACGTCTAAAAAAGGAAAATATAGAGACAGAAGGTAGATTAGTAGTTCCTTAGAACTGTAAGAATGGGGTCTGTGACTATAAATAGACACAAAGTGATAAAAGTGCTCTAAATTTAGATTGTGGAAATGGTTGTGTAACTGTAAATATACTAAAATTCATTTAATTATATACTTAAAATGGGTAGATTTTGTGGTATGTAAATTACATCTCAATAAAGCTGTTAAAAATTCATTTACTCAAACAATTCTCTAAAAATATGCAGGACACTTTCCTAAAAATCTATTATATACAGGAAATCATGATGGAAAGGCAACTGGCATCATGGAGAATACTAAGTAGAATGCCCATATATAGGTAAGAGAGGAAAATAGGAGAGAAAAGCTTCTGCATGTAGCGGTCAACAGTGAGTGTCACAACAGTCACTAACTTGGGCACTAACTTGGGCCCCTCAAGGACAGAGATGAAGAAGCCATTCAAAATGGATAAAACAGGGTAGAACATAAGAAGCAATTGTTCAAGGGGCATAGCTTGAACATAAGGGCTCATGCAGGAAACCAGAAAATGAATTGGAAAGATGGAGAGCAGTCAGATCACAGAGGGCCTTTAAATGAGACAAGAGAGTCTGAGCTTTTCCTTGTAGATAGTGGGGAAAACCAAAGGGTTTCAAGTCTGAATTTAGCATGACAAAATGTAAGTGATAAATGTAGGATGAATACTCTAAGCTGACAGACTATAAGAGCTAAAGGCTAGAGACAGGAAAACTGGCTATCAGGCTATGACAATAATATACCTAAGAGGTAAGAAACTAAGTTATATTGGCAGAAATGAATACAAAAACCACTATAGCTGGGCGCTTGGTGGCTCACACTTGTAATCCCAGCATTTTGGGAGGCCGAGGTGGGCAGATCATCTTAGGCCAGGAGCTCGACACTAGCCTGGCCAACATGGTGAAACCCTGTCTCCACTAAAAAATACAAAAATTTGCTGGGCGTGGTGGCAGGTGCCTGTAATCCCAACTACTCAGGAGGCTGAGGCAGGAAAATCACTTGAACCCGGGAGGCAGAGGTTGCAGTGAGCCAAGATCGAGCCACTGCACTCCAACCCGGGCAACAAAAGTGAAACTCCACCTCAAAAAGGAACAAACAAACAGACAAACAAAACCCACTATAAAGAGCCAATAGGATCTGGTGCTTTTCTTTTTCTTTTTTTGAGACAGAGTCTCACCCTGTTGCCCAGGCTGGAGTGCAGTGGTGGTATCTCAGTTCACTGCAACACCCAACTCCCAGGTTCAAGCGATTCTCCTACTTCAGCATCCCGAGTAGCTGGGATTACAGGCGCCCGCCACTACGCCGGCTGATTTTTTGTATTTTTAGTAGAGATGGGGTTTCACCGTGTTAGCCAGGATGGTTTCAATCTCCTGACCTCGTGATCCGCCCGCCTCTGCCTCCCAAAGTGCTGGGATTACAGGCATGTGCCAGCACTCCCGACCAGAAACAGCAAATACTTAATTTCATAATATTGTAACAGGCTGAAGTACCACAACAGAAGTGCTGAGTAATTCTCAAGCAATTCTCTCATTTTGGGTCTAAAATGAACTATAAATGTTACCAAGAAATATTAAAACTATTATTCAGAGGTACCTACTAATTATTGGTGGGATAGACAGAACTGGTAACTCAAACTACAAAGGAAGAATGTATTTAGTTCAGAAGGCAAAATCTCTACAGTAGATGTATAGGAGCATTAGATGTAAAGATCTCGAAATCTACAATTCTGCCAGCAGAATCTAGTTGAAGAACACTTGTGAAAAGCTCAAATTATATCCTGTGGATATGAAACTGTCCCAGGCACAAGATTTTAATGATGGATGGCTTCAACCCCAAACACATATTGAACTATTTTTATTTATTTAATAAATATCTGATTTGTTTTAGGTATAATACACAGTTGTCCCTTGGTATCTGTGGGGGACTGATTGGTTAACAAACTTCCCAGACTTGGCTGGGTACAGTGGCTCACACCTGTAATTCCAGCACTTTGGGAGGCCGAGGCGGGTGGATCACTTGAGATCAGGAGTTTGAGACCAGCGTGGGCAACATGGTGAAACCCCGTCTCTACTAAAAATACAAAAAAAATTAGCCGGGCATGGTGGTGTGTGCCTGTAATCCCAGCTACTTGTGAGGCTGAGGCACAAGAACCACTTGAACCTGGGAGGCAGAGGTTGCAGTGAGTCGAGATAGCACCACTGCACTCCAGCCTGGGTGACAGATTGCGACTGTCTTTAAAAAAAAAAAAAAAAAATTGTAGGCATAGCAAAGGCAACAACTGGTGTTTGAGCCTTAGCTTCTGCAATCATCATGGGATGTGTTAGGGAATGTGAAGTTTCGGTATCTTCATACAAAGTCAGTCAGCCCTGAAAGGTCAAATGAAATCTATCCTGTCTATAGCTGCCATTAAAGAACAGCAGAACAGGCGGTGCGCAGTGGCTCACGCCTGTAATCCCAGCACTTCGGGAGGCCAAGGCAGACGGATCACAAGGTCAAGAGTTTGAGACCAGCCTGACCAACATGGTGAAACCCCATCTCTACTAAAATTACAAAAATTAGCCCAGGCGTGGTGGTGCGTGCCTGTAATCCCAGCTACTTGGGAGGCTGAGGCAGCAGAATCACTTGAACCCAAGAGGCAGAGGTTGCAGTGAGCCGAGATCGCGCCACTGCACTGCACTCCAGCCTGGACAACAGAGTGAGATCGTCTCAAAAAAAAAAAACAAAAACAAAACAAAACAGCAACATCAAACTCACTAATGATTGCTGCTTATGTCTGTTAATATTTGTAGTAGAAATATACAGGTCCACATTTAATTCACCTTTATTCTCCCTGTCCCTTTCAAATATTAAGTCAAAATTACCTAAAAGCAAAGAACAAATAAAGCAATCCATCTATGCCTTGGCTTCTATTCTGCTCAGGAAACGTACAACAAAGACGCAAAAGATCATAAAAATGTAAAGTTAAGCTTTATGTATTTGTTATTAGCAAAGAGTAACTAAATTAACTTCTGCATTCAGAGGCATAGAGAACACCAACGTTACTAGTTATTAAATATTTAAATCTGGCAAAGAGTCTAGTTAGTATAAAGAAATATCACAAATGGTAATAGTAAAGAGTGAGAAAAAATATATTTTGTAAAGAAAAGTCTTAACCTATCTAACAGCACCAATTTTTACCCTCTAAAAATTACTATTTGAGCCTATAACTTGTCAGTTTAAAAACAGAGATCACTGTTTTCTAAAGGCAGCATTTTAAAATCTCAAAGTGTAAATTATCCCATTTTTCTTTCTCTTTTAATGGAAAAAGAATATTCTAAACCTTTCTGCCTTCCCAACATTAAAACTTTACCTTAGTTAATTGCAACACATTTCTTGTATTTCAACCTTTATAAAACTTCTTTCATGTGTCTCTTACACATGCAAGAATGAGATTTGCCAAGTACTACATCATCTGAATAGAAACCTTAAGCAAAACTTAAAAACAAAAATTGAGATGTGGCTTTTTAAAAAATTAAATAACATTTCAAAGAATTTCTATTTAAAACATTAAAAGTACTTACCTGAAATAAGAGCTACATGTTGCAAGAACCATCTTATGACAAGGGAATTCAGTGCCCTCAACAATTAACACTATGTCAGTAAACAACTGCTGTTCATAAAACAGTTTCAACTGTTCCAACAATGACACAGCATATTCAGTATTGATCTGCCTCTCGTCTTGAGTGGACATGACTGTATTCCATTAATATCTCCAGGAACAGATTAGAAAAGTCCGTCTTACTGATGGAAGGTCAAGTGAATACTTCAGAAATAAAGGAGAACCTACTTGCTGTTATCTGCAGCATTCAGTACCAAGACTGACACATTCACTAATGAGTAATATCTTGTTACACAGACTTAGAATCACTCCTAGGTCATCCTGTGTTAATTAGGTTCTTCAGAGTTTTTCAACACAGTCTGCAGACATTGTGCTCAAATCTGCAATTGTGCAGCTCATGAGTGAAAGAGAAAAATACACGAGGTAGATTTTGTGGCAACATCCTATGTTCAGCGGATCCTGTGGAGTAACTAAAAAGAAAAAAAGTTCAGTTGTAGTATCTAGGCCAGTACGGTTTTAGAATATAACGTTTAAAATGGCAGCCTTAAATAGAAATCATATTTATTTCAAGTTCAACTTTAGACATTACCATAAAAGTGAAACATGACAAAAATGAAGATTCTTAGTCTACATTTAAAATTAAAAAACAAGAAAATTACCAGTTGTAATTTCAAGTTAACTTTTGCCTTCTATACAAAATATAACTGTCACAGAAAATAACGAACACATGAATAAGTACACATTTTTAAAGCTCTTTCAAAATAGACAACTTAAATTACCAAAGCCAGATCTCTTAGTTATTTGTCTGGTAGCAACAAATGATCATAATATTTAAGAAAAAATATTTTTTTAAAAAAACAAAAAACCTGCTCTCCTACACAGAGATTTCTCGTTCTCCGAATATATTTTAAACACGTTCACAAAGTCTTCATATTTAATTTAAACTATACGGTAAATAGATTCAAACTGTTAATTTTCAAATTTGCCATTCAATTCACTAGGAGAACTATATGTAATTTGTTTCTTTGTGGAGTGGTTCTTTCCTAGGAATCTTTACAAATAAAAGTATATTTTACTTAAAAAAAAAAAACATAAAATGTAATGGGTATATGTTCCTACCCAGAAAACTCCATATTACACAAATATGAATGTTCTCCGAATTAATATGTAACTTTAATACAAATCCAATCTAAATCCTATTTTCAAGGGATTTATCTGGAAGAATGCACAAAGGTTGCTAAGATATTTGAGGGGAAGAAGGGCAAGTTTTTAATGATTTTTATGAAAATATTAAATGTACTATAAAACTGCCATAAAACCAAGTACACATAAGAAACCAGAGATGACTGGCCGGGCACAGTGGCTCATGCCTGTAATCCCAGCACTTTGGTAGGCCGAGGCAGGCGGATCACAACGTCAGGAGTTCGAGACCATCCTGACCAACATGGTGAAATCCTGTCTCTATTAAAAATACAAAAGTTAGCTGGCCGTGGTAGTGTGTGCCTGTAATCCCAGCTACTCAGGAGGCTGAGGCAGGGGAATTGCTTGAACCCGGGAGGTGGAGATTGCAGTGAGCCAAGATCGCACCACTGCACTCCAGCCTGGGTGACAGAGCAAGACACCGTCTCAAAAAAAAAAAAAAAGAAATTAGATATGATAAAGATAAATATGGTATCTCAAGTTAGGAAGAATGGTTTATTTCAACAAATAATGTTGGAAGTGGCTAACTGCTCAAGGGGGCAAAAAAACCTAGGCTTTAGTCATACTGCATACCATTCATCAAAAAAAAAAACCAAAATTCCAGCTGAATAAAAATTTAATTTGGAACTCAGTATTCACAACACATGGCAAAGGAATTACAAATCAGGAAAAGAGGAAAATCCCAAATAGAATGCTACTAATATGTTAACTATAAAAACTGCCACCTCTTTTTTCACCAACTGTTAAGATGACCATTAGTTACCATAATGAGAAATGACTCCATCATTAGAATCACTGTTATTTTTCCTCACAAAATACCATCCATTATGTCAAAGAGAATGACATACACTTCCTGACAAACTATACTATTACAGTAACTGCTAACTTGATATACAGTCAAGTTTCCAGCCAAGTTAACTTTGAAAGTAACTAAAACAGGTGCAAAGGCAGAGTGAGACTCTGGGTCATTTAAGGTAATAACTTTGCTCTTCCAGAACAGCATGTCACACTATAAATCTGAGTTCTACTACTATAATCTCTAAGGCAAATAATACTTAAAATCACTGGCTATTTCCACACATTAATAATGCAGCAAGGCATAGTGTTGTTGAGGGTGTGGAAAAACAAGCATTCTTACACAGAGGAGTAAGTTGATACATACCCACAATCCCTTATTCAAAACTCTTGACACAAGACACGCTCCAGAATTTACACTTTTCCAGATTTTATAGAGGTATTGTGACACATGTACCCTACATTATGAAATCCTCTCAAGAAGTCTCAGGTAGCAATGGATAATCAAACATATTATCTTTGCTGAGGCAACTATGAATGGTGTCAAAAATAAAGACTATATATAGCCTCACGTTACTTCAGGTCAGGTTTTACTAGCAAAGATTTTTTTTTTTTAACAACTTGATTTTTCAGAGCTTTTTGAATTTCAAAATTGCAAGTATTAATAATACTTGGCACTGGAAATGCTTAATACCAATCTACTAATCCTACTTCTAGAAATATATTTTACAGAAATATATGCATTAATAAAGTAGAAGTCCTAATCCCAGTAGCTGGACTCAAAATTGTCCCCATCCATGTTTAAACAAGGTGACAGCAACTGGTGGCCAGGGCCAAGACAGACTTAAATCATGCCGCTAGACCCCAGAATTTCTTGCAGGCTAGCGGTACAGGCTCACTCTGGTCATTTCATTAACCATATAATAATATGATTTTCTGCAATGATTTTGGGGAGGCCTCATTTACGACTGGGTTTTGCCAGATTTGATTTTTTATCGTATCCATGAAACCGTATTAAAACAATTGAAGTCTGCTTCTAAAAAAGTACAAAGTCATACTCATTAACACAGCTTTATTAGATTCCCCTATTTCCCACTCTTCTTTTGTAATCCAGGATACATTTTCTTCCTGGAGAGGCAGCCTACGTAAAAGTTACCTTAAAATAGGCAGAAAAAGTAAGTCATTCAGATATGACACTAAGTAAATAAACAAGTACAATTAAAAATAAAATTAAAGTCAGGAGTGGTGGCTCATGCCTGGAATCCCAGCACTTTGGGAGGCTGAGGTCGGTGGATCACTTGAGGTCAGGAGTTCAAGACCAGCCTGGCCAACATGGCGAAACCCCATCTCTACTAAAAACACAAAAAAATTAGCTGGACATGGTAGCACGTGCTGTAATCCCAGCTACCCAGGAAGCTGAGGCCAGGGAATCACCTGAACCTGGCAGACGGAGGTTGCAGTGAGCCGAGATCGTGCCACTGCACTCCAGCCCAAGTCACAGAGCAAGACTCCGTCTCAAAAACAAAACAAAACAAAAACAAAAAATAATAAATAAAATTAAGTATCTCACCCCTCTGGGAGCATGGACTTCAAAAGGTATTAACTAAAAATGTGAAAGCTTGGCCAGGTGTGGTAACTCACGCCTGTAATCCCAGCACTTTGGGAGGCCTAGGAGGGCAGATCACTTGAGGCCTGAGGCCTGGAGTTCAAGACCAGCCTGACCAACATGGCAAAACCCTGTCTCTACTAAAAATACAAAAATTAGTCGGGTATGGTGGCTCATGCCTGTAATACTAGCTACTCTGGAGGCTGAGGCTGCTTCAAGCTGAAACTCACTTGAACCCAGGAGGAGGAGGTTGCAGTGAACTGAGATCACACCACTGCATTCCAGCCTGGGCAACACAGCAAGACTCTGTCTCACGAAAATAAAAATAAAAATGTGAAAATTTGCAAAGTTTAGGACGATCAACCAACCATCTTCAAATGCCCACAACACAAACATTTTCTGTAAAAGGCTCCTTCCCTCCTAAAACTTGAAACCAGTACTCTAAATCCTCTGAAGCAATTCAGTATGTACTATATTAATTACCAACTGATGTGACGTATTTTACAAATTTTCCCTTTTCAATAATTACATTTTGTATATCATTCTATATCTAAAATCAGCTTCAAAACGTCACAGACCCTGTTATCTGTAGAAGCCAGCTTCCCCAGATTAATTCTCAGGTATCAAGGAAACTGTTGACTTAATTTTCTTTTCTGAATGAATGGCTAAATTCCACAAATGTTTATTGAATACTAAGTGCCAATCATTGCACTTTACATACTCGGATTCAGAGAAGCCAAACACTAAAGCTCCAAAACACCAAGGGCTTTTACTCTTACTACAGATTACAGCCACAGCTACAGCTGTCATTCAAAAACATGGTGTTTTAAAAACCAGCTATTCTAGACAAACTTAAAAGCCAAGAAGCAAGCAAATGAGTGAAGCAAGCTGGGTATATGAAACATTTTTCTTGAAATGTAGCTATCTTAATCTTTTTCTTTCAAACTTTTAATAGAGACATGAGTTCAAGAAATTTTACTCTTTACCGTAAGAAAAATTGTAGTACAGGTAAAATGAGCAAAGGTATCTGGTGCTCAGCCCTACTACTAACAGTGGATCACACAGGAGGAAGGAAAAACTTATTGAAGACCTATTTAAACCTTCTGGATTTTCTTAATATATGCAATGATTACCTGATTTTTACAAAATAAACTTTTGGCCAGCTGTGCTGGCTCATGCCTGTACTCCCAGCACTTTGGGAGGCCAAGGCGAGAGGGTACCTTGAGGCCAAGAGTTCAAGGCTGCAGTGAGCTATGATCATGCCACTGCACTCCAGCCTGGGCAACAGCAAGATTCTGCCTCTAAAATTTTTAATTTAAAAAAAAAAAAAAAAAGGCTGGGCACAGTGGCTCATACCTGTAATCCCAGCACTTTGGGAGGCTGAGGTGGACAGATCACCTGAGTTCAGGAGATTGAGACCATCCTGGCCAACATGGTGAAACCCCGTCTCTACTAAAAATACAAAAATTAGCCTGGTGTGATGGTGCGTGCCTGTAATCCCTGCTACTCGGGAGGCTGAGGCAGGAGAATGGCTTGAACCCAGGAGGAGGAGGTTGCAGTGAGCCGAGATCGCACCACTGCACTCCAGCCTGGGCAACAAGAGAGAGACTCAGTCTCAAAAAAATAAAAATAAAAATAGTAATAATAATAAAACTTCAAAAGGTACACTATTCTCTCTTCTCATAACAAAGACAAAATATTTTAGGCTTTGGGAGCCATAAGGTCTCTATCCCAAAGATTTAACTCTTGCTGCAGCCTGAAAGCAGCCAAAGACAATATGGAAACAAATGTTATTTCAATAAAACTTTGTTTACAAGAACAGGTTACAGGCCACATTTACCAAACGCTGCTTTATTTTTAAAAATTTATATTTCTTTTATATATATATGTGTGTATGTGTGTGTATATATATATATACACATATATGTGTATATATATATATATACACACACATACACACACACAAATTTTAATTTTTTTTTTTAAGAGACAGGATTGTACTATGTTGCCCAGGCTGGTCTTGAACTCCTACGTTCAAGCGATCCACTTGCCTTGGCCTCCCAGAGTACTGGGATTACAGGTGTGAACCGCCGCACCTGGCCTTACACTGCTTCTTGATGAAATATTTAGTCAGTGACTAAAATACGTACCTCAAGTTGTTTCTGCAAGAATAATGTTTCTCTTCAGATCACAAAACAAGGAAAAGCACAAACTTTAAATTCCTGAACGCGGAATTAAATATAATTCTTAATCTAATTTATATATATTCCACTTTTCTTCTCAACCAAAATATTCTAACATCTTTTACCTAGTCACACAACTGCTTTCCCCAATTCCTGCTAGTTCCGTGGACTTCCGAAACATGTTCTTATCTAGTGTGAGTACCTTTAATTAAGGTTAAAAAAAAAAAAAAAGACATCTCTCCCCAAGATAACCTGCCAAAAAAAAAATCCATACTGAGAAAAAGCTATTCAAAAACACTTAAATTACTTTGGGAAATCCCTGTTATAAGCCACAATTCCTGGTATCAGGTGCTTCCAGATTAGTAAGAAAGTCCTATATTCTAACACTGATCATTAGAATATATTCCATAGTAAAAAATGCTAACCAGCATAAGAATTAAATTGGAGTCATGCAAACACAATATAATGAAATTCACAATCTTAATAAAGTGCAATGTACTTTGACATAAAAAGTGTACATATTCTTACTCCTTCTTTTAAGTCCTGCGCTCAATTCAGTGTTTTTGACTGATTTGCTTGATCGCAGAGAATGGCAAAGATAAGGTTAAAATGTTATACACAGGATGAAATCCTCTCCTCCACTGTCTACACACTTTTTTTTTTTTTTTTAAAGACAGAGTCTCGCTCTGTCGCCCAGGCTGGAGTGCAATGGTGTGATCTAGGCTCACTGCCACCTCCACCACCCGGGTTCAAGCAATTCTCCTGCCTCAGCCTCCTAAATAGCTGGGATTACAGGCACGCACCACCATGTCCGGCTAATTTTTCACATTTTTAGTAGAGATGGGGTTTCACCACGTTGGCCAAGTTGGTCTCAAACTCTTGACCTCAGGTGATCTGCCTGCCTCGGCCTCCCAAAGTGCTAGGATTACAGGCATGAGCCACCACGTCCGGCCTCTACCCACTGACTTTCTACGAATTATTACAGGACAAAGTCCTATTTATTTTTAAATCCGAAGACTACCTACAGAAGTCAAAAATTTATAAACTGATTGAAAACAAATGCTTCTAATACATTTTCTCTAGGATGCCCAAGTCTCCGAGGTTCTGAGTGAATTCCAACACATAAAAGTTTTGAAACATTGTTACTAAATGATTGTCAGGATTAAATCAGTTAGCAATCGACAGTAACATATACAATTCTACTTAAAAATCTGAAACTCTTCCCACAAAATATTATTTCTAGAGATGACTTAAAGTATTGGGAGGATATGCACAGGTTATCGAAAATACTACGGCATTTTATCAGAGACCTGAGTGTCCTTGGATTTTCATATCCCAAGGGGACCTAGGAACTAATCTCCCACTGAAACCAAGAGACAACTGTGTTTCTATGCAACAAATTTAAGTTGGTTGTCTGAATTCCTCACTTAACTTTCCTATAAAATAACAGTATTAAAAAGGTGTTTAACTTCTCACTATAAGCAGCAAAACATGCCTGAAAGTCTATCAGCAAAGAAAATTTACAAAGTAAATACTACTTTAATACTCATAAAGAGATAAGTGACCATGAAATTGTTTTACAGATTCTGATTATTAACATTAAAGGATAAGGAACCAAGATTAAAAGTATGAAATGTTGAAATTTTTAAAAAATCCCAAATACTTTTAAAGATGTCAGAGGTTGATGGCAGTGTTTTGGCTTTTTGGGGGGAGGCAATGAGGGGGGATAGATGTCTAATTTCACTTTGAAATCAAGTTTTCATTCCTAGAGGTGTGTACTTTGTAGCATCCTCCCACTGAGTAGCCTGGAAACACAAATAGAAGCAAAGCAAGCTTTTCCAATGTTAACCAGGCAGAATATAGAGACTGAGGAACGAATAAAGGATTAAAGAACTATTGAATGTGATAAAGAAACCAATCAGCAATTAACTGAGCTGTGGATGAAAAAGGAAGAAAGGATAAAAAGATGGGAAGGAGGCTGCTAGCAAGGCCTGCTACAATAAGCACAGTAGTAGGTACAAAGTTTCCATTGGACAGGAGGAATAAGTGTTACTGATCTGTTACACAGCATGTTGATGATCGCAGTTAACAATAATATACTGTGTATTTCAAAACTGCTAAAGATTCTAAATGTTCTCACCACAAAAAAAATAAGTACATGAGGTGACAGATGTAAATAGCCTGATTTAATCATTCCTCAATGTGTACATAGATTGAAACATCACATTGTAGCCCACAAATACATACAATTATTTGCCAACTAAAAATAAAATAAATTATATAGTAGGAATGAAGGAATGATAGGTCTCCCTCCAGGAGGGGCAGTGCGGCTATAAATCATTCACCTGTAGGAAGCACATTCAAATTGTACATTACTAACTTAGGGAGTGCTGCATCTCCCAATGCTACAAATGTCAATAGAGAAGATTAAAAATTTTTGTTGGAAAAGATCCAAGGCGTTCTCCATGGAGGTCAACCGTTGAAAAATAATTGAGTACAAACCCAAACTACTTGGGTTAAAGCCCCAGTTCTGCAACTTAATAGCTGTGTGGCCCTTTTTAAGTTATTTATTCTCTATGCCTCAGTTTGCTCATCTATAAAATGTAGTTAAAAGTACAACTCTCTTCTCAATGAATTGTTCTAGGATTACATTTCATACTTGGTTCAGTACCTGACACACAGCACTACACAGATATTCGAAATTATTTTTATTAACCCACCCACTGGTGAAGCTTTTGCAGCACTTTCCCAACTCCTGGATTCCACACCTTCACCAGGTCCGAAGATTCCAATTTCAAGGTCTCAGCACTCCAAATACAGTTCTCTTTTTTCATTCTGTCTAAATGGTATTTTACATAAGAGAAATCCAATGTTTTCAGAGAATATTGGGACTTTTTTGCAAACATTTGACACTTGAAATCTGAATTCAGTGTTCTAAAATATTAAGATAATTTTTCCTTTTTTTTTCCTTTTCTCACATATTTTGATGGTACAAATAATGAAACAAACTAGTGCTTAAAAGACGACCAATCTTGAGGAGGCTGATGTCAGTGTAAAAAACTAAATGAGAGTCCAGAAAGGCACCAGTCATAAAACAAGCCTTTCTTTATTTCAATGAGATAGTTTTCTCCTTAGGAAGGACAAGAGATGGGTGCTAGAAACAGTTTGCTTTCAAGTTATCAAAACAACCACGACAGTTGAGAATGTCTGGAAAAGACCATTTGTTTTTTAGATTGTCAACTGCTACACAAACAGAATTTTCTGGAGTTGTGACAGGCATCAATTAAAAAACAAACCAAAAAAAAACAAAAAAACCAAAAAAACAAACACCTGGCCTTTTGAAGAATCTATCAAGTTTTAAAAATTTCAGCATACTTGCAGTGAGCCGAGATCGCATCACTGCACTCCAGCCTGGGCGACACAGCGAGACTCCGTCCCAAAAAAAAAAAAAAAAAAATTTCAGCATAGCTTCCTCTGCTCTAGTCACATTCAGAGCTTAGGTCTGTTCTCTCTTTCCAACCATACTGATAGATGACATGGCTCCATCAGGTTAATTACGCTCAGCACCCTAAGTAAATTCAGGTCACAAGTACAAGCTGTACTATATTATGATTAACAAGTTATCTCAGTTTTAAAAAATTAAACAAGAACATAAAGGCAATGCCACCTGCGATACAATAATCATATGAGTATACTATGTCCTTTTATTTTGGGTATCACTTTTCCTTTTTCCTCTCACCTCTGCGCAGTGACTTAAGAAAGCTGGGGAAAAGTGGCCAGGCGCAATGGCTCACACCAGTAAATCCCAGCACTTTGGGAGGCCGAGGCGGGCAGATCACCAGGTCAGGAGATCGAGACCATCCTGGCTAACACGGTGAAACCCCATCTCTACTAAAAATACAAAAATTAGCCCAGCGTGGGCTACTCAGGAAGCTGAGGCAGGAGAATGGCGTGAACCCGGGAGGCGGAGCTTGCAGTGAGCCAAGATCGCGCCACCGCACTCCAGCCTGGGCGACACAGCGAGACTCCGTCTCTTAAAAAAAAAAAAAAAATTACTTGAGATCGGCCGTCTGCGGTAGCTCACGCCTGTAATCCCAGCACTTTGGAAGGCCGAGGTGAGGGGATCACGAGGTCAGGAGCTCGAGACCAGCCTGACCAACATGGTGAACCCTCATCTCTACTAAAAATACAAAAATTAGCCAGGCCTGGTGGGGCGCGCCTGTAATCCCAGCTACTCAGGAGGCTGAAGCAGGAGAATCACTTGAACCCTGAAGGCGGAGGTTGCAGTGAGCCGAGATCGTGACACTGCACACCAGCCTGAGTGACAAGAGACTCTGTCTCAAAAAAAAATTACTTGAGATCAACCTGTCATTTCTAATACTGAGTTATTTAAGTATCAGTTGGTCTATTCAAACTCTACAAAACTGAAAAGATTAAGCTAACAAAGGACTTTGAAATTTTCACTCATATTTTATGACACCAGGATCAATCCTTTTTCCTGGCCTTACTTGTCTTAGGAATGTGGGCAAAGAGAAGAGGGGAAGGGGGACTCTTTTCTAAATGTGTAACATTTTTGGAAAAACCAATGTTATCATTTGGCTTTTAAGACTGCATTCAAGTTTCTAGGAATTCACCTTGCACATTCAATGTTCAATGTTTAGGAATGAAAAGCTCAACATTTCTACCAACCAGAAGAAAATCTATGGAGGAGCATGGACATATGTACTGATACCTCTATTCCTTCCCATCTCCTTACATGCCCTGTGAATAACATAAGTTAACATTTTATAATGCTTCTTATGAGAGCAAAAAGGGGAGTAGAGTTACAGCACTCATAAAGTCTTCCTACAAAACTGTGCAAAGAAAACACCACTATGTGGAAACGTGTGGACTACAGAGCATGCTCAACAGAAAGGCCACAGCACTCCCGAGTTACTGACAGAAAACAACCTCTTGAGGATTCCAGGCCCCAACCTAAAAGGGCTTCAATAAGCACTAAGCCAACAGAAGATCAAAGTGAAGAAGTAAGCTTAACATTAGTTATCAGCCAGATGGAAAGAATAGCAAAATTCCACATCATCGAGATTAGAAAACAACCGACTGGCTTTTCAATTTACTTTAGATCAGAAAAAAAAGTCGGGGAAAAAAGTCCTTATCAAAGGTTAACCAAACTAAGTCATTCACAATTACAAGAGATCTAAGACCCATACTACTCAAATTCGGCAAAAATGTACAACTCAGAGGGAAGAGGGGGAAGATCCCTGTTAATTAGTTGCCTCGATAAAAGAAAATATCATTTTGGTCAGTGCACAGCGTTGATAGGGTTTCGTTTCTCAATGCCTAAATGCTGTGAGCCCGACGTACAGATTCAAGTATAAACAACACGTGACCAGTCCTGTTGCCTACGTCTTCATAAGGCTAATTGACACAGAAGATAGTTCACACACACACCCTTTTAAAGTTCATTTTGTATTTTGAATTCTTTTCCTATTTTCACTGGAAGGGGTCACCGTGGTAGCCCGTGGGATGGACGCTCCTCTACCTTTTGAGGCAGGTAGAGTTCTTAGATAGCTAAGCCCAAGGGAAAAAAAGATGTTAACTCAAAATAACCGCCCCACACCAAACTAAGCGATTTTTCTATTCCCCGGTTGTTCAATCCGTAGGGAGAAGGAGGTGGTCGAATTCAAGGAAGTTAAAGATTTCACAAAGTAAACACGTACACAATTTTCCGTTTCAAAGGGCAGTTTCTGCTTTCTTTTTTAAGTCGATATAGACCATAACAGGAGCTCTGTTCGTCTAGACCTCTCTTGGTTAGTTCAGATGTACGCGGGGGGAATACAGAAGGAAGGGGGTGTCCTCCTTCGGCCCACCATGTCGCGAACACGTCGCGAGTCTTTAAGGGAAACAGCTTTACTTCGGTAAGGGCGGGCGCGAGCCGAGGCCAAGGCGCCGCCCGGGAGCCCCGCGGGCGCCGAGGCGCCCGGTGCCGGGGCCGGAAACGCCCAGCTAGCGGCGTACCGGGCCGCCCCTTCCCCGCGGACCTGCCCGGAGCTCCGCCGCCCTGGGGCCGCCGCGGGGTGCGGAGGGCGGCGCCGGCCGCCCGCGCCCCTCCCCCGCCCGCGGCGGAAGCGTCTCGGGTTTGAAAGATGCCGCGGCCGCCGCCTCCCACCCGCCGAGCCACAAAGGGCCGAGCCCCCTCCCGCCACAGCCCTCCTCCCCGGCCCCTCCACAGGTCGCCGCGGGCTCCCAGCCTGCCCGGCGCTACTGTCGCCTGCTCACCCGCGTCCCTCGGTCCGGAGGTGTGGGATCCGCTCCAGCCGGTGGCCCCGTCCACACTGGGCCCCTCCGGCGCGGCGGCGGGGGCGTGGCCCTCCCGCCGCGGCCTCGCCTGGGGTCTCGCCTCCGCCTCCGGCCGAGGAAGGCTGGCGCCGCCGCCTCTTCCTTCCGGTTTCCCCTCGCACCCTCCCTCGCTTGGTCCGTCCAGCGCGGAAAGCAGCGTCCTCTGCGGGCGCCGCCGCACGCTCCTCAGGGCCCGACCACCGCCAGACTCCTCCCCCGGGAGCCGCGCCGCCCGCCCGCCCGCGCCGCCTTGTCAGTCCGGGGCCGCGAGACGCCGGGCCCGCCGCCCCCGCCGCCCCCGCCCCCGCCCCCGCCGCGCGCTCTCGCCCCCGCCCGCGGCCCGGGAACGCGCGCGCAATGGACCGCTGGCCAGCCTGCCGCGCCCGCCCTCGCCACGCCGCCCTCCCGCCTCGCGCGCGCGCGCGCCTGTCGGCACCAGCGGCAGTTTTGCAGTTTCCCGGGTCCTCGCGACCGTCCCCCGCCCCTCCCTTACTCTAGCTGCCCCCGCCCTTTTCCTCTGCCGGATGCCACCGGAAAGCCAAAACAATTGGGGCCGCGCAGGCGCGAAAGAGGAAACGGAAAGAGCAGGAAGGGCGGGGGCGGCGCGAGGTGACGGGAAGCGTAATTGAAGGGGGTTCCCGGGAAAGGTCATGGGAGAGCCCTTGAGGGGCGCGTGCGCGGCAGAGGGGCACTCCGAGTAGCCGCGGCGGCCGAGGCCTTGGGCCTAGACGGGCGGATGGAGAGGCCCGACAAGTTCATTGCTAGGAAATCTAGAGAGCAAAACACCAATTGTTATGCTGAAGGAGGTGTTTTATCCCTTGGAATTTCCCCTGAAATACAGATTTTTGCAGGCTGGCTCGGAAAGTGGGAATGAGTAGGACTAAACAATACCAGACCGGGGGCAGGAGAAAGTTGAGGAGGCGTTGGGCGGGTCGCTTTGTTGCCGCAGCACCTCTTCTCCAAACCATGCCCTCCTCTCTCCAGAGCCGCTTCGGCTTTTCCCAAGGCCAAGGAAGAAGTCAGAGCAGCACCCAAAAGGGCCCGCAGTTGGGGGAGGTTAGGGGAAAAGGGAGAGAGAGACATCTGGGTGCGGACGGCAGCTCCAGCGTCTGAAGCCTTCCGTTGTGTGCTGCAATGCGGCGGCTGCACGCCCCCAACCCCCCGAGTTCCAAAAGAGCGCCTTCAGCGTTGCTTCGCAAAGCGAAGCGTTTGTAGCAGCAGCTAATGGCTGTGGCCCGTACTGTTTTAGTTAACTTGGCACAGCTTGCTGGCAGGCAGGCTGTAAATTTGCTAGGAGCTATTCGTGGATCAAAAAATTGTCAGAAATGCCCACACAGACTCCACCTACCTTCCTAACTTACAGTCTTGGCACAAGCCCAATCTAGAGAATATAGATGACTAATTATAATCTGAAAGGCCATACAGTACATTACTGAAGGGAGCCTCTTCCTGTAAACTAGGCTAGATCAACTGAATGCACACCAAGATGCGTGTTATCAGGAACTACTGATAAAGGATTGTTTTACTGTAGAATCTGGAAACTACATTCAACAAATCTTCATTGAGTTTCCAGCATGCTACCACTGTACTTAGTCTAATTAAGTAGTTAAGTGGTATGATATCAAACAAGCTATACAAAAGATTAAAGTCATTTAACACACACTTGAGCACCTACTTTGTGCCAGATTGGGTATGAGAGATGCGGTCTAAACATGCAGACAACAACAACAAATGATACCTGCGGCAAGGAGTTCGTGATTCATCCTGTGGGCAACAAAAAGCCACTTAAGATTTTTAAGCAGGAGAATATCTTGATAAGATTTTAGAGAAAAAATTCTAAAGCATGATAGATAGCAGACTGGAAGCAGGGATACTAGTTAGGACGCTGTTAATGCAGTCCAGACATGAGTTGGAGAGAAAGTCCAAACTAACAGTGTCAGTGAGAATGGAGAAGCAGAGATACATTTGAAAACTAGCCAGCTATGATAAATAAGACTTGATTACCTAGAGGATGAGGGGAAATAAGAAATCAAGGATAACTGAGTTTTTTAGTTAGGGTGATTAGATGGTGTTATCAGTGACTATAAGAGGAGTAATGAATTGTGAGGATGAAAGAGAGGACTAAAGTTGTCCTTTTAATGGCTGTACAGTTAGGAATGCATTTGGGCCCACATTTTTTTCGAAAAGATTCCATTATAATAGCTTAAACAAGACCTCAAATCTACAGGTAGGCAGTTACCTTTGTTGGTTCAATAGCTCAAGAACAGCAGGGCCATCATTTCTGTGATTCTCTCGACATTGACTTCATGGTTGCAATATGGCTGCAGCAGTTTTAGCCTTCGCACCTTTGTTCAAGGCAAGAAGAGGGGAAAGGGGGTGGCTTCCACCATCCATGGTCTTTTTTTTCTTCAGGAAAGTGAAAGCTTTCTCAGGATACTACATCTCCCAAACTCAGCAGACTTCCACAAACATCTCATTGTCTAGAATTGTAATTTGGCCACCTATAAAGATTACAAAAGAGAAAAACACTGGGAATGGATATTGGGTCAGACAAGTCAGACAAATAGCAGTCGGCTAGTTAGTTAATATTTAAAGCATCCTTCTTTAACACTTAAAACCCTGAGAGCTGTTAGGATGGATTGATGTTCCTAGGTTTCAAAAAAGGCCAATCGCTTTGGTGTGTTATCTTAACTGGGAAAAGAACAGGTTGAACATTTATACTCAAATAGTTGTAGTTGTTTGCCATCCCTTATCTCAAGGTTCCCATCCCCTTAAACAAAGTCTCACAGGGGACTGGAACAATGAGGAAGAAGGGACTGGTGCAGTCAGGGGAGGGTGACTCCCGTTCAGCTTTCCTTTTGCAGCTGCCATCTTAGAATAACTGTAGGTTCTTGGCATCGTTAATTTGATGTTCCGCCTAAAACACCATCTTAATTCCCTTAGAGATCTTGTCTCTGAGCTTAGAAGGCTCTGAGTGATCACAGCAAGTTCCAGTGTCCATTTTAGGGAGTCATACATCAGTATCTTCTAGCAGTTACACAAACTCTTTTGGAATGTACAGCATCTCTCTTGTGATCTGTATCCAAAACATTATTTCATGCAACCCTTTTCCATTAACAAGGCATCTTTCCTTTTAATTATTAATAAGTCATCTTTCCTTTCAACTGATGGCCACAAAAAGTATCATCCTAAAACTGTACTTTAAACATTGTTATGATTCTAGAACAGAAAGAAGATAGTAATGATTCCTAGAAAAATAAACATGCAGCCGGGCACAGGTGGTTCACGCCTGTAATCCCAGCACTTTGGGAGGCCGAGGCGGGGGGATCACCTGATGTCAGGAGTTTGAGACCAGCCTGGCCAACATGGTGAAACCCCATCTCTACTAAAAATACAAAAATTAGCTGGCCGTGGTGGTCGGCACTTGTAATCCCAGCTACTCGGGAGGCTGAGGCAGTAGAATGACCACCACGCCTAGCTAATTTTTGTATTTTTTGTGTAGAGGGGTCTCGCCATGTTGCCCAGTCTGCATTTTCTTTTTCTGAGACAGGGTCTCACTCTGTCGCCCAGGCTGGAGTGCAGTGGTGTGATCGCAGCTCACTGCAGCCTCGAACTCCCAGGCTCAAGTGATCCTCCCACCTCCGCCCCCCAATTGGCTGGGACTACAGGCATGTGCCACCACACCCAGGTAATTTTTAAAAATTTTTTGTAGAGATAGGATCTTGCTACATTGCCCATGCTGGTCTCGAACCCCTGGCCTCAAGCAACCCTCTGGCCTCAGCCTCCCATAATGCTGGAATTACAGATGTGAGCCTCTATGCCCCACCCAGAGTCTATGATCTTAACCACTCTGCTTTACTGACTTCTGTCCTCCTACCAAATTGCTTCCCAGCATCACTTCAAATCTTAGGAACTGCCATATTATCTCAGCAATATAGTTTAAGTAGTATGAGCAGAAAGGAAAAGGGGGTGATTTTTCTTCTCCCTTCTCTCTTCTAATCAGGTAGGAAAAATATGTCTCAGAATCCCGAACAGAGTACCCCTGATGTCTTCTTGGCCAGGATAATGAGATTGTTGTTATGGTCTCCAGTCATTAGTTGGGAGAGAGAGAGGAAAGAGTTCCCCTTTCTCTGAGCACATTCCTTTTTTTTTTTCCTTCAATCTGGACAACATCTTCGTTCTCTCAGCAAGGAAGAAGTAGATGAGACCACCAACCATGTTTCCCACAAAGACAATCAAACCATGAGACCCACATAGGAAATGGAAGTGTATAAGCACCAAACTGAGTTTTATCCTCAATCTGCCATTCAGTAGCTGTATGATTCTGGCAAGTTATTTAACCTATCTGAACCTGGTCATATTATGCTGAATGAATGAGGACCGGGTGCAGGTAGCTCATGCCTGTAACCCCAGCACTTTGGGAGGCAGAGGTCAGCAGATCACTTGAGGTCAGGAGTTCGAGACCAGCCTGGCCAACATGGTGAAATGCCATCTCTACTAAAAATACAAAAAAAATTAGGTGGGCGTGGTGGCAGGTGCCTGTAAGCCCACCTACTTGGGAGGCTGAGGCAGGAGAATCACTTGAATCTGGGAGGTGGAGGTTGTAGTGAGCAGAGATCGTGCTACTGCACTCCAGCCTGGGCAACAGAGGGAGACTCCATCTCAAAAAAAAAAAAAAAAAAGAAGGAATGAGGATTCAAGACAGTGTAACAAAGTGCGTAGCACATAGTAAGCATTTATTAAAAACAGTTTTTAATATCATATTCTTTTTCACATGTTAAACATAGAATTACCATATTATCCAATAATTCCATTTCTAGGTATGTTGACCTAAAAAAATAGAGACAAATCTCTAAATTTAAAACATTTTATGTAGGAAGCAAGGATTGCAATTCAGGGCATATGTACAGACCAAGTGGTTTTTGCTACGTCCAAAGAAGAAAGAGAAGGCTGGAGGTTTTATAAAAAGGAGAAATATTACGTATTCTTTTGAAAGAAAGTGCATTGGCACTAGTAAAGTTTTGAGGAGCTGGCAAGTTCTGAGTAGTGAGAGACAGCGGTGGGTAAAATTAGTCGCAGAATTGCAGCAGGCTGTTTTAGTAGCTATTAGATAAAACTGGTTTCAGGCAGTTTCAGCAGCCAGCTTACAGAGAATTACATTCTTAGAGCAATGTTTTGTGCCCTAAGGGCTTTTTTTCCCTGGTCTCTCAACTCTGTTTTAATTGAATATGACAAGAATGACCCAATTCGTATGATCAATTTTCACAGGTAGATACCCAAAAGAATTGAAAGCAGCAATTTGAGTAGACATTTGTACACCAATGTTCATAGAAGCATTATTCACAATAGCCAAAAGGTAGAAGCAAATGTCTGTCAGTGGATGAATGGATAAGCAAAATGTATATAAATTGGAACATTACTCCAATGGAATGGAATATTAGCCTTTTAAAAGGAGAAAATTATGATATGCTATAACCTGAACCGTGAATACATTATTCTGAGTCAAATAAGTGGAACACAAAAAGACAAACATTGTATAAGGTACACATTGTATAAGGCACTTATAAGGTACGCAGAGTAATCAAATTCACAGCCACAAAAAAGTAGAATAGTGCTTGCCAGGGAATGGTGGGAGAGGAGAATGAGGAGATGTTGTTTAACAGATGCAGAAAAATTTTGTGTGTGTGTGTGTGTGTGACACAGTTTCACTCCTGTTGCCCAGGCTGGAGTGCAATGGTGCAATCTTGGCTCACCGCAACCTCTGCCTCTCGGGTTCAAGCGATCCTCCTGCCTCATTCTCCCGAGTAGCTGGGATTACAGGCATGCACCACCACGCCCGGCTAATTTTGTGTTTTTAGTAGAGATGGAGTTTCTCCATGTTGGTCAGGCTGGTCTCAAACTCCTGACCTCAGGTGATCCGCCTGTCTTGGCCTTCCAAAGTGCTGGGATTACAGGCATGAAGCACCGCACCTGGCCTGCAGAAAACATTCTTATCAGCAGAGACGGGGAGTCCAGGCTAAGTATATTCTATAAAAACAGACCTTGTTAAAGTACCTCTTATCTTCCTTCAGTCTCCCTATCTGTTTTAGTTACTTTTCCAAAATTGTCTTTGTTCAGCCTAATATATGACCACTTAGATTTTGCCACTTCTTTGGGTCTTCATTTTCCTGTGGAGGCTCCCATGTGCCTGTAAAAATATATAGGCTTTTCTCCTGTTAAATCTATCTTATGTCAATTTAATTCTCAGTCTCAGCCAGAGACCCTAAGAGAGTAGAGGTAAAGTTTTGCCTCTACTATATATGTGTGTGTGTATATATATCTATATCTATCTATATATATATAGCTTGTTTTTTTAGAGATGGGGTTTTGCTATGCTGCCCAGGCTGGAGTACAGTGGCTATTCGCAGGCACAATGATAACACACCACAGCCTTGAACTCCTAGTCTTAAATGATCCTCCTGCCTCAATCTCCCAAGTAGCTGGGACTACAAGTGCAGGTGCCACTCCACCTGGCTCAAAAACAAACAAACAAAAATTAACAAATGAAATTCTGATACATGTTAAAACACTGATGAACCGTGAAACACTACGCTAAGTGAAATAAGCCAGGCACACAAGGACAAATATTATGATTACATTTATATGTATGTGGTACCTAGAATAGTCAAATTTAGAGAGACAGAAAGTAGAATAGAGGTTACCGGGGGTTTAACAGGTACCGAGTTTCTGTTTGGGATGATGAAAAAGTTCTGGAAAAGGATAGTGGTGATGGCTATACAACATTGTAGTAAACATACCGAATGTCACTGAATTGTACACTTAAAATGATTAAAATGATAAATTTTATGTATATTGAAGGGGTTAAATAGTTGACTAAGTTAAAGACAGTTGAAAAACAGCAGGTGCAAAAGATCACTTTGAACTTTGTGCTGTTTCTTTTATTTGTTTATTTATTTATTTATTTTGAGACGGAGCCTTTCTCTGTCGCCCAAGCTGGAGTGCAATAGCACGATCTCGGCTCACTGCAACCTCCACTTCCCAGGTTCAAGTGCTTCTCCTGCCTCAGCTTCCCAAGTAGCTGGGATGACAAGTGCCCGCCACCATGTCTGGCTAATGTTCGTATTTTTAGTAGAGACAGGGTTTCACCATATTGGCCAGGCTGGTCTCAAACTCCTGACCTTGTGATCTACCTGCCTCAGCCTCCCTATGTGCTGGGATTACAGGAGTGAGCCACCGCGCCCAGCCTGTGCTAGTTCTTAAAAGCAGAAGATGAAATTCCCTTGTGAAAGATACTCTCCGTGTTCTAGAAGGAAAGGCAATAACCTTATCTTCAACAATGAGATGCTGAAACTGAGAGAATACAATGTTGAAACTGAGAGAATACTGTACAGACTTTGCTAGAATAACTCTTACTTTTTTTTTTTGAGGCAGGGTCTCACTCTGTTGCCCAGGCTGGGGTGCAGTGGCATCATCTTGGCTCACTGCCCCCTTGACTTCTCAGGCTCAAGCCATCCTCCTACCTCAGCCTCCCGAGTAGCTGAGACTACAGGCACACCACCACACCTGGCTAATTTTTTGTATTTTTTGTGGAGACGGGGTTTCGCCACATTGCCCAGGCTGATCTCAAACTCCTGAGCTCAAGCAATCCACTGGCCTCAGCCTCCCAAAATGCTGGAATTACAGGCATAAGCTATCATGCCTGACCAAGAATAACTTATCTTTTAGCTCCCCCATGTAATTTCGTCACATTTTCACAGTTTACTATTTACATTCTTTGTCTAATCCAGAATGGAAGTAACGTACTCTAACTGCTTCTTGGGGTCTTCATTTCTTTATAAGGGTTCCTGCGTCATATAAACCTTGTAAAGTCACTTTGAATGCTCTTCTCCTGTTAATCTATCTTATGTCAATTTAATTCTCAGGCCTAGCCAGGACCCTAAGAGGGTGAAGGTGGAGTTTTCCTGCCCCTGTAATATCTTAGCAAAAAAAAAAAAAGTTTAAAACAAAACAAAACAGCACTGGACAGAAGCCTGGCTTTGCCAATTACTAGACCCGTGACCTGAGGCAAGTTACCTGACTTACCCAAACCTCAGTTTTCAGGTCTATAGAATGAAAATAATAATAGTACCTACTTCCTGGGTCTTTTACGAAGTTAAAATGAGGTAACTTGGCAAAGTATTACATTGTTTAAGGCTTAATTCTTCCTAGCTTTAAGGGAAAATACTCATTCTAAAAATCATGAATGTCCTTAGTACGTTATCTAGCAAAATTGTTACTGTGACAATGGCAGAGATCAAATGTACTATTTTTGATACTTGGCCACATATTTTGTCTTTTCAAGGGGAAAACCCTCTATTTCAGGAAAATGTTTTAACAGGCATATTTATTCTTAAGATGAGGGCCTACAGGCTGGATGAGACATGCTCTGCATGAGAAATGAACAGGAATTTCTGAGGTTCTAATAAAAAAAGTTAGCTGAGCAGGTAGAGAAAGGGTAGAGAGCAGTGTGGCTGAATTCTAAGAGAAAATGTCTTTCTGGTGGAGACGATGGAAGCAGTTTTTAGAAGAGGATTTCTAAGATTCATTTTTAAATTGTGTGCTGGCCAGGCGTGGAGGTTCAAGCCTGTAATCCCAGCACTTTGGGAGGCTGAAGTGGGCGGATCACTTGAGGTCAGGAGTTTGAAACTAGCCTAGCCAACATGGGGAAACTCTGTCTCTACTTAAAATACAAAAATTAGCCGGGCGTGGTGGTAGGTGCCCTAAATCTCAGCTACTCAGAGGCTCAGACACGAGAATCGCTTGAACCCGGGAGACAGAGGTTGCGGTGAGTCAGGATCTCGCCACTGCACTCCCGCCTGTGTAACATAGTGAGACTCTGCCTCAAAAAATAAAATAAAATAAATTGTTTGCTGTACTATTCTGTGATATAAATACACTCCAATACTGGCCTTCCTGGCCACGATTCAACTGCTAGGTGCACAACTTTGATTCTGTGTTCAAGAGGGTAAAGAGAAGGGACAAAGTCTATCAGTGCAGAGCATGAGAAGGGAAAACCCTTATTGAAGCATGTAAGGGAGACCTAGGACTCAGCCAGAAACAGGAACTTGAAATCAGGGATCTAAAAGGAAACATGTCCCAGGTATCCAAACAGATATTTACAAGGGATGATGGGCCTCCCAATGTGTATAGAATGGGGGAAAGAGCTAAATTTTATTTAAATCTCAAAGTATAGAATGACCCCAGCTGATACCTGAGTTGGGTTGTGTAAATGTTTTTACATTCCAAGCTAAATGCCATACTTCTCATAAAGCCCATGATCTGACAACCCATGGGTCATTAATCGGTATACAGGAAAGACCTTTGGAACAAGACCTAGGAGAAGTGGATCTTAGTTCAACTCTTAATTAGCTGTGTAATAATGGTGAAATATTGATTGTTTATTCTCTTCTGATCACATGTTCCCAATTTAGAAAGTGGGATGATCACTGAGAAGCCAGCTTTGGGGTCTATGCTGCTTCTAGAACACCTCCTTTCAAATTTCTAAAGCTAGTTGTGGTAGTTAGCTTTAAAAATGGCCCTCGGTAGGCCGGGCATGGTGGCTCATGCCTGTAATCCCAGCACTTTGGGAGGCTGAGGCAGGTGGATCACTTGAGGTCAGGAGTTCAAGACCAGCCTGGCCAACATGGTGAAATCCCGCCTCTACTAAAAATACTAAAAATACAAAAATTAGCTGGGTGTGGTGGTGGGAGCCTGCAATCCCAGCTACTTGGGAGGCTGAGACAGAAGAATCACTTGAACCCGGGAGGTGGGGTTGCAGTGAACTGAGAGTTGCATTGCACTCTAGCCTGGGCGACAGGAGACTCTGTCTCAAAAAAAAAGAATGCCCCCCAGTGTATTTTCAGCCTTGTGTAATCCTCTCCACATTGTCCAGTTTGGTATGTGTGACCAATAGAACAGGGCAGACGTGATGGTGTATCACTTTTGATGTTAGGTTATAAAGACTGTAGCTTCCATCCTGGGAGCATTCTCTCTCTCTCTCTCTCTCTCTCTCCCCCCGCACCTCTCTAGCTCTCGCTCTCATTCTCACTCTGTCTTTCTCTCTGGGGTGTTTTATACCCACCCATCCCCATTCCCTCTCTTTCATCACTTGTACATGGGGAAGCTAGCCCCCATGTCATGAGGACACTCACACAGTCTTTGGAGAGGTGCAAGTGACGAGATCTCTGGTCAACAGCCAAGGGTGAACCGAGGCCAACCAACAACTTGAGCGAGTTTGGAAGCTGATTCTCCGGCTGCAGTCAAGCCTTGGGATGACTACCACCTTGTGACAGACCCTGCACGAGAAGCACCCAGGTGATCCACTCCTCAATTCCTAACCCTTAGACAATGTTAGATAATAAATGTCTGTTTTTGTTTGTTTTGAGATAGGGTCTCACTTTGTCACCCAGGCTGGGGTGCAGTGACATGATCATAGCTCACTGCAGCCTTGAACTCCTGGGCTCAAACAGAGTTGAGCCCACCTCAGCTTCCTGAGTAGCTGGGACTATAGGCTCATGCCGCCTGCTAAATTTTGGGATAATCTGCCACATAATGATAGATAACTGGCTCACATCTGTAATCCCAGCACTTTGGGAGACCGAGGCGGGCAGATCACTTGAGGCCAGGAGTTTGAGACCAGCCTCGCCAACATGGTGAAACCTCATCTCTACTAAAATACAAAAATTAGACCAGCTTGGTAGTGTGCTCCTGTGGTCCCCACTACTTGGGAGGCTGAGGTGGGAGGATGGCTTGAGCCTGGAAGGCAGAGGTTGCAGTGAGCCAAGATCACCCCACTGCACTCCAGCCTGGGCAACAGAGCAAGACTATGTCTCAAAAAAAATTAAAACTTAAAAAATAATAGATAACTAATATATTAATGAAATTCAAAGATACTTCACATTTGTTTGAACTTATTAGTAGTTGGCAGTAATCTGCAAACAATAATCTATAAATCTAACCATTCAGGCAACAACTATTTACTGAGTTCCTATGTCTTCCTAACACAGGCTATTTTAATTACAGCTGTGATGTGATTATTTTTCTGGCCTTGAGCATAGAATTGTAGAGATCTGATTGAAATCCTGGTGTTCATAGTTAGAGAGAATTTGGAAAAGCTCCTTAACATCTATGTGCCTGTTTCCTCAACTATAAAATGGTGATAATACAATATTATGATGAATAATCAAGTTCTGAACCTTAGTCTTACCTTAAAACATAATTTGAAAGTCAAGGCATAAATAGATTTTTAAAACTTAAAGTATCTTGCCCAGACTATAAACAAGGCTATTTGTTATTTTGCTAATTATTTTTCTTTCCTGCAGCCATTGGAAGATCATGGTCCTTAGATGAAATAAATAAATATAGCAATTTAAACAGGGTCAGCTATGTTTTTAATATACTTGCTTCCTCCCCTTGCCATTTATTGCTAATTTTTCAGTCACGTGTGAAATCCCTGATAAGGATCTGCACGTTACAAATATCCACAAATTTCATATTTTCTCTCCTAATTATTAGAAGTTCAGATACAGGCTGGGTGTGGTGGCTCACACCTGTAATCCCAACACTTTGGGAGGCTGAGGCGGGCAGATCACGAGGTCAGGAGATCGAGACCATCCTGGCTAACACGGTGAAACCCCATCTCTACTAAAAATACAAAAAAAAATTAGCCAGGCGTGGTGGCGGGTGCCTGTATTCCCAGCTACTCGGGAGGCTGAGGCAGGAGAATGGTGTGAAACTGGGAGGTGGAGCTTGCAATGAGCCGAGATCCGGCCACTGCACTCCAGCCTGGGCAACAGAGCGAGACTCTGTCTCAAAAAAAAAGTTCAGATACAATTATTATAATAGAAACTTTATTCTAGCAAAATATGAATACACACATTTTTCAGTGACAGAAAAGTAGTCACAATAATATGAAAAAATGATATATAAATTCAGTGAAAACTAGAGAAATAAAAATCTGAAACTGTGAGTTATTTCTCAAGTAAATGAAGAGAATATCAAGAATCTTTCCCAGCACTTTTTTTTTTTTTTGACAGAGTCTCACTCCATCGCCCAGGCTGGAGTGCAGTGCCAGTGATCTCAGCTCACTGCAGCCTATGCCTCCCAAGTTCAAGAGATTTCTCCTGCCTCAGCCTTCCAAGCTGGGACCACAGGCACACGCCACCATGCCCGGCTAATTTTTTGTATTTTTAGTAGAGATGGAGGGGGTTCTTACCATGTTGCCCAGGCTGGTCTCAAACTCCTGAGTAAAGGCAATCCACCCACCTCGGCCTCCCAAAGTGCTAGGATTACAGGTATGAACCACCACATCCGGCCAGCACTTCTGATCTATAAATACAACTGTCCTCAACCAACAGTTTACTTCATTTATTGTAATACATTCATAATTCAAAGATGTGATTGCCACTGAAAAGTATTTTTCAGGGGAGGGGTTGGGAAGGGGAAAAAATTATTTTTCAAAGGAAGTTATTGGCTGGGTGAGGTGGCTGACACCTGTAATCTCAGCACTTTGGGAGGCCAAGGCAGGTGGACTGCCTGAGTTTGAGACCAGCCTGGGCAACATGGTGAAGCACCATCTCTACAAAAGACACAAAAAATTAGCCAGGCATAGTGTTGTGTGCCTGCAGTCCCAGCTACTCGGGAGGCTGGTGTGGGAGGATCATGGAGCCCAGGAGGTCAAGGCTGCAGTGAGTTGTGATTGTGCCACTGCACTCCAGCCTGGGTAACAGAGCGAGACTTAATCTCGAAAAAAAAAAAAAGTTATTTACTGTGAAGAGAGGCAGAATATGCCACACCAAAATATGCCACTTTAGTATAAGGATTATTTTGAGCTACTTGAAAAACAGCAGATGCAAGAAGGGCACCCTGATCTCTTTTCTTCCCGAAAACAGGAAATAAGAACTCCCACATGAAAGATGCCCTCCTTGTACGAGGAGAAAAGAAACATTCTTCAATGGGACATCATAGCTGAGAGAATTCAGTGGAAATGACCTTGTTAAAATAATTATTGTTTTGGCAGGTGCCTGTAACCCCAGCTACTCGAGAAGCTGAGGCAGGAGAATTGCTTCAACCTGGGAGTCGGAGGTTGCAGTGAGCCAAGATCGCGCCACTGCACTCCAGCCTGGGTGACAGAGCAAGACTCCATCTCGGAAAAAAAAAAAAAAAAAAACAAATATATATATATATATATATATATGTGTGTGTGTGTGTGTGTGTGTGTGTGTGTGTGTGTGTATATGTATATATATGTGTGTGTATATATATGTGTATATATGTATGTATATATGTGTATATATGTATGTATATATGTATGTGTATATATGTATGTATATATGTATGTGTATATATGTATGTATATATGTATGTGTATATATATGTATGTGTATATATATGTATGTATATATATATTGTAGCATCCACACATAATTTAGTCACTTTTCTACAACTGCCTCTCGTTATTCAACTTAATATAAAAGCATTTAGATTTCGCCACTTCTCTGGGTGCTCATTTCCTTATGAGGGCTCTAAATGATTCAGGGCAGGTGAGCCCCAAAATTGGGGCTTAACCCAGGAAGTTTCTTGGCTTCACCCAGCAAAGAATTCAAAAGTGAGCTGGCGGTGTTAGACAGCAACATTTATTGAAGCGGCGGTGCACAGCCGCAGAAGCACTGCTCCTTGTGGAGTGGGGCTATCCAGCAGGCTGTGTGCCCAGAGTAGCAGCTCAAAGGCAGGTCTGTAGTCATGTTCACATCTGCTTGTAATTATATGCAAATTAAGGGGTGAATTATGCGCAAGTTTCTAGGAAAAGTAATGCAGACGTTTCTAGGAAAACAACCCCGGTCGTAGGGTCGTTACCAGGAAAGGGGTGGCAACTTCTGGGTGTTGCCATGGCAATGGTAAACTCACATGGCACATTAGTGGGCGTGACTTATGGAAAGTAGTTTCCTCAATCTGGTCCCCTCTTTGAGCCTCGCCTTTGGAATCCCACCTCCTACCTCACCGTGTCATTTAAAACATATAAATTTGTATGCTTTTCTCTTTTTTTATTTATGGCAATTTATCAGGCTCAGCTAAAAACCCTCAGGGTAGAGGTAAACTTTTGCATCCCCTTTTCTGAAATAGAAAAACTGGCATTCGTATCAGATAGGTTCATTCTATCTGCGAGATGGTAATTTTTTTTTTTTTTTTTTTTTTTTTTTTTTTGAGGCGGAGTCTCGCTCTGTCGCCTAGGCTGGAGTGCAGTGGCGCGATCTTGACGCGCTGCAAGCTCCGCCTCCCGGGCTCACGCCATTCTCCTGCCTCAGCCTCCGGAGTAGCTGGTACTACAGGCGCCCGCCACCCCACCCGAAGAATTTTTTGTATTCTTAGCGGAGACGGGGTTTCACCGTGTTAGCCAGGATGGTCTCGATCTCCTGACCTCGTGATCCACCCGCCTCGGCCTCCCAAAGTGCTGGGATATATATTACCCGGGCGTGGTGGCGGGCGCCTGCAGTCCCAGCTACTCCAGAGGCTGAGGCAGGAGAATGGTGTGAACCCGGGAGATGGAGGTTGCAGTGAGCCGAGATCGCGCCACTGCACTCCAGCCTGGGCGACAGAAGGAGACTCCGTCTCAAAAAAAAAAAAAAAAAAAAAAAAGAATCTTGGATCTGATTTTGGGCTGGATGTTGTGCCTCATGCCTGTAATTGGGAGGCTGAGCTGGGCA
This sequence comes from Homo sapiens, assembly GCF_000001405.40. NCBI lineage: Eukaryota > Metazoa > Chordata > Mammalia > Primates > Hominidae > Homo > Homo sapiens. The sequence continues at coordinate 32,906,337 of NC_000007.14, forward strand.
GATGACTTGAGCCCACGAGTTGAAGACCAGCCTGGGCAACATGGTGAAACCTTATCTCTACAAAAAAACACAAAAGTTAGCTGGGTGTGGTGGTGCATGCCTGTGGTCCCAGCTACTCAGGAGGCTGAGGTGGGAGGATCACTTGAGCCCAGGGAGGTCGGGGCTGCGGTTACACCACTGCACTCCAGCCTGAGTGACACAGCGAGACTCTGTCTCAAAAAAAAAAAAAAAAAGAATCTTGGATCTGATGTTGATACACACGAAAAGGGTGAAAGCAAATGTTCCCCAAGACAGTACAGAGATGTAGAATAATTCTTAGACCTTAGGTTACTGTTAAAAGTTCCACCATGTATGGGTGGATCTTTCATGTGAAACTTTGAAAACTAATATGAAAGCCACTCATATAATGCAGTTCTATTGCTGAACATGAAATTCTATTAAAATTGAGATTTTTATGTCCTGAAGCTCTGGTTCTGATTGCTCACTCCGAACAAGTTTCCTTTAGTACACCTATTGGATATATTGCTTTACCTGGTTGAACATCTACATTAAAAAAATGTTTTACAGGCCAGGAGTGGTGGCTCACGCCTGTAATCCCAGCACTTTGGGAGGCCAAAGCCGGCGGATCACCTCAGGTCGAGAGTTTGAGACCAGCCTGATGAACATGGAGAAACCCTGTTTCTACTAAAATTACAAAAAAATTAGCTGGACTGGTGGCACATGCCTGTAATCCCAGCTACTGGGGAGGCTGAGGCAGGAGAATCACTTGAACCTGTGAGGTGGAGGTTGTGGTGAGCCGAGATCGTGCCATCGCTCTCTAGACTGGGAAACAAGAGCGAAACTCCGTCTCAAAAAAAAAAAAAAAAAACTGGAAGTTTAACAGGCGAAAGAAAAAGCTCTCTGCACAGAGAGGGGTCCCGGAGAAAATGGGTTGCTACTTCTGCAATGAAATGCAGAAGGTGTTTTTGTTTGTTTGTTTTTTGAGATGGAGTCTTGCCCTGTTGCTCAGGCTGGAGTGCAATGGTGCAATCTCAGCTCACTGCAACCTCTGCCTCCCGGATTCAAATGATTCTCCTGCCTCAGCCTCCCCAGTAGCTGGGATTACAGGTGCCTGCCACCACGCCCAGCTATTTTTTGTATTTTCAGTAGAGACGGGGTTTCATCATGTTGACCAGGCCGGTTTCCAACTCCTGACCTCGTGATACACCCGCCTCGGCCTCCCAGAGTGTTGGGATTACAGGTGTGAGCCACCGTGCCCGGCTGAAATGCAGAAGGTTCTATAGATGAGCTTGAGGAGGTGGTGTCTGATTTACATAGGGCATGAAAGATTGATCTGACCAGGTGTGTTATTTGCATAGCACACAAAGAAGCTGGCTGCCCCACCCTAATCTTTTATTATGCAGATGGATTTTCTACCTGGCTGGCACCATGTTGCCTGTTCCTTTACTGCACACATGGTGACAAAGAAAAGGGAAGATGGAGCCTCCATGTTGAACATGCCTGGGCCTCAATTAGCCCTTTTCTATTGGCACACCTGTGCAAGTGTCCAGCTTGCTTATCATGGATTACATGGGATTTTGTAAATTATCCCAGTGACTTCACTATTACAATGTCCCAGTTTAGAGGTGAGTACTGGAAGCTTAGCTCATCCAGTCAGAGAGCAAGTGGCACGAAAGAGTCTTGGTGTTGAGTATCCCTGCCACCCTCCAAGCCCTTGTGCTGGGCTGTTAAACAGCAGTCCCTTGACTCAGAGGCCGTTTCTGCCCTGCAGTGATCATAAAGACTAACTAAATTCAGGCAAAATGTCAAGATAAGGCCTTTAGCTTCATTATAAAATGGAAACTAAAGATACATTGATAGTAATTCTCTGTATAACTTATCTTGCATCTATTACATGAGATATTTCAGAAAATGTTTTGATTTCCGTTATTTCCTAGGAAACAAATTGCTGAGTTCCACCTGAAGGAAGACTTTACTAATGCCAATGTCATGTTAGGAAGATCTTTCTTCATTTCAACTAACAAAGCTCTGGTACACCAGTGAACAAGTTAAATAATGGGATATATAAAACCTTTTCAACTAGAAGTTTGTTTGTTTTTGAGACGAAGTCTCACTCTTTCACCCAAGCTGGAGTGCAGTGGTGTGATCTCAGCTCACTGCAACCTCCACCTCCCGGGTTCAAGCAATTCTCCTGCCTCAGCCTCCTGAGTAGCTGGGACTACAGGGGTGCACCACCACACCCAGCTAATTTTTGTATTTTTAGTAGAGACAGGGTTTTACTATGTTGGCCAGGCTGGTCTCGACCTCCTGACCTCGTGATCTGCCTGCCTTGGCCTCCCAAAGTGCTGGGATTACAGGTGTGAGTCACTGCGCCCGGCCTCAACTAGAAGTTTTAAAATAGTAAATGGAATTGCATGTCTGTGTGATTCTTAAGCCATTTTACCTTCTCGCCCAAAGTGACTCTATCACTGATACCAAATCAATACCCATCACGCATGTTGCCATATGTACTTCTGCCTCACCTCCAGGGAGGCTTAGCTAAGGGGAAATGATGGGGTCAAATCAAGCCGAGGGATGAACTGCAGACAGATGGGAACTGCCCTGGGGATGGGGTCTATGTCCTATTCATTTTTACAAATAAAGACCTGACACGTAACACTGATAATAACACTGACAGATGTGGGCAGCAGTGATTTGGAGTATCATATGTTCTTCCCTTTCAACCACTGTACACTCTAGAAACAAAGAAATGTTTGTTTCGTAAACACAACTTCTTTATACTCAGAACCTAGGACTTAAGTCAATTGACACAATCATCTTCCAATAAATACTAGAGGTTAAGTTGGTGACTAGGTGCCAAAAAGGTGTAGTGTGGTTGAGGGGTATACCAAGGTTATCTGAAAGAACATGCTATTGTTGGATTCATGGCGTTGTATATGTGGGAGAGGACAGAGGTGCCTCCAAGAACTCCCTGGGTGGTAGACTGAAAAGGATGGTGGTGCACATGGATGGGTCCCCTGCATGTCACCTCTAAATTAAGCTGTGATGAAGACGTCCCTGCTACGCTATAACTCACTGTCCTAACCGAGCACCTTAAAATAGGGTTTGAGGAGATGGTGAAAAGTGATAACAGCGTTGCCAGATGACATCCCAAAGGCAGGCAGAAGATAAGAGCTTTTCCAAAGCTGCTCTCCTGAGAAGGCCTCACTTTTTGCCTAAGTAGTACCTACCTCAGTACTTGGTTTAGAGACTCCAGGAAACCCTCTCTAACCCAAGGCTAGATTAGGTGACCCTGCTATGATCCTATAGCACCTGTTATTACACTTTGATAACCTATTTCAGGACATGACTCTGGAGACTCACGGCCTCAATTCTGTCCTCAACCAGACTCCATCTGTTCCTTAGGGCCGTGGTTATTGTAGCCCCTGTGGCATCCCCATGGAATAGTTAGTGTGAAGCCTGGTGCAGAGTATACACCCAGGTACTTGCGGAATGAATCATGTAGTCTTAACCTTAGAGGACTCATCTGGCCTTGTCCCTGTTTCCACCAGCATTCCACACCAAACAGAACACGATGTACAGAGGCTGAGATTAGGAATGAGTTGGCCAGAATCACAGAAGGTTGGAGTAGGAAAACCATAGTGAGGTTCTTGTGAAGGCTTCCTGATTATAGGTGACCCAACATCCTTGCTTCTGTTGTAGGATCTGGAAAGGCATTCCACTTTCTATTAAAACCATCCAATTCCTACTTCCTTAGATTACATGGCAAGATGAAAGGGAGTGGATTTTCCTTAATGTGTTGGTGTGAAGACATTGAATCTGATTGCCTTTTTAACACTTGTACAATAGCAGTACAAGTAGTGTGGAAAAAACTGACTCTGTTAGTAGTACTTAGTAGTTACTTCAATGGACTGGGGCTGTCTTTACAGTAGGAAGACATCAGGACTCTAGAAGGTTGGAAAAAATTGACAGTAGGTGGATAAGAAGCACAAAAATAGAATGGGGCCAATCAGTGGATACTTCTGCTTTGTAGTTCTGCCCATAGTTGGACCTTTGTCCTAGAGGCTAGATGAAAAGTCTGGTTATGTTTGGAAGCTGTTGGACTCCTGTGGCAGGTTGCATGTGTGGGGACAAGACTCTGAGACGGAGATTGTGGGAAAATTCACATTGGTGTTCTTGGGAATAACATCTCAGAGGGCAAAGGGAATGTGATTGGGCAGAGGGAGAAGTTGGGCTCTGAGACAATCACAACAAAGGCCTCAGCCATTCCCACCTAGGGCTTTCTTGCCAGTAACAGGGACTACAGGAATGTGCCAACAGAGCTGGCCAATTTTTTTATTTATTGTAGAGATGGGCTCTTGCTATACTGCCCAGCCTGGTGTCAAAACTTGTGGCCTCAAATAGTTGACTATTTTAGATTCATCTTGTAAGTGGTATCATGGGGTATTTGGCCTTTCGTGTCTGGCTTATCTCACTTTGTATAATGTCCTTTGGGTTCATCCATGTTGTCATAAATGGCTAGATTTGCTTCTATTTTAAGGTAAAGGATATTCCATTATACATGGATAGACCACATTTTCTTTCTCCATTCACTCATCATGGATGTGTAGTTTGCTTGCATGTCAGTGCTACTGTGAATAAAGCTGCACTGAACCTGAGTACAAATCTCTTCAAGATTGATTTCAATTCCTTCTGATATATACCCAGAAGTGGGATTGCTGGATCATATGGTAATTCTAGTTTTAATTTGTTGAGAAACTTCTATACTGTTTTCTACAGTGCTCACACCACTTTACTTTCCCATCAACAGTGTCTAAGGGCTCTTTCCTCACGTCCTAACCAACATTTGTTATCTTTTGGGTTTTCTTCTTTTTTCTTTTTTTTTGAGACCTAGTCTCGCTCTGTCGCCCAGGCTGGAATGCAGTGGTGCCATCTCGGCTCACTGCAAGCTCCGCCTCCTGGGTTCACACCATTCTCCTGCCTCAGCCTCCTGAGTAGCTGGGACTACAGGTGCCCGCCACCACGCCTGGCTAATTTTATGTATTTTTAGTAGAGACAGGGTTTCATGGTGTCAGCCAGGATGGTCTGGATCTTCTGACCTCGTGATCCGCCTGCCTCAGCCTCCCAAAGTGCCAGGATTACAGGCGTGAGCCACCGTGCCCGGCCTGGGTTTTTTTTTTAAACAGTCATTCTAACAGGTATGAGGTGATATTTCCTTATTATTTTGATTTGCATTTGCCTAATGATTACTGCTGTTGAGCACCTCTGCATATACCTGCTGGTCATTCTTCTTTGGAATCAATGTCTATTCAGTTTTTTGCTTTTTTTTTTTTTTTTTGAGACAGAGTCTCACTCTGTCACCCGGGCTGGAGTGCAGTGGCACAATCTCAGCTCACTGCAACCTCTGCCTCCTGGGTTCAAGCAATTCTTCCGCCTCAGCCTCCTAAGCATCTGGGACTACAAGGCGCACACCACCATACCCGGCTAATTTTTGTACTCTTAGTAGAGATAGGGTTTCACTATAATGATCAGGCTGATCTCAAAGTCCTAACCTCAGGTGATCCACCCACCTCGGCCTCCCAAAGTGCTGGGATTACAGGTGTGAGGCACCGCATCCGGCTCTTTGCCTATTTTTTAAATTTTATTTTTTGAGACAGGGTCTTGGTCTGTTGCCTCAGCTGGAGTGCAGTGGTGCAATCATGTCTCTCACTGCAGCCTCTAACTCCTGGCCCTTTGCCTATTGTTATAATAAACAGGTCATCTGGTTGTTTGCTATTGAGTTGTAGGAGTTTATTATATTTTGTAGATATTAACCCATGATTAGATTTATGGTTTGCAAACATTTTCTCCCTTTCCATGTATTGCCTTTTTGTTTTGTTGATGTTTCCTTTGCTGTGCAGAAGCTTTTTAGCTTGATGCAATCCCACTTGTCTATTTGTGCTTTTGTTACCTGTGCCTTCAATGTCATATCCAAGAAGCCACTGCCAAGGCCAATGTAGTCTATTCCCTGTTTTCTCCTACGAGTTTTACAGTTTCAGATTTTAGTTTAAGTCCTTAAACCATTTTGAGCAGATTTTTGTGTATAGTGTAAGATAAGGGACCAATTTTTTTTTGCAGGTGCATATTCAAATACAATTTTAGTTGCTACCACTGGAGGATGTACTAGTAGCATCAAGTGGTTACAAGCCAGGGATGCCACACAATACCCTACAATGCACAGAATCGAACCCTACCACTTAGAATTATTCAGTTCCTAAAATAAATGAGTCCGAGGTTGACAAAACGGCTGTAAAGGAGAGAAAAGTGCTAGATAGAGACATGGGATCAAGGGAGGATTTTATTTTTTTCAGAGACAGGGTCTCACTCTGTTGCCCAGGCTGGAGTGCAGCAGTGCCCTCATAGCCCACTGTAACCTCAAACTTCTGGGCTCAAATGGTCCTCCTGCCTTGGCCTACAAAAGTGCTGGGATTACAGGCATGAGCCACTGTGCGTGGCCTCCGGATTTTTTTTTTTCTTTTAAAGGGAGACTTGAGCTTGTTTAAATGCTGCTGGATAGGGAAATGGGCCACTTTATATACTGTAAGAGAATGGATAAATTGGTAGACTCTTTTGGAGGGTAATTTGGTAGAATCTGTCAAACTTAAAATATGTAATTCCATTATTAGGTAACTATTCTATTGAAATACTTGCATACATACATTAAGATATTTACTCAAGGCAAGGTGCGGTGGCTCACGCCTGTAATCCCAGCACTTTGGGAGGCCAAGGTGGGCGGATCACGAGGTCAGGAGATCGAGACCATCCTGGCTAACAGAGTGAAACTCCGTCTCTACTAGAAATACAAAAAATTAGCCAGGTGTGGTGGCGGGCGCCTATAGTCCCAGCTACTTGGGAGGCTGAGGCAGGAGAATGGCGTGAACCCGGGAGGTGGAGCTTGCAGTGAGCCGAGATCGTGCCACTGCCCTCCAGCCTGAGTGACACAGCGAGACTCTGTCTCAAAAAAAAAAAAAAAAAAAAAAAAACCCCAAAGATATTTACTCAAAAATTTTTATTTTCAGTCTTCTTTGTAGGAATGAGAAATGGGAAAGAATTGCATTCTGATAAATAGATTAATGGTTAAACAAATCATGGCACATTCAAACCAAGGAATTTTGTAGCCATTTGAAGCTTGTAGTGAGCAGTAAAATTGCCAACATACGGTGAGTGAAATGAAGTCACAGAACAGTATTACTAGTGTCTATCAGTTATGTAAAGCTAACCAAAAACCGTGCATTTACATGTGTGTGTTTGCTAATGCATTTTGATCAGGATCTGGAGCACTGTATCAAAGCATCATAAGTAGACTCCCTTTTCACTTTTTGTTCTCCAATGGCTCAGAATTGTGAACTCTTTACGGGCATGTATTTTACAGTTTTAAAACAATTGTTTTTTGTTTTTTTTTTTTGGTGGGGTTTGGGGAGCAGGGTCTCACTCTGTTGCCCAGGCTGGAGTGCAGTGGCATAATTTCTGCTCACTGCAACCTCCGCCTCCCAGGTTCAAGTGATTCTCCTGCCTCAGCCTCCCGAGTAGCTGGGATTACAGGTGTGTATCACCATGCCCAGCTAATTTTTGTATTTTTGATAGACATGGGGTTTCACCATGTTGGCCAGGCTGGTCTCAAACTCTTGACCTCAAGTGATCCACCTACCTCGACCTCCCAGTGTTGAGATTACAGGCATGAGCCAAAACAATTTTTAAATACTGGGGCAAGATCACAATAGAAAGGAAGAGTTTGAAGACGTGAGTGACATGGGATAAAGGAGGAGGAAGTTCCCTGAGGATTAGATGATGGTGACAGCAGTAGCAGCAGGAGCAGGTAACATTCATTTAGAGTTGAGATGTGCCACACCCTGCTCTAAATGCTTTATGGATATCAAGTCCCCTTATTCTCACTAGAAGTCTGGTAGACATGATTAGTCAAGGACACGGAGGCACAGAGAGGTGGAGCAACTCCACAGCTAGCAAAGCTGGGATTCAAAGCCAGGCAGTCTGGATGCAGGGCCAGTGCTCCAGCCACTGCCCCCTACTGCTGGCTGTTGGTGGGATCCAGAGCATAGGTGATGGACTGGCCTGAGAGGAGGAGGGAAAGCTCATTAAACCTCTGGATCAGTTTGTTGCTGCATTAACACTTTCTCACAAATGTAAAAGCTCAAAACCACCACCACTGATTACCTCACAGTGGTGTAGGTCAGAAGCCTGAGCAGGCTCAACTGGGTTCTCGACCTTGCATCTCACAAACCCCAACCGAAGATGTCAGCAGAGGTGGGCTTCCATCTGGAGGCTCTGGGTAAGAATATGCATCCAGAACCATTGAGGGTGGCAGAATGCGGATCTTTTCAGCTGTAGGACTGAGAGCTCCATTTCCTTGCTGGCTGTTAGTCAGGAACCTTTGATGAGAGTTTGCTGCATCCCTCACCATGTGGCCCCTTCAACTCTAAAACCAGTAATGATGCGTGGAATCTTTCACAGGCTTGGACTCTCTGACCTCCTCTTTGGTTAACAGCCAGGGACAAATCGAGTTCCAGAGGGTTCTCATGATTTGGTTAGGAACACCCAGGTGGTCTCCCTTTCCTTGTACTGGTAACACAATCTAGTCACAGGAGTAAAGTGCATCCTATTAACAGTCTGAAGATTAGTGGGAGAAATCATGATGCCATTTTAGCCTGGGTAATTTATAAAGAAAAGACACCTGCCTGGCTCAAGGTTCTGCAGACAGTACGAGAAGTGTGGTGCTGGAATATCTTTCCGGTGAGGCCTCAAGAAGTTTACAGTCACGGTGGAAGGCAATGAGGAGCCAGCATATCACATGGTGACAGCAACAGCCAGAGCAAAAGAGGGAGGGAGAGGTGCCACTCACACTTAAACAACCAGATCTGGTGTGAACTGACTCATCACCAAGGGGATGGCACTAACCCATTCATGAGGGATCTGCCCCCATCATCCAGACACCTCCCACCAGGCCTCATCTCCAACACTGGGGATTACATTTCATCATGAGATTTGGAGCGGACAAACATCCAAACCATATCAGTAGGATGTCTGACATTCATCATACGATGTCTGAGTGAAGGGAGGTTTAAGGGCTTATTTTGTCTCCCTGGATAGTAATGGAAAATGTATATCTGAAAGAGATGTCTGAAAAAGAAAGTTTAAGTGGGTGGCTAGCACACTTCTGGTTTGCTAGTGGGCTTTTTGAGCTCAGTTCTCATTTGAGTTTGGAGATGGATTTGTAGGGGCTCTGGGATTTTTCCCCTGTAGTCTGTCTATAGGAGCAAAGCGGAAGATTTTGATTGATGCTTCTTTGGGGAAAGCTGGACAAAAGGATCACAGATCAGGGGAGATGACAGGCCAAAGTGATGTTCCTTGGAATCTAGGCTAGAAACAGAGGAGAAAAAAACAGAGTGAGGGAAAAGGGACGATTCACTTTGCAAGGGCTACAGGGGTGGACGGCTGGATTCCAGTTAAAGCAGGAAGTGGAAGAAGGCTTCAGTAAGAGGGTAGAGATCTAGAGCCCAGGTTCTCCAAGTGGGGTCCCCAAATCAACAGTGTCAGCATCATTTGTTAGCAAGGCAGATTCCCAGGTTCACCTCAGACCTAGGGAATGGAAAATTCTGGAAGTTGGTGAGTCGAGCACAGGAATCTGCATCTTAAGCATGCTAGTTGATTTGGATGTCTTGGAGGTTTGAGAATCATTGATGCAGCATCTTTTGTGTTGTATAAGAATGCTTTTATCATGAATGGGATTGCAGAGGGACAGTAGCCAATTCCTGGAAGAAGAGGACCGGCTGTACCTGGGTAAGAAATGCTGAGCATATGGCAGAGGACAGATGGCCTGTGTTCTGCATGACAAGGATAAGTGTAAGGCAAGGCTGAATCCACTGGCCTTACAGTTTTCAGAAATAGTTAAGTCCTGGCCATTCCAATCTCAACCGATTGTTTTCCTGAGGTGGTATTCCGAGGCCAAGAACAGGAGCATTGACTGATGAGACTTGAAGAAGGGTCAGTCTGGGCCTGGCTTGGCTGTTCCTTAAAAAGGAGGGAATCCAAACCCCAGGAAAAGTGGCAGAAAATGGGAGTGAGTTTCTGGGACCCTGACTGAGTGCCTAAAGCAGCAAGAGACCAGTGCTAGCCACAGAGGGACACACTTGCCTATGAGCAAGATCCGCTTCACTTTGGCGCAGCAAAGGATAGACTTCCTCTCCTCCAGCTGCAGACACACCCTGGCCTCCTGAGATGCCTCTACTGTGGCCTAGTTTCAGCTACAAGAGCACAGGTGGGCTGTGGTCAGGCAACAGGAAGAGGAAGAAAGGGAGGGATGGATTTTGGGATGTGGATACCTGACCTAGTACACAAATCCCCCTATATTCCTAAACCTTTTCTGAGTCAGTCACTCTGTGAAAATCATGGGACTCTGGCAGTAGAAAGCAAGTGAAGTAGAATGCAGCCACAGAAGATTTTTTATTGTTGTTTTAAGAACTCCCTAGCCCCCAAATCAACAAATCATGTCAGGTAAATATAAATATTTTAGCCAACCAGTGGCTCTCGCCTGTAATCCCAATGCTTTGGGAGGCCAAGGTGGAAGGATCACATGAGGCCAAGTGTTCAAGTCTACACTGTGGAGGGCACAAGCTGTGGGAGGGCCTGGAAGACACGCCTCAGAGATTCTCCCAGTCCTGCCACCCTGTGGGAGACACTTCTAAGGAATCGTAAACTCATGTGACCAGCAGGGAGGACAACGATGAAGAAACTTTCCTGCCTAAAATCAGCTGCTGTCCAGAGCTAGCACCTGGAAGGAGACACTCCCTCTCCTGGGGTCACATCTTCACTGCAAGGCGGGTGGGAGCTCACTGCTGTGACCCACATATACTCCTCTCTCGGCGTCTCTATCCTGCTACTTTCTCTGACTGCATCTTCCTCTGTTCCTTGGTCAGTGTTTGAGAAGAGAATGTTGAACAAGTCACATCCTTGTCACTCTGAGTCAGAACCCTCATTTGACTTGGAAGATTTGTGCTTCCGTTTTTTCTTCTTTTTCTTTTCTTTCTTCCTTTTCTTATGCTTTTCTTTCTTCTTCTTTTTCTTGTGTTTCTCTTTACCTTCAGAGGAACTGGAGCTGCTCCTATCTTCACCTGAGGTAGAATCCTCCAGTAACTGTTTTAACTGCTGTATCCTAAACATTCAAAATTGATCAAAGAACAGTCAGTTTTAGCTTTAACTTACAACAGTTGCTTAGATAAATATGTCATTCAAAAGCAATATGGAAGGATCATGAATAACCACATCACAAAGACAGTACTTATTTTTATTTTTACCTGTTTTCTCCATTCTTCTTCACCTGAATGCCTATGTTTATGTGACTGTAACCAGTGTACAAACCATTTTTGTATTCTTTTCCTTGTCCTAGTCATTTCTGTAGGTTCCCACAGTACTTACAATTATAAATTCTAACAGACGCATACTTTACTAAACCATTCCCCAACTGCTCAATTTCCTAATAGATAATCTACACCCTCAACAATTATAATTTAATGTAACCAGTTTGAAAAAACAAACTCTCCTGATTATTCACTCTCTAATCTTGTCTAGGTATAATCTTTAACAAAAGCTGAGATCCTTAAGACGTTAGAGGAGATAAACTGAATTACCTTGCATGGTACCAATTGTACCATGCAAGTAAATAGCACAACATGGGTGGCTAATATCAACTGCAGTGGTCAGAGAACTGGACCAAGCCTACAGCTTTAAGCTAACCCAAGGAGGAGGAGGCTGGCCTGCTGATTCCCCAACACTGGTCTTGTCAGCCATGACTCCTACCCAATAAATATTTCACAATTGAAGTGCCATGTTTACTATATCACTCTCCTAGTGCTAGAAGGTTTTTTTCCAACTTTATATAAGTTAAAACTTTAAATAGATACTATCACCAGGACAACCTCACCTTACATTCTTTTCATGTTGTTTATTGTCTCGTATGATGTCATACATGAAATCCTCATGTGCCTTAAGGGACAGAGAAGGTTAAGGTTTGGTTAGGCTTCATGGACCGTTAGTTAAATAAAATTAAACCCCTATGTTACAGAAAACAGTTTTTTTTTCTTTTACTGTTTGATGTAGCCACACGCTCAACATGTTTTAATCCTTTTAAGGGTCATATCACTGATAACTCATTAAGGCTATAAAAATAATTTCCCAATGAGAAAATACACGAAATAATATTCTTCATGAGGAAATAACTGCATAAACTGGAAGAGTCGTACTATAAAACAGTACTCAAGTTTAGAAATACCGAGGTAATTCTCTTTGTTCTATTGGGTTAGACCAAAAGATAGTATTAAGCAAAATAAATGAGTTGCAAAATGATACATAGGAATGATCATTTATAAGTACTCAAAAATACGTGTTACATACCCCAAGGAAGTCTGGAAATATACACATCAAGCTATTTGCTGCAAACCCACTCTCAGGAGGGAGGCAAGATTGGACTTGGTGGTAAAAGCCTGACTATGAGGTCTTCATTTTGCTTAATAAGGCAAATAAACTGTATTCTTGTATTCTATAACTGAAAGTGACTTAAAATTCACAATTATGGGCCGGGCACGGTGGCTCACACCTGTAATCCCAGCACTTTGGGAGGCCGAGGCAGGTGGATGACGAGGTCAGCAGTTCGAGACCAGCCTGACCAACATGGTGAAACCCCGTCTCTACTAAAAACACAAAAATTAGCCAGGTGTGGTGGTGGGCACCTATAATCCCTGCTACTTGGGAGGCTGAGGCAGGAGAATTGCTTGAAACCAAAAGGCGGATGCTGCAGTGAGCCGAGAGCACACCACTGCACTCTAGCCTGGGCAACAAGAGAGAAACTCTGTCTCAAAATAAAATAAAATAAAATAAAAAATCATAATTATGAACATTATGCTTATAGAGTTGTATAAATTGATGTTCTGTTATATCCTTAGGGTAAATTTTTAGAAGTTGAATTTCTAAGTCAAAAAGAAGTACATTAAATTTTTGAGATTTATCAACAAGTTTTGTTTTATACTATCTGTAAAAACTGACATTTCACCTAAAAGTGCTTGATCTAGAATAATTATTTTTCAGATTAAGACAAAAACACAAAACTTTAAACGCCTTAAAATGTTAAAAGAATGTCTGTTGACTTCAGTTTCATATATAGCTGGCCCTTGTATCCTGAAGAGTTACATGTCCACAGATTCAACCAAGGATTGAAAATATTTGAAAAAAAAAAAAAAGGATGGTTGTGTCTGTATTACACATGTTCAGACTCTTTTTTCTTATCATTATTCCCTAAACAATACAGTTTAACAACAATTTACTTTTTATTCAGTATTATAGGTAATCTAGAGACGATTAAAATATATAGGAGTATGTCCACAGCTTATATGCTATTCTACTTTCTTTTATTTGACAAAATCTCACTCTGCCACCCAGGCTGGAGTGCAGTGGCATGATCTTGGCTCACTGCAACCTCCACCTCTCAGGTTCAAGCGATTCTCATGCCTCAGCCTCTCAAGTAGCTGGGATTACAGGCATGTGCTACCATGCCTGGCTAATTTTTGTATTTTTATTTTTTTGAGACAGAGTCACACTCTGTTGCCTAGGCTGCAGTGCAGTGGCATGATCTCAGCTCACTGCAACCTCCACCTCCTGGATTCAAGTGATTCTCCTGCCTCAGCCATCCAAGTAGCTGGGATTACAGGTGCCCACCACCACGCCTGGCTAATTTTTGTATTTTTAGTAGAGACGGGGTTTCACCATGTTGGCTAGGCTGGTCTTGAACTCCTGACCTCAGGTGATCTGCCCACCTCAGACTCCCAAAGTGCTGAGATTACAGGCGTGAGCCACCGTGCCCAGCCTAATTTTTGTATATTTAGTAGAGCTGGGGTTTCACCATGTTGGCCAGGCTAGTCTCAAACTCCTGACCTCAGGTGATCCACCTGCCTAGGCCTCCTAAACTGCTGGGATTACAGGCGTTGAGCCACTGCACCCAGCCTATACCATTTTATATGAGGGACTTTGAGCACCTGTGGATTTTGGTATCCCAGGGGATACTGGGATCCAATTCCCCATGGATACCAAGGGACAAGTGTATGCTGATCACTTCAGTAGATCCACAAGGCAGCATATTTCACTTGGCAGTAGTTACTGAACAGTGAATTAACACCTCTGGGAGGTGACTCTATGTTAAAGCGGGGAATGATAGATAGATGATGCTAATGATAGATCTGTCTAACTGTCATTTAAGAGGAAATATACACAATTCTAGCTTATAATAGACAGACATCTACTCTTTAAAGGCTGGAAAACTAGGCCAGGCGCAGTGGCTCACGCCTGTAATCCCAGCACTTTGGGAGGCCGAGGCGGGTGGATCACGAGGTCAGGAGATCGAGACCATGGTGAAATCCCATCTCTACTAAAAATACAAAAAATTAGCTGGGCATGGTGGCGGGTGCCTGTAGTCTCAGCTACTTGGGAGGCTGAGGCAGGAGAATGGCGTGAACCTGGAAGGTGGAGTTTGCAGTGAGCAAAGATGGCACCACTGCACTCCAGCCTGGGTGACAGAGCGAGACTCTGTCTCAAAAAAAAAAAAAAAAAAAAAAAAAAAGACTGGGAAACTAAAACTCTGATTTTAGTTATGAGACATGACTTTTTATATAATAAATTTTAAAAAGGGGAGTTGAATAGGGAACAATGTCTTCTTCAGAAAAAGAATCACTGTCCCAATGTATAAGCAAAGAACACGTTTATAAATGTTAGTTTTTTTCTTAAAGAGCTAAATTTGTCTTACAAATGCAATTTAACAGAGGTATAGTTAACAGCAGACGCTTTGGCCAAAAGGCTTCTGGGAATGTAATTTATGTGAACATTCAGTTCGCTGGTGACTATCGGATTAATTAATATTCACCATCTCTGATTAAGGTAAAATGACATTGTATGGTTTTACTTACTACTCTGAACTGTTGTAACTTTTGGTTGTCTTTGATAAAGAAAGGGCATTCTTTGTAGCCTGTTCGGTGACCATACCATTTGCAATGCCAACCTAAAAGCAAAGAAAAGGGGAAATATTTCTGTAAGATAAGAGTGTTTCACCTTAGTGAGATAAAGAATCAGTAGATTATATTAAAGTTTTTATTCATTAAACTCCAATTCTAAAAGAAAATGCAATCATGGATGAACCGTGTAAGGTCCCAGAAAAGACAGGTAAACTAATTGCTTACCCAAGCATCCTTTAATCTTGTGCTTTAGGAATTAATTTTCCAACACCAAGAAATTATGAAGCAATCCAATGAAAAGTACTGCAAAAGGTCAATTTTTTTAGTGTGTCTCGCTGTATTTTTCAAAGTAAATATCTTCTATTAATCAAGTGGCTCTGAATCTCATTTATAAATTTAGTCACTAGAACAAATACCTTCTTTCTCAGGTTGAGTCGACATCTGTTCACATCCCTCACTTTTAAGTAAACAAAATCACAAGTTCTTTTAAAATATTAATGCCATCAGAACCCTACTGCAACTTTACTTTCAGAAGAGGGAAACTGTGCTATTTAAAGAGGTTAACTATTAGAAGCAACAGAAGGTCCTGATGAGGAACTGGGAGGAGAATAACAAGAGAATGTATATACATGCTCCAAGGCAACAAATTCCAGTCTTTATGGAATTTCAGTGAGTGGACCTGGCATCAGGCATTGACCTCTGAGAAAAAGGAAGTGGTGAGTGAAGCAAGAATGGATGAGATCCTTGTTACTTCTCTCGCCTGTTCATATCCTCTCAGCACCATCTGGATGTGGTGTAAATCAGGAAACTGTATGGGAATGGTGAATGAGACCCTGTGTTTGAGTATTAAGCAATTCTAAGCAACTAGGTCGGGAAGTATGAAGAGGGATTTAGGTAAGTTCAGCCAAGTTTGCTCTATGCTGGCAACTACAGAAAATACGTAGTGACAGGGCAAGAAAGTTTTTCTCTTTTTATTTTTATTTGAGGATTGAATGCAGGAAACCACTGAAAAAAATTAAGTTTGTGGGTTTTTTTTTTTTTTTTGAGACGAGTCTCGCTCTGTTGCCCAGGCTGGAGTGTAGTGGCGCGATCTCGGCTCACTGCAACCTCCGCCTCCTGGGTTCAAGCAATTCTTCTGCCTCAGCCTCCCAAGTGGCTGGGATTACAGATGCATGCCACCAAACCCAGCTAATTTTTTATATTTTTGGTAGAGACGGTTTCGTCATGTTGGCCAGGCTGGTTTTGAACTCCTGACCTCGTGATCAGCCCACCTCAGCCTTCCAAAGTGTTGGGATTACAGGTGTGAGCCACTGTGCCTGGCCTAAGTTTGTGGATTTCTATTGATTGCCTGTGAGCTATCCCTATCCTTATCTCCCTCACCATTTAAAGTTTGGGGGAGAAGGACTACACTCTTTCAAACTAATATGTGCCTTTATGGCAAAGCTGAAGGGATGTGAAATGCCATGGAACAAGCATTGATGTATAGATATCCAGAAGATACCATTTCCGCTCAAAATCCTCTTATTATGGAAAGGTGATCCCAGATATTCAAAGTGTGGTCCATGGACCAGCAAATTCAACAATATGAGCAAGGTTGTTAGAAAAGCAAGGTATAGGACCCAACCCAGAAATATTGAATATCTAGTATTCAGTATTTTGGATATTCAAATACTGGATATTCAGTATTTCTGGGTTGGGCCTGATATGGACATATAACCTGAATTTTAAAAGATTTACTGGTTATTTGTAGAAATATCAAAGTGGGAGAACCACTTTTCTAATTAATACTAAAATTGGTAAAATCAAAACCATGTGCATAGGTTTGTAATTACCTTAACAGTAATTATATTACATGCAAATGGATTAAACACTTCAATCAAAAGGCAGAGATTTATAGAATGGATAAAAATGTTATCCGCCAGGTGCAGTGGCTCATGCCTGTAATCCTAACACTTTGGGAGGCCAAGGCAGGAGGACTGCTTGAGCCCAGGAGTTTGAGAATAGCCTAGGCAACAAGGTGAGATCCCGTCTGTACAAAAAATTTTTAAAAATTAGCCAGGCATGGTGGCAAGCACCTGTGGTTCCAGCTACTCAGAAGGCTGAGGTGGGAGGATTGCTTGAGCCTGGGAGGTCTAGGCTGCAGTGTGCTGTGATTGTGCCACTGCACTCCACCCTGGGCAGCAGAGAGGCCCTGTCTCAAAAAAAAAAAAAAAAAAAAAAAAAGGAAAAATGCTATCCAAGCACTAGATATAAGTGACACACTGTAGATTTAAAGACCCAATTAGGTTGGCAGTAAAAGGATGGAAAGGAATATATGATGCAAACAGTAACCCAAAGGGAACTAAAGCTGCTCCGATAATTTCAGACAAAATACACCCTAAGACAAAAACTGTTACCAGAGACAAAGAAGGATATTTTGTATTGATAAAAAGGTCAATCCATCAAGAAGATACAACATTTATAAATATGTATGTAACCTAGCAAAAGAGTGCCAGATAGTTGAGACACAAACTGATAGAATTGAAGGGGAAAATAGAACGGTGTAACAATAATAGAGATTTCAATACTCCTCATTCAATAATGGATAAAACAACTAGAGAGAAGATCAGCAATGAATTACAAGACTTAAACAACAATATAAATCAATTGAACCTAACAGTTACTTATAAAACACTCTACCACCCAACAATAAACACTTTTTGAAGTCAATATGGAACATTATCCAGAGACCCTATATTAGGCCATAAAACAAGAATTAATATAATTAAAAGGATTTAAACCATACAAAGTATATTCTCTAACTAGGATGGACTCAAATTACAAAGCAACAATATAAGGAAATTTGAAGAATCCAGTATGTAGAAACTGAATAACACATGCGTAACCAATCCATGAGTCAAAGGGGATGTCAGAAAATTAAAACACAGCAGGCCATCGCGGTGGCTTACACCTGTAATCCCAGCACTTTGGGAGGCCGAGGCGGGCGGATCACCTGAGGCTGGAAGTTCGAGACCAGACTGACCAACATGAAGAAACCCCGCCTCTACTAAAAATACAAAATTAGCCAGGCATAGTGGCGCATGCCTGTAATCCCAGCTACTTGGGAAGACTGAGGCAGGAGAATCGCTTGAACCTGGGAGGCGGAGGTCGCGGTGAGCCAAGATCATGCCATTGTACTCCAGCCTGGGCAACAAGAGCGAAACTCCATCTCAAAAAAAAAAAAAAAAGAAAGAAAATTAAAACACAACATATCAAAATTTACACAATGCCGATAAAATAGTGGTTAAAAGAAAATTTATAGCTTCCAATTCTTATAATAGAAGAAAGGTCTTAATCAATAATCTAGGTTTTTATCATAAAAATCAGGAAAAAGAAGAGTAACCCAGACCAAAGATAAGCAGAAGAAGGAAATAATAAATGATGCCATTGCAGGACCTCAAAAACATGCTAAACGAAAAGAGTCAGATCACTTATATATGTCCAGAAAAGCCAAATTCACTAAGAGAGTAGACTAATCGTTGCCTAGGGCATCAATGGGGATGAACTGGAAATGGGTTGAGAGATCTTAAGGAGGGGATGAAAATGTTCTAACACTTATTTATGATGATGGTTGCACACACTTGGTAGTTACTAAAAATCACTGCATTATACATTTATTTGAGGGTGATTTTGAGTGATCCAAAATAAACCACAAAAATCCTTTTTTAAAAAGCCATAAACACAGAAGGACTGGGAAACCATAAAAGAGTCACATATGAAAAAACGTGGGATGTTATAATGCAGATAGATGAATACTAAAAGAATAGCAGATCCTAGAAAACTGAAGTCTAAGGCAGCAGAGGGTAGAATCTGAGAACCGACTCAGTTTCTACTTGCAGAACCTCCAAAGCTCAGCAATTGGCAGCACCAGATACTTCTGGAGGTGAAGGGGCAGTTAAAATCAGGAGGATTGGTTAAATGTCCATAGGCAATTCTCCTTAGTCTGGGCAGAAGTTTGTTTAGCATGTGGAAAAGGTATAACAGAGGTTCTCTGGCCACGGAGACATCAGGTGGGTCTTAAGGAAGTTGCCGCAACAGACATAGAGGATCATACGAATGAATGGAAAACCAATGACAGATTTCCCAGACTCCCTCCACTCAGCTCCCAGAACACTCACAGCATGGCTTTCCCTTCCACGTGGGAGCCTTCTCTGGGAAAATACAAGCCACCCAAAGAAGAAAAATCAATAGATAACTGAACTCAGATGTTCCCCAACCAACTACCTAGAAAATCACCCTGCAGTGGGGGATCAACAAGCCCTACTCAGGCACTCAGGGCTACCAATCAACTTTTCATCTTTCACTAAAAAACAAGAATACTGTGGCAGCCACTCTCTAAAATGACCCTAATTAATAATCGCTGATCCCTAAAAAGAACACTTTTGTGTAGTCCCTGCTACCCTGAATAGGGCTAAACTGGTGTAAGCTAGGATAGTGCCTATCTGAAGAATAGAACTGCAGACACAGAGGTGAGAAAAGAATTTTTAAAATTCTTAAAATTGAGAGACCTGCATTCCAGATTGAAAGGGCTCACCACCGTGAAATTTTAGAACACCAGGAATGAGAAGATGCTATAAACTTCCACAGAAGAAAAATAAAAAACAAAGCAATGATAAAAGGCCTTATGAAAAGATCAAAAATTGGAATTACTTTGGACTTCCCAATAGCTATTCTAGAAAATCAAGAAAATGAAGCAATGCCTTCAAAATCTAAAGGAAACTTTTAACTTAGAATGTGATATCCTAGCAAATTAAAAAACATAAAATGAAAATTCTAGGGGCCGGGCATGGTGACTCATGCCTGTAATCCCAGCACTTTGGGAGGCTGAGGTGGGTGGATTGCTTGAGCCCAGGAGTTTGAGACCAGCCTGGGCAACATGGCAAAACCCTCTTTCTACAAAAAATACAAAAATTAGCTGGGTGCGGTGGTGCACACCGGTAGCCCAGCTACTCAGGAGGCTGAGACAGGAGAATTGCTTGAACCCAGGAGGCAGAGGTTGCAGTGAGCTGAGATCGCGCCATTGCACTCCAGCCTAGGCAACAACACTGAAATTCTGTCTCAAAAAAAGAAAAAAAAATCAGCCAGGCGTGGTGGCGCATGCCTGTAGTCCCAGCTACGTGGGAGGCTGAGAAATGGGATGATCACTTGAGCCTAGGAGGTCGAGGCTGCAGTGAACCAAGATGGTACCACTGCACTCCAGGCTGGGCAACAGAGCAAGACCCTGTCTCAAAAAAAAAAAAAATTCTACCTCCTATAAACCCATTTGGAAGGAAATTGCCCTAGGATTCATTACACCATAAGAACAGAATATAGTAACAAAGAACACTCCAGATATAGGAAAATGGGTGATCCAACACAGGAGAGAGGCTAAAGGAACCTGCAGAATGATGGTGTCTTAGTCAACTTGGGCTAACGTAACAATGCTGTGTGCCAGGTGGCCTAAACAACAGAAATTGATTTTCTCAGCTCTGGAGGGTTGGAATCTGAGCTCAGGGTCCCAGCAAGGTAGGTCTGTGGTGAGAGCTTTCTTCTTAACTTGAGATGGCAGCCCTCTTACTTTGTCTTCACATGGCACAAGGGGGTAGGGATAGGACAGGAGAGAGCAAGAGTGAGAGCGAGAATGTATGTATGAGCCTGGGCCTACACAAGAGAGAGTGATCTCTAGAATTTCTTCTTTGAAAGGGCACCAATCATATCATGAGGGCCCTAACCTCATGATCTCATTTAACCTTAATTAATTCACAAGGCCCCATCTCCAAATGTCATCACATTAGAGATGAGGGCTTCATCATTCGAATTATGGGGAGACCCAAACATTCAGTCCATCATATATTGGTAAAGGGAGATGCCTGGATGATACGCATGGGAGTAGCCACCTTCAGTAAGATGAAATGGACAGAACATCTCAAGTATATACATTGAAGGTCTTAAGTTTGAAGCTTGGAAAAATGTTGAGGTTGAATTACAGATCAGTACATGGAAAGCAAAAACAATAATAATAATAACAAAAACTCAAAAACAATAAAAACAGGACACATTTTGAGCGGACACATTTTGCAAGATACAGCTCACCTCTGGTCATAATCATAGTAAATACCAAAGACTTATTTAACTAAGTTTATGATATAATAATTACTGGGAAAATGAGATATAAAAGGGTACACATGTGTGGTGAGAGCAGGAGAGAGAACTACATACTCATCTTCCACTGTACAGAGGCATCAGAAAATGACCAAACTTGAAAAATCATGGAGCAACAATGCAACTATGGGGTTAAGATGTGGAGATAAACATCAAAACAACCAACTAAAAAAGCTTGACTCTTTGGAAGATTGATTTTTTTTTTTTTTTTTTTTTTTGAGACAGAGTCTTACTCTGTCGCCAGGCTGGAGTGCAGTGGCGTGATCTCAGCTCACTGCAACCTCCGACTCCCTGGTTCAAGCGATTCTCCTGCCTCAGCCTCCCGAGTACCTGGGATTACAGGCATGCGCCACCACACCCAGCTAATTTTTGTATTTTTAGTAGAGACGAGGTTTCACCATGTTGGCCAGGATGGTCTCGATCTCCTCACCTCATGATCCACCGCCTCGGCCTCCCAATGGAAGAGTAATTTCGTACGCTCTCGAATGTGTTAACTGCAACGGAGGGGCAGGGCATGCGCACAGAGAGTTCCACCTGTGTAGACCCATCCTCCCATGGTAGCTTCTCTCCGTTACATGGACAAAGCACCACTGATAGAGAGTGCCCAACAGAGGCAAGACCCAAAAAGACCCGTTCTCTAATGCATCCCTCACTCCCATGGCATTTCCTTTCTATTACTTTCTTTACTTCCTATTACTTTCCAGAAAGTCCTTTCTATTACAGGAGTAACACCGAAGAGTGTACTCCCAAGGCAGTGACAGTCCTGAGCAAAGAATGCTGGACTTGGAATCAGGAACCCTAGAGTCAAAGCTTTGCTCTACGTCTTCCCTGGGACCACTTACTGACATACACACATCTGTTTCCTCATCTAGAAGACAGAGAACATGCCTTGGCTCTAAGAGGGCTGTGGTGAGAACAAGTTAAATAAAAGAAGTAAACGCGCTTTGTAAGTTGCGGCATGTAAGTTGCATGGATTAGGGGAACTCTCCCACATTCACACTGCATAACTCTGACTTCTTTCCCCAGTGGCAACCAAAGTCCTTTAGTTGGTGCATGAGCCAGAAATTCTCTGGCGTATTCATTGCCTGGTATATCTGGTATGCTATCTTCTGGCTTAGCCTCATCTTCCTAAACAAAGGGAACAAGGTGCAAATAGCATGGCAAGATAGCGCTGGGATTCTCTCCTGCTTCCCTAGGAGTCACCCTCACCTGGCTTTTTCCTGGTCTGTGGGTGCCAAGGTCATCTTAATTACCCCTCAAAACTAGAAAGAAAGACAGTTACACTTGATCGAAAAAAAAGGAAACAAATGTACCAGAAGAACTATACCAAAAACAATGTAGCTGTTCTTAGAGAAAAGTTACTGGTGAAGCAGAAAAATCTGTCCTTATATAGCAATGACTGGTGAGCTCCAAATTTTGATGTAAATTAGATTCTAAGGTTTTTTAAAAAAAGGTTTCACTACCTCAAAATGTAGAATGAAGCAAGATGTATGAATTAAAGTAAACCAGGCTTCCTGGAATAATAGAAATGGCATATTATGCTACAATAGCTTATTATACCCTGAAGGCCCCTATCATGTTTTACAGTCGCATGCATGCTGTAATTTTTTCAAGTTTCCATGAATATT
This sequence comes from Homo sapiens, assembly GCF_000001405.40. Lineage (NCBI taxonomy): Eukaryota > Metazoa > Chordata > Mammalia > Primates > Hominidae > Homo > Homo sapiens. Next base: position 32,929,192 of record NC_000007.14, read on the forward strand.
AAATTTCAATAGAAAGATGGTTTTTAAGAATCTTTTTTTTTTTTTCTTTGAGACAGTCTTGCTCTGTCATCCAGGCTGGAGTGCAGTGGTGCAATGTCAGCCCATTGCAACCTCCACCTCCCAGGTTCAAGAGATTCTCCTGCCTTGGCTTCCTGAGTAGCTGGGATTACAGATGTGCACCACCACGTCCAGCTAATTTTTTTGTATGTGTGTATTTTTAATAGAGACAGTGTTTTGCCATGTTGCCCAGGCTGATTTCGAACTCCTGACCTCAGGTGGTCCACCTGCCTCAGCCTCCCAAAGTGCTGGGATTTTAGGCATGTGCCACTGCGCTTGGCGAAGAATCTTTCTCCATTGACAGTTACGAAACAGCAAGTTTTCTTGGCCGTGGCCTGCCACTCTAAGTCTCCCTCGTGCGCACACACCCTGGTGCCGTAGCCAGGAGCTGCAGGAAGGATGCCTCCACCGGGGAGCTGGACTGGATGAGCTGTCGGGTCTCCTCGGAGTTGACTGCTCTCTGAGCTGCTGATACTCAAGAAACCAACACAGGATGGACTGAGGGACTGAGCCAAGTAAGGCTGACAAGAAAAGGAGGCAGCTGAGCTTAAAGATGCCGTTCCCCAGTCAGAGAGAAGGGGGCCACGGCCAAGGAACCCATGTGGGCCTGCACTGGTTCCTCAGGGAAGGGAAACATGGCTGATGAAATTTCCACAAAGGCAGAGGCTTGTGACAACACTAAAAATTATGACCCCTCAGTCATCTGCAGGAAAGAAACAGGCTTTTCATAAAAGGGCATTTAAATGTCATGCAACCATTTTTCATAATGCATTACTGAGTCTGTAAGTATGTCTAGTGGGATAACCAAGAGTACAAACTTCACACTAACCTTGATAAGCCCAGGAGGAGGTTTTTCATAACTGGAAAACAAAAAACAAAACCATCAACCATTTTAATGGGAACGTAACATACTTTTATGAACAAAAGACAGCAGCCAGGTCAGAATAAAAAGGAGATTCTTAGAGAAAATTCAAAACTACATTTTAGTATATTATATCTAAAACAGTTAATAAAATATGCTCAGCATTCCAGATCACATATAAACTGATGAGATAACACATCCTGCAGAGATCCAGAAATTATGTTCATTGAAATAACTAATGTCTCTCAGCACAATGATCTTATTTGGAGGAGAAAGGAAAGCAAGAGGTTGCAGGGAGAGCATGAGGTGAGAAGACAGTGGGTCCTCTGGTTCCAAAACATCACTGTGTTTTTCTCAGGTTACTGACCTAGCATAACATCCATGTACTCAACACTGAACAGGCTCCTGGGGGAAAAGAGTGCAATCTGTTCCAACACAGTGTGGGGGCACAGCGGAGGATGCACAGAGCTGCGTGGACAGGCCCGTCCCAGAGGCACCCTCACCCATGGGCCTGCAACGCCAGCTCCAATTCCACCCGCCCGCCCGCCTGCCTGCCAGGTTTACAGATGTTGAGGCCAGGACACAGCACCCCAAAAATGACTGCACAGCACCAGAATATGCCACCCTAAAATATGCTTCATTGGCATATTAATTATTTCAAGCTGATTACTTTGAGAAACTGCAGACAAGGAGTAGCCCTGAAGAGCTGCCATTTTGTAAGAGAAATTTACATCGATTATATAAAGCAAATTTACATTAGTAATAAAGGAGTTTGTATCAGGAAAGGAGCTGCTCCCAGACAAATTTTATTACATGAAAGACTTTTATCTACATAAAAAGGCAAACTTTATTCACCATATGTTTCCTCCCCCATCCTCCCATAATTTATTTCTACCCCTCCCCCAAGAAGCCCCAATCCCCTGTTCCTTTCTGCAGCTGAGGATGCTATATAAGGTTCCTCTGGTGCTTCTTTGAGTCTCATACTTTTGTGGGACTCCCATACATAGAGATATAATTAAGATTTTTTTCCTCCTGTTAATCCATCTTATGTTCATTTAATTCATAGCCTACCCAAAGAATTTAGAAGGGTGTAGGGAAGCCATTTTTCCTTCCCCCGCACAGACAGGTATTACCTGGGAAGAGCAGAACGCTTCTCCTCCCTGTGCTAGGTGGCACCTGCCACCAAAGATGGGCCAGGACTTCCTTATTTCCATCCAGGGACTGAACCCGAGGGAGACCCAGAATGCTGAGCACGCAAAGTCTGTATCTGGGACAGGCGGCGAGATGCGAAGGAAATTCTGCAGGTGAGGTGTTCGTGCACTCAAAGAGCAACTCGGGCTCTTAGAGGGATTCACACCTCCCCCAAAAAAGTAAGACAAATATTTGTAGCTCAGATCTGTGCCTTAACCCTCTAAACCTACAAGGAAGTACTCATTTTAATACTTCAGAATGGCTGCAAAGTATAGGAATGCTTAATGATTTAATGTTCTCTTCATCCTGAACCATTCCTTATGAACTGATTTTAGAGACCCTTTTGGAACACAGTAAATACTGGAGGAGGGAGGGATTAAGGGGAACAGACTAAGGAGAAAGTGAAATGCTTTCCCTTCCATTCGCCTCCAAGGTGTCAGAGAAAAGGACTTTGCCAGAGTACAGATGAGAAATGGCACAGGTCGCTACAGCAAGAAAGATTTCCCTTTGGCTTCATCTGTGGACACTGTCAAAGGACTCCTCTCACCCTCACTATCACTGATCCATGGAATAGGAGAACCTACTCCACAAAGATTACATAGTAAACAACTGGGTAGTAGCGGAGTTAGCTTTTTAGGTATGATACAGTGCTTTTCCAAAGTAAATACTTAAAATATCTTCTAATGGAAAGCTGTGGTGTGTCATAAGCAAGAATAATGGTAAGATGATACAGACCTCCTGCAGCCATCCTTTAGAGGTGTTAATACTATGCCTTGGCCGCTCACGCCTGTCATCCCAACACTTTGAGAAGCTGAGGCAAGAGGATCACTTGAGGCTAGGAGTTTGCCATCAGCCTCGGCAACATAGCAAGACCTCATCTCTACAAAATAAAAAATTAAAAAAGGCTGGGTGCGGTGGTTTATGTCTGTAATCCCAGCACTTTGGGAGGCCGAGACGGGCGGATCACGAGGTCAGGAGATCGAGACCATCCTGGCTAACACGGTGAAAACACGTCTCTACTAAAAATCCAAAAAAATTAGCCGGACACAGTGGCAGACGCCTGTAGTTCCAGCTACTCAGGAGGCTGAAGCAGGAGAATGGTGTGAACCCGGGAGGCAGAGCTTGCAGTGAGCCAAGATTGCACCACTGCACTCCAGCCTGGGCAACAGAGCGAGACTCTGTCTCAAAAAATAACAAATAAACAATTAAATAAAAATTAAAAAATATTATGCCTTATGCACAGAGGCCTAAGAGAGTTTGGAAGGGAGGTGGTAAAGTCTATGAAAATATCCAATAATCCAACAAATAATTATTTTTGCCACAGGAGCTGAACAAACAACATATGGCCAAACTAAGTTCCAAATTCCTGAAAAATATGTAACTATATTGCCTAGATGGAAAAGGAATGTGATAGAACTGCACATTCTGAATTCTATTATTATTTGCAATGGCATTTCCTAAATAGTCCATTTTACAAGAGTTCCCACCAGTTTAAGGGGGGGGGGGCGCTGATGCTTTTTTCCCTGGGGCTAAACAATTCATTAGTTTATGTAGCATGTTAAGATATTTCCAAAGTTTAAAATAATATTCAGCCAGGCATGGTGGCTCACACCTGTAATCCCAGCACTTTGGGAGGCTGAGGTGGGTGGATGACTTGAGGTCAGGAGTTCAAGATCAGCCTGGCCAACATGGGGAAACCCCATCTCTACTAAAAATACAAAAATTAGCTGGGTATGGTGGTGCACACCTGTAGTCCCAGCTACTCGGGAGGCTGAGGCAGGAGAATCGCTTGAAGCCAGGAGATGGAGGTTGCAGTGAGCTGAGGTCACACCACTGCATTCCAGCCTGGGCGACAGAGCGAGACCATCTCAAAAAAAAAAAAAAAAAAAAAAAAAAAAAAGCAAATGAATAAAACTCAGGCTCTTATTAACTACTTTAAAAATACAAAATAAATCATAGGTCACTATTTGATGCAAAAGTGAATGATATTGCAAAGTAATACTTATGTTAATATTAACTACTAATTTAGCAAAAATTATTATAATATGACTACATAGGAAGGAAGGAGACAAGGGTAGTAAAACAACTAAAATCTTACCTACTCTGTCCTCAGTTGAATAGCTGTAGGAGACCAGAATATGCTACCTCAAAGCACACCTTTTTGGCTAAGGATCATTTTGAGAAACAGCAGACACAGGGGAAGCTCTGAAAAGAGAGCCGAAGTCACCCTTTTGTAAGACAAATGTTCATCTATAAAGGGAATCTCCATTTCAGGTGAGACCCTTTTTTTTTTTTTTTTGAGATGCGGTCTTTCTCTGTCACCCAGGCTGGAGTGCAGTGGCTTGATCTCTGCTCACTGCAACCTCTGCCTCCCGGTTCAAGCGATTCTCCTGCCTCAGCCTCTTGAGTAGCTGGGATTACAGGTGCGCACTATCACGCCCGGATAATTTTTTTTGTTTTTAGTAGAGACGGGGTTTCAACATGTTGCTCAGGCTGGTCTCGAACTACTGACCTCGTGATCTGTCCACCGCGGCCTCTCAAAGTGCTGGGATTACAGGCGTGAGCCACCGCTCCTGGCCACAGGTGAGACCCTTTCTATATAAGAAAGAGAAAAATGTCTCTCAATCACAAGAGAATGCTAACAACGGGGAAAGCACAGACACAAACCTGCATAACAAACCTTACCTTTATTTATCATACTTTTCTTGGTCACTATCCCATAGCTCAGTTCCCCCATATCTTTCTTTCTTTGATTTAGCTGAACATGGTATTTAAGCCTGAATCCAAAACCACTTCTTCAAGATTTTTCATTCCACTGGGTATCTCCCATGTATATAGAACATATACATGGTAATAAACTTCTGCTTGTTTTTTTCTGTTTGTTTGTTGGAGAGAGAGTTTCGCCCTCATTTCCAGGCTGGAGTGCAATTCACCGCAACCTCCACCTCCCGGGTTCAAGCGATTCTCCTGCCACAGCCTCCCGAGTAGCTGGAACTACAGGCGCACGCCACCACGCCTGGTTAATTTTTGTATTTTTGGTAGAGACGCGGTTTCACCATGTTGGCCAGGATGGTCTCGATCTCTTGACCTAGTGATCTGCCCACCTCGGCCTCCCAAACTGCTGGGATTACAGGCGTGAGCCACTGCGCTCAGCCTTTTTTTTTTTTTTTAAGATAGAGTTTCACTCTTGTTGTCCAGGCTAGGGTACAACGGCACAATCTTAGCTCAACGCAACCTCCGCCTCCCGAGTTCAAGCGATTCTCCTGCCTCAGCCTCCTGAGTAGCTGGGATTATAGGCATGTGCCACCAGGCCCGGCTAATTTTGTATTTTTAGTAGAGACAGGGTTTCTCCATGTTGGTCAGGCTGGTCTCAAACTTCTGACCTCAGGTGATCCGCCCGCCTCAGCCTCCCAAAGTGCTGGGAGTACAGGCGTGAGCCACTGTGCCTGGCAATGCTTGTTTTTTTTTTATTATTAATCTTCTGTTACAGGGGCCCTGGACCTTAGAAGAGTGGAAGGAAAAAAACTTTCCCCTTAAATAGATAATGTCCATTACGGAATCAAAAAAGGCAATATAAGGCTGGGCATGGGGGCTCATGCCTATAATCCTAGCACTTGGGAGGCCAGGGTGGGAGGAATCCTTAAGTCCAAAACCAGCCTGGGCAACACAGCTAGACCCTCTTTCTAAAAAACGAGGAAGGAAGGGAGGAAGGGAGGGAGGAAGGGAGGGAGGGAGGGAGACAGTGAGGGAAAGAAAGGCAAGAAACATGATTTTAAAATAAACAGTTACAGCCTTGCGCAGTGGCTCACACCTGTAATCCCAGCACTTTGGGAGGCCAAGGCGGGTGGATCACAAGGTCAGGAGATCAAGACCATCCTGGCTAACACGGTGAAACCCCATCTCTACTAAAAATACAAAAAATTAGCTGGGCATGGTGATGGGTGCCTGTAGTCCCAGCTGCTCGGGAGGCTGAGGCAGGAGAATGGCATGAACCTGGGAGGCGGAGATTGCAGTGAGCCGAAATGGCGCCACTGCACTGCAGCCTGGGCGACAGAGCTAGACTCCGTCTCAAAAAAAAAAAAAATAGTAATAATAATAAAATAAAATAAGCAGTTATGTCCCAGATGAAAAAACTAAGTTTCCTCACAGAAGTCTTGATAGGGGAGAGGGGTGCAGAGAATATATAGGGTAACTGGAGTCTCAAACCACTATTTTTTTAAATTAGCCTTTTCTTATGAGTTCACTTGAGTCAAGAAAAAAAAAGCCTTTGGTACTATTTGATTAAACAGTTTAAATTACATGAAGTATTACTCTGGAATGAATAACATTTGATTTAAAAGCAAACAAGTCTCTGAACTAGCCAAAGGAAACATATTGACAGTCCAGTCAGTTGCAAATCTCTGAAACTAGAAAACCCCAGTGCTCTGAGAATCTTAGCCCATATTATGCTGATATAACGGAATACCTGAGACTGGGCAATTTACAAGGAATGGAGATGTATTTCTTATAGTTCTGGAGGCTAGAAAGTCCAAGGTCAAGGGGCTAGCATCTGGCAGGGGATTTCTTTGCTTCATCATCCCATAGCAGAAGGCAGAAGAGCAAGAGAGAGCATGGGTGGTGATGGACAGCAAATTCATGTTTTTATCAGAAACCCACTCCAGCAATAACTAATCCACTCCTAACAGCGCCTATCCACTTATAAGGGCAGAGCCGGCTGGGTGCGGGGGCTCACACCTGTAATCCCACGACTTTGGGAGGCCGAGGCGGGTGGCTCATGAGGTCAAGAGATGGAGACCATCCTGGCCAACATGGTGAAACCCTGTCTCTACTAAAAATACAAAAATTAGCTGGGCGTGGTGGTGTGCGCCTGTAGTCCCAGCCACTTGGGAGGCTGAGGCAGGAGAATTGCTTGAACCTGGGAGGCGGAAGTTGCAGTGAGCCGAGGTCACACCACTGCACTCCAGTCTGGCGACAGAGTGAGACTCCGTCTCAAAAAACAAACAAAAAGGGCAGAGCCCTCCTGACATAATCACATCTTAAAAGTCCTCTCTCTCAACACTGTTACATTGGGTATTAAGTTTCAATAAATGAACTTTTTGAGACAAGAGTTTCACTGTGTTGCCCACTCTGAAGTGCAGGCCTGATCACAGTTCATTGCAGCCTCAACCTCTCAGGCTTAAGTGATCCTTCTACCTCAGCCTACAGAGTAGCTGGGACTACAGGTGCACATTACCATACCCAGCTAATCTTTATTTTTATTGTAGAGATGGGTTCTCAATATGTTGGCCAGGCTGGCTGGTCTCAAACTCCTGGGCTCAAGCAATCCACCCACCCAGTCCTCTCAAAGTGCTGGGATTACAGGCATGAGCCACTATGCCCAGCTCTCCAATACATCAACTTCGAGGACACATTCAAACCATGGCAGAAGTAAACATCTGGTTTTGCTAGTTTATAGGTCTATATTACTTAGCTGGTGAGGTTCCATTTTATCATTTGCAAAAGCAGGTTATAATCTCTCTGCTGTCTAGGAGCTACAAAATAAACACATGGTATTAACCACTGTGTGGCATCCTACAGCTAAATATACTGAGTGTTGGGCAGGGCCAGGCCCTGCCTGCAGTTATGCTAGAGAAAGATCTTTAAACATCTGTCTTCCATGGGAGAACAAGAGCACCACCCGGTTACTTGAAAAGGCCGAAATGCCCAGTAATGTGGATGCCCACAATGCAGGGTCTCCAACCTGCAACCACTGCCCTGTTAAGGTGAAAAGTCATTCAGCTCTTGGGCCACCAAAAAGTAGGCCAGACTCCACCAAAAAACTGCATTTTGTATGCAATCTCCCAGAAGTCTGATTATGAAGGATTTTAACTCCTTGAGGACCTTTCCTTACATGACCCACATAGCATAGGTAACAAAAAGTGCCTGTGACAGAAACAAACTGTTGACTGAGTGAACATCACACTATGTCAACCCCCCAAAAAGAAAAACGAAGGCAAAATTAATGTCAGTAGAGTTCATTTGAGCCAAATTTGAGGACTGCAAGCTGGGAGTATCTATTTAAGTTGCCCGGAATATACACTCCTGGGTTGCAGTCCTCAAACTTGGCCCAAAATAAACTCTATACTTATATTAATTTAGCTTCAGTTTTTTCCTTTGGGTCAACATATCTGGCATAGTTGGCAGAATAGGTCCCTCCCTCCACCACTGCCCAGTGTTTCTCTCTGAAAGCGGCACTTGGTACCAACATGAACTCCTATCTCTGACTTTCCTAAGGTCAGGGGATCAGGATTTTTATCTGCCAACACATGGGTCTTAAGTCGCCAATTTACTTTGGTTTGGGGCCAAGGTCTTGTTGCATTGTGACCTTTCATTATGGAAACTGTGCTTGTTTCACCCTGGACCAACCTCTCTTGGAGTCCCTTTTCCTAATTTATGAGAATGAATACTTCCCTCCGAAGATTAAAGGCACTCACTCCCTCTGGCCCATTAGGGAACTCTAAATAATCAGAGACTTGGCGAGGTGCCAGGACTTTGTCCATAACATTCAGTGGCCTTACAGGGTTTCCTCTGTGAGAACATCTGTACCCTCTCACCCTGCCAGTGAGTGTGCATAAAGGCTGGTCATCTTGCATTTGTGAGTCCTCTGTGACCTTCAGGGGATTCAGCGTTTCTGAGACACATAAGAGAGGAGACCTGACTTACTGGTGACACACCGAAGTGATACACTCACAAGCGGCACATTTAGGCCCAAAACACTGCTCAGAGTCATGAATGATTCAGGTCTCTAAATTATGGGTAACAAATCATCCGGGTCTGAGGACTCCCCAAGGAGGCACCCTCCCTCGGAGACACCAGCTGGTTTTATGTGCAATACCTGCTGAGTTTCATCTTATAAGTATTTGCACACATTGGCCCACATGACTCGAGAGGACCCCAAATTATGATGGCCAATATAGGGGTCCTTTGAAAGGCCTAAAGTAATTCAATTTTCTGCACAATTGGGAAAAGCTGGGTTTAGAACCAGACAAATTAAATGGGAAATCTCCTTTCTGTTTGCCCTGGCTGAAATCTGCTCATGAGAGATATAAAAAAATTTTTTTAAAGAGCTGTGTGGTCGGCCGGGCGCAGTGGCTCACGCCTGTAATCCCAGCACTTTCGGAGGCTGAGTTGGGTGGATCATGAGGTCAGAAGTTCGAGACTAGCCTGACCAACATGGTGAAACCCCATCTCTACCAAAGATACAAAAATTAGTCAGCTGTGGTGGCGCACGCCTGTAATCCCAGCTACTCTGGAGGCTGAGGCAGGAGAATCACTTGAACCTGGGAGGTGGAGGTTGCAGTGAGCCAAAATCATGCCACTGCACTCCAGCCTGGGTGACAGAGTGAGACTCCATCTCAAAAAAAAAAAAAAAAAAAAAAAAAAAGCTCTGTGGTCAGAGTCAGCTGCTTAATTAAAGGCTGACATTCAGGCTATAATTTTTTTTTTTTTTTTTTTTGAGAACTAAAAAAGGCCCTTCTGCTTTTTCTCTTTTCGATCTTATTCCTGATAATATTTTTCAGTCGACTGAAACCCCTTTTAAAAAAATGTTGGAGGCCACTGTTTGCTTCCTACCTTGTTGGCATTATTTTGGTTGAGAAAAATGTAAAACTTCATTGGCCTTTTAGAAAGCTTAAAATCTCCCAAACTGGCCCCTCTAATACTTAACTCTTCCATTTCCTTCCACTTCTGCTCCTTCTCCCTTTTGCCATCTTGAACACATAGGAGACTTCTGGCACTCCTGAGACCCCTTGAGTACACGGAAAAAGGGGCCATGCCCACCCTTTTTTGGGGTCTTCAGTCTTTCTCATGGAATCTAAGAGTCATGAGTAGGCTTCTCTCAGGTCTGTGGCTCTGCTCTATTTTGCACGGAGTTTCTGGATCTCTGGCTTTTGGAGTATGAGGTATTACTTTGTATTGTGGTGGAGAACTTGACATTTTCATGTGTGATGGCTGGCAAGTCACTGGCAAAAGCTGCAGTTTTGGAAGTGGCTGACAGCTGTTGCAGTGAATGGTCACTACTGAAGGAGGCAACTTGTTTCTTTGCCTGTTTAGATTTAAAAGGTGTGCTTTGAACACTTGAAGACTCCTGTGGGAGAGAGGCTGACTGCAGAGTGGACTGATGGAGTCAGGTCGCCCACCAGCCTCTGTGAAATGTCCTTGTATTGAGGAAAACTGTGGAAAGAATTCACACTGGTTCAGTCGTATTTCCCTCTTCTTGGGGACCTGGGATTCAATGTAAAAGTAGAATCCTTAAATTTTAAAGATCTGAATGTTCTGCCTTTCAGCTGTGCCTGCTTTTCACATATTTAAATATTAGGCCCTGAAAACTGCAACTTCTTTCACTGTCCTATTCATTAAGAGGCTCCATCCTGAAGTCAGAAATCTCATTAAGAAACAATCGATCTGGCTCACGCCTGTAATCCCAGCACTTTGGAAGGCCGAGACAGGCAGATCACTTGAGTATGGGAGTTCGAGACCAGCCTGAACAACATGGCGAAACCCTCTCTCTACTAAAAATACAAAAATTAGCTGGGTGTGGTAGCAGGTGCCTGTAATCTCAGCTACTCCAGCTACTCAAGAGGCTGAGGCACGAGAATCTCTTTTTTTTTTTTTTTTTTTTTTTTTTTTTTTTTTTTGAGACGGAGTCTCGCTTTGTCACCCAGGCTGGAGTGCAGTGGCACCATCTCGGCTCACTGCAAGCTCCGCCTCCCGGGTTCATGCCATTCTCCTGCCTCAGCCTCCCGAGCAGCTGGGACTACAGGTGTCCGCCACCACGCCCGGCTAATTTTTTGTATTTTTAGTAGAGACGAGATTTCACCACGTTAGCCAGGATGGTCTCAATCTCCTGACCTCGTGATCCGCCGGCCTCGGCCTCCCAAAGTGCTGGGTTTACAGGCGTGAGCCACCGCGCCCGGCAGAGAACCTCTTGAACCCGGGAAGCAGAAGTTGCAGTGAGCTGAGATAGCGCCACTGCACTCCAGCCTGGGCAAAAGAGGGAGACTCTGCCTCAAAAAAAAAGAAGAACAAGAAGAAGAAGAAGAAACAATCTATCAAACTAAATCAGTTGACAAAATGCAACTTCCTGACATTTAGCTGGCTACTTTGAAACTCTGTTTAAAAAAAAAAAAAATAGTCTTGCTCTGTCGCCCAGGCTGGAGTGCAGTGGCAGGATCTCGACTCAACACAACCTCCGCCTCCAGGTTCAAGCGATTCTCGTGCCTCAGCCTATTCAGTAGCTGGGATTACAGGCGTGCGCCACCAAGCCTGTCTAATTTTTATATTTTTAGTAGAGACAGGGTTTTGTCATGTTGGCCAGGCTGGTCTCCAGCTCCCGATCTCAAGTGATCTGCCCACCTCAGCCTCCCAAAGTGCTGGGATTAAGGGCGTGAGCCAAAGGCGCCCAGCCTGAAACTCTTTATAAAAGAAATCTACCGCCGGGCACTGTGGCTCAAGCCTGTAATCCCAGCACTTTGGGAGGCCAAGGCGGGTGGATCACCTGAGGTCACGAGTTCGAGGTCAGCCTGGCCAACACGGTGAAACCCCATCTCTACTAAAAATACAAAAAAAAAAAAAATTAGCTGGGTGTGGTGGCACACACCTGTAACCCCAGCTACTTGGGAGGCTGAGGCAGGAGAATCATTTGCACCTGGGAGGTGGAGGTTGCAGTGAGTCGAGATCGTGTCAATACACTCCAGCCTGGGTGACCGAGGGAAACTCCGTCTCAGAAAAGAAAAAAATAAAAAAAAGAAAGAAAGAAAAAAAAAAAAAGAAAAAAAACCTCCTTTTGTAAGGGCATCTCCCTCGGTGGACCTAAACCACTAGAAAATTTCAGGATGGGGAAGACATTGGTTTAAAGTTTACATAACAAACGGTACGGTACCTCTGTTTAAAATACTTTTCCTGGTAATTTTAACCAGTTTGTAACCTATGCCTTTCTTTGTCTCAGCAAATAATTCTGTTTAGGTACAAGTTCTGTGTCTTTTAGATGTAAATTTTTTACTTTGTTTCATCTAATAGTCTTTTGAAAGTGCAAGCTTAGGGTTGCCTAGCTACTAATTACTTAGGGTAGTGGAAAAGATAATCAAGAGACTGATCCTCTAAAGTGGACGATCACTAAGTGGAGGATCACTAAGTAGACGATCTAACTGGATGATCACTTCAGACGATCATCTGAAGTGGGCATAGACTATTAGAAAACTGGCTAATGAAGAATCTTATAAAAGATCTGCTTCTGTTTGTCTGTATGCCTATGTTTATATGTGTTACAGGCATGTGACATTTCATTACCAAAATACATGAAAAAGCTCAAATTAATTGGCATCAAAATATGCCACCCTGACATACTGATGACTCTGAGCTAAAAGAAACAGAACCAGCCAACACAGGAAAACTTCACCTCGCCGGCAACTGCTCCCCTTTTGTAAAGAGAAATTTACATCTTTAAAGGAAATTTCCATGAGTAAACGTATCTGTATCAGAAAGAGAGCTGCCTGGAGACAGCTTTTATCACCTGGGAGCCTAACAAAGCAACCTTTATTCATCATACATTTTGACCCTTCCATAATTTGTCTCCACCACGCCCCAAAAGGCCCATGCTCCTATTCCCTGGCCCTTCTTTCAGTCTCCCACTTTTGTGGCCCTCCAGTGCATGGGTATGTAAAAATAGTTTTTCTCTTGTTAATCTGTCTTATGACAATTTAATCTGTGGCCCAGCTAAAGAACCTAGAAGCGTAGGGGGAAGCCATATCTCCCTCCCCCACCTTTGAATCTTCTTTACACCACACTCTCCCGGGTCATCTGGACCCTCCTTGAACTGGAGCCACGGGAGCGCAAGGCCTCCCAAGTCAGGGCCCGAATTCCGCGTGGTGCCAAACGGCAGCTGGCTCCCTGAATGCCCACCCTGAACCCTGGTAAAAAATAAAAAAAACAACAACAAAATTCCCTCCAACCCGGAGAAAACAAGTCCGCCTCTGTTCTACCTAGCAGCGCCGTGGCCAGTCCCCGCCGCCCATTCTCTCTTCTTCCGGGCCTCGCCACACCAACACTGCAGGACCCGTGTCCTCGTCCCTTCTCCGTAGCAGAGGATGAAAAGAACGGGGTTTCTCCATGTCGCAGTGGCCCAGGGAACTCAGAGGTGGAGCGCGGGGGCAGCGTGCTCGGTTGAACTTGCCTGTTCGGTCCACAAATGCCGAGCAAGCGCCAATAACTCTTGGCTTCCCCAAAAGAGGCGACGCCCACACCAAAGCGGGGGCGAGGAGCGCAAGCCGCTGCCGCCTCCCCGGGCCGAGGCCCCCGCCCACCCGCGCCGCGGCCTCCAGGGCCCCTCCGTGGCCGGGCGGGCCTCGCTCCCCACCCAGTGAGGACTAGAAGTCCCGTCGCAGGCACTAGGTTCCTCACAGGCCCGCACCCCTGCCTGGGTCCTGGGGGCTTGGAGGACCCAGCCCAGCGCCCAACACGGCGCCGGGCGCCCCTGTTCCCAGAAAACGGGCGGCGCGCGGACTGCGGCCCAGACGGCTGCTCGAGACTCACAAGGACTCCAGGCGCTTGAGCTGCTGCAGCTGCTGGGCGTCGTGCCGCCGCCGCTTCTGCTCCCGGGCCCGCTGCAGTTCCTGATCCAGCGGCTCCCGCGGCCACCACGCGCCCCCAGCCCTCGCATCCTCGCGCCCCGGCCAGGACGACATCGCGGCACCTGCGGCGCGGCTCTGGCTGCGGCCAAGAGGGCACTTCCTCCGTGCGGCGCCCCTTCCCGCCGCCGCCCCGCGACTCGCCCGGGAGGGGCCCCGAAGTCCCGGCCTCGGCCGCCAGATGCCCGCCTGCCCGCGGCCGGCCCCAAGTCAGTGCGCAGAGCCCCAGAGCCCAGCCGCCGGTGGGCGGGGAGCGCCCGCTGGCGGCGGCTGGAGCCGAGGCGGGGCGGGGCCCTGGTTGGGAGCCTGGGGAAGCTTCCAGGAGCTTCAGGGTTCCCGCCAGGCCACACTCATCTCCCTGCCCCTTTGAGGTTCCCGACCGAGGCAAGGGGTCTTGTGCAAGTCAGGTTTGTAGATCCCTAGTGACCAGACCCACGGGAGCTGCTCATTACATAGCAATAGGATTCAGCCATTTTTGGAAGAAAGCAATACTCTGCATATAAATTCTCCAATTTTCAGATCATATGATCCATGCTTAAAACATAGTCAATGTATATTGTATTTAGCAAGGTATAGGTTCTGGAGATGAAAATAAAAGCTACCATACACAGCACTTGTTATGTACCAATCAGCTAAACCCTTAATAAGAATGTCTTTAATCTTAAACTTGTGTTATTACCACCCTTATAGTGATCTACACATTCAGTGCAATCCCTGGCAAAATCCCACTGACTTTTTTTTTTACAGAAATAGGAAAACCAATCCTAAAATTCATATGGAATCTAAACGGACACCTTACCCTGGGCCTCTTACTTGTTTTGCAGCAAGTAGGTGCAAGTAGGTTAATGTGGCATATTACATTTATTGATTTGTGTGTGTTGAACCATCCTTGTATTCCAGGAATCAATTCCATTTGGTCATAGTGCATTACCCTGTTAATAAGGTATTCAACCTGTTTTCCTACCATTTTGTTGAGAATTTTTGCATTAATGTTGATAAGTGATTTGGGGGTGTAGTTTTCTTATAATGTCTTTGTCTGGCTTTGTATCAGGGTAATGCTAGCCTCAATATGAGATAGGAAGTTTTCCTTTCTCTTTAATTTTTTTGGAAATGATTGAAAAGAATTGGTGTTAGTTCTTTTTTTTTTTTTTTTTTTTAAGACAGAGTCTTGCTCTGTTGCCCAGGCTGGAGTGCAGTGGCGTGATCTCGGCTCACTGCAAGCTCTGCCCCCCGGGGTTCACGCCATTCTCTTGCCTCAGCCTCCCAAGTAGCTGAGACCACAGGCGCCCGCCACTGCACCCAGCCAATTTTTTGTATTTTTAGTAGAGACGGGATTCACCATGGTCTCGATCTCCTGACCTTGTGATCCGCCTGCCTCAGCCTCCCAAAGTGCTGGGATTACAGGCATGAGCCACTGCACTCGGCCAAACTGGTGTTAGTTCTTTAAATGTTTGGTAGAATTCACCAGTGAAGCAATTAGGTCCAGAGCTTTTCTTTGGTGGTAAATTTTATTTTTTATTTATTTTTAGAGACTTGCTAAAGTGGCTCATGCCTGTAATCCCAGCACTTTGGGAGGCTGAGGCGGGCAGATCACCTGAGGTCAGGAGTTCGAGACCAGCCTGACCAACATGGAGAAACCCCATCTCCACTAAAAATGCAAAAAATTAGCCGGGCGTAGTGGCACATGCCTGTAATTCCCAGCCACTCGGGAGGCTGAGGTAGGAGAATCGCTTGAACTCGGGAGGCGGAGGTTGCAGTGAGCCAAGATTGCGTCATTGCACTCCAGCCTGAGCAACAAGAGTGAAACTCCATCTAAAAAACAAAAGAAAGAAAGAAAAAAAAGGCAATAACTACAGTTACAAACCATTGTTACAATACTAGGTTTTATAATTACCCGACTATTTATCTTTATTGAGATCCTTATTTCTTCATATAGCTTCTGCTTACTGTCTAGTGTTCTTTTATTTCTTCTTTTTTTAAATTTATTTTTGTCTCATTTTTCCAAGAAAATCTCACTCTGTCACCCAGGTTGGAATGCAGTGGCTCAATCTTGGCTCACTGCAACCTCCGCCCCCAGGGTTCAAGCGATTCTTGTGCCTCAGCCTCCCAAATAGCTGGAATTACAGGCATATGCCACCACGCCCAGCTAATTTTTGTGTTTTTAGTAGAGACGGGGTTTCACCATGTTGGCCAGGCTGTTCTCAAACTCCTGACCTCAAGTGATCCACCTGCCTCGGCCTTCCAAAGTGCTGGGAATACAAGCATGAGCCACGGTGCCTAGCCTAGTGTTCTTTTATTTCAGCCTGTGGAACTCCCTTGAACATTTCTTTCAGGGCTTGTCTAATGGTAATAAACTTCTTTGGCTTTTGTTTATCTTGAAATGTCTCAATTTGTCCCTAATTTTTGAAGGACAGTCTTGCTCGATATAGGACATATGATTGATGGTTTTTCCTTTTAGCAATTTGAATATATTAGCCATGTGCCTTCTGGCCTCTAAAGTCTCTGATGAGAAATCTGCACATAATCTAATTATGGATCCCTTGTCAGATGAGTTGCTTCTCTTGCTGCTTTAAAGATACTCTCTTTGTCTTTGTCTTTCAAAAGTTTGACTATAATGTGTCTTGTTGTGAATCTCTTTGAGTTCATCTTAATTGGAATTTGTTGAACTTCTTGGATTTTTATATTCACGGATTTCATCAAATTTGAGAAGTTTTGGCCATTATTTATTTAAATAGTCTCTGTGCCCCTTTCTATTTCTTTCCTGTTTCCTGGACTCCCACAATGCATAAATTGGTTCACTTGATAATGTCCCATTGGTCCCTTAAGCTCTGTTCACTTTTCCTTCCCTTTTAACTTAATTTTTGTTGTTGTTGTTGTTGTTAGAAATGAAGTCTCACTATGTTGCCCAGGCCGATCCTCAGCAATCCTCCTGCCTCCTGAGTAACTGGAATTACAGTGTATTACAGGGATAGATCATGGCCAATTGCATGGAGATTGTCCATAAGAGCTGGCCAATTTTATGATTATTGGAAGACTTGCATCAGGATAAATAGCTGCTTTTTTTCCCTTTTAGAACATGATTCTTCTTGGATAATACGTTCACATTAATTTTCTATGAAGTGCCACTCTTTCTGAAATTCTTTTGTGATTCTATATACACCAACAGCATTCTCTGTTTTCGCATCTTCTGTGCCATGTTTCTATGTTGTTTGAGGTATACAGAAATCCGTTCCACATGCACTCATATACAGACCACAAATTTAGTGGAGACAGTATCACTGAACAGCAACACCATTGCATAAGTGTCTTCGTTGTTGTTGTTGTAGACAGGGGATCTCACTATGTTGCCCAGACTGGTCTCAAACTCTTGACCTCAGGTGATCCTCCTACCTTGGTCTCCCAAAGCAATGGAATTACATGAGCCACCATGCCTGGTCACATAAGTGTCTTTTTATCCTTCCATACACATAATTATTTTTGAACCAGTGAGAAACTTATCTGGCTTCTTCAGGCAAATGAAGCTTTAATTAAGAAAAAAAAAAAAAACAACTCCTGGAATGTCATCAGCCAGAAGGAATACCAATGCAGGAAAATGATGTGGTTTTGTTGTTGTTGTTTGGTTTTTTGTTGTTATTGTTTGTTTTTTTCTTGAGATGGAGTCTCACTCTGTTGCCCAGGCTGGAGTGCAGTGACATGATCTTGACTCACTGCAATCTCCGCCTCCCAGTTTCAAGCGATTCTCCTGCCTCAGCTGGGATTATAGACATGTACCACCACAACTGGCTAATTTTTGTGTTTTTAGTAGAGACAGGGTTTCACCATGTTGACCAGGCTGATCTTGAACTCCTGATGTCAGGTTATCTGCCCACCTCGGCCTCCCACAGTGCTGGCATCACAGATGTAAGCCACCATGCCTGGCCTTTTTTTTTTTTTTTTTTTTTGAGACAGAGTCTCACTCTGTTGCCCAGGTTGGAGTGCAGTAGCACAATCTCAGCTCACTGCAACCTCTGCCTCCTGGCTTCAAGTGATTCTCATGCCTCAGCCTCCTGAGTAGCTGGTACTACAGGCACACACCACCACTCCTGGCTAATTTTTGTATTTTTAATAGAGATGAGGTTTTGCCATGTTGGCTAGGCTGGTCTCCAACTCCTGACCTCAATTGATCTGCCTACCTCGGCCTCCCAAAGTGCTGGGATTACAGGTGTGAGCCACAGCACCTGGCCCTCTTTTTATATTTTTATATTTTCTATATTTTTTATATTTTTATATTTCTTAAAAAGGTGTTCAGTTAGACAATAATTTTAGCTATGCCAAGGCTGGAGTGCAGAGGCACGATCACAGCTCGTTCCAGCTTTGAATTCCTGGGCTCAAGCAATCCTCCTGCCTCAGCCACCCCAAGTGCTGGGATTATAAGCATGAACCCTTTTATTTAATTCCTTTAGGGTAAAAGAAAAGAAAGAAATTGTCCAGCCATAATCAGTGACCTTAGAGTCAGCAAGCAAGTAGTCTAAAAATGTTAAGATATAATTTTGTGCTGAAACCAATTGAGTCAGGTTTCTCTCACTTGCAATTGAAAGAGTTTTGACTGATTCAAATATTTGCCTTGTTAGATATACAACAACAGTGATTTATTTTCTCACCAAGAAGACCCAGGGATCAATATTTCCACTTAAGCAACTATGCATCAAGGCTCTTTTGAAAATAGCAATGGACCAAAATCCAAATCACGCTGTTTTAAGGAAAAAAAAAAGGAATTTATTGGCTCACATATGTGAAATGTCCACGGGTGAAGCTTCAGGAATGACTGTATCTAGGTGCTGAAATTATACAGTCAGCACTTTCTCCCTCTCTCAGCCTCACCTTCCTTTGTATTGATTTATTCTCATGTAGGTTCTCTCATTGTGGTGGCAAAGATGGACACTAGAAGGCATAGATGGCCACCAATTTAGCAGCCTCCACTGAAAGAAATCTTATTTCCAAAAAACTTAAACTATGCTCATTGACTCAGCAAACATCACGTAGCTCTGAAGGAAAAAAATCACTGTGGTCAGAGAGATGCGGTGCTCTTCATAGCAGCAGTAGGCAGACAAATGCCTAGGCAGATAGGGGCAGGTCCCTGGAGAAACCCCACCTACAAGCTGAAGACAGTGTAAAACCTGAAAGCCAAGCTATAAGTCAAATCTACGGATGAGATTGAGAATCTGTCTTCCCATTTGACATGCTTTCCTCTGATTGATTCTCCACCCTTCACCTATTTTACATATACCTACCCTTTCCTAATTGGTTTTCTACACTGCCATACCCACCTTTGAGGGGTGCTTTTGCTTTAGCCTTTCTTTGCGTACTCACAAACCAATCAGCATGCACTTCCCTATTCTGAGCTCATAAAAGCCCCAGACTCAGCCACACTGAGAGAGAAACCAACCGACGGGGGAGGGGGGTGAGCAGGAGGCCACCTCTGCATCCCCTCTCCGCTGAGAGCTATTCCATTGCTCAATAAAGTTCTTCTCCACCCTCCTCACCCTTCAATTGTCAGTGTATCCTTATTCTTCTTGGACATGGGACAGGAACTTAGGAACCACTGAATGTGTGTACATGCTGTAACACAGGAGAGCTGAGGCACACCTGGCCCAGCCACGGACTGAGCCAATGCACAAGCCAGACTTGGCTCAGGCAGACTGAGTAGGCAGGGCACCTCCTGCAGCAGGTAGCATGCCTGAGCAAGGCCCAGGTGGCAGTGGTACCAGCTGGAGGTCCCTAGCTGGCAAAATGACTGAGAAAAATCCTGCGTCACTCTGGCCAAGCCTAGGTTACATGCCTGCCATAATTACCAGGGGTGGAATCAGCTTTACCCCTGTCATGTAGACTGACAGTGGGGAAGGGGTAGTTCTGGAAACCAAAATCAATGTGCTATGACTTAAACAGAGAGAGACAGAGACAGAGACAGAGAGATAGAGAGAGAAAGACGGGGGATGCTGGGATGCTGGGTAGGAAATGTGCAGTTCAATAATCTGACAGGATCTGCATTCTAGTCATCTCTTCTTGATAATTATGTTCACCTAAAAGAAAGAAGCTGAGGCAAAATTAATATAAGTTAGAGAGTTTATTTGGGCCAGGCTTGAGGATTGCAACCTGGGGGCATAGATTCAAGTTGTCCTGAATATGCACTCCAATTAGCAGCAGTTAAAAGTGGATTTTTTTTTTTTGAGACAACATCTCGCTCTGTTGTCCAGGCTGGTGTGCAATGGTGTGATCATGGCTCACTTTAGTCTCAAACCTCCTGGGCTCAAGCAATTCTCCTGCCTCAGTCTCCCATGTAGCTGGGACCACAGGTGTGTGCCACCATGCCTGGATAATTTTTTAATATTTTGTAGAAATGGAGTCCCCCTATTTTGCTGGCCTCAAACTCCTGACCTCAAAGAATCCTCCTGCCTTAGCCTCCCAAAGTACTGGGATTACAGGCGGAAGCCCCCAAAACCAGCCAAAAGTGGATTTTTGAAAGTAAAAAGGTGGGGGCAGGTAGTAGGCTGATACAAAGTTGTTTGTCAAGAATTCTCACTGGCTTACAAAATTAACATTGATTAGTGATTAGCTATACATTATTTAACTATAGGGTGTGGGTTATAGTGTCCTGTGTGACATTATTAGGTTAATTTATTGCTACTTGTTGCAAGAGCAAGTAGTTTCTTTTCTTTCTTTTTTTTTTTTTTTGAGATGGCGTCTTGCTCTGTCACCCAGGCTGGAGTGCAGTGGCGCGATCTCGGCTCACTGCAAGCTCCGCCTCCCGGGTTCATGCCATTCTCCTGCCTCGGCCTCCTGAGTAGCTGGGACTACAGGCACCTGCCACCATGCCGGCTAATTTCTTTTTGTATTTTTTAGTAGAGACAGGGTTTCACTGTGTTAGCTGGGATGGTCTCAATCTCCTAACCTCGTGATCTGCCCACCTCGGCCTCCCAAAGTGTTGGGATTACAGGCGTGAGCCACCACCCCCAGCCAATAGCAAGTAGTTTCAAGAGATGAATACATAGTTCAAGGGGAAAGTAGAATGTGATTTGTGTTTTACTTCATGTCTGTCTTAGCCTGATAATTTAAAAGAATTGGCATTCCCGATATAAGAGTTTTTTTCTTTTCCCAATTTGTGTCTTAGAGCTGATAAAGCAGTGAAAATTCTTTTTGCCTTTATTTCCACCTGTTTATGTGAATCTAGGTTCATTACATATTTTGACACCAGACTGAGAAGTTTTTTTGATGGTGGGATGTGATGGCTCATGCCTGTGATCTCAGCAACTTTGGGAGGCTGAGGTGGGAGGACTGCTTGAGCCCATGAGGTCAAGGGTGCAGTTGGCCATGATCACCATCCAGCCTGGTGGCAGAGTGAAACTGTTTGAAAAAACAAAACAAAACAAAAAACAAAAAAAGAAAAAGAAATGTATTACTCACATTTTGAAGCTTTTGGGGAGAGCAGGTCAGGTGCCTCAGCCAGTCCAAAAATGGCTTCGACAAAGCAAAAGCAAGTGGCCCTGGGATTACTGCAGTTAGGGGTGGAACCTGGGTGAGCATTCCTGCACAAGGGCCCAGGTTTTGTGTGGCTTGAACTTCCGCCTACAGTGCCAAGGGAAGGAGTGCATGGGGTTTCTATTGGCTTATTCACATGTGGGGCAGAGGGAACCGTGGAAGTGGAGCTTGAAAGTTTTCAGTGGTAGAACACCAAAAATGCAGTCAGGTTCTTCATTATATGGGGTCACCTCTCAAATCCAGCCCAGTTTTCTGATACCAAGAGATTCGATGCAATAATATCCCGTCCATTAACCAATGGATGGTTATGGAATTCTTTCCCTGGTGATTACAACTTTAAAGCATTTTTTTAACCCATCATCATTTAGTTTATGCCTGTTTCATCTGGAAGGTTGTGCAGGCACAGTCCATTTCCAGAGAGAGAGTAAAGTGATTGTTAGCCAACCATAAACACATATGGAGGCACCCTTCACATTGTACTGTGGCACCTAGCCTACGCAAGTGAGGAACACTTCTGTTTGTACTCTCTCGCTGTCGTATTCTCCTGTCCATGAGCCCCTCGGTTTGTTTTTTAGTTTGTTCTTCTGCCCGTCCTAAGATACCAGATTCATTCTTGAGGCCAGCCAGGCGGCCTTGGTGTTGACCCAATAGTGGTGGGGCAGCTGCACGTGATCCTTAGCCTGTGTTACTGGACAGGTGTCAAACCTTTAAAGTAAAAACAAAATCCTAAACCCTGGCTGGGCCTGGTGCCTCATGCCTATAATGCTAGCAATTTGAGAGGTTGAAGTGGAAGGATCTCTTGAGCCCAGGAGTTGGAGACCAGCCTAGGCAACATAGTGAGATCTTATCTCTACTAAAAATTTTTTTTAAAAAATTAGCTGGGTATTAACTTTGAAATTTACTGCTTTTGGTCAAAATACACTCTTCAGCTAATGCTTTCTTCCAGCTGGTTGTCTTGTTGCCTGCCCTGTGCTGTAAAATGAGGGTCCCTTACTGCATTATCAAGGGGAAGGCAAGACTGGGACATCTAGTCCACCGGAAGACCTGCACCACTGTCGCCTTCACACAGGTGAACTCAGAAGACAAAGGCACTTTGGCTAAGCTGGCGGCAGCTATCAGGACCAATTACAATGACAGACATGATGAGATCCGCTATCACTGGGGCTGCAATGTCCTGCCAGATGTTCAAGTTAAGAGATGTCAAGGGCGTTGTTTTTTGATATGTGGCAGAAGACAATCTGCATCTTAGAACAAAGCCCATATACAAACATGCAGAAACAAGAAATGGAGACAGAGCATGTCAGCAAACAGCCATATTGGTTCTAGTGATTCCTGAACTCCTCCTAGGAGGGGAAACCTGGCCACTTCTTTGAATTGGATACAACCCCTCAATTGAGTGAAAACCTCTGGTATTCCTCAAATGATTTTTTTTAATTCCCTATGTGAAATTTGGAGTTCTGTTACTTGGTATCAAAAAACTTGGCCGGGCGCAGTGGCTCACGCCTGTAATCCCAGCACTTTGGGAGGCCGAGGCGAGTGGATCACGAGGTCAGGAGATCGAGACCATCCTGGCTAACACGGTGAAACCCCGTCTCTACTAAACACACAAAAAAATTAGCCGGGCGTGGTGGCGGGCTCCTGTAGTCCCAGCTACTCGGGAGGCTGTGGCAGGAGAATGGCGTAAACCTGGGAGGTGGAGCTCACAGTGAGCCGAGATCACGCCACTGCACTCCAGCCAGGGTGACAGAGCGAGACTCCGTCTCAAAATAAAAAAACAAACAAAAAACAAACTAAACCAAAACAACAACAAAACAAAACAAAATCATGCATCTCTTTAAATGCTGTAACAATGTACTTCATTGTCTTAATTTTCTTTTCTTTTTTTGAGGAAAATTGAGACCTTTTATTTTCTGAGAAACAATCTATAGATTGGGGAGGTGCAGCCTTTGGTACAAGTGAAAGTACACTCTCTATTTTCTTTTCTTTTTTATTTTTGAGACAGAGTCTTGCTCTGTCACCCAGGCTTGAGTGCAGTGGTGTGATCTGGACTCACTGTCACCTCCACCTCCCAGGTTCAAGTGATTCTCCTGCCTCAGCCTCCCCAGCAGCTGGAAATACAGGCGTGTGCTACCACACCTAGCTAATTTTTGTATTTTTAGTAGAGACAGGGTTTCACCATGTTGGCCAGGCTGGTCTCGAACTACTGACCTCCGGTGATCCACCTGCCTCGGCCTTTCAAAGTTCTGGGATTACAGGTGTGAGCCACCGCACCCAGCATATTTTATTTTCTTGATTACTAGTGAGGGTGAATATATTTATTTGTATTTCCTCTTTTCTGAAGTCTTCACCTGTGTATTCCGACTTCAGTTTTGTTGTACTGCTGCATAATATACCACCCCAGAGTTTAAAAACAACAATCTAATATGCTTACAAATTCTGTGGGTCAGGAATTTTGGCAGGATATAGCAGTCATGGCTTTGTCTGCTACATTATTTTTACTGCTCAAATGGCTGGGCTGACTTGAACATATGGCAGATGGCTAATCCAGGGGCTGCTTTACTCACATTTTTGCTGCCTATGCTGGGATGGCTGAGGTATGGGCTCAGGTGTGAATGTCAATCACAGAGTCTGCCTGTGACCTCCCCAGCATGGAGGACTCTAGGTAGTGGGACTTCTTACAGGGATCAGGACTTAAGGGGCAAGTGTTCCAGTGAACCAGGTGGAAACAACATGGCCTTTTATAATCTAGCCCAGAAGTCACGGCCCACCAGTTAGACTGTATTCTATTGGTCAGCACAGCTGCGGGCCTATCCAGATTCAACAGGATAATCATAAACTCCACTTCTAAATGGGAGGAGCCTCAAAGAATTTCAGGCCAACACAGATGGGGTGTTCACTTATGCTTACACATTTGTTTTGTCATATAGTTGTAAGGGTTTTTTTGTTTGTTTGTTTTGAGACAGAGTCTCACTCTGTTGCCCAGGCTGGAGTGCAGTGGTGTGATCTGGGCTCACTGCAACCTCCGTCCCTGGGGTTCAAGTGATTCTCCTGCCTCAGCCTCCCGAGTAGCTGGGATTACAGATGCCTGCCACCACGCCCAGCTAATTTTTGTATTTTTAGTAGAGACGGGGTTTCACCATCTTGGCCAGGCTGGTCTTGAACTCCTGACCTCATGATCCACCCGCCTCAGCCTCTCAAAGTGCTGGGATTACAGGCGTGAGCCACCATGCCTGGCCGTAAGTTGTTTTTTTTTTTTTTTTTTTTTTTTTTTTGAGATGGAGTCTTGCTCTGTCGCCAGGCTGGAGTGCAGTGGTGCGATCTCAACTCACTGCAAGCTCCCCTTCCCGGGTTCACGCCATTCTCCTGCCTCAGCCTCCTGAGTAGCTGGGACTACAGGCGCCCGCTACCACGCCCGGCTAATTTTTGTATTTTTAGTAGAGATGGGGTTTCACCGTGTTAGCCAGGATGGTCTCGATCTCCTGTCCTCGCGATCCGCCCGCCTCGGCCTCCCAAAGTGTTGGGATTACAGGCGTGAGCCACAGCGCCTGGCCAAGTATTTTTTTAATTTATCATTTGTCTTTAAAAAATTTGTGACATTTTTTAATAGCAAGATTTTTTTTTTCTTTTTTGAGACAGAGTCGTGGTATGTTGCCCAGGCTGGACTTGAACTTCTGGGCTCAAGAGATCCTCCCACCTCAGGCTCTCAAGTAGTTAGGACTACAGGCTCCTAGATCCTGCCACCACGAGCAGACATTCATTTTTATTTTATTTTATATATATTTTTAGACAGGCTCTCACTCTGTCACCTAGGCTGGAGTGCAGTGGTGTGATCACAATTCATTGCAGCCTCCATCTTCTAGGTTGAAGATGATCTTCCACCTCAGCCTCCGAAGTAGCTGAACGGGGACTACAGGTGCAGGCCGCCCTGCTCTACCTTTTTTTTTTTTTTTTTTTTTTTTTTTTGAGACAAAGTCTCTCTCTGTCACCCAGGCCAATTGTGCAGTGGTGAAATCATGGCTCACTGCAGCCTCAACATCCAGGGCTCAAGCGATCCTCCAACATCAGCTTCCCAAATAGCTGGGACTACAGGCACACACCACCACATCTGGCTAATTTTTGTTTGGTTTTTGTTTTTCTTTTTGAGACAGGGTATCACTCAGTTGCCCAGGCTGGAGTTTATTTTTTCTGTAAAGTAGTGATTACACCTATGACCTTATACAGAGTTGTCATGAAGATTGGACTTCTTGGCATCTAGTTCAAAAGATCAAGTTTCAAATCCCAAGTCTTTACCAATTAATATGTATTGTATGTTTAGCGTCTGAGCCTAGAAACTAATTCAGCACCAAGATATTTCCCCAAATTGCCGTAAGAGGTCAGTAGGCAAGATAAGTATCATCTGTTTTACAGTCAAGGGTGGAAGTAAGAAGTTACCTGACTTGCCTGAAGCCACGGAGACATAAGTGAAGCAAAGACTGGACCAAAGTATATGTGTAGTGAATGAACTGAATGTCTGAATTCATGCCAATAAAATGTATAACAATTTTTATTATCAATGATTATATACTTCAAAATCAAGGTATTGTTTGACAACACAAAGATGACATGCAAAAGTACTTTTTGGTGGTCAGTGCCATTAATAGACTTAATAGACTACAATCAGAAAGTTTTTTCTTTTTTTTTTTTTTTTTTTTTTGAGATAGAGTTTTGCTCTGTCACCCAGGCTGGAGTGCAATTGTGCGATCTTGGCTCAGTGCAACCTCTGCCTCTGGGGTTCAAGCGATTCTCCTGCCTCAGCCACCGGAGTAGCTGGGATTATAGGCATGCAACACCACACCTAGCTAATTTTTGTACTTTTAGTAGAGACGGGGTTTCACCAGGTTGCCCAGGCTGGTCTCAAACTCCTGAGATCAAGCAATCTGCCCCCCTTGGCCTCCCAAAGTGCTGGGATTACAGGGGTGAGTAATTTTTGTATTTTTTCGTAGAGGTGGGGTTTTGCCATGTTGCCCAGGCTGGTCTCAAACTCCTGGGCTCAAGTGATACTCCTGCCTCGGCCTTCTAAAGTGCCAGGATTACAGAAGTGAGCCACCAGGCCCTCTGTTTGTTTTCAAAATCAGAGGTAGATGTTGAATTTTATCTCATGCCGTTTTGAGTCTATGGCCACATGATCTTAGAGCTTTTTTTCCCTTCTTCTGTCCTATAATTTTATTAATAGGTGTTCTATTTCTAGAATAAGCTCTAAGATGAACAATGAACATTTTTCTTGTTATTCATGTAGTTTCTCATTCGATCCCTGAAACCTAAGATTATAGTAATCTTATAATGATTGTTTTATCTTCATCTTACAGAGAACACTGACATTTTGTTAATTTACAGAAGCTCACCTAGGTAGCCCATGTAATGGTATATTTTTCCTTTAACATACCGTTTTTTAAATTTTTTATTTATTTTTTTTTTGAGGCAGAGTCTCACTCTGTCGCCTGGGCTGGAGTGCAGTGGTGCAATTTAGTGGCACAATCTCGGCTCATTGCAACCTTCGACTCCCAGGTTCCAGCAATTTTTCTGCCTCAGCCTCCCAAGTAGCTGGGACTACAGGCCGTGCCACCACACCCTGCTAATTTTTGTATTTTTAGTAGAGCCAGGGTTTCACCATGTTGGACAGGCTGGTCTTGAACTCCTGACTTCAGGTGATCCAACCACCTCGGCCTCCCAAAGTGCTAGGGTTACAGGTGTGAGCCACTGCGCCTGGCCTAATATGCGGTTGAATCCGATTTTATTACGTTTTATTCAGTATTTTTGCATTTATATTTATAAATTAGATCGTGCCCTGTTTTTTCAGTTTTATTTTTCTTTTTTGTTGCTCTCTTTGCCAGGTTTTGGTATCAGAATTGTGTTTGCTTCCAAAACGAGTTGAGAAAGAGTTGGTGATTTGCTTTCATTATTCCAAAATTTTAATAAATTATAACACCCAATTCCAATTCCAAGTGCATCTGATTACTCTAATGGATTCCTGTGGCTTCTGGGTCTCTATGATGAAGTCCTCCCTGGCATAGGCTCGTATATGGGAGCTTGTAGGATGTCTGCAAGTATCAGCTCACAGTGCGGCCGCTGATGGCTTGGAGGACCCTCACGGTGCCTTAAAACTTTTGCCTAGACAAGTGTCACGGGAGCCTCTCGCAATACATGCCTCCCTTTTCTTTTTTTGGAGACAGTGTCTCGTACTGTCGCCAGGGCTGGTGTGCAGTGGCGCGATCTCGGCTCGCTGCAACCTCCGCCTCCCGGGTTCCAGCGATTCTCCTACCTCAGCCTCCCGAGTAGCTGGGACTACAGGCACGCGCCACCAAGCCTGGCTAATTTTTTTGTATTTTTAGTAGAGACGGGGTTTCATCATGTTGGCCAGGATGGTCTCCATCTCCTGACCTCGTGATCCGCCTGCCTTGGCCTCCCAAAGCGTTGGGATTACAGGCGTGAGCCACGGCGCCCGGCCTTCCTTTTCCTTTAAGCAGTATTAAAAAAAAAAAAAAAAAGTCCTGAAGGATGGTTTCGGTCTCTTTCAAGGTAGACCATACCCTTGTAACTAAGCTTAAAAAATTAAAATCTAATTTTCCCTCCCTCTCCAAAGCAGCAAGGGAAAATTGGATCCACGGCCACGTAGGAGCCCCTCACGGCACCAAACCCGGTGTCTCCAGGGACGGGCGGAGACCAGCGGGTGGGCTTGGGCAGTACGCGCTTTTCTCTTCCGACTTTGGGCCAAAGCCTTGTCCGGAGATCACAGTGTCTCGCTCGGGGACACGCCCTCTCTAGGCCCAGACTTGGTCCCCACTGGAGTTCCCAGCCCCCCTCCCCGCTGCGGCACGCACATTCCCAATGCCGGGCGGGGCAGGGCGCAGCAGGCCCGCCCTCGGCGCGCGGCCAGGCTGGGCTCCTCCCCTGGAGCTGCGGCCGGGAGGGCGGGCGGCCGGGGAGACGGGGTGGCGGCTGCAGCCCGGGTAGGGCCAGGAGACCCGGTCCACGTTTGCAAACGCAGCCGAACGCCCAGGCCGACCCGTGCCGCCCGAGCGCCGCGCTGCGTCCGCGCCACTCTTCTCGCCGCCCCGATGGCGTTCCGGGGCTGGAGGCCCCCGCCGCCACCGCTGCTCCTGCTGCTGCTCTGGGTGACCGGGCAGGCAGCGCCCGTGGCGGGCCTGGGCTCCGACGCGGAGCTGCAGATCGAGCGGCGCTTCGTGCCCGACGAGTGCCCGCGCACCGTGCGCAGCGGCGACTTCGTGCGCTACCACTACGTGGGGACGTTCCCCGACGGCCAGAAGTTCGACTCCAGGTACCGCGCCCTTGGCGCCCGGCGCGGCCTCAGCGGATGCGCGTCCCTCTCTCCGGACAGGCCTTTCCCTCCTGCCGGACCTCCCCTAGCTCCGCCCCGTGCAGCCGCGCTCCTCCCTTCTTCCGCTGCCCAGATCCTCCCGGACCCCAGACCCTCCGCCGCGGGTGAGCCTCCCGGCCCTCACGTGCCCTAGGCTGCCAGCCGGGGACTGGACCCTTGGAGGACCTTGAGCAGCGGGGTTGGGGCAGACCACGTCCTCCCTTTCCTCCCAGCGCATGGACACACGCAAAATCAGTGTAAAATAATCAGTGTAAGTGGAGGCCACGTTGCACAACTGGACCCCCAAGAGTGGATGTTCGTGCCTGCCTCTCTTCGCCCTTTCCTGTTCCTTCCCTCCGCTCCCTTGGGAATCTAGTCAGATGGTGCTTCTCACACAGAACAATGATGAAGAGGCTAGCAGCCCCAAACATACAATGAGCTGTTAACAATGTGTAGGTGTAGTTCTAAGTACTTTCCATATTGTAGTGAACTCATTTAATTGTACAGCAGTCTTGTGAGGTAGGTACTATCACTACCCTCATTTTATCAGTAAGGTAACAAGCAACTGCGGCTAAGAAACGTGTTTAAACAATGGAGTCAGATTGTTTAATCCAACTCCAGAGTCTGTGTGCGCAACTACCACTGCCCTTCCTTTCCTGCCATACAAAAACCTCTCTTGGGGCTGGGCGTGGTGGCTCACGCCTGTAGTCCCAGCACTTTGAGAGAACGAGGCGGGAGGATCGCTTGAGCCCAGGAGTTTGGGGCTGCTGTGAGCTATGATCGTGCCATTGCACTGCAGCCTGGGAGACAGAGAGAGATCCCATCACAAAACAAAACACAACACGACACCTCTCGTGGGCAGGAGGTAGTCCAGGACCGTCACTCTGCTTTATACCAGGCCCTATATCAAGCCCAGAACTCCTTCTCTCAGCTCTGCCTCAGGATCACAGCACTGCTCTCCCGTTTCCCTCCAGTTTAGGTTCGGGGTTAACAGGCCTCTCTTCGTCCAGCACCAGGCTACTCCTCGCCAAGGCTTTTGTTACAAACCCTGGTCTGTGCCAGCACTTCCCTTCGCGAACACTAGATCAGGCAGAGAGAGCTATTTGTTGAGCCCCTGCTATGTGCCCCAAGGCCTAGGGTCATTACGAATATTTTGTAGACTCTTGACTTTTTTGAAGTTCCAGACAATGAATATACAAAAGCTGTTCAGCATAGTATGTGGCACTAGCAAGCGCTTAGAAATGGTCATTCTTACTACCATTTTAGTTACTTTAAAAAAAAAAAACAACAGGCCGGGCGCGGTGGCTCACGCCTGTAATCCCAGCACTTTGGGAGGCCGAGGCGGGCGGATCACGAGGTCAGGAGATCGAGACCATCCTGGCTAACACGGTGAAACCCGGTCTCTACTAAAAATACAAAAAATTAGCCGGGCGAGGTGGCGGGCGCCTGTAATCCCAACTACGCGGGAGGTTGAGACAGGAGAATGGCGTGAACCTGGGAGGCGGAGCCTGCAGTGAGCCGAGACGTGCCACTGCACTCCAACCTGGGTGACAGGGAGACTCCGTCTCAAAAAACAAAACAAAACAAAAAACAAAAAACGAAACAAAAAAAACAGCTTTATTGAGATATAATGCCATACAATTTGCCCATTTGGTGTGTACAATTCAGTGTTTTTTAGTATATTCACAGAGTAGTGCAAACATCACAACTAGCTATTTCCAGAACATTTTCATCACCCCCAAAAAAGAAACGCTGGACCCATTATCAGTCACTCCCCAACCCCAGTTAGACTGCCCTCCAGTCCCTTTCAGCCACGAATCCACTTTATGTCTCTATGGATTTGCCTCTTCTGGACATTTTGTATAAATGGAATCATATAATTTGAGGTGCTTTGTTATTTATTTATAATTGGCTTCTTTCATGGTTCATTTACGGTGTAAGGTATATCAGTACTTCATTCCTTTTTGTGGCTGTATATGTAATATTCCATTGTGTCCATTCATCAGTTGATGGACATTTGGATTGCTTATACTTTTTGGCTATCATGAATGATGTTATGAACATTCATGTGCAAGGTTTTGTGTGGATGTACCTTTTCCTTTTTTTGGATATATACCTAGGAGTTGGAATTGCTGCGTCCTATGGCACCTATGTTATAAACGTTTTGAAGAATAGCCAACCTGTTTCCCCACAATGGCTGCACCATTTTACATTCCCACCAGCAGTGTATGAAGGTTCATAGTTCTCCACGGTCTCAACAACACTTGTACTTGTCTTTTTTTTTTTTTTTTTTTTTGAGATGGAATTTTGCTCTTGTCACCCAGGCTGGAGTGCAATGGTGCGATCACAGCTCACTGCAACCTCCCTGCCTCCCGGGTTCAAGCAATTCTCTTACCTCAGCCTCCTGAGTAGCTGGGATTACAGGTGCCTGCCACCACGCCTGGCTAATTTTTGTATTTTTAGTAGAGACGAGGTTTCACCATGTTGGCCAGGCTGGTCTTGAACTCCTGACCTCAGGTGATCTGCCCACCTCGGCCTCCCAAAGTGCTGGGATTACAGGCGGGAGCCACCACGCCTGGCCTGTGTCTTTGATTATAACCATTTAGTGGGTGTGAAATGATATCTCATTGTGGTTTCGATCTGCATTTCTCTAATGGCTAACGATGTTGAGCATCATATGCGTATTGACCATTTGTGTATCTTCTTTCATGTGCTTCTTTCATAGGGAAGAATTTCTTGCTTGAGTTGATGGTAATTAATTCCAGTAGAACAAGTTGTCCTACTATCTAGAACATCTCTAGGGCTGGCAGCCACTGTGAGGTAGTGTAGGGCAGTTGAAAGAGCATGGAGGATCTACCATCCATTCATCAAACGTTTTTCAGCGTCTATCCCTCAAGAGAGAGACTAGTCCTAGTCTAGTATGCTTCTTCCCCATCCCTACCACTTACAGCCTAGGCTATTACAACATGGTGTGATAAGTACAGTAAGACAGTAGCACACACTCTGTCTCTCATAGAGTTCACACATAGTTCTTACCATGTGCCTTCACATATGTTAACTCATTTAATCTTAGAATAATTTGTTTAACTTCTCAAGACAGTGAGGTAGGTACCTCATTACAAATGAATAAACTGAGGCTCAGAAAGTTCAAATGATTTGCCCAAGGAACATAAGTACTAAGTGGTTGAGTGGAGATTTGAACCCAGGTAGTTCATGGCCATAATCTATGGTCTGTAGTCCACCCATGTATATGACAGAAGAAAGGTAAGTAGCTATGAAAGCACAGAGAAGGTTTAACTATATATTTTTGTGTCTGTGTGTGGGGGAGGTTAGGATGGAATCCTGGTATGGCAGGGATAAGACCCAAGGATGATGAAAATTCACCTGGGAGGAGCTCAGGGGTGTGTCTGCAGACCCCAAGGTCCAGGCTTGTCTTTTGATAAATATTATTATGTGCCTACCACATACCTTTTTGGGTATACAGAGTTCTAGATGCTCTAGCACAGTAGTGTTTAAACTACATATACTTCTGAATCACGTAGAGAGCTTGTTATACAGTTTCCGATTCAGTAGCTCTGGGATAGGGCCTAGGAATTTGCTTTTCTGACAAGTTCCCAGCTGATGCTACTGGTCTGAGGACCACACTTTGAGAACCACTGCTCTAAAACAGGGGTACTGAAATGGGATATCAATTTACAAAAATAAATAAATAGTAAATAAATAAATAGAACAGGGGTCCCTAACCCCTGAGCCATGGACCTGTTGTGGTCTGTGGCCTGTTAGGAACCGGGCTGCACAGCCGGAGGTGAGCAGCAGGTGAGCAAGCAAAGCTTCATCTGTATTTACAGTGTCTCCGCATTGCTCACATCACTGCTTGAGCTCGGCCTCCTGTCAGATCAGGAGGGGCATTAGATTCTCACAGGCACATGAACCCTATTGTGTACTGCACATGGGAGGGATCTAGGTTATGTGCTCCTTATGAGAATCTAATGCGTGATGATCTGTCACTGTCTCCCATCACCCCTAGATGGGACCATCTAGTTGCAGGAAAACAAGCTCAGGGCTCCCACTGATTCTACATTATGGTGAGTTGTATAATTATTTCATTATATATTACGGTGTAATAATAATGGAAATAAAGTGCACAATAAATTTGATGTATCTGAATAATCCCAAAACCATCCCCCCACCCCGGTCATGGAAAAAGTGAATTCCTTTCATGAAACTGGTCCTTGGGGCCAAAAAGGTTGGGGACCACTGCTCTAAAAGAATCACAGACTCAGCCAGGCACGGTGGCTCATGCCTGTAATCCCAGCACTTTGGGAGGCCAAGGCGGGCAGATCACCTGAGGGAGTTGGAGACCAGCCTGACCAACATGGAGAAACCCCGTCTCTACTAAAAATACAAAAAATTAGCTGGGTGTGGTGGCGCATGCCTGCAATCCCAGCTACTCGGGAGGCTGAGGCAGGAGAATCGCTTGAACCTGGGAGGTGGAGGTTGCGGTGAGTCGAGATTGCACCACTGCACTACAGCCTGGGCAACGAGAGCTAAACTCCTTCTCAAAAACTAACTAACTAAATAAAAGAATCATGAACTCAATAACAGGGGTCAACTTCATTTTGTATATTCATTCATTTATTCATTCTTTTCTTTTTTTTGAGACAGCGTCTCACTTTGTTGCCCAGGCTGGTGTGCAGTGATGCAGTCTCACATCACTGCAGCCTCTGCTTCCTGGGTTCAAGCAATTCTTGTGCCTCAGCCCCCTGAGTAGCTGGGATTACAGGTGTGCAACACCACACCTGGCTAATTTTTGTATGTTTAGTAGAGATGGGGTTTCGCCACCTTGGCCAGGCTGGAATTCATTTATTCATCCAACAGATATTTACTGAGTACCAACTCTTGCAGGTGCCAAGGATGTAACAGTGAATAAAACAGAAATCTCTGCCCTCATGGAGCTTACATACTAGTGAGAGGACAGGCATACTCTTAAGTTATATGGTAAAGTAGAAGTTGGTGAGGACTATGGAGAAAAAGCAGTAGGAGTGAGGGGTGGGAGGGTGGGGCGACAGGCTCAGAAAGGTGAGAGGACAGTGGCCACCCAGCTAATATAACTGACCTTCAGATTCTGGACTGGGGAGCTCTCATGCCTCACACAAAGCAGCCAGCATGCAGTGAGTGCCTTGTGAGTATTATGCATAGATACCTCTACCCGTTCCAGGGAAGGAAGGATTTCTTCTTGCTGAAGCCATATGAAAGGCTTTGAGGAGGAGCTGATGCTTGAGTTGGGCCTTGAGCATGGATGGGATTTCATTCCTTGAAGCGGGGAGTGTGTTTAAGAGAGTGGATGGGGTGGACCAGAGTCTGGGCCTGAGTAGTGCATGCTCAAGGAACAGTGAGAGGCTCCAATATTTGGGTCAGGAGGCAGGGGACCTGGCACTGGAAGGGTGTGGGAGAACCCAGTCCTTGGGAGGCCTGGGTGGCTGAGCTAGGTGTTGTGGACTTTGGTATTTTTTTTTTTCATCCCATGGATTCAAGTTGCCCTGAATATATGCTTCTGTTCAGAATCTTGTGAAGGGAAGGTTTTTGTTCAGAGGAGTAAGGGGATTGAGGTGCTCAGTGGATGGACTGATAGTGTAAGTAGAAATTCTAGAGATCAGCCTCATTGGGGCTTCATTTTACACAGGGATTCATCCAGCTTCTAACATTCCAGGTACTGGGATACAGCGGAGGATAAAGCTGACAAAAGTCCCTGCCCTCAAGTCAGGGTTGGGGTGAACACAAGCCCGTCCTGCAGACTTAAGCAGAAAGGAGTGGGAATTTATTGGAAGGATCTCCAATTCCTTGTGAGGGTCCAGAATCATGGACTGAGGTGACTTTCTGCCTCTCTCCAAGGGGTTGCAAACGGGGCTTCATTCTCTCCCACTAGAAAAAGAGTGCTCCAATAAGCTCCCCATGCTGCACACATGACCTCTGGGATCCAGCACCAGCGCCGACAAACTGGACTTTCTCACTTCTAGGTTTCCAGGAAATAATCTGATGGGTCCTGCTTGGGGCAGGTGTCTACCCTATTGGGTGTTAAGTCACATGGTCCTAAGTGGGGGCCCAGGCTCACCCTTTCAGCAGGACTGGTCCACAGGGAAGAGCCAGTAGGCTGGACAGCAGCCAGGATGCAGTCAGGGGGGCCTGACAGGGTCAGTGGTGTCAGAACAACTGGCCAGGTCAGGACATGCTAACTTAGGAGTTGTTTAGAGTGTGACTGCACATTGCAGCTCTTTTTATGGAGAAGGAGAGTGCTGAAACGGAGGCTGCTACCGTGCATTAGCCCTGTGCGTTTCTGCTAACTAGGGGAAGATCCTAGCTACTTCTCACTGTGGTCTCCTGAGGCCATTGGCAGCTGGCCAAGCACCCCTGGTGAAGACTTATTAGCGTGGCTTTGAATTTTCATTTGTGGGTCATTGCGAGCAATTACACATTTATATTAAC
This sequence comes from Homo sapiens, assembly GCF_000001405.40. Classification (NCBI taxonomy): domain Eukaryota; kingdom Metazoa; phylum Chordata; class Mammalia; order Primates; family Hominidae; genus Homo; species Homo sapiens. Next base: position 32,964,317 of record NC_000007.14, read on the forward strand.
AATTTAATTTGGCTGTATGGTATTTTACTGGGCTAAGCCCTGTGAAAAATGGGAATCATCTATAGGGATCTGACATTTTAATTTGTGCAGTTGCTTAAAAACAAAAATCCATAACAGCAATGGATTTTGCTTTGCTTTGCAAAGTTTTTCATTTAATGATGTTTTAATGGGTCAAAGCCCATCCAAGCCAACAGCTCATGTTTCAGGGTCTGATTCTCTGAGGAGCTATGAATGGAGGCGTTCTCTTTCATTTCTTCTCTGTTCCCGCTTGCTCCCTCTCTCCTCCCTCACCTCCTCTAACCTTCCTCCTCTGCAGCGTTCTCACACTTTCCCGTCTGGGTAGTTTGCCAGTTCATTAACTGCTTTTCTTTTCTCCCTGGCATGTCTCATTAGCTACTGGTAGAGATGGCTGTTTGAGGGAAATAGTCTTAGGCAAAGGGTCCAGAAAGCCCAGAGTCCCCTTTGGGAGTGAATGTGTGGAGAGGGAGGTGTTAGGCAGAAAAGCCAAACTCTGCCTCCCTGCTTTCAAGTCTGCAGTAAGATCAGTCTCAGTGGTGAAACTCAGCCAGCAGAGGGGGTGAGTCTCAGCTGGGAGCTAGGCGGCCAGTGGGGAGGTGAGTTTCAGTCCCATTCGTGAAGGGTGGTGGCAGGACCACAGTCCAAACGTCAAGCAGGTCCCCTGTGAGTCAGCCATCTGAGTTGGCCCAAGTGAGACAGGACCAACTTTGAGGCCCCCAAAGGGTAGTTCCCGTGCCCAGTGGACTTGTTCTTCCTTACTTTGCCTCCCTTCTGTTATGGGTTCTCAAAATATGGCAGTCTTTTTTTTAATTTCTTTCTTTTTGAGACAGGGTCTCACTCTGTTTCCCAGGCTGGAGTGCAGTGGTGCTCACAGCAACCTCTGCCTCCTGGGTTCAAGCAATTCTCATGCCTCAGCCACCCGAGTAGCTAGGATCACAGGTGTATGCTACCACACCTGGCTAATTTTTGTATTTTTGGTAGAGACAAGGTTTTGCCATGTTGCCCAGGCTGGTCTCGAACTCCTGAGCTCAAGTGATCCACCCGCCTGGGCCTCCCAACGTGCTGGGATTACCGCTTGAGCCACCATGCCCAGCCTGTCATTTGTCCTTTTAAAAGCTCGTTCTTATTGCAGATTTAAACCTACATTTAGAAGCCCCATTCTGCCTTAAGAATATAGCCGTGGGGGCCAGGCACGGTGGCTCATGCCTGTGATCCTGGCACTTTGGGAGGCCGAGGCAGGTGGATCATGAGGTCAGGAGTTCAAGTCAGCCTGACCAACATGGTGAAACCCCATCTCTACTAAAATTACAAAAATTAGCTGGGCGTGGTGGCGTGCACCTGTAATCCCAGCTACTCAGGAGGCTGAGACAGGAGAATTGCTTGAACCCGGGAGGTGGAGGTTGCAGTGAACCAAGATTGCACCACTGCACTCCAGCCTGGGCAACAGAGCGAGACTCCATGTCAAAAAAAAAAAAAAAATATATATATATATATATATATATATATATATGTGTGTACAGATATATATATATACATACATATATATATATAGAGAGAGAGAGAGAGAGCCATGGGGGGCTGGGCGCGGTGGCTCATGCTTCTAATCCGAGCACTTTGGGAGGCCAAGGCAGGTGGATCACCTGAGGTCAGGAGTTCAAGACCAGCCTGGCCAACATGGTGAAACCAAATCTTTACTAAAAATACAAAAATTAGCTGGGCGTGGTAGCGTGTGCCTGTAATCCCAGCTTCTAGGGAGGCTGAGGCAGGAGAATTGCTTGAACATGAGAAGCAGAGGTTGCAGTGAGCCAAGATCGTGCCACTGCACTCCAGCCTTGGTGACAGTGAGACGCCATCTCAAAAAAAAAAAAAAAGAATATAGCCATGAGGATAGTTATTTATCTCAAGTAATGTGTTGCCAATATAATGTGAGCTTTTGTGTAGGCAGTTTAGTGTGTTGACTATGATGTCTCTTGTCTTAGTGGTCCTTGGGTTAATAATTTTAAAGAGCATCATCAGAGGGTGCTACAGACAACTTTCCCATCACCCCCCTGGGGCAGTGATGGAAGGGGATAAAAACAAGCTGATGGAGAGAAAAGGAGGGTGTTGGATGTGCTAGGTGGTTTCCATTTGCCTTTCTAGGTCCACCCTTCACCTGTTCCATTTGCTTTTTGCTCTGGGAGGCTGACATGTATGGACTACATGTGCATAGTATGGGTTGCATTAATGACTCTTTGTCTTCTGGCTTTGGTTGGGTTCAGCCATTGGGACATTGTGATAAGCCATTCCTGCATCACTGGAAAGAAATACCCAAGGCTGGGTAATTTATAAGAAAAGAGGTTTAATTGGCTCACAGTTCTGCAGGCTGTACAGGAAGCATTGCATGCTGTCGTCAGCTTCTGGTGAGGACCTCAGGAGATTTATAGTCATGGTGGAAGGGAAAAGGGGAGCAGACATCTCACATGGCAAGAGCAGGAGCAAGAGAGAGGGTGGGAGGTGCCACACACTTTTAAACAAGCAGATCTGTGAACTCATTCATCACCGAGGGGATGGCGCTAAGCCCTCCCACCAGGCCCCACCTCCAACACTGGGGATTACATTTCAACATGAGATTTGGCATGGACACAGATCCAAACCCTATCAGGCATCAGATGTTCAAAGCGAGGGAAGAGAGTGAGGTGAAGGTATGTATTCCTCTGGCTTCCTGTCTGTAGGGTCACCATGGATTGTGGCCCTAAACTAAAGGGCCCGGTTCCTGTCAGGTAACCCCTAGCTGCCCTCTCTGTCTCTGTCATTCAAGCTCAGGTGTGATAGCAGCATTCCCCACCCAGCCACAGAGGTACTATCCCTTGTGTTTTGCTGTGTTCTGTACACACCTTTGCACACACCCACTTTGTTATTACTTTAAAAAAACCATCAAATTTACCATTGTAACTGTTTTGAACTGTATAATAGTGTTAGCTATATTCACACTGTTGTGCAATATATCTCTAGAATTTTTCCATCTTGCAAAATTGAAACTTTGTGCCCACTGAACAACTTCTCTGCATTTTTCCTTCTTCCTTGTCCGCTGATAACAACATTCCACTTTCTGTTTCTATGAGTTTAACTACTTTAGATACCTCATATAATTCGTGGAATCATGCAGTATTTGTCTTTCTGTGACTGGCTTATTTCATTTTACGTAATCTCCTCAAGGTTCATCCATATTGTAGCATGTGATAGGATTTCCTTCCTTTTTAAGGCGGAATAATATTTCATTGTGTGTGTATACCACATATTTTTTATCCATTTATTTGTCTATGGACATTTAGATTGCTTCTAGCTTTTGGCTATTGTAAATCGTGCTGAGTTGAACATGTGTGTGCAAATATCTGAGTTGTTGTTTTGTTTTTGTTTTAGTTTAGACAGAGTGGTTTTTTTGTTTTGTTTTGTTTTTTGAGACAGAGTTTCGCTCTTATTGCCTGGGCTGGAGTACAGTAGTGCGATCTCAGCTCATCGCAACCTCCGCCTCCCAGGTTCAAGTGATTCTCCTGCCTCAGCCTCCTGAGTAGCTGGGATTACAGGCACCCAGCACTATGCCCAGCTGATTTTTGTATTTTTAGTAGAGACAGGGTTTCTCCGTGTTGGTCAGGCTGGTTTCTAACTCCCGACCTCAGGTGATCCACCCACCTCAGCCTCCCAAAGTGTTGGGATTACAGGCGTGAGCCACCGCGCCCAGCTTAGACAGAGTCTTTTGTTCTGTTGCCCAGGGTCGAGTGCAGTGGCATGATCACAGCTTACTGCAGCCTTGACCTCCTGAGCTCAAGTGATCCTCTCACTTCAACCTCCCGAGTACCTGGGACTACAGTACCTTTGCACCACCACACATGGCTAATTTTTGTGTTTTTGTAAAGATGGTGTTTCACCAGGTTGCCTAGGCTGGTCTTGAACTCTTGGGCTCAAGCTTCAACCTTGGATTACAGGCATGAGCCACTGCGTCCGGCCTGATTCTGTTTTCAGTTCTTTTGGGTATACACCAAGAGATAGGATTGCTAGATCATACAGTACTTCTATTTTTAATTTTTTGAGGAGCCTACAGACCATTTTCTAGAGCAAGTACATTTTGCATTCCCATCAAAGTGCACAAAGATTCCAATTTCTCCATATCCTCTCCATCACTTTTTATTTTCCAGTTTTTTGATAGTGGCCATTCTAACAAGTGTGTGTGAGGTAATATTGCATTGTGGTTTTCTTTTTCTTTCTTTTTTTTTTTTTTGAGACAGAGTTTCACTTTTGTCGCCCAGGCAGGAGTGCAATGGTGTGATCTTAGCTCACTGCAACCTCTGCCTCCTAGGTTCAAGCAATTCTTCTGCCTCAGTCCCCTGAGTAGCTGGGACTACAGGCATATGCCACCATGCCTGGCTAATTTTTGTATTTTTAGTAGAGACGGGGTTTTGCCTCAGCCCCCCGAGTAGCTGGGATTACAGGCATATGCCACCATGCCTGGCTAATTTTTGTATTTTTAGTAGAGACGGGGTTTTGCCATGTTGGCCAGGCTGGTCTTGAACTCCTGACCTCAGTTGATCCGCCCACCTCAGCCTCCCAAAGTGCTGGGATTACAGGCATGAGCCACCATGCCTGGCCTGCATTGTGGTTTTTGATTTGCATTTCTCTGCTGTTTAGTGATGTGGAGCATCTTTTCATTCGCTTGTTGGCCATTTGTATATCTTTTTTGGAGAAATATTCATTCAATCCCTTTGCTCATTTTAAAATTGGATTATTTTGTGGTCGTTGAGTTTTAGGAGTTCTTTATATATTCTAGATATTAATCCCTTATCATATATGAGGTTTGCAAACATTTTCTCCCATTTTTTAGGTTGCCTTTTTACTCTGTTGATTGTTTTCTTTGCTGTTCAGAGTTTTAAAGTTTGACAAAGTCCTCTTTGTCTGTTTTTGTTTTTGTTACCTGTGCTTTTGGTGTCATATCCAATCCAATGTCATGATGCTTTTCCCTTGTGTTTTTTTCCTAGTTTTATAGTTTTGGATCTTATATTTATGCATTTAATCCATTTTGAATTGATTGTTTCCTATGGTATAAAGTAAGAATCTCCAACTTTATTCTTTTGCATGTGGAGATCCAATTTTCCCAGCACCGTTTATTGAAGAGACCATCCTTACCCACTGTGTAGCCTTAGCCCTTGTCAAAGATCATTTGACCATATAGGCAAAAGTTTATTTCTGGGCTATTTTGATCTATTGGTCTATGTGTCTGTATTTGGGTCAGTACCATGCTGCCTTGATTATGATAGCTTCATAATATGTTTCAAAATCAGGAAGTGTGAAGCCTCCAGTTTTGTTCTTCTTTCTCAGGATTGTTTTGGCTCTTTAGAGTCCTTCAAGATTCCAAGGCCAGGCACCGTGGCTCACACCTGTAATCCCAGCACTTTGGGAGGCCGAGGCAGTCTGATCACCTGAGGTCAGGAGTTCAAGACCAGCCTGGCCAACATGGTGAAGCCCTGTCTCTACTAAAAATACAAAAATTAGCCAGGCATGGTGGCGGGCCCCTGTAATCCCAGCTACTCAGGAGGCCGAGGCAGAATTGCTTGAACCCGGGAGGCAGAAGTTGCAGTGAGCCGAGATTGCACCACTGCACTCTAGCCTGGGCGACAGAGTGAGACTCTATCTCAAAAAAAGAAAAAAATTCCGTATGAATTTTAGTTTAGTTTTTTTTTTTCTATTTCTGCAAAAAATGCCATCAGGATTTTGGTAGGAATTGCATTGAATCAATAGATTGCTTTGGTTAGTGTGGACATCTTAGCCATATTAAGTCTTCCCATCCATGAACGAGAAATGTCTTTCCATTTATTCGTGTCCTCTTTAATTTCTTTCTTTCTTTTTTTAGAGACAGAGTCTCGCTCTGTCGCCCAGACTGGAGTGAAGTGGTGCAATTTCGGCTCACCACAATCTCCACCTCCCAAGTTCAAGCGATTCTCCTGTCTCAGCCTCCCGAGTAGCTGGTATTACAGGCATATGCCACCACGCCTGTCTAATTTTTGTATTTTTAGTAGAGACAGGTTTCACCATGTTGGCCAGGCTGGTCTCAAACTCCTGACTTCAGGTGATCCGCCCGCCTTGGCCTCCCAAAGTGCAGGGATTACATGCATGAGCCACTGCACCTGGCCCTCTTTAATTTCTTTCAGCAATGTTTTTCTAGTTTCCATTGTAGTCTTTTGCCTCCTTGGTTAGGTTTAATCCTAAGTATTTCATTCTTCTTGATGCTATTGTAAATAGAATTATTTTGTTCATTTCCTTTTTTAAGATTGTTCATTATTAGTGTATAGAAATGCATCTGATTTTGGGGTGTTGATTTTGTATCCTGCAACTTTGCCAAATTTGTTTATTAGTTGTTTTTTTTTCCCCCACAGAACCATCAAGTCCAATGTTTATTAGTTTTAACAGCTTTTTTTATGGACTCTTATAGGGTTTTCTATATATAAAGTTATTTTGTCAGTTAAAAGAGATATTTTTACTTCTTCCTTTCCAATTTCTGTGCCATGTATTTCTTTTTCTTGCTTAATTGCTCTAGCTAGGAGTTCCAGGACCATGCTGAATAGAAGTGTTGAAACCAAGCATCTTTTCCTTGTTCCCAATCACAGGGGAACACCTTTCAGTTTTTCACCATTGATTATGATCTCAGCTGTGCACAACCCCATTATTAAACTTTCCTGGAACAGCTTCGTTTGGGTGTGTCATCTGTTTCCTGCAGGCCCCTGAATGAGATGCCTGTAAAAGGTGTAAATAAGCCAGATCCCAGGACAGGTTGTATAAATGCTTACTCCAGAGTGTGCAGAAGTAATTTTCATGACCAGTTCTGGGCTTGATGCTGCCCATGAGTTTGTGCCATTTGTGCTGATCAGAATAAATTTGTTCAGAACAACTTTATTTTTCCAGATGGTCAGAATTTTAAGCAGTAGATAAGACTGGTCTTGCATTGTTAGCCTCTTATATAAATGTATACATTTTCTTTCAGAAAGATTTTTTGGTTTTTAGCACTTTGGTGCTTAATTGTTCACAGTGCTTAGGCGACATCAAATGAAGAAGTTAATACTGTGAGGCAACAACTCTTTCTTTCTTCCTTTCTTCCTTTCTTTCTTCCTTTCTTCCTTTCTTTCTTTCCTTTCTTTCTTTCCAGGATCTCACTCTGTCACCCAGGATGGAGTGCCAGGGTATGATCTTGGCTCACTGCAGCCTCTGCCTCCCAGGTTCAAGCGATTCTCCCACCTCAGTCTCCCAAGTAGCTGGGACCACATGCACATACCGCCATGCTCAGCTAATTTTTTGTATTTTTAGTAGAGATGGGATTTCACAATGTTGCCCAAGCTGGGCAACAACTGTTTCTATACACCTCTAGGGATGCCCTGACCCTGGAGTGTGAGATTGAGATGGTCCTAGATTCTTGCTTTTTTCCCTCCTCATGTTTAATTTCATGAGCTTGGGAAATTTTGTAATCTCCAAAGAGCCTGAGTATCATAGCACCCACCTTGAAGTATTGTATGAGGATTAAATGGTGTAGTATATATTGAAGAGCTTAGTTTGCTACTGTGCCCAATAAATAATAGATACTCTGTAAACAGTAGTTAGTATTAAAAAGTTTTGTTAAATTTAGGAAGTATATTCTGGTTCTGTGAATGAAAAAAATATTTTTAAAGTAGTTTCTTGCCGGTGCATTGTTGCTGCTTGCCTGTGTTCTGTGCTTGGGAGTCTTTGAAGTCTTGCTTTCTGGCCCATTATTATAATAAATCTGCCAGTTTGATGATAGCTTAGTGGCAGGGCGAGTCCCCAGCCAAGTGTAATTCAAGAGCAGGCATTCCAGGGGGTGGGGATTGGGGCCCCGGAGGTAGAGGGTGGAGGTGTAAAGCTGACTTGGGCACACAACTGGCCATGTGCTTTTGTCCTCTGGCTTGTTGGCCTGTACTTGAAATCTTGCTTTCTGTTCACTGACCTTGAAGAAAGGAAACTTATTAAAATAGGCTGTAAAACTAGGAGGAGAGGGAGAAGAGGGCCAGGTCTCAGGAAGCTGCCCTGAGGGGAGTGGTGAGGTGGACTCTGTTGCTCGCCCAAACTGTTCATTAGGGAAAAAGAGGAAAAAGTGAAAATATGTTGCAAAATGAAGGGTGACGCATTCTCATGAAGTAAATCCCAGCAGCTCTTAACATTTTATTACATAATTAATTACATTATCATTTTGAAAAGTAAGATAATTAAAGAGAAAACAAATTCAGTCACCTGAAGTCCTCTACCTGTAGATGATAGATAATATTTCATGTATTGCCTTGTGGATTTTTTCATATGCATCTATATATGTAAGTTGAAAACGGAGTGATTTTATACTGTGTTAACCTGTTCCCCCCCCACCCTTTTTGAGACAAAGTTTCACTCTGTCACCCAGGCTGGATGACAGTGCAGTGGCACCATCTCAGCTCACTGCAACCTTCACCTCCCAGGTTCAAGCAATGCTTGTACCTCAGGCTCCCAAGTAGCTGGGACTACAGGTGCACACCACCACGCCTGGCTAATTTTGTATTTTTAGTAGAGATGGGGTTTCACCATGTTGGCCAGGCTGGTCTCGAACTCCTAATCTCAAGTGATCCACCGTCCTTGGCCTCCCAAAGTGCTGAGATTACAGGCATGAGCCACCACGCCTGGCATTGTAACCTGCCCTTTACTCTTATTGTATATATCCCTCCGCGTCAGTGAGTAAAAATCTGTTATAAAATGCCATAGAGCATTTTATTTTATGTCTTCTGAAACCCTGTGGGTCTCTATCAGTATATAAGGTACTTGTAGGCAAAGTCCATGCCTTGTACTTTATATCCCCCAAAGCACCTGGCACAGTCCCCTAATAGGCAAACCCCTGTTGATTGCTAAATTTGACATTGAAGAAGATAAAGGTGTGAGTCACAGCCATGATTTCCTTATTTATCTTTTGATCTAAGGCTGTTGCCTATCAGCCTTTAAAACACGTATATTAGTGATCCTAAGACTACATCATACTTTCTATTACCTGTGATAATTATAGCAATATTGGCATAACACTTAGGTTTTCAGAGCATTTTTCACGTTGTTACACAGATCCTGGGGAGGCTGTTATTATTTCTTGCATTTTGCAGTGGAGGAAACTGAGGTTAAGAGAGTTTAAGTATGTTTTATGCTGTTATCATGCTGCCTCTGTGTTTAACTTAGCTGGATGACTTTAAAAAAAATCAAGTGTGTGTGTGTGTGTGTGTGTGTGTTAACTTTGGCCATTAGTACCTATGATGTTGCTTTTAGGTACCAATCATATAGAAAATGAAATGAAGTTTTTTGTTGTTTTTTTTTTTTTTTTTTTTTTTTTTGACACAGAGTCTTGCTCTGTCACCTAGGCTGGAGTGCAGTGGCGCTATCTTGGCTCACTGCAACCTCCGCCTCCCGAGTTCAAGTGATTCTCCTGTCTCAGCCTCCCGAGTAGCTGGGATTACAGGCGCCTGCCACCACGCCTGGCTAATTTTTTGTATTTTTAGTAGAGATGGGGTTTCACCGTGTTGGCCAGGCTGGTTTCAAACTGCTGACCTCAGGTGATCCACTCTCCTCGGCCTCCCAAAGTGTTGGGATTACAGGCGTGAGCCACTGCACCTGGCTGTAAAGTCTTTTTTTAAAATTTTATTTTATTTTATTTTTTGAGACTCTGTCGCCCAGGCTGGAGTGCAGTGGTGCAATCATAGCTCACTGCAGCCTCAAACTCTTGGGCTCAAGCGATCCTCCTACCTCAGCTTCCAAAGTAGCTGGGACTATAGGCATGCACCACCACACCTGGCTAATTATATGTATTTATTTATTTAGTAGAGGCGGGGGGGCCTCACTTTGTTGCCCCGGCTGGTCTCGAACTCCTAACTTCAACTTAACTCCTCTTGCCTTGGCCTTCCAAAGCCCTGGCCTGACCACAGCCAACTCTTTCTTTTTTGTGTGTGTGAAAGAATAGGTAACTATTTTGCAAAATCAGTTTAACACATTTTTTTTTTTTTTGGAGAGAGTTATGCTGATTCTTATTGAACTAGATTTGCTGGCAATATTCAAGGTAGTCTAAAATTTCCAACCCTACAAGTACTGTCCAGTGGAGATGTTCCTGTATCAGTAACTCCTAGGCAGGGTTTTTGCTTTGCTATGGCCCCATTACATCTGTGGGCACATTTTTACAGGTTGGTTTTTACTGAGGAAGGGACTATTTATACTTTTCTTTCTCTTTCCCTACCCTTTGGGCCTTCAGCTATGACAGAGACTCCACTTTCAATGTGTTTGTGGGAAAAGGACAGCTGATCACAGGGATGGACCAGGCTCTTGTTGGGATGTGCGTAAACGAGAGACGTTTCGTGAAGATTCCCCCAAAGCTTGCCTACGGAAATGAAGGAGTTTGTAAGCTTTTCTTCCTCGTTTATAAACACGTCAGCAGAAACAATGAGAACACTTTTAGGATGTTAAGTCAAACAGACTGGAGAATCTTGGAAGCTTTAGATTGGGGGAAAATGAAAAGCAGTGAACTCATACACAGCTAAAATTTCCATCTTAGGTTTATTTCTTCTAGATGTGAAAGAAAGTGTCATTAACACAGATGTACTGAATGATACCCTCAATGAGAAGAAGACTGTTTTTTCTCTTTTCTTTCAATTTCATTTGGAGGAAAGAGGGAGGAAGAATGGGTCATTTTGGGATTGTATAGCGGTGACTGCTTGAACCCTTTTGGCCCACATTCACCTTGGGAGCATCCTAGGTGTTTATTTATCTGGCCTGAAAGGCAGCAACTGTGAACTCAGTGTGTAATCTTTAATTTCTAGCTGGTGTGATCCCCCCCAATTCAGTGCTTCATTTTGATGTACTTCTGATGGATATTTGGAATTCTGAAGACCAGGTTCAGATTCACACCTATTTCAAGCCCCCGAGTTGCCCTCGGACCATCCAGGTGTCTGATTTTGTGAGGTACCACTACAACGGGACGTTCCTGGACGGAACTCTGTTTGATTCGAGGTAAGTCCTGTCGTTCATGGCAGTATCAGTGAAATGTCCCATGCATAGTTCTTTCCTTCTGTCTTACTTGCTTTTTATGCTGATGGGGATACCAGAATAAGGACTCTTCTCAACTGTAATCAGTACTGAACTCATCTACTTAAGACTTTTGGTCAGTGTTGCATCTTCTCTGGTGCCAGAGTCAAAATTTTAATACATCTTAGAAACATTGAAGAGCAGTGTTTATCTAACTTAACAGTATTTTGAGATCTCATCATTAAGTGAAAGGTTCTATTTCTTTCTTTTTTTTTTTTGAGATGGATTCTCGCCCTGTCACCCAGGCTGGAGTACAGTGGCACGATCTTGGCTCACTGCAACCTCTGCCTCCTGGGTTCAAGCGGTTCTCCTGTCTCAGCCTCCCAAGTAGCTGGGACTACAGGCGCATGCCACCACACCAAGCTAATTTTTTGTATTTTTAATAGAGACGGGGTTTCAGCATATTAGCCAGGGTGTTCTCGATCTCCTGACCTCATGATCTGCCTGCCTTGGCCTCCCAAAGTGCTGGGATTACAGGCGTGAGCCACTGCACCCGGCCGTGTAAGTCTCTATTTCTAAGGAGGCTTATGCACGTTTTGGTTCCTTTTTATAGTTTTCCCATGGAAGCAAGAGGGAAAAGATGAATGTATGTGAAGCTATGGAGAGGCATGGGGCTACACGGGAGATCAGGGAACCCTTCGCAATTTCTTCTCATTAGAGCGTGTTTGATTAGTGGAATAGCTGGCCTGTTTTTGTCTATCACTAGTATAAATGCATGCTTTTTATTTCTTTCTAAACTTGAGGACATCTGCCCTGTGTTTGGGGGAAAAGATCCATAAATGTCTATCTCTAGGATGGGTATGGGATCATCGTTTAGCTGATATTTGGGTAAGAAAAACCGTACGGAGAGATGAGTTGGAAATATCCTCATGGTGTGGAACTTTTTCCCTTTCTCATTACCTTTCAGTCACAATCGCATGAAAACATATGACACGTATGTGGGAATTGGCTGGCTGATTCCTGGAATGGATAAAGGGCTGCTGGGGATGTGTGTGGGTGAGAAGCGCATCATCACCATTCCTCCTTTTCTGGCCTATGGAGAGGATGGAGATGGTAAGTCCGTCTCCTTCTTGGAGCCACTCTTTCCTACCCTTATTTTTATTGCAGTGGTTAATTCAGTTGTCACCACATGAAACCCACTAGACCTTTCGGTCTAGACCTACACTGGCCAATATGGTAACCACTAGCTACATGTGGCTATTAATTAGCTAAAATTTAAAATTCAGTTCCTTGGTCACACTGCTACATTTTAGGTACCCAATAGCCTCACGTTGCTGAGGACCACCATAGTGGACAGTGCAGATACAGACCCAGATCATTTCCATCACTCAGAAAGTTCTATTTGACAGTGCTAGTCTGGATTGTCTGCTGTCTGATGATTGAGTTGCAGAAATTTCCACTTACTTATAGTCATTGGCATTCATAAGTAACCCCCTCTGCCCCTGTTGTACCTGCCATGGCCTTGGCCACCAACCTCTCTGGCTTTAACATTTGTGAAATGAGACTTGAATTAGACACTATAAAAGTTGCAGATATCCAGGTAGAAATTTAGCCATACAATGTCAGAATTGCCAGATTTCCCCGTTTGCACCTCTATGATGAGTTTTACCTATGGCATTAACTCCATATGGACAAAAGCAAAGTGTAATGTTAGAAAACACATTAATTACAACTAGTGTCCTGTTTGTAGTTTTACTGTGAAGGAAAACACATAATATTGACTGATAAATGGAATGTCTCAGGTACTCATGTTTGAATTTCAGGTGCGTTTAGTCATATTGACATGCTGGCACAACATAGAGACCGGTAGACATTTAAACAGCAGATGGATACAATGATGTGTTGATTCATAATGGGGATATGTTCTGAGAAAGGCATCATTAGGCAATTGCATTGTTGTGCAAATGCCATAGAGTGCACTTACACAATCCTAGGTGCTACATCCTGCTGCACACTTAGGCTGTGTGGTGTAACCTGTTTCCTCTAGGCTGCAAACCTGCACAGCATCTGTACTGAATCCTGTGAGCTACTGTAACACAATGGTAAGAATTTGTGTATCTAAACATAGAAAAGGTACAGTAAAGACATGATATGATAATCTCATGGGACCACTCTCATATATGTGGTCTGTTGTTGACCAAAACTTCATTGTGCAGCACATGATTTTGTAGTTAAGGATATAAATGAGAACATGATGCTTCTTAAGAAGTTTACTGATAGTGATAGCCAGCTTACAATAGCCAATATGTTTTCAACGTTTTTTCCTGGCTCTGTGGAGCGGAGCAGGAGCAGAAGGGAGCCTGAGGTGATGGGGCTCAGCCTTCTCTCCTTTCTATCTCCATATATATATATATACTTATATATATATATGTATATATACACGCCCATATATATATATACACTCATATATATATATACATGCCCATATATATATATGTATATATACACTCATATATATATACTCATATATATATACACTTTTTTTTTTTTTTTGAGACAGAGTCTCACTCTGTTGCCCAGGCTGGAGTGCAGTGGTGCGATCTCGGCTCACTGCAACCTCTATCTCCTGGATTCAAGAGATTCTCCTGCCTCAGCCTCCTGGGTAGCTTGGACTACAGGCGTATGCAACCATGCCTGGCAGATTTTTGTATTTTTAGTAGAGACAGCATTTCGCCATGTTGGCCAGACTTGTCTCAAACTGCTGAGGTCAAGCCATCCATCCACCTCGGCCTCCCAAAGTGCTGGGATTACAGGTGTGAACCACTGTGCCTGGCCCACTTTTATATATTTTACATGCTGGGGATCTGCAGATGGTTTCTTAAACAGAGCATTAGGGGTGGAATTCCCTACTAAAAGAAAAATAAAGTTTAAAGCAGTGCCATAAATATGTCTTAATTCTCCCCCCCACTGAGATATAAGATACTGTTATTATTATTTTTAGAGACAGGGTCTCACTCTGTCACCCAGACTGGAGTGACACCATCATAGCTCACTGTAACCTCAAACTCCTGGGTGATCCTCCTGCCTCAGCCTTCCGAATAGTTAGGAGTACAGACGTGTGCCACCATGCTTGGCTAGTTAAAAAAGTTTTTTTAGAGACAGTGTCTCGCTACGTTACCCAGGCTTACCTGGAAATCCTGGACTCAAGCGATCCTCCCACCTCAGCCTCCCAAAGCGCTGGGATTACGGGTGGGAGCCACTGTGCCTGGCAGTTACTGTTTTCTTATTGATGTTCAAATGGTCTTGTCCTTGGCCCCAAGAAGTTCATTCACGTTGGCTCCCAGATCCTTTTGTCATCAGCCACATAACAAAACCAGATGTGAGCCTAATATGAGAAATATTATTTCTTTACTTTAAATAAATAATAGCTTATTTAGAGTAGTTATTTTTGAATACTTTATACTTGAATACTGTGCTCGGCTATCCAAGTATAACTTTAAATGGGTGAACTGTATGGTATGTGAATTATATCTCTGCAAAGTTGCTATAGAAAACATTATTCATTTAGTACACATTAATGCTAGAAAAATTGAAACCCCAGGCCGGGCGCAGTGGCTGCCGCCTGTAATCCCAGCACTTTGGGAGGCTGATTTGGGTGGATCGCCTGAGGTCGGGAGTTCAAGACCAGCCTGGCCAGCATGGGGAAACCCCGTCTCTACTAAAAATACAAAATTTAGCCAGGCGTGGTGGCAGGTGCCTGTAATCCCAGCTACTCGGGAAGCTGAGGCAGGAGAATCGCTTGAACCCAGGAGGCGAAGGTTGCAGTGAGCCAAGATTGAGCTATTACACTCCAGCCTGGGCAACAGAGCGAGACTCCGTCTCAAGAAAAAAAAAAAGAAAAGAAAAATTTAAACCCCATGGTTACTTTTAAGGCTTTCATTTTTCTCTTAAATGAAAAGATACAGTAAGGCACAAAAGATTAATATTCTATCTCCCACGCATGCGATTTAGGGATTGACCACACCTTGCATTCCAGGGGCTGACTCAGCAGCCGGCTTTCAGCAGATTTCATCATTCCTTGGATGGGAAGGAGATGCAGGGTGGGCTTTGCCAAAGGCCAGTGGAAGGAGCTCAGGCTTGGCGGCATCTGGTTTGCTTGTCTGGGCCTACTCCTTTGCATGATATAACAAATGGCAGGTAAAACTGAGGGATTGGTTTGTTGGTTAACTTTCTACTATCCCAAATTACTGGATTTTGAGTTATTTATTGGTTGATGTTGATCTTTGCAGGAAGAACTAGTGTCCTGTAATCTCTTCATGTGGATTTCATTTTGCAGATATTCAAAATATTCCCACTGGCAGGAACATCCAAGAGAAGCAGTACTACCCAGAAGTGAGATAGAAGTGATTTGAGGACTATTTATTTATATTTTGGATTGTGGGTGCCATTTTTTTCTCTGTTATTCTGCTTTCATCTTATTTATATCTTGCTTTGGATATACTTAAAGCATTGAGTTTTACTTTTTGCCTCTAAAAAATTGGCCGTTCGTTTCAAAGAACAAGTCTGTGTACAGTTCTCCAGAACCAGACCAGAGATTTGGAATTTTCTCCTTTAAATGTCTGTGGTTTGCATTTATTCACAAACAGAAACCCACAGAGGTATGTATTTGGGTTTGCCTGTGGGTGCCTGCCCACCTACATAAAGCCTTGATTTTCCAGCATGAGTCCAGAAAATATGGTCATGGTAGTCTCTTATGTCATTAATACCAATTTTCTCCTTTTGCTGAGTCAGGTTTTAGATTATACCATCAGCCCATGGTTGGACACCATGGGGGCCCATTCAAGACCTGGAAGAACATTTGTTTCCTTGGCTTCAAAACCTCAAGAAATGAATAACACCAACCCCAAGCCTGTTGAGTTGTAAAGTACTTCCTAAATCCTGTGTCCCGTTTAATCATCTTCTCCCATTCCATTCTAGGGAAAGACATTCCCGGTCAGGCATCTCTGGTGTTTGATGTTGCATTATTGGACCTCCATAACCCCAAGGACAGCATTTCCATTGAGAACAAGGTAGTACCTGAAAACTGTGAGCGGATAAGTCAAAGTGGGGACTTTCTCAGGTATCATTACAATGGCACGCTTCTGGATGGCACCCTCTTTGATTCCAGGTAAGGAAATGATTAAAGTCTTCAATTGCCAGAACATTGTATTAAATAAAGTCTGCCATTGGCTGGACCATGATTTAAATACTCTGTCCATGCTGATTTGTAGTTGGCATTTTCATCTCTAATACAAGTTTCTGTTTTCTGATACTTAGTTCTTTCCTCCCTTCCTTCCTTCCTTTCTTTCTTTCTTTTTTTTTGAGACGGGGTCTCGTTCTGTCATCCAGTGTGGAGTGCAGTGCAGCTGCATGATCGTGGCTTTCTGCAGCCTTGAACTCCTGGGCTCAAGCAATTCTCTCATCTCAGCCTCCTTAGTAGCTAGGACGATAGGCGTGTGCCACCATGCTTGGCTAATGTTTTATTTTTTGTAGAGATGGGCTTAAGTTTCTTCATAGGCTCTTGTAACCATTTCTTTCTTGGGGGCTGTTTTAGATGGTTCTGCAGGAAGACAGGAGAGACTCACCCTCGACTCCCACCATCCCCCTATACTGTGCTTAGTTATCCAGTTATAAACCTCATTATGGGGCCCAAGATGAGGAGTGGCCAGAAGTGATGTCAAGGAGGTACAGTGGGCAGAGAATGGGCTTAATGCCAAGAGAGCTGGGCTCTAGCCCCTGTCTGTGGTGCACTAGCTGTATGACTTTGGATAGTGTTTGACTGCCTTGGACTTCATTTTTCCCTATTCCAGCAACTTTGTCAAGTAGGTGGTTAGATTAAAGAGATAAGGTATGTGTCACAGTGCTTTACAAATTTCAGAGGCTGATCAGCTGGACGGCACTGGTTGGATGCATTCAGCTCCCTTCTGGATGCTGGGTGCCATAGAGGCTAATTACTGGCCTCTTTTGTTGTTCAAAGTTTTGTTTTGTTTATCAGCCATGGCCTGCAATTGTAGAGATGGCTTGTGTTTGGCCTGTTTTGCTCATTCTAGTGGCATGTGTTGTTTGAAACTACTCCTTTAGCTTCCAGTAGAGCAAACAAGTAGTGACAGCAACCTCCCTGTCTCTGAGGTGATAGACTTCTAGTTAATGTAGTCATCCAAAACCATTACAGAAGAATTTGTATATGGCATTATTTCATTTGAATAATTCATTCTTGTTCCTAGGATCTCTTTTAAATTTGTCATTTAAATTTTTTGGAAAAGAGTAATAGTTACATAGCTCAAAACCAAAACAAAGTATGCATTAAGATATGTTGTAAATTAGCCAGGCGTGCACTGGCGGGTGCCTGTAATCCCAGCTACTCAGGAGGCTGAGTCAGGAGAATGACTTGAACCCAGGAGGCGGAGGTTGCAGTGAGCTGAGATCACACCACTGCACTCCAGCCTGGGCAACAGAGCGAGACTCTGTCTCAAAAAAAAAAAAAAAAGAAAAGATATGTTGTATACCTGTTCCTGTCTGCCTAACCTCCCTGTCTCCCCTACCCCTTAGAGTTAACCATCTTTATTGGTTTCTATTTTTAATTTTTCCAATGTCTGGATTTTTTTTTTTTTTTGAGGCAGAGTCTCACTCTGTCACCCAGGCTGCAGTGCAGTGGCACAATCTTGGCTCACTGCAACCTCCACCTCCCAGGTTCAAGTGATTCCCCTGCCTCAGCCTCCCAAGTAGCTGGGGTTACAGGCACACACCACCACGCCTGGCTAATTTTTGTATTTTTAGTAGAAACGGGGTTTCACCATATTGGCCAGGCTGGTCTCGAACTCCTGACCTCAGGTGATCCACCCAACGCAGCCTCCCAAAGTGCTGGGATTATAGTCATGAGCCACTGGGCCCAGCCTAATGTGTGGATTTTTTAAAATGCAAGTATAAGCAAACACAAATGTTATTTTCTTCTCCTTAAATTATACGGATTTCAGAATATAGTATTACTAGGGAACAAGGTGGTGTTCTCCTTGATTTTTGTTACTCTGGGATTTTTCCATACTAATACATAGAGAGAAATCCTTTATTTTTTACATCTACATGGCGTCCCATTGGGTGAGTATATTGTATTTAGATAACCATTCCCCTATTGATGAATATTTGAGTTGTTTTTATCTTTTTCTGTTACCAAAAAAAAATCATTTAGTGCATATGTGTATTATTCTTTGTTACATTCCAGTGTGGTTCTGTTCTTTATTCCCTGGAATTATATTTCCAATTGAAAGACCACTTTTCTGTGTACACCAGATTTCTGTTCATATAATGGAACCACAGTTTTCTTAGGTTTCAAGAGCTTTCCATTTTAGTACAGTGGGATCTAGCCCATTCTAACAGCTGCATATATTTCATTGTATAGATTTGCCTATATTTAGGTAATCAATCCTTGTTGTTTGTCCTGTATGTTTCCTGTATTTTGACACTTAAGGCTGCAGTAATTATTTTTGTAGGGAAATCTTAAAATATATGATTAATTGTTTCCCTGGGATACATCGCTAGAAGAATCTCTGGGTCAAAGGTTATGTGTGTGTGTGTGTGTGTGTGTGTGTGTGTGTGTGTGTCTATGTGTGTGTGTTTTGAGACGGAGTTTCGCTCTTCTTGCCCAGGCTGGAGTGCAATGGCGTGATCTCAGCACACTGCAACCTCCGTCTCGTGGGTTCAAGCGATTCTCGTGTCTCAGCCTCCTTAGTAGCTAGGATTACAGGCATGAGCCACCACTCCCAGCTAATTTTGTATTTTTAGTAGAGATAGGGGTTTCATCATATTGGCCAGGCTGGTCTTGAACTCCTGACCTCAGGTGATCTGCCTGCTTCGGCCTCCCAAAGTGTTGAGATTATAGGTGTGAGCCACTGCGCCCTGCCTTTTTTTTTGAGACAGTATCTTGCTTTGTCACCCAGGCTGGAATGCAGTGGTGTGACCTCGGCTCACTGCAACCTCCACCTGCTGGGTTCAAGTGATTCTCCTGCCTCAGCCTCCCGAGTAGCTAGGATTACAGGCGCCTGTCACCACACCAGGCTAATTTTTGTATTTTTGATAGAGACAGGGTTTTGCCATGTTGGCCAGGCTGGTGTCAAACTCCTGACCTCAAGTCATCTGCCCGCCTCGGCCTCCCAAAGTGCTGGGATTACAGGTATGAGCCACTGCGCCCAGTGGTTATGTGTATTTTTATACCTTTTGATACATACTACCAAGTTGCCCTCAAGGAAGGTTTTACTCAGCATCACAGTTTAAGAGTATCCCATTCCCTACAAATTCAGTAACATTGGGTATCATTTAAAAATTATCTTGGCTAATTTATAGGAGAAAACAATGATACCTGTGGTTTTAATCTGAATTTTCTATTGCTATTGGGATTGAAATTCCTTTGGGTGTTTATTTGAGTACTTTCTTTTGTGAACTACCTGTTCAGGTCCTTTGCCTATTTTTCTATTTAGGGCATTGGCATTTGTCTGTTTCTTGTTGATTTGAAGAGCTCTACACATTAAAAATATTAATTATTTTATGGCTGCATATTATTAAAAACATTTTCCTCAATTTATTTGTTTGTTAATTTTGGTTATGTTGATTTTTGGCCCATTTAACTGTAAACCTGTTATGTTGTTAAATACATTAGACTTCCTCATTATGGTTCCTGTCTTTGGTGACTTGTTACAAAGTCTGTCCTCTTCCTAGAGTATATAAATGTTTGCCTGTATTTCCCTCAAGCCTTTTAATGGTTTTTTTTTCTATTCTTTAAGATATTCTTTATTAGAATTTTTATTTTCAAAAGTAATATGTTCTTTTTTTTTTGAGACAGAGTCTCACTCTGCTGCCCAGGCTGGAGTGCAGTGATGTGATTGCAGCCCACTGCAACCTCCACCTCCCAGGTTCAAGCAATTCTTCTGCCTCAGCTTCCAGAGTAGCTGGGACTACAGGTGTGCACCATCACCTGTAGTGATGCAAAAAAATTTGCCCGACTCATTTTTTTGTATTTTTAGTAGAGATGAGGTTTCACCATTTCGGCCTGGTTGGTATCAAACTCCCGGCCTCAAGTTATCCACTCGCCTGGGCCTCTCAAAGTGCTGGGATTACAGGCATGAGCCACCGCACCAGGCCAGAGGTAATATGTCCTAATTGCATAATGGAAACAATGCAAAAATGTATAGCAGAAAATGTAAATTTCCTGTCAGCCCCTTCCATTCTCACTACCATGAGATCGCCAGTGTTAACAACGTTCTGCAGTTTCTCTCTATGCTCATAAATGCTTTCATATTTAAGTCTTTAATCCATCTGGAATTTATTGTGGTATCACTGTGACAGGAAGGATTTAACTTTATTTTTTTCCAGATGGTTAGCTAGTTTTTCCAACATCCGTCATGAATGACTCTGTCATTTCCTCACTGCTCTAAAAGGTGATTTTTGTTATGAACTAAATTCTTATATGTACTTTTGAGTCTTTGTGTAGAATTTTTATCCTTTACCTTCTATCTATTCCTAGGGCAGCATCACAACTTTAACTATGATTAACTAGTGTTAGCTTTTTAATTTGTATAGTAGAGGGCATTCTTTTTCTTTTTTAAAAAATAGCTTTTTTTTCTACTAAGTGATGCATTGACATGATTTAAAACCCTGGAAGTATGAAAAGGTATACAATGACAAATTTCCCTCCTATCCTTGTCCCACCTCCCCTCTTCATAGGGAACCAGTGTTACTAATTTCTTTTTCTTTCTTTCTTTCTTTTTTTTTTTTTTTGAGACGGAGCCTCGCTTCTTTGCCCAGGCTGGAGTGCAATGGTACGATCTCGGCTCACTGCAACCTCTGCCCTCCAGGTTCAAGCGATTCTCCTGCCCTCAGCCTCCCGAGTAGCTGGGATTACAGGCACATGCCACCAGGCCCGGCTAATTTTTTTAGTATTTTTAGTAGAGATGGGGTTTCAACATGTTGGGCCGGGCTGGTCACGAACTCCTGACCTCAAGTGATCACCCACCTCGGCCTCCCAAAGTGCTGGGATTACAGGTGTAACCCACTGCCCCTGGCCCAGTGTTATTAATTTCATAGGTGTTCCATACATATATAATGAAGTACATATATGTATATATTTCCTGCTTAATTTTTTACAAGAATGATAGCTTGCTGTATACTGCACCTTAAAAACAGCATTCTTAATTATTTCTTTTTTCAGGTGAATTTTAGCATTACTTTACTGAGCAATTTTGATTGGAATTGCTTTAAAATTTGTAAGTTAGTTTGGGCCAGCTGTGGTGGCTTAGGCCAGGCACGATGGCTTACACCTGTAATCCCAGCACTTTGGGAGGCCGAGGCAGGTGGATCACTTGAAGACAGGAGTTCAAGACCAGCCTGGCCAACATGGTGAAACCCCGTCTCTACCAAAAATACAAAAATTAGCTGAGTGTGGTGGTGCATGCCTGTAATCCCAACTACTTGGGAGGCTGAGGCAGGAGAATCGCTTGAACCCAGGAGACAGAGGTTGCAGTGAGCCGAGATCTTACCATTGCACTCCAGCCTCAGCAACAGAGTGAGACTGTGTCTCAAAAAAAAGAAAAGATAAAAGAACTTATAAGTTAGTTTAGGGGAGGACTGACGACTTCACTTTTCCATTGGGGAACAGGATGGTTTTGCATTTACTTGTCTTTAACTTTTATTCAGCATTTACTACAATTCAAGCCCACCCCGCCACTCCGTCTCTCCTTCTGAGGCTCTTATATCCTGCCTCTTGGCTTGGCCCTTGCTGCCAGACCATTGCTCTTCCCTTAGGCAGATCCCACAGCCTTCGGTGTCTGCTATCTCCCCTCTGCCATGGAATCTTTGCAACTATTCCAGTGGGCAGCAATCCCCGCTGTGGGTACCTGCCATCTCTCTCACTACTTGGTGTCCCTTTGTCGGGAGCCCACCACATAGGTATCCTTCTCTTCCCTGAATGTCTGGCAGTGGCTGCACATTGCTGGTGATCCCCAGGGTCCTGCAGGTGGGAACCTCGGGAGGGTGAGCCCTGCTCTGGCTGAAGGATGCTGGGAGCCGACACGGTCCTCCTCTTCCCTGCTGTGTTCCCCTCCAGGCCTTCCTGGCCAGTGCACCAGGAGGAGGATTGGAGCTGCTCAGCGTGGGGTGCTGTTCTCAGTGGGTGGGAAGGGGGACTCACAGCCTCGTCTGGGAGTTTATGTGGACAATCTCCTGCTTCCTGGGTGAGGAGAGACATCTGTTGTGATTCTTTCTTCGTGCCCCATGACTTTGTGGTCTTTGAGGGGTATTGAGAAGGGAGAACCCCCACAGCTCTGCCTGTGTATCGGCCTGGCCCTGCTCGGCAGTCCTTCTTCTCCGGGGCATCATGCCCTGGCTTTGAGGTGAGGGAATGGCAGGACCGACTGGCTCTTTCAGGACAGGCTTTCTGCCTCATCGGCACCAGGTGGTGTGGGGAAGGGGTGCAGGTCACGTGGTCCAGTTTGATAGTGGACTTGTGGCATATGAAGTTTTATTATTTTATTCTGGAATCATTATGCTG
This sequence comes from Homo sapiens, assembly GCF_000001405.40. Classification (NCBI taxonomy): domain Eukaryota; kingdom Metazoa; phylum Chordata; class Mammalia; order Primates; family Hominidae; genus Homo; species Homo sapiens. The sequence continues at coordinate 32,986,962 of NC_000007.14, forward strand.
TGGGGAATTGATTCCTCTTTTTACCAAACTCATGGTAATAGAATCACTCAGTAGTTTACACACAGGCTGGATCTCTCCACTGAGTGGACTTGGGGCTCCTGCCAGGAGCACTTGGAAAACCCAAGTATTCACCAGGGTGGCGGGGTGAGCAGGGGTGATAGTGGGGGCCTTTTGTCGGGCTGTGGTGGAGAGTGCGGAATTCATTACTCTCAGTGTGTATGCTGCTTTCCTGGCGATCGGAATCTTCATGTCAGGCTGGGTGCTGTGGCTCAAGCCTGTAATTCCACACTTTCGGAGGCCAGGGCAGGCAGATCGCTTGAGCCCAGGAGTTCGAGACCAACCTGGGCAACGTGGTGAAACCCCATCTTTACTAAAAATACAAAAATGAGCCAGGCATGGTATTGCATGCTGTAGCCCCAGCCACTTGAGGGGCTGAGGTGGAAGGATCACTTGAGCCCAGGAGGTTGAGGCTGCAGTGAGCTGAGACCAGACCACTTCACTCCAGCCTGGGAGACAGAGCAAGACCCTGTCTCCAAAAAAAAAAAAAATTAAAAAGTAATTAGAAAATAAAAACAGAATATTCATGTCCCACATATGCAGATATTTTCTCTTTAGATATTGGAGACATTATCCTTGTGACACATTCGTAGTTTCTGATAAGGGCTACGTTCGATTCTGTCTTTTGTTTTCAAGACAGGGTCTCATTCTGTCACCCAGGCTGGAGTGCAGTGTTGTGATCTTGGCTCACTGCAACCTCAACCTCTCCGGCACAAGCAGTCCTCTGACTTCAGCCTCCTGAGTAGCTGGGACTATAGGTGTGTGCCACCACATCCAGCTAAGTTTTGTAATTTTGTGGTGACAGAGTTTTGCCATGTTGCCCAGGCTGGTTGAGAGCTTGATTGTTTTCATTAACTTGACATGGTTATAGAGTGTACAGGCTGGGCACGGTGGCTCATACCTGTCAACCCAGCACTTTGGGAGGCCAAGTCAGGAGGATCACTTGATCCAGGAGCTCAAGACCAGGCTGAGCAACATAGTGGGACCCCATCTCTACAAAAAAAAAAAAGTATTAGCTAGGTGTGGTAGCATGTGCTTGTAGTCTCAGCTACTTGGGAGGCTGAGGTGGGAGGATTGCTTGAGCCTGGGAGGTTGAGGCTGCAGTGAGCTGTCTATGATGGTGCCACTGCACACCAGCCTGGGTGACAGAGTGAGACCTTGCCTCAGAAAAAGAAAGTATAGTGTTCAATTTACATTAGCTCCATTTCTGTGTGGTGCTTCTCATAACCCACACTGCATTCATAACCTGATGAAACTGGAGGGCCACATGGCGTGTCCCTACAGGTGGCTGTTCACATGCTGTGTGGGGGTTCTTATTTACCCTTCCAGGGGAGCATGTTTCCTGGCTGTGTCGTCAGATACTGTGGTTTACGCTGTTCCGGAGTCTGGAGGCCTCTGTGTGCCTTTGCATCTCTTTCCCAACTAATTTGCACAGCTGCTGTGGAGGCCCTCATGAATGACCTCTTTCTTTCCTTTCTTCTTTTCTAGCTACTCTCGGAACCGCACGTTTGACACGTACATTGGGCAGGGCTACGTGATTCCTGGGATGGATGAAGGTCTACTTGGTGTTTGCATTGGAGAAAAGCGAAGGATTGTGGTCCCGCCTCACCTGGGGTATGGAGAGGAAGGAAGAGGTGAGCATCAGCATCACCTGCCTTCCTCACTAGCTGTGGCTGCTTCCACATTGCTTGAAACAGGGCTTCTTTTTCTTTTTCTTCTTTCTTTTTGAGATAGGGTCTCCCTCTGTTGAACAGGCTGGAAAGTGTAGTGTGTGATCATCGTGTACTATGGCCTGGAACTCTTGGCCTCAAGTGATCCTCTTGCCTCAGCCTTCAGAGTAGCTGGCACTACAGGCACGCACCACCACACCCTGCACAGAACTTCTTGAGAGCCAAAATATTGAAGCTAAAGTCCAGCTTAAGACTGGAATTCCCAAATAGATTTAGTTTCTAGAGTTGTCCTGTTATTTCTCCTTGTTTCTCTGCCCATTTTCCTTTACCTTTTGAAAATGTTAAATCCTACACCAAAGTCAAAAGCACGTTATGGTGAATTCCACTTTGTTTTGCCAGTTGTTAACATTTTGCTATATTTGATCTCTTTTTATATTTATTTATTTATTTTGGGCTGAACCATTGAAAGTAAGTGCAAAAGCCCCTCTTTGGTTTTTGTTTTATATATTATAAAATTCACCCATTTAAGTATACAATTTAGTGACTTTTAGAACATTTAGTGGGTTATGTCACCATCACTATAATCCTGTTTTAGAACATTTTTGTCACCCTCATACCACACTTCCTTTTAAAAGTTACACAAATCATACATGTTGACTTTAGAAAAAGAAAATACAGTTAAGCAAAGAAATCCTGCCACCCAGAAATAAAGATTTTTTTTCCTTTTTTTCTTTTTTCTTTTTTTGAGATAGAGTCTCATTCTGTCACCCAGGCTGGAGTACAGTGGCACGATCTTGGCTCACTGCAACCTCTGCCTCCTGGGTTCAGGTGAGTCTCGTGCCTTAGCCTCCCAAGTAGCTGGGACTACAGGCATGTGCCACCACGCCTGGCTAATTTTTTTTTTTAATTTTCAGTAGAGATGGAGTTTCACTATGTTGGCCAGGCTAGTCTCAAACTCCTGGCCCAAGTGATCTGCCCACCTTGGCTTCCCAAAGTGCTGGGATTATAGATGTGAGCGCCATGCCATGCCAGAAACAAATATTGTTAATCTTAATCTGGTAGGCAGAATATTCAGCCCCTCCAAGTATCTATGTTCTAATCCCCAGAACCTGTGAGTATGTTACCTTACTTTATTTTGTTTTGAGACAAAGTCTTGTTCTGTTGCCCAGGCTGGAGTGCAGTGGTAAGATAAGCTCCTAACTCACTGCAGCCTCCAGCTTCTGTGTTAAAGTGATCCTCCTGCATCAGCCTCCTGAGTAGCTAGGACTACATGTGTGTGCTACCATGCACGGCTAATTCAAAAGCAATTTTTTTTTTTTTGTAAAGACAGACATGGTCTTGCTATGTTTCCCAGGCTTGTCTGGAACTCCTGAGCTCAAGCAATCCTCCCACCTTGGCCTTCTGAAGTGCTGGGATGACAGGTGTGAGCCACCATGCCTAGCCTCCTGTTACCTTATTAAAAGGGACTTTACAGATTTGATTAAGGATCTTGAGATAGGAATAGTATTCTAGATTATCCAGGTGGCCTCAAAATACTTGCAACAGTCTTTGTAAAAGGGAGGCAGGGGGTCAGACCGGGGAAAAAGTGCTAAACTGCTGACTTAGAAGATACAGAAGGAGGACCCTGTCAGGGAATGAAGGTGGCCCCGAGAGGCTGGAAAAGATGGAAACACATTCTCCCCGGCAGCCTCCAAAAGGAACATATCCCTAACAATACCTTGAATTTATGCTTCTGCCTTCCAGAATTAGGGGAATCCGTTTGCGTTGTTTTAAGCCAACAAGTTTGTGGTATTTTGCTGCAGCAACAGTAGGAAACAAATGCAGCCATGAAGTGAATGTCCTTCTGTACCTTTGAGTTTATGTATAGGTTTAAAAAAAAATGCCCACCTACACTAATCAATACGGACAAACATGGGATTGTCTATGCGTATTACTTTGTGATTTCTCTCTTCACCTAATTTGTGGTGAACAACAGATATGTTGTGAACAACTTTCTATGCTATGTATTTTAATGGCTGCTCCCTCGCTTAGCAATAGTTGATGCAGTATTTATTTTGTTTTTGTATTCTTTTGCTGATGGAGGCTGGCCTTGCTGGCTGTACATTTATTTTGTTAGTTCTGTTCTGTTTTTTTGTTGATACATCATATGTATCTTGAGAGTTTTCCCAGTAGTGTTCATCCCAGAGGATCCAAGAAACGTCAAGTTGGTTGGAAGGTAGGTTGTACAATGGAGAAATATTTTTTTCTCCCTGACTTAAATTTCTGATTGATTAAACCACAACAGATCACAGCTTAAGATCCATTCGACAGGGCTTTCTTCACACATCCTGCTTGTCTAGTGTCTTGATTCTCTATTGCTTTTTATCGTGTGGATTTCTACTTCTAGTCAAATATAAACAGAAACAGATAAATACTTTCTGAATGTTCTTGTTTCTTTATGGCCTGAGGACTAATCTTTCCTTTCTTTGAAAAGAATGCATTGATGGAAAACATTTGCTTAAATTACTTTTTTTCCTCTTGGCTTTCTATCAAGTATGAGACAGAGCTCTGCAAAGAATTATATAAGCCTCTGGGAAGCAGCCGAAGGCTCGTAAATTTTCTGGGCAATGAGACTCCTTCATCCTGAATCACGTTGCTGTGGGAGGAGGGCACCCTGAGTGACCCTGAGGTATAAACCCCAAGTGCTCTTGAGTGGAGTCTGCCTCTGTCCTCTCCTGATCAGCACCCTTGGCCTCTTTGTGGGGGTTACATAGGAGCTCGTGCTGATCCCTGAGGGGCTGACCCGAGAGGGGTCAGGATGCTGAAACTGTCTTCTTAGTGGCTTCTTCACTGCATACCACAGGGCCAGGCACATTGTGAATGTTTGGCAAATATTTGTGGAAGGAATGAATTGTGGGCTGACCGTGTGCTCTCAGCCTCTATCAGCATTTCATTCTGTCACAGCCATTTTCCCCTGCAAGATTGGTGGAGGGGAAAGGGTAGGCCTCCTGGGAGAGGTTCTGGATCTTTCTGCCATCTGCTTTGTTCCATGGGTCAGCCCTGAAATTAGGGCATTTGGATGGGTTTGCAGCCTCAAAGTGGAGAATGGATTCTGCCTGCGAGGATGTGTAAGCATCACTTCATCGATGGTTTGCTGTTACTCAACTTCCAGATTACCTTTTGAGCACCCTTTTAGGAAAGAGAGGAAAGTTAATAAATTACATTTTACCCACTGTGTGTCTGGGACTTCTTGCACATGAACTCATTCAAACCTGGAAACAGTCTTCTGAGGCATCATTACCCTCATTGTTTAGAAATATAATGAGGCCCAGAGAGTTCCACCCATGTGTCCAAGGCCACAATAGCTAATCCATGATGGAGCTGGAATTGGACCCAGGGCTCTCTGACCCATATGTGTCCTAGACAGACAGAAAGAATGAGTCCCCATTAGGTAGTGACTTGTTGATACCCATATGTGGAGAACCGAGACCTCAAACCAGAAGTCCTAGAGCTCTCAGAGGAAACACACCCGCTCAGAGGAAACCCACCTTCCTCAGAGGAAACCCACTCCCCTCAGAAGAAACCCACCCCCGCAGAGGAAACCCACCCCCTCAGAGGAAACCCACCCCCCTCAGAGGAAACTGACTCTCTGCAGAGGAAACCCACCCCCCGCAGAGGAAACCCACCCACCGCAGAGGAAACCCACCACCAGCAGAGGAAATCCACCCCCAGCAGGAGCTGCAGAGTTTCTTGGGTGGGCTATTGGCCGCTTTTAAGTTTTTCTCATCTGTATCTCTTCTGAGGGAGGCATCCTCATGGTGAGAACAGAATGATGACTTCTGCATTGGTTAAGGGTTTATACAGAGAGGAGGTTGGTGTTGGAGCCACGTTGGACTATTTCTGCCCGTTTGCTGGTCAGCACTCATTTCTATACTTAATCTACAAATAGCTTTGTGGAAGTCAGAGCAAGATAGAGGGATAGAGGTTCGAAGCCTTGGTGCTGCCTGGGGTAGGTGGGGTCTATGGTTCAAGGCTCTGATCTTCATTTTTGCAGGCGGAGAAACTCCATCTATCCATCCATCAAAGATTTATTGAGTTTCTTCATGACCAGGCCCTGCTCACGGTGTTAGGGATTCAGCAGAAAGAAACACAAACAAAACTTCCTACGCACACAGAGAGTGTTTCCTTGTTGACGCCCTCAATAATGTGTGTGCCTCAGAGGTTATCAGGCACCTGGGAGACTGACTCACGTTAACTTCCTAGAAGCTGACATACTCACCTGATGCTACATGGTTCCTTGACTGGGTGTGAATCGACCTCTACACTGGTTGGAATTCTTGTGCCTGGAATCCTCGGGGCCTGAGAGGCTGAGTTCATTTGACTGCTGACATCAGATCCCAGGGATGTGGGTGGTTCCAGATGCATTCCCTTTTGCCCTGGAGAAGGCCCTGCACCTGAATGCATCTTGGAGGGGAGATTATATTTGAATTGATAAAATTTGGTGACTGCTTAGCTCAGTGTTAGAAGTTTTTAAAATTTGTGGTAAAATATACTTAACATCTTTACCTTGTTAACCATTTTAAGTGTACAGTTTAGTGGCATCAAATATATTCACAATGTTGTATAACCATTACTATCATCTACACTCAGAACTCTTTCATCATCCCCAACATAAACCCATTACACAATAACTCCCGATTCCTCCCTCCTATCAACCTCTGACAACCACCTTTCTTTCTGTCTCTACCAATTTGCCTATTCTAAGTGCCTCACTTGAGTGGAATCATACAATATTTCTCTTTCTGTGTCTGTCTTATTTTACTTAGCATAATGTTTTCAAGGTCTATTTGTATTTTAGCATTTATCAAAATTTCAAGCTGGGCGCGGTGGCTCACGCCTGTAATCCCAGCACTTTGGGAGGCTGAAGCAGGCGGATAACCTGAGGTCAGGAGTTCAAGATCAGCCTGGCCAACATGGTGAAACCCTGTCTCTACTAAAAACACAAAAATTAGCCAGGTGTGGTGGTACGCGTCTGTAATCTCAGCTGAGGCAGGGAAATCGCTTGAACCCGGGGGACGGAGGTTGCGGTGAGCTGAGAACATGCCAATGCACTCCAGCCTGGATGACAGAGCAAGACTCCATCTCAAAAAAAAAAAATTAATTCCTCATTTCTGGCTAATAAATTTCATTCCTTTTTATTGCTGAATGAATATTCCATTGGATGTATATACTACATTTTGTTGATCAGTTCGTCTGGTGATGAACACTTAGGCTGTTTCTACTTTTTGTCTGTTGTGAATAATGCTTAATGCTTCTGTGAATATGAGTGTACAAATATCTGTTCGCATCTCCAGCTTCAATTCTTTTGTATATATACCCAAGAAAGATATTTTTATTTAATGTTTTCTTGAAATATAATTCACATACTATAAAAATAATCATGTTAAAGTTTACAATTTAGTTGTTTTTAGTATATTAACCAGGTAACATAACCATTACCTCTACCTAATTCCAGCACAGTTTCATCACTCCAAAAAGTAACCCATAACCATTAGCGGTCACTCTCCGTACCCTGTCCTCATCCATCCACTTCCCCCACGCTGGCAACAGGTAGTCTATTTCTTGTCTGTATGGATTTGCTTATGCTGGATGTTTCCATATCCCTGGAATCCTACAGTATGTGGCCTTTTGTGTCTGGCTTCTTTCACTTAGCATAATGTTTTCGGGTTCATTCCCAGGTGATTTTTAACAGGTTACCAAGGTTGAGGAACCATAGATCTGCCTCTGCAGACACCCACCCTGTCCATGTGTGTTAGCTTCCCACACAGAGCCATCCGTGGCCTGGCTTTGAGCAGCCTTCTGGCCAATGGCAGGCTGTACTTCCTGGTTCCTGTGGGAAGGAGCCTGCACCCCACTCCACCCACACCAGCAGCCCCTGTTTTGAGTGAGTAGCAGGCACCTGTGTTCTGCTATTAAAGCACACGCTTCTCAAATTATTACCTTTAACTTTGGCCAGCCCCAAAATTTGTACCTCCATTTTCTCAGGATTTTAATGAGAATTAAACAATACATGTTTAATTTAGAAGAATGCCTGGTACTCAATAAACGCCTATTAAATATGAGCGTGAGTGTGTTTCTATTAGAGATAGGAGAGAGACCAATCAAGAAGCAGACACAGAAAAGTACGTGTTGGGACAGGAGGTAAGGAGGGACTGTTGGAGTTTGTGTATCTCTATCTGAATTTTGTCATTAGCTGTGTTATTCTCTTGAATAAGTAATATCATGTCTGAATTTTTCATTTCTTTCTTTCTTTCTTTTTTGAGGACGGAGTCTCACTCTGTTGCCCAGGCTAGAGTACAGTGGTGCAATCCTAACTCACTGTAGCCTTGACCTCCTGGCCTCAAGCAATCCTCCTGCCTCAACCTCCCGAGTATCTGGGACTACAAGTGCTCACCACCACGCCCAGCTAATTTTTTTGTAGAGACATTTGGCTGTGTTGCCTAGGCTGGTCTCAAACCCCTGGCCTCAAGTGATCCTCCCACCTCAGCCTCCCAGAGTTGAGATTATAGGCATGAGCCACCACCATACCTAACCTGAGTTGGTTTTTTTATATGTAAAATGCTGATGATAATAAAATATGTCCTTGACTCTAGGTAACATGATTTTAAAATATTTTACATTTAAACTTCTCTGAAATGATTTGGGCTGGGGGATGTATTACAACTGATGCATATGTTTAAGTGTCCCCCACGCCCCTGGGAAGCTGTCGTTAAATTCCTGGGGTTATGGCCATGCCTACCCCATAAGGTTGCTGCAGGGATTTAAAGGGAAAATGTAGGTGAAAAATACTTTGGCAAACTGTAAAACATTATTCAGATGTGAGCTACTGTCTTCAAAATTGGAAATTATGGAAAAGTTAATAAATAATTTAGTATAGAACAAATAGGATGTATTCTAAAAGCACCTTGTGACTGTTAGGTGTATGATCATAAGGGGCCAATTTTGGGGGAGAGGTGTTTTTTTCTTTATGAAGTTTATGTTATGTTTTTCTTGAGCAGTGGTAGGACATTGGAGTGATTTCACTCTACGGCTGATTTTCTCACCCCACCTCTTACTTCCAGTGGGCAAGGGGCAAGTATTAATTTGGCTGGGTTTGAGTTTCCTCATCTGTGATCAACTTAGCCACTCATCTTTCAGGCTCAACGATTCCATGGGGCAATAGTCCATAGTCTTGAATTTTAGTCCAAACTGTGCTCATTACAGGCTGTGAGACCCACGGCAAATCTGTGCCTCCGTTTATCCACCTGTAAAATGAGGATGAGGTTACATCTAACAGCCCTTTCAGCGTCAGTCTTGGAGTCCTCCTAGGGTTCTGTATCTGGGTGCCCGTTTTCCTCACTTGGAGGGCCTTGAGGACATACCTGGTGACACTGGGGAGGCCCATGTGCTGCAGCCTGCAGGGGTCATTCATTAATTCCCCGTGTCTGTCCTTTAGGGAATATCCCCGGCTCGGCTGTGCTGGTGTTTGACATCCATGTGATCGACTTCCACAACCCTTCGGACTCCATCAGCATCACCTCCCACTACAAACCCCCTGACTGCTCAGTGCTGAGTAAGAAGGGAGATTACCTCAAATATCACTACAATGCCTCACTTCTGGATGGGACCCTGCTGGACTCCACGTAAGGGCAACCAGAATGGTGTGGGAGTGAGCCTGGAGGGTGACAGTTGCATGCTCCCACCATCCTCCTCTCTTGGGTAGATGCTGGTTGAGAGCTTTTATCTCCATGCTGCCCCACTGCATAGCTCGTGGCTGCATCACTGCTCAGGTGCATTGTGTTAAGAGTTTCCTATTAATGGTCTTGCCCTGCTGCAGGTCATTTTTCACCCCATGAAATTGTCTTTCTGAAAAGCAGATCTCATCGTATAACTGCTATCTTTCCTTCCTTCCTTCCTTCCTTCCTTCCTTCCTTCCTTCCTTCCTTCCTTCCTTGCTCCCTCCCTCCCTCCCTTCCTCTTCTTTCCTTTCTTTCTCTTTCTCTCTTTCTCTCTTTTTTTCCTTCCTTCCTTCCTTTCTTTCTTTTTTTTTTTTTTTTGATAAAGTCTCACTCTTTTTTTTTTTTTTTTTTTTTTTTTTTGAGACGGAGTCTCGCTCTGTCGCCCAGGCCGGACTGCGGACTGCAGTGGCGCAATCTTGGCTCACTGCAAGCTCCGCTTCCCGGGTTCACGCCATTCTCCTGCCTCAGCCTCCCTAGTAGCTGGGACTACAGGCACCCGCCACCGCGCCTGGCTAATTTTTTGTATTTTTAGTAGAGACGGGGTTTCACCTTGTTAGCCAGGATGGTCTCGATCTCCTGACCTCATGATCCACCCGCCTCGGCCTCCCAAAGTGCTGGGATTACAGGCGTGAGCCTCCGCGCCCGGCCAAGTCTCACTCTTTCACCCAGGCTGGAGTGCAGTGGTGCTATCTCGGCTCACTGCAACCTCTGCCTTCCAGGTTCAAGTGATCCTCCCGCCTCAGCCTCCCAAGTAGCTGGGATTGCAGGCACGCACCACTATACTTGGCTAATTTTGTTTACTTTTTAGCAGAGAGAAGGTTTTGCCATGTTGCCCTGGCTGGTCTCAAACTCCTGGGTTCAGGTGATCCTCCTGCCTCAGTTTCCCAAAGTGGTAGGATTACAGGTGTGAGTCACTGCACCTGACCCAGGCTAATTTTTAAAATTTTTTTAGAGATGGGGGGGGTCTCACTATGTTGCCCAGGCTGGTCTCGAACTCCTGACCTCAAATGATCCTCCCCTCTTGGCCTCCCAAAGTGCTGGAGTTACAGATTTGAGCCGTCATGCCCAGCCGAACTGCTTTCTTTAAAAATTGATGCACAGAGGCTGGGTGCGGTGGCTCATGCCTGTAATCCTAGCACTTTGGCAGGCCAAGGTGGGCAGATCACGAGGTCAAGAGATCAAGACCATCCTGGCCAACTTGGTGAAACCCCATCTCTACTAAAAATACAAAAATTAGCCGGGCGTAGTGGCGGGCAAATGTAATCCCAGCTACTCATGAGGCTGAGGCAGGAGAATCTCTTGAATCTGGGAGGTAGAGGTTGTAGTGAGCCGAGATAGCACTGCTGCACTGCAGCCTGAGCAACAGAGTGAGACTCTGTCTCCAAAAAGAAAGAAAAAGAAAAGACCCTATGGATATACTCTTCAGAGCTCTCCCTCTCGGTATGGGATCCTGTATGCTAATGCATTTAATGTATTTCAACAACTCTAAAGAGCGTGATGGAAACATTTCATGTATCTCTGACCAAGTAAAAACGCTAACTGATGACATACTGTCAGTCATAAAATGTATCCTAATTATAGAAAGGTTAAACTGTGAAAAAATATGCATTTTAGAATCAGTGAAATATGTGCTAGGCTTCCAGGGCCCAGATGTACAGGGACCTGGCTTACAACAGACCTTGCAAAGAAATCCCAACCACTGACTATTAGAAGCTAGCGGGAGGCAGGGCAGCAGGGAAGGGGCATGGCTTGTAGTGCTTTTGTGGATCAAGTGAGCTCCTAAGAGTGAAAATGGTCCATGAGGTTAGAAGGGTCTGTAAGGTCCGTGGCTGCTGTCACTGCTCCTGCTGATGTTCATATTCCTGTCCGCTGATCCTGAGGCTGAGGAAAGGGGAAGTGGGTGTGGGGAATGAACAAAGGAATTCCTTCTCGGAGGCTCCAGGATCTGCTTCTCACGTGGGGCGGGGAGAGTCAGTCTCCCTGCCTCCTGCTTGTGTTTGAAGGACTCATAACATCCTGGCAGAGCACTCAGGAGCCACATGAGCCAGAGCTCCTTATCAGGAAGTGCATTTTGTACTCTGAGAGCCTCTGTATTACATGTAAATCTGCAGCAGAAGAGTAGCGGCTGGCGTCCCTGCTGGTGTCTTCCTGGTGTGAGCTTCAGAATACTGGGCTAATGGAAAGCTTGGCCAGCACCTGCCTATCTGGTCCCAGCTAGAGCCCCGTGTGGGCTGGGCCCCATTCATCAGGACTAAGGCAGCAGCTGCTGCCTAGAAGGGAGGAGAGGAGTGGGAGTGAGCCGGGGAGGGTGAAGCAGGCAGGAAGCTGCAGGCCGGCGGTGGATGGGGCCAGGAAGCATGCAGGGGGAGTGAGGACCGTGTTTGAGAGAAACACTGCCCAAGAGAGAAAGAAAGAAAATCACAGGACCCGAGGAAAAAGAATGAGTGGTGTGTTCAGAGATGACACATGACAACAAATTGTTTGCTTGGAGAATTTTCTTACGCTTGCGTGTTTAAACTGGCCTCAAGGAGGAAGAAGAAACATGCGTTCCTGGATGACTGAGTTCTGGAATATTCTGTCATAAGACTTTGCAACTGGAGTAGCCCCAGAGAAAGGCAGGCAGTGAGAGTTGGCTCCCTCCCCAAAGCCATCCCTGAGTTGGCTTTGTTTGGGGTTCCTCCCAGGTGGGAAAACACAAACCCTGTCTTGGTTTGCTGGTAATCAGCTGGAGGAGGGAAAGAAGTGGCTGCCCTGGGTCCAGGGGAGGTCGGGAAGCCTGAGAAGAGGATATGACCCAAAGGGGCACCCGTCCATGTTGTCCCCAGTGCTCATGGGCATCAAGGGGGGTCAGGGGGCTTTTCTCCTTGGAGTAAAGAACATCAACACTGTTTGCCTTTAGGAAGTGATAGGAATGGCATAGATTTTGGCGTAGATTTATTTTTAGTAGTGACCGAAGTGATAGAGCAAACTTTTTTTTAACTGGCTTCCTGAGGCCCATGGCCATCAAGGATAATTAAACTCTTGGTGGTCTTTTTTTTTTTTTTTTAGTCTTAGACTGCTACAGACATAAACACTTTACACCTCAAGGCCAAACATTTATTGAGCCCTTTGTACTTCCCCTCCACTGTGCCAAGCATAACATGTTATTTGCGATTTAAAACGTCCCTGTGAGATAGCTATATTTGTTGTCTCCGTTTCATAGATAAAGTAACAGAGATTACATTTCTCAGGGTTAAATTAAGTGGCAGAACCAGGAATCCATCTCAGGTCTTGCTGAATCCAAAAGCCAGGGTTTTTTGTCTTGTTTTTGTTTTTGAGACAGAGTCTCACTCTGTCTCACAGGCTGGAGTGCAGGGGCACGATCCTGGCTCACTGCAGCCTCCACCTCCTGGGCTCAAGCAAAAAGGACCCCATTCCACTATGCTTCTCCACTCTGGAACTTCCACAGTCTTGCCTGGATTTTCATGGCCTTGACAGTTTTGAAGATGACAGCCAGACATTTTTCAGCATGTGCCCCAATTTGTTTTTGTCTGATGTTTCCTCATGATTAGATAGGGATTTGCATTTCTTTGGTAGAAATATCCTAGAAGTGATGTGTTCTTCTCATGGGAACACTCTCAGTGCCAATGGGTTGGTGACCTAACATGAGGCTCTTCTGTTTCATTTTAGGTGGAATTTAGGCAAAACTTACAATATTGTTCTGGGATCTGGGCAAGTTGTGTTGGGGATGGACATGGGTCTCAGAGAGATGTGCGTTGGCGAGAAACGGACAGTGATCATTCCGCCTCACCTGGGCTATGGGGAAGCTGGCGTGGGTGAGTAAGCAACGCTATTCAAGGGTGTTGGGGGCCCGCTTACTATCTGAATTTTGTGCTTTTTGGGGTGCCATAGTTAGAATCACAGCATGCTTCTTACATGTAATACCCAAAGAGTGTGTGGTTTCTATTTTTAAAAAATTATTTAGTATTTTTGTTTGGAGACCCCTGTGAATTCAGTGAGCCACGTCAATGCTCCATTACCCTCTTGAGAAAGAACCAGTTTGAGTGAAATAAATCTTGGATCTTCAGACCCATGTGTGGGAGGTGTCCCCAGGGGAGCTGTCCGGGAGGTTTCTCTGGGGTCAGACTGAGCACGTCCTTCTGGAACTGTTTCCTGGGACAGGTGGAATGCTGTAGGCCGTTGCTTTTCACTTCTGAGCCTGTAGGCTGTCCAAGACAGTTTCCTTTGGGAGAGATTAGTTGCAAGTTCTTGAAATACTGGCTTTACCTCATCCTCACAGTGGTTATGTTTTACTCCATCATTTCAGCCACAATGTGTCCTCCACGTGGGGATTCAATAACTTTTTTTTTTTCAGCGACAGGGTCTCACTCTGTCACCCAGGCTGGAGTGCAGTGGCACCATCATGGCTAACTGCAGCCTTGAACTCCTGGGCTCAAGCAATCTGCCCACCTCAGTCTCCCGAGTAGCTGGGACTACAGGCATGCACCACCTCGCCTGGCTAATTTTTTATTTTTTAGAGACAGAGTCTCGCTATCTTTCCCATGCTGGTCTTAACTCCTGGGCTCAAGCGATGCTCCTGCTTAGGCCTCCCAAAGCACTGGGATTATCAGTGTGAGCCACTGTGCCTGGCCCCAGGAACCCCTTCTTTTCAGTGTTTTCACACTGCTGATATCTGGACATGGAGGAGATAGGAAGAGCTAACTGGTAACAATGATAGGCACTGTGGATTGATATTTTTTCCCCGTAAAAGAATTGTAAAGTACATTGTTCTTCCTACCAATCCCAGAAGAAACGCTTTAAAAATTGTTGTATATTCTGGCCGGGTGCGGTGGCTCATGCCTGTAATCCCAGCACTTTGGGATGCCGAGGTGGGCAGATCACGAGGTCAGGAGATGGAGACCATCCTGGTTAACAGGGTGAAACCCCGTCTCTACAAAAAATTAGCTGGGCATGGTGGCGGGCACCTATAATCCCAGCTACTTGGGAGGCTGAGGCAGGAGAATCGTGTGAACCCAGGAGGTGGAGCTTGCAGTGAGCCGAGATCGTGCCACTGTACTGCAGCCTGGCGACAGGGCAAGACTCCATCTCAGAAAAAAAAAAATTGTTGTATATTCTTTAAGACTTTTTCTGTGATATATTATTAATAATTATAATACATAGCATATTATATATAACATATAATCTAGATAAAATATAATAATTTGGAATAATACACATTACCTTTATATATTCCATACTTAGATAACTTCTTTGGACCTATACTGTATACACTATTCTTGAATTTGTGCTTACAGTCAAATCTTGGATCATCATCTTCAGGCATATTGTTCAGATTCTAAAAGTTCTGCTGTTAGATTTACTTAAAAGTTTTACCATTGTATTGTAGTCTCTACAAGCAGCTTTCAAACTTTTTTCCACAAGACACACAGTAAGAAATACATTTTATTTCCCAATCTGTATTCCACATAAACATACAAGTTACACATATACACATTTATTTATTTCTTTTTAATCAACACATCACAAATTTGCTTGTCCTGTTTGCACGGAGGTCATGCTATTCTTCTCAGTATGGTTCCAATTTTAGTATGTGTTGCTAAAGTGAGCATTACTTTTAGTTTTATATATAAAATTTAAACTCAAGTTTCATGACACAATACCTATCTTTTCTAGAGGTACAAAGTATTCTGTTCCTTTTTTTTTTTTGAGATGGAGTCTCACTCGGTCACCCAGGCTGAAGTGCAATGGCGCGATCTCGGCTCACTGCAATGTTTGCCTCCCTGGTTCAAGCAATTCTCATGCCTCAGCTTCCCGAGTAGCTGGGACTACAGGTGCCCACCACCACACCAGCTAATTTTTGTATTTTTTGTAGAGATGGAGTTTCACCATGTTGGCCAGGCTGGTCTTGAACTCCTAATCTCAAGTGATCCGCCCGAGTCGGCCTCCCAAAGTGCTGGAATTATAGGCGTGAGCCACCATGCCTGGCCTCTATTCTATTCCTTAATTTAAAAAATAACTAAACGCTGGTCACCACCCTCTAAACTGATTTCGTGAGTCATTAACGGGCCACTGCCTACAGTGAGAAAGTGACTAGCCTCTGCTCCGCTTTCTTGCTTTGGTCAGAAGTCCCACTCTGAGTGAGGCTGCTGGAGGTTGGGGTGGGTGCTGGTTGTTGGGCTTGACTGCTGCCTGCCGGCTGACACCGCCTCCCGCTCCTGTCACCTGGACAGATGGAGAAGTGCCCGGCAGTGCCGTATTAGTGTTTGACATTGAGCTGCTGGAGCTGGTGGCTGGCCTTCCTGAGGGGTACATGTTCATATGGAATGGTGAGGTGTCACCCAACCTCTTTGAAGAAATTGACAAGGATGGCAACGGAGAAGTCCTCCTGGAAGAGGTAACTAACTGGCCTCTGTAGGAAGGTGGGACCGAAGAGCTCAGGGAGCCTGGTAAGGCCGTGGGGCCGGTTCTGAAGGTAAGGACTTCTAAGGGTGAGGCCAGCTGGCTGGAGGGCTTGTGAGATGACCAGCACACTTGTGTGCCAAGCGCTTTTACACACACC
This sequence comes from Homo sapiens, assembly GCF_000001405.40. Classification (NCBI taxonomy): domain Eukaryota; kingdom Metazoa; phylum Chordata; class Mammalia; order Primates; family Hominidae; genus Homo; species Homo sapiens. The sequence goes on from NC_000007.14 coordinate 33,003,005, forward strand.
CTCTCGATGGAAGCTCACCATTCCTCTCTGAAGAAACCGATTCCCTAAGAGGTGTAGGGCATGATTCCAGGGCATACAGTCTGCATTTAGTTCTCGTTACTGGGTGCTCAATGCCTGCCTGTATGTGCTGAGTGTATTCTCTGATTTGGCCCTCACAGCAGCTGTTTTTTAGAAGAAACTGCACAGAGAAGGTAAATGACTTGTCCAAGGTCACACATCTACTCAGTTGTTTGAGCCAGGACCACACTCCTCTTTGTGAAGCTGGGCAATAGAACCATCTGTTCTGTCCCACCCCTGGGGAATTCCAGCTCCCTGCCTCTTCCACATCTGCTATTGAAGCACATCCTCCAGCCTTTTCCTCTCTCTCTCCACATCATCAGCCCTTCTGGATCTTTCTCATTTGCATACAAATGTGCTATTATTTTCCCTTCCCTGGATGTGTCTGTTTCTTTCATTGCTTTCCTTCCTTTACAGCAAAAACTTCAAAAGAATTGTGTGTCCTTTCTGCCTCCAATTCCTCTCCTCCCATTCTCTCCTAAACCCACTCCTTTCTGGCATTTGTCCCTCTATGCCTCTGAGCCTGACCTTGCCAGGGTGGCCAATGTCTTCCGTATCGCGGAATCCAGTGGTCAGCTCTTACGCTCCTCTTAACTTCAACACAGCTGATTCCCCTACAGGACGCATCTTTCTCTGGCTTCCAGGACACCACACTTCATGGTGTTCCTTCTACCTCCCTGGTACGTCCCTCTCAGGCCTCTTGTCCCTGATCGCTTCATGTTGGAGTACCCCGGGCTAAGTCTTGACCTTTGTTCTTTTCTCTGTCTTTAAGTCACTCGCTCAGTGGTCTTATCGGGTCCATATCCTGATGGCGTCTGGATTTGTAGCTCCAGTCCAGTCTTCTCTCTCCACTTCACACTCATGTGTTCAGCTGCCTGCTTGATGTCCTCATTTATGGAACCCCTGCTATCCACCCGCACACCCCGCTTGGGGCCTGCTTTACCCAAAGCCTTTCCCGTCGCAGTCAGTGGCATCACTGGCCTCCAGTGGCTCAGGCGAGAGCACTCGGTGATCTCTGACTCCTCTCTTTCTCTCGTAGGCCGTAATGGTCCTCAGGAAATCATTCCAGCTCTACCTTGAGAGCACACACAGAACCTGACGCTTCTTACCACCCCCACCCTGTAGCATCTTAGCCCGGGGCCTGTCATCTCTTTCCCGGGTCACACACAGCAGTGGTGTTCATGAAGCTCCTCCTGCCCTCACAGTGGCTGTTCTCACACAGAAGCTGGGTCAGACCCGCAGAGGCCCCTGTCTACAGGGCCTCACAGTGGCCTGTGAAGACCCTGCACTTTCTGCTCGCTGTAACCTCTTTGCCGGCTGTCTCCCTCTGCCCACTTTACCCGGCCACACCTGCCCCCAGTGCTGTCTGTGACCACCCAGGCATGCGTCCACCTTGAGCCCTGGCACCGGCTGCCCTCTCTGCTCAGGAGACATCTACCCCAGATAACTTGTTCGGTCCTTTCCTTCTCATCTTTCAAGACTTTGCACAAATCTTCCCTTCTCCTTAAAGTTTTATCCTGACCACTGAATTCAACACTTCATCCCTTTCTCCCTTCCTTACTGAGCTCCGCTTTTTGATTTTTTTCTGGAGCATTTCACTTTGTAACTTAATGTGTAATTTACCTATTTTTATGTTCATGTCTAATTGTCTGTTTCCACTAGAATGCAAGCATCACAGGGGCAGGGTGTTTGTGTATTGATGTATTTCAAGATCTAGAACAGTGTGCTCAGCACATAGTAGACCATATGTTTTGATCATATGAATGAATGCCTGCATCCAAGAATGTTCTTACAGTCTTGGGTGGTCTTGGGGGTCAGCCTTTGGTGGGGAACCAACTTGGGAGAAGGAATAGCTCTGACGGCTGCTGGGTATTGGCTACCTGAATAATAAGGGCTCTTGGAGTCATTTAGCACAAGGGTTTTTCACCTGCATTTAGAGAAAAAAAACAAAACACAGATCATAGGTCATATAGCTGCCAAAAAGATCTTGTCTGTGTTGGTAGCCCAGACTCAAGTTCCAGCCCTGTCACCCCCAGACTGCTCTGTTTCTGGCCCCAGGCCTGGCGTTCATGGCGGCTGAACTCATGGTCTTTCCTGTCCCCTTCTTTTCCAGTTCTCAGAGTACATTCACGCCCAGGTGGCATCTGGCAAAGGGAAACTCGCTCCTGGCTTTGATGCTGAGCTGATTGTGAAGAATATGTTCACCAACCAGGACCGGAATGGAGATGGGAAGGTCACAGCCGAGGAATTTAAACTCAAAGACCAGGAAGCCAAACACGATGAACTCTAAACCTGGCATGAACCAGATGGTGCCAGGGAGTACGTGACACCAAGCCACCTGTGTGGCAAGACGTGCAGTGAGGGTGCAAGGGTCTCTCAGAAGTTGCATCATTAGCCAGTAGTAGGTGGGTCACATAGTACCTGGTGTACACATCGGGGTGGGTTGATATATGGGGTGAGAAGTTTGGGCTGATCGCCAGTGATAGTAAACAAAATCTGTGCAGAGGGCCTTAGCATGGGATGTGTCCAGTATTGAAAAGGCTGCACTGCCAACCATGATTTGTGAGCCTTCTGGGAAATTTTGTTATTAAAGGAATATATAGTGTCAGACGGAAGTTATAATCATCTTGGAGGAACCATAAGAAAAGGTGTCCAGGGTATCTATATAAAGAGGGTTAAATTTTTTTTTAACTTGCTGGTTAAAACATTTTAGAAATATTCTAGAGATGGGCAGGAGAGTCAAAGGGCTTGCTTGCCCCAGCAGAGTTCCCAGCAGACAGCCATGGCTCTTCCCAGCAGCCTGTGCAAATTCTGATGATGGCCCCACCCCCGCACACGCACACGCACATCATGCTTTTCCAGCTCATCACACCCCGCCCCACTATGGGCCTACCATTAATAGTGTATAACTTGGAGGTTAAAAGAGCCTTTTGGACAGAAAACTGGGCCAGGAAAAGGCATCTCAGACCACAAATAGAGAATTTGATTCCTCATTTGCCACATAAGTCATCTGCTTAGCTTTTCCTTTCCTTTTTTTTTTTTTTTTTTTTTCTGGAGGCAGAGTCTCCCTTTGTCGCCAGGCTGGAGTGCAGTGGTGCCATCTCGGCTCACTGCAGCACTGTCTCGGCTCACTGCAGCCTCCGCCTCCCGTATTCAAGCGATTCTCCTGTCTCAGCCTCCTGAGTAGCTGGGACTACAGGTGTGCACCACCACGCCCGGCTAATTTTTGTATTTTTAGTAGAGACGGGGTTTCACTGTGTTGGCCAGGATGGTCTCAATCTCGACCTCGTGATCCGCCCACCTTGGCCTCCCAAAGTGTTGGGATTACAGGCGTGACTCACCATGCCCAGCCACTTAGTTTTTTCTTATTCCCACCTTTCTATCCCATAGAACACTCTTTTTTATCTTCCCTGAACCATATTGATGAGATAAATAGGGCTGGGGGCTGGGCCCCGCTGGTCACTCAACAGAGTATTTCCCTTGGCCGAGATGGAAGTTTTGTCCCAATAGATGAGCTGCTGAGCATCAACAAGGTGACATTTTTCTGCTGCCCATTTGTGTCCTGGAGACGGTGGTACCCTGAAGGCAGAGGCCAGCTGCCGCAAGACAGCAATGACAGTCCACCTGCCGACCTGATTCCTGCATCATGGAATAACCACATGGCTACCTTCTATCCTCTGTTCCCAAATGGTGGTGGCACTTATCCTGAAGTCGTCAATGATTTCCCTTTGAAACTACTTTATTTTACTAATTTAAACTATTTTGTACTGATGTAGCCCTGAGGTAGTTCATGAAAATGCTGTGCACTCATTCCATGGAATAAATGTTGGAAAGCTGATCTTTTCTGATATAAAATGTTGAATGATATTATCTGGTTTTCTGATATTTTATTGGAAGGCTGAAGACCTATGAGAATGCACCATGCAGTCAGAATCCCCTTGATGAAAACAGCAGGACTTCACTGCATTTACTGAGGGAGCGCACTCTACTTATAGGGAGTGTCAGTCAGGGTCCTGGCCCTCCTCTGGGACTCCTGAAGAGAAGCTAAGGAAAGGACTGTTTAGAGGGGTGTGGGCGAGGCTGGGGGAACTGAGGCTGTTGAGTGCCAGTGACAGCAGTGTTGGCCACCGCAGGAGGCTGCTACCACCAGGGCCTGAGAGCTCAAGAGGAGGCAGTGGGAGCAGCACAGGAAGGGCTACCTGGAGGCGTAACAGAGGGATGCAGCCAGCTGCATCTGACAGTGCGGCTGACACTGCAGCAGAGCGAGGGACAAACGCCCCATCCCCTCTGTGCCCCCATTCTCTGATGCCTGCCACTGGCTCCCATTAGTGGAACCATGTTGGAAGCCAGAGGGTAAGAGGAGCTCAGAGACTGGAGTTCTCAGAAGTCAGCCTCTTGAGTGCAGAGAAAGGTGGAGAATGAATCTGAGGTAGGGATGGGGTGGGTGGGAGCAAATGGAGAATTACTGGCACATGTATAGAGAAACTGTGTGTGTGTGTGGTGCAATTATATATTTAAAAGCAATTATTTTAATATATATTAATAAACATAAAATATATGTATTATATATACATAAAGTTGCTGTTAAAAAGCAAATGTTGGCCATGTGCAGTGGCTCATGTCTGTAATCCCAGCAGTTTGGGAGGCTGAGATGGGTGGATCATTTGAGGTTCAGGAGTTCAAGACCAGCCTGGCCAACATGGTGAAAACTCTTCTATACTAAAAATACAAAAAAAAAATTAGCCGGGCATGGTGATGGGCGCCTGTAATCCCAGCTGCTCAGGAGGCTGAGGCAGGAAAATTGCTTGAACCCAGGAGGCGGAGGCTGCAGTAAGCTGAGATGGCACCACTGCACTCCAGCCTGGGAGACAGAGCAAGACTATGTCTCAAAAAAAAAAATTTTTTTTTTTTTTGCTTCTTGCTAAGTTGAATTGGGCTTTGGAATGCATTTGACTTCATTAGCCTTACCCGCCTTATGAAAAGAAAAACCTTGTGCTTATCCTCTACCGCAGATTTTTATTTGCCTATTTGAATTTCTTCACTGGCTGTTTTCTGTGATGGTGGAGACAGACGGGCTGAATCAGAAATAAGTTTCTTGGCCAGGGGCAGTGGTTCATGCCTGTGATCCCAGCATTCTGGGAGGCCAGGAATTTGAGATCAGCCTGGGTAATATAGCAAGACCCCATCTCTAAAAAAATTTTAAAAATTAGCTGGGCATGGTGGCATGTGCCTGTAGTCGCAGCTACTTGGGAGGCTGAGGAGGCAGGATTGCTTGAGCCCGGGAAATTAAGGCTGCAGTGATTTGTGATTGCACCGCTGCCCTCCAGCCTGCACAACAGAGCGAAACCCTGACTCTAAAGAAAAAAAGGACATGGACCTTAGAACTTCAGGAATGGAGAGAAGCTTTGGCCTGCTGAATTCTGCCTAGGCACTTCCATTCTTCCCGTTGCCGAGGAGGGCATTCAGTGATCAGGCGCGTTTATCTGTCTGCAAGGGGAAGCTGCTTAGCTGGCCCCACTTTATGCTATGGCTGCAACACTTGCTTCTATTTACATTATGGTTATGGGCTATAGTTCTGCCAACAAGGCTGTAAATACTAAATAAGGGGCCAAGTACAGGGTAGAGATGCCACACAGCAATTTTTGTTTTTGTTTTCTAAATCAGTTCTCACCTGAGACAGCACTTTTTTTTTCTTTTTTTGAGACAAGGTTTGTCACCCAGGCCGGAGTACAATTGTGCGATCACAGCTCACTGCAGCCTTGACCTCCTGGGCTTAAGCAATCCTCCCATCTCAGCCTCCTGAGTAGCTGGGACCACAGGCAGGTGCCACCAAGCCCAGATATTTTTAATGTTTTTTGCCGAGATGGGATCTCACTATGTTGCCCAGGGTAGTCTCTTGAACTCTTGGCCTCAAGTGATCCTCCCACCTCTGTCTCCCAAAGTTTTGGGATTACAGGTGAGTCACTGTGCCTGGCCAGCCTCTGGACCTTCTGACAGGAACATTTATTGATAGGTACTATATTGTGACTACCTAACTCAGGATCTATACAGATTTTGACCCTACATATGAACTGGGTCATTGATACCTACTGTGGGATGAGAGTCTAATAGAACATGAACATGACATCTGAGTATGTTTGACACAACTAGGCCGCCTGCACATGTAAGCAGTATGCACCATTTTGTTAAAACCAGTGAGTTTTGATCTCTGATTATTTATGACTTTATAATTTTGTCCAAATACTTAAAAGATAGGAAAAAAATTCATTCTGGCAGGGAAATAGGTTTAACTGCAAGACTATACATAAACAGTGGACCCTGCCCCCATCTGTTACTTTACTATCTCAGGTTTCCAGGGACAAAGTTGCTTTTTTTGAAGACTTTTTCCCTTCACTCTCTCAGGGATCTGGAGTTTTTACTTAATAAGAATGCTGGGCTGGGTGTAGTAGCTCATGCCTGTAATCCCAGCACTTTGGGAGGCCAAGGTGGGAGGATCGCTTGAGCCCAGGAGTTTGAGACAATCCTGGGCAACACAGCTTATCTCTACAAAAAGTTTCAAAAAGTAGCCAGGCGTGGTGGTGCACACCTGTGGTCTGCTCGGGAGGCTGAGGTGGGTCACTTGAGCCTGGGAGGTTGAGGCTGCAGTAAGCCCCAATAGTGCTGCTGCACTCTAGCCTGGGCAGAGGGAGACCCCGCATCTCAAAAACAAAATAATATTCCTGATTATTTGTTGCTAGATGCAAATATAAAATATTTATGCTTATTAATAGTTTGTGTGTGGTTTCCATGCTTAATGTTGGAAATTCTGATTGGTCAGGCAATTTCTTCCAGCTTACACTGGCCATATTTAAATCTCATTTAAATGCAGACAACACCCACATTTATAGTTCCTGCTCAGATTTCTCCTTTGAGCTCTAGTCTGTCTATTTGGTATCTTCTCTTGTACGTCTCACAGGCATGTCAAACTTTGTATGTCCAAAACAGCATGTCTGTTCCCACTCCCTTGCCAACACCACCAAGCCTATTCCTCTCCATCTTCCCTGGCACCCATGTGTCCAAAGCAGACATCAGCGACCCCCTGCTCTCTCATCTCATCTTTACATATTTAAGCCAACAGCAAGTTTTGTCAATTCTGTCTCTAAGCTACTCCTGGAAATGACCCACTTCTCTCCAGTTCCACAGCCCCAGCCCCAAAAACCAACCATTATTTCTAGCTGGAACTGCTGTAATAGCCCCCAAACTGGTGTGCTTGGGTTTATCTGCCCTCGCTAGTCCCTGCCCCACGTGGCAGCAGTGATCCTGCCCCTCCTTTGCAAGGAGAGAAAAACCAAAGTTCTTATGATTTATAAAGCCCTCCATGATCTGGCACCCACCTACTTCCCGTTCAACGCCTGATGCCATTCTTCCCTTTGTTCATAATACTGTTAAACCAGTTCTCAGTTCTTCAAATGGCCTAAAACTTTCTCACTTGGGACCTTCCACACCCTGTTCCCTCTCCTAGGAATGTTTCTACCTCAACTCCTCACATGGCTAGGTCCTTATCCTTCAGACTTTGGCTTAAATATCACCTGAGAAGAGCTTCCTCTGACTACCATATCTAAAATAGATCTCTGTTGGCTGGGTGTGGTGGCTCACGCCTGTAATCCCAGCACTTTGGGAGGCCGAGGTGGGCAGATCACGAGGTCAGAAGATCGAGACCATCCTGGCTAACACCCCGTCTCTACTAAAAATACAAAAAATTAGCCGGGCGTGGTGGCGGGCGCCTGTAGTCCCAGCTACTCGGGAGGCTGAGGCAGGAGAATGGCGTGAACCCAGGAGGCGGAGCTTGCAGTGAGCCAAGATCACGCCATTGCACTCCAGCCTGGGCAACAGAGTGAGACTCCATCTCAAAAAAATAAAAAATAAATAAATAAATAAAGTAGGTCATTTGTGTTTTCTTCAGAGCATTTACCATATTCATAATTGCTACTCTTTCCTCCTGTTTGACCCACTAGGAATGGAAGCTACACGAGGGCAGGAAGCATGACTGATTTTTTTTTTTTTTTTTTTTTTTTTTGGGGCAGAGGGGACAGTTTCACTCTTGTTGCCCAGGCTGGAGTGCAATGGCACAATCTCAGCTCACTGCAACCTCCACCTCCCAGGTGCAAGCGATTCTCCTGCCTCAGTCTCCCAAGTAGCTGGGATTACAGGCGCACACCACCATGCCCAGCTAATTTTTGTATTTTTAGTAGAGATGGGGTTTCTCCATGTTGGTCAGGCTGGTCTCGAACCCCCGACCTCACGTGATCTGCCCGCCTCGGCCTCCCAAAGTGCTGGGATTTTACAGGCATGAGCCACCGCATCCAGCCCTGATTTAACTACTGTTTCCCTAGAACTCAGCACAACATAGAGACTTGTTGAGTAAGTGACTTTTCATTTAATCCTCATCTCTAGTTAATACTCCCCTTTACAGATAAAAAACTAAGGCTTGGAGAAGTTAGAAACTTATTGCAGATGACAGAATCACAGATTCAGATCCAGGTCTGACTATTTCAAAGCTGTGTCCCTTGCACCTTGATCACTTTTTATGTGTTAAACTGGTACTGAAACACCAGACTAAGTACAAAAAGCAGCATGACTGTTGACTCTCTGGGTAACTCTGGAGAAGTTTCAGGATAAGTTATTCAAGATTACATTGATCTTTTCCTTGCTGATTCTCCCTAGGGTATATCAAAGAGAAAACTGAACCTGAAGGCCGGTTAAACAGACCTTCGGTCATCTACCAAAATTTGGGTGACTATTAAATAGACCATGGAAGGTAGACTTCTCGTGAAATCACTCCAGAATGAGCTAGTATTACTGATGGTTGTTTTCATTTTTTTCCAGTTTTGTCAAAATTGTTAGCTCTAGCCCTCAAAATTACTTTATTTCATAAAGTAAAATTTAAAGTTGAATAAAACCACTGGCTAACGCTAGGCTCTTTGGAGAATATGGTAGTTACCATACACTACCAGTATTTGCTGGGGCTGCAAAAGATCATTCCATTTCATTGATTCAACAAAACACTGTACTGGGGGATATAACAGCTTATACATTTGTGGACGGATTCTACCTAACATTGAATACTTGGACTGTTTTAAATGCATACATAAATTTCAAATGCATACATAAAAGATGAGCATATCTACTTATGAATCTAGAAGCTATATCACCATCTTCACTTAATAGATGAGCAAACTGGGACACAGGCTCAATAATTTGTCCTGGTCACACTCTTAATGGCTATACTAAACTGGTCTGAAAACTGAACTCAAATACCAATATTTTAAATTTCAGTAGCATCAGGTGGCAGTGAGATGTGATAGGTTGATAAACATATCATGGAAGAAGCATGAGACTCAATTTATGGAATTGGTTAGAAGAGGCCTTAGAGAGTGCATGTTCTTATGGCATTCATTATATAGGGAGGTGACTGAACCTGTACTCTTAGTAAGGGGCTGAGCCATGACCAGAATGTAGATCATGACTTCAGTGTTCTTTAGATTTACAGCATGCAATATACTTACTCATGGAAGCATATTATAAACACCTTTGGGAAACAGCCAATATAAGCTCTGATTGCAATACAGGGGTAAAGAGCTATCATTGAATCAGATTCCCAACTGTTTTTTCTATGTGCAAAAGTCCTGCAGGTAATTCTGATACTCCCATGCCATGCTATCTGCTTTAATGCAAGAAGTTATTTTCAGTTTGATTTTAGAAACACTTAGGCAGGGTCTAGTCTGCCTTTTGCCATTGCATTTTTGTTTCATTGTTTATTTATTGAGATGAGGTCTTGCTCTGTCACCCAGGCTGGAGTACAGGGGCATGATCTCAGCTCACTGCAAGCATTGGCCCCCCGGGCTCTAGCAATCCTCCTACCTTAGCCTCCTGAGTACCTGGAACCACAGGTGCGCACCATCATGCCTGGCTAATTTTTTGTATTTTTAGTAGAGACTGAGTCCTGCCATGTTGCCCAGGCTGGTCTTGAACTCCGCCTTGGCCTCCCAGAATGCTGGGATTACAGATGTGAGCCACTGCACCTGGCCTCATTATTTTTATGCTTTTTTGAGATAAGTTCTTGCTCTGTTGACCAGCCTGGAGTGCAGTGGTGCAATCACAGCTCACTGCAGCCTCAACCTCCCCAGGCTCAGGTGATTCTCCCACCTCAGCCTCCTGTGTAGCTGGGACTACAGGTGCATCACCATGCCTGGCTAATTTTTTGTAGAGACTGGGGTCTCCCTATGTTGCCCAGGCTGATCTCAAACATCTAGGCTCAAGCGATCCACTCGCCTTGGCCTCCCAAAGTGCTGGGATTACAGGTGTGAGCCTCCGTGCCTGGCCTGCTTCATTGCTTATGATGATGAAAAGGAGTGGTGGGGGAGGATAAGGATGGGCATTCCCAGGACAAAAAGGTTTCCTAACATGTGACCTTGCCTTCCAGCCACATCTGACTGAACTAGAGACTGCTGCTCACACTGGATGGCCAGAATGAATCAGATCATGCTTTGTGTGTATCATAGCTCAGGTGCTTATATAAGCAAACCAATTAGGTGTTCATAGGATCTGGAATTAAGGGTAAGAATCACGGTCAAATTGATCACAATGGCAGGTCTAAATCCTGAAGATGAATGATGAGGCAGAGCCAGAGATGTGGAGTGGGTAGCTGGACTGTACAGAGAGATGCTGGCTCCTAATGTCGCAGTGCTGCTCAGATTCAGTCACCACGAGACCCAGCTCCACTGCTTCCTGTCTCGGCTTCTGAAACTTGCAGACTTGTACCTTTTACTGATGTTTTAAATGGGAGAAAATAATTTTCAGAGGTCTCAGTATTTTCTGAAGGGCAGACAAAATTTTCCCTGAAATATCTTTAGACTTAAATAATTTCTGAAAATATTCAATCTAAATAGCCACTATGACAAGGACTTTAGAATTTATATATCACAAAAGACAGGCAGACGGAGAGAAAGAAACAAGAAGAAAACAAAAAACCATGGTAGGTGCTCAATAAATATTTGTTGACTCAGTAAAGATAGTTTTGACCATAGAATTAAAAAGGTTTTGCATTTCATATTTATTATCAGTGCTTCAATATAGAATGTTTTGTAATGATTAGCAACATTGTAAACACCACCAGGTTTTTCCAACACTAACTGCTAGTCTTTTCCAGTAAATATTTTTTCCCCAGACAAAATAACCAAACCTAACACAATTTCAAGAGATGGTGATACCATCAGCATAATAACCCAAATTACAAAAATGGCAATACTTAAAATCATGCATATTATTTCACCATTTCATAAAACTTATTTTAAAATTTCTACAAACTTTCCCAGTGTAAAAGACTCCTCAAAAGCTGCATGATAACATTAAACTACAAAATTCACTTTGGAAAAGTAGGGAGTTATTTTTCTAATTTTAGCTTTTTTTTTTTTTTAAATGGGTTAAAAGATACGGTGAGGAGTGTGTTGAGAGAGGTGGAGAAAAGGAGCTTCCAGTCAATGCATTCACCATATCTGAAAATACTTCAGTTATACAAAGGGAACACTTCGAGAGTAAGGATATATTATAAATAAGTCTCTCAGCAAGATGAACGGATGAACAGTTCAATTGCACCCACAGGAGAGAGGTCTTCTTGGAGAATGCTTGTTTATAGAATCTTCTGTAAAATAGAGTTGGCTACTTCTAATGATTCATCTTGTACTAAAACAATATCATAAGAGTCCATGTACTTTTCTAAAAGCTCATCCACCTAATCAAGAGATGAACAAAAGAAAATTAACATGCAGGGCAAAGAAACAAATAATTTCAGTATGAATCTCGTTGTTAGATCTCTTGGGCAAAATGCAATAAATTAAATTCACTTTCAAAAAATCTTTGAAATGAAGAAATATTTTCAAATCCTTAAGACCCACTGACAGACATTTTTCCACATGGTAGCTTTTCTCCCCAAAATGCTCTCTCTCCAGTCCAGTGGCTTTCAAATGGGGTGATTTTTGTCCACGGAACATTTAGTAACGTCTAGGGACATTTTTGAGTCTCATGGCAGGAGACTGCTATCCAGCATCTAGTGGGCAGAAGACACAGAGGCCTCCTACAGAATACACATCCTCCCTTTTCCCAGTACCTATAGCATGCATCTCAGCTCCTTTTTAAACATCACCAGTATAAAGAACAATCAAAATGCATGATCACAATATGTTTTGGCTGGGCATAGTGGCTCACGCCTGTTATCCCAAGCACTTTGAGAGGCCTGGAGAATCACTTGAGCCCAGGAGTTTGAGACCAGCTTGGGCAACACAGGGAGAATTCATCTCTAAAAAAAATTTAAAAATCAGCCAGGTGTAGTGGTGTGCGCCTGTAGTTCCAGCTACCTGAGGGGCTGAGGTGGGAGCATTGCTTGAGCCGGGAAGGTCGAGGCTGCAGTGAGATGTGATTGCATCACTACACTCTAGCCTCGGTAACAGAGGCTTGTCTCAAAAAAAAAAGTCTCTAAAATAACTACTTTCTCAGGTGACTATGGCAACAATTGCCTATCAAGTTTCATCCTAATATTTTCTTCGAAAAAAATTACAGATTTGTATACTTACTCTATCATTTAGATATCCAATTTTCAGAATGTGCTCAACATTGGCCACTCCATCTGCCATTCTTAAGTCTCCTTGGGAGTCTCCCAGAAGAATTATGTTACTATTGTCTTTTAGTTGATTGAAATATTCTGTATTCCTCAAGGCACCATCATGTTTGTTAAATACATGAATTAGTTCTCCTTTAAATCCTTTGAGCACCCCCTATGAAAAATATAAATCTTTTGAACAGGCTTTAAAAATTCTATTTGTTGGATTTTCATATTTTGGAGCTCTTAATTGATGTCACTATTATTTCATCATATTTGTAAATACATCTTTGATACTAGAGATCTCAAAGCACTTAAGTCCATCACATTCACCATAGCTAAGAAGGGCTCGGAGAAGTAAATGATTTTTTAGATACTATTTTAAATGGTAAAACAAAGGCCGGGCGCAGGGGCTCACACCTGTAATCCCAGCACTTTGGGAGGCCAAGGAGGACAGATCACTCAAGGTCAGGAGTTCGAGACCAGACTGGCCAATATGGTGCAACCCCGCCTCACTAAAATATAAAAATTAGCCAGGTTTGGTGGCACGCACCTGTAGTCCCAGATACTCGGGAGGCTGAGGAAGGAGAATCGCCTGAACCCAGGAGGTGGAGGTTGCAGTGAGCCAAGATGGCACCACTGCACTCCAGCCTGGGTGACAGAGTGAGACTCTGTCTCAAAAAAAAAAAAAGAAGGCCGGGCACAGTGGTTCACGCCTGTAATTCCAGCACTTTGGGAGGCCAAGATGGGCAGATCATGAGGTCAAGAGATCAGACCATCCTGACCAACATGGTGAAACCCTGTCTCTATTAAGAAAACAAAAATTAGCTGGGCTTGGTGGCACGCACCTGTAATCCCAGCTACTCGGGAGGCTGAGGTAGGGAGAATTGCTTGAACCTGGGAGGTGGAGGTTGCTGTGAGCTAAGATCACCCCACTGAACTCTAGCCTGGGCTACAGAGCAAGACTCCCTCTCAAAAAAAAAAAAAAAAAAGGTAAAACAAAATGAGTTCAAAATTCAATTTTCAGTTTTTATTTTGTTTCTAACCAAAATATCCTATTTTATGTTATTTTATGTATTTCATAATATACTGCCTTGATTAGAAAACGTTATTCAAATAATGTCAGTTCTAACTCACTTCTTTTTCCAACTATGAATGTTAAGGCTTCAAAGTTGCTGCATTAAAATATTTTAAAGTAAGTTTTAGGCTATGTGTGGTGGCTCATGCCTGTAATCCCAGCACTTTGGGAGGCCAAGGTGGGAGGATAACTTGTGGTCAGGAGTTCGAGACCAACCTGGCCAACATGGTGAAACCCTATCTCTACCAAAAATACAAAAATTAGCCGGGTGTGGTGGCAGACGCTTGTAATCCCAGCTACTCGAGAGGCTGAGGCAGAAGAATTGCTTGAACCCAGGAGACAGAGGTTACAATGTGCTGAGATTGTGCTACTGCACTCCAGCCTGGGCAACAGAGTGAGACTCCATCTCAAAAAAAAAAAAAAAAAAGAAGAAGTTTTACTACTTTTATTATTAGTCTATAGCTTGGGGAATGAAAGTTTAAGAAGGGCACATTGTTTTTAAAATATGGATATATTAACACTGAGAAGGATGGAGTCCCACAGTGGGCCTATCGGCTTGGCCTAATTTCTGGATATAGGATATATATTAAGTAACAATAAATAAATTTACATGATTAAAATATTTTCAGATTTTAAAATTATGAAGAACGATTTGATATTCTTACAGTTTCATCAAAATCCATAAAATTGGACACAACTTTGACATTGGGATGATAAACACCAGCTTGACGAATAACTTCCTCTAGTACATCGCCGATTCCAGCCGAAAATATGAACACGGGGATGCTATGTTGTTGGAGCTTATCAAAGAAATTCTCATATCCTTCTCTGTAAGATGGAGATAACAAACTGGTTATTAAAGAGCAAGATATAGTTCCTTTTTACTTAGAAGCTAAAAAAGTGAAATATTCCTAGTAATTCTATGGCTCACTCATATTCTCATTTCAATATACTGCCCAAGAGGGCTGTTATTGATATCTACAATACTACAAGTTTTTCAAACAACAGTTAACTCTTTACTTTCCCTTTAATCAATTCTAATACTACAAACTAGATGTCTTTAAGCTTTCACTGAATATGAATATAAACCTACAGTTCACAATTTATACCATTTAAAAAGAAATAGGCAGGCATAGCAGTGCATGCCTATAGTCCCAGCTATTTGGGAGGCTGAGGCTTGAGGATTGCTTGAGCCCAGGAGTTCTAGTCCACTCTGGGCAACATAGCGAGACCCTGTCTCTAAAATGAAATTTAAAAAGAGAAAACAATAGTTAAGCTACACCTTGAAAACCCCACTTAGGGGTTAAAACATGGATATATTAACACTGAGAAGGATGGAGTCCCATAGTGGGCCTATCAACTTGGCCTAACTTAATGGATATATATTGACCAACAACAAATACATTTACATGATTAAAATATTTTCAGATTTTAAAATTATGAAGAATGACTTGATATTCTTACAGTTTCATCAAAATCCATAAAATTGAAAAGAAAAGCAGAGTGGCAGGAACTTAGATGTATTCTCGACATCTGGCATGTGTCTTTACTAAGATCTTAAGCCCTCTTCCCTTTTTTACCCTTCCTGGGCCATAGGTTAAAGAATGCTAATGTTGCCTACTAAGGAATGAAACACTTACTAGCTGTCCTCACACTTTTTCTGACAATTTATTGCTTTCCTTTTTAGAAGTAATCACCTTAAAATATAACATCATCATAAAAAAGTAACATCATCATATTTGCCTAATGAGTTGAAAATTTTACGAGGTAATAAACAGTATTAAACAGGCTCTTGGGCCGGGCGCAGTGGCTCACGCCTGTAACCCCAGCACTTTGGGAGGCGGAGATGCGCAGATCACAAGGTCAGGAGATCGAGACCATCCTGGCTAACTCGGTGAAACCCCGTCTCTACTAAAAATACAAAAAATTAGCCGGGCGTGGTGGCGGGCGCCTGAAGTCCTGGCTAGTCAGGAGACTGAGGCAGGAGAATGGCGTGAACCTGGGAGGCGGAGCTTACACCACTGCACTCCAGCCTGGGTGACAGAGCGAGACTCCATCTCAAAAAAAAAAGAAAAAAAAAAGCTTCTTGTATCTTATAACTCATGCATACATATATAATTATGTACTAAAACATACTAATCTTTCCTAGGAATAGTTTTCAAAGAAGTTCGAGAATTTAAAAAGTAGGCTTATGTAAATTTAGACATAGTATACTGCCAGGCATGGTGGCTCACACATATAATCCCAGCACTTTGGGATCGCTTGAGCTCAAGAGTTCAAGACCAGTCTGGGCAACATGGTGAAATCCCATCTTTACAAAAATATACAAAAATTAGCCAGGCATGGTGGTGCATGACTGTAGTCCCAGCTACTTGAGAGGCTGAGGCAAGGGGATCGCTTGAGCCCAGGAGGCAGAGGTTGAACTGAGGAAGAGATTATGTCACTACACTCTAACCTGGGCAACAGAGAGAGACCCTGTCTTTAAAAAAAAAAAAAAGTATACTTAAATCCCTTTTAACTTGATTTATACATTCCTTTCATATGTCTTTCCTAAGTATTTTGCTAAAAAATTTTTAAATGGCCTTGGTTCAAAAATTTTAAGTCTTGACATTTTTAATCTGGAGAAACAAAATACAAATTAGAATTTAAATCTCATAAGGCTCTTACTACCTACACCAAGATCTAATACGTCATTCTAAATTCCTTATCTTACCACTATGTATTTTGTGATAGGTGGCATATTTTGGATATGGTTATATAAGGAATATTCAATCTTATTTTTAAAAAGTACAACTGACTACATAAATAGCAATAATTCAAGTCTGTGAACAATAACAGCAAAAAACATCCAAGAAACTTACTTGAGCATAACGTCAGATTCTGCCACAATTTCTTTAAGTTTAGCTTTTGGTAAAGCTTGCTGAACAAGCAAACCATGTGATTTAGTATACCTGGAGTTTATGACCAAAGGAAAAAAGACTATCAATTAAGACAAACTAAAATTATTATCTTTATTACAAAACATTCTTCCATGTGAGAAAATCTGTTCCTCATATTTGGATTTAAATTTTAGAGATTGAAGTTCATCACTAATGAATGTATACCTCATGTCTCAAAATGTGATATGCATGTTCTTACTGAGTTTCCCAGTCCTCCCAAACCCAGACTTAGCTTAAATATGTTAGTAAGGTAATGAAAGGAAACTAGCTATAAACCTTTCCTAATTCTACACATAAAAACTCAACCCAACCTATGGAAGCATAATCCTTTCTCTGATTGCAGTAAAATGAATTAGAGCAACCCCATTTTTAAAATTTGTTTGTAGTTTGAATTTTCTACATACTGAAGATGCTACTTAGTGAACAAGAGAGAAAATCTTTGTTATGGCAAGTGTCATATACAGATTAGCCTGCTTTATGTAGAAAACACCTATAATCATAGCATCTCAGTATAAAGGGCCCTTAGACTCTCTAACCCATTACAATTATGCAAACAGCCACTAAAAACAGAAAGAAAGAAACGAAAAGAAAAAAAAGCCTAACTCTTCATCTGATACCTAAAAATACCCCTATAATATTCCTAAGTCACCTTCTTCCCTGCCTGGGTCAGCTTCTAACATGTCAGTAAGCTCATTCTCCCAGGGAAGCTTATTCCATTGCCAGAAAACTCTTAATTGCTAGACAGGCTTTTCATTTCTCATGCTGAAATCAATCTTCTTATATCTTCCAAGTCTAGTTCCAGTTCTGCTGCTACCAGTTTGTAGAGTTAAGTCTAATATCTTTTCAACATTTAGTACCACAAATACAGATGAAGTATGCAACTGTTACGTAACGGGACAATAAAGACAAATCATTCCTGGTCTCCTAAGATTTTAAAACAAGTTGTTCCTTCTCAAATCAAAGCATTTTCTATTCCTTGAAATGTTCGTCAAGTGGGAAGGCTCAAATTCCTCTGATCATTCTGGTGGACTACTCTGACTCCTTTTAAGTTTGTCATGATCTATTTTTTTTTTTTTTGGTCACTATTGTCATGGTTTCTCTTAACAGCATTCTTCCAGAATCCGACACAGTGCTTTCAGTGTGATCTGCCTGGAACACTGCATTTTGATTAATGCAACCAAAGGTCGATTTTTGGGTAACCATATCACCTGCTGGCTCTGAGTTCAGACTCAGTTTAAATCCTCATACCTTTTCTTTACACATTAAGCCACGTTTTGTTCATATACTTAAAAAAAAATTCTTGTTTTTAATTTGAGACTTAAATGCAGGACTTTTAATTTATTCCTACTGGACTTCACCTTAAATAAACAAAACAAAAGGATTCCTAAACTGTTAGAGAGATTAGATAATTAGAGCTCATTTTGTTATTCAATGCTCTAACTTGCATAATTTATTAATCTGTTTGTTTGCAATACAGGTAAAAAATAAGCCATCAGTTGTAACTGCAGTGTTGTTTTATTATTTTTTTTTAATCCTCCTACTGCCTAATATACACTTACCATTCCACCATATAAGGGTACTTCTCTTCTACAGTAAGAACAGGATCAACTTCAATAGCGTAATATTTTTCCTTTAGTTGCAATAACTAGGAAGATATGAATAACTTAATCATGAAGATTACTTGAAAATAAATCTGCTTGGTTTTATAGAAAGCAAAACAATGTAAACAAGTATTTTCAACAAACTGCTTTAAAAGTTGAGCTAATGCATCAATTGAAAAAATATTTGTTGATCTTAGTTGACATGTAATCAAATATACCTGCAAAAAGCTACCTTTCTTTTGTAAAGTACTTTCAGATGAGTAAAAACCAACAATAAAATTATCAGTACAAAAAACACTTTAGTTTTCATATAAAGGTATTAAATTTGATTCACATTTCAAATTGCATTTTGTTAAGATATACACAGACACATACATACTCAAGCGAAGTACTGAAGCAACTTCCTCATCAACTTAAAGGAGCAAAACCTATAGAAAACTGAAGTACTTTTGTTTTAAATCTCCAGTTAACGTTACAACACCAGAATACTTTGGTAATCATTTAAGAGTTTTAAATATAAGTTTTGTTGTCAAGTTACTGTGAATTTTTATCTTTAAAATATGTTTTGAATGTGTAATTCATACAGCAAACCTACTATTTACTGAGTGCTTACTATGTGCCAGGTATGGCTGTAAGCACTTTACATCCATTCTTACTTCTGTGAATGCACCTGAAGAAATTCTCAGGCAAAAAGGGTAATGAAGTCTTTGAGTGACTATAGATTGTTGTTAGTGTTTACCTTTTTTCTACATTCATCTGTAACCAGCTTACAGTTGTCAATGATATCTAAAGATAGAAAGCAAAATAAGCATTAAAAGAAATACTCTGATTTATGCTACCACTACTATGAATAATTTGCTATAAAGTAATGGCAAAAAACTCAATTACTTTTGCACCAACCCAATACTTTTAAGTAATGCCAAGTCAACTAGCATGGTTATTATAACTTTTGGTGTCAGTGGTATAATTCACATGACATTGTTAAAGAAGCTAATGGCTTAAAATCTGAGATTCAGTGACTGCTCGCTTACATCACTGAGATAGACAATTCAATATCTTCAAATACTATGAACTGTGTATTGATCACTTCCATTTTCTACTTTGTAATTAAATATAAGAAACACATATGGGAAATACATTTTTTTCGTAATAAAAAGATAATAAATGCTTAACGTAAACATCTGGAAAATCCAGACCACTGTAAAGAAGAAAACAAAAATTGAATGGTAAAAGGTTTTAGCATTCAATAATAAGTAATGAACAATATTTTAGTATATTTCCTTTCAGTCTTAAGATTTCATGTATATCAATTAGATAAGAGATCATACCAAATCTGTAATTTTGAATTTTCTTTTTCATTTCACATTGTAGTCTGCATTTTTCCATGTAATTAAAATTTCTGGTATGTGAGCAGAAAATAATTTATATCATTTCTGCAGCATTAAACTTTTTAGGTTGCTTCCAAGCATCTGCTATTAGTAATAATTTTATGTTGAGCTTAGTCACCATTATTTTTGTGAATAAAGTTTTTTAAAAACTGCATTTGAGATTATTAGAAATTCTCCAAAGAGGACTTAATAGGGCAAAGGATATGAAGATTTTTAGTGTTTTTTTTTTTTTTCGAGACAGGGTCTTGTTTTGTCATCCAGGCTGGAGTGCAGTGGTGCGATTATGGCTCACTATAGACTTGCCCTCCCAGGCTCAAGGACCCTCTCAGCCTCCCAAATGAGTAGCTGGGACCACAGGCATGCCACAATGCCCAGCTAATTTTTTATTTTTTGTAAGAAAAGGTCTTATTATGTTGCTCAGGCTGGTCTCAAACTCCTGGGCTCAAGTGATTATTCCACCTCCACCTCCCGAAGTGCTGGGATTACAGGCGTGAGCCACTGTGCCTGGCGATTTTTAGCATTTTTTTAATACAAGTTATCAAAATAATTTTTCTTTTCCTTTTTTACTTTTTTTTGAGATGAAGTTTCACTCTGTTGCCCAGGCTGGAGCGCAGTTGTGCAATCTTGGCTCACTGCAAACTCCACGTCCCGGGTTCAAGTGATTCTCCTGCCTCAGCCTCCTGAGTAGCTGGGATTACAGGTGCCCGCCACCATGCCCAGCTAATTTTTGTATTTTTAGTAGAGACAGGGTTTCATCATTTTGGTCAGGCTGGTCTTGAACTCCTGACTGCAAATGATCTGCCCGCCTCAGCTTCCCAAAATGCCGAGATTACAGGCATGAGTGACCGCACCCAGCCCCAAAATAATTTTTCAATTTACACATGTACTAAAAGCAAATGAGAGAGTTCATTTCACCGTTTCCCTGTCAGGTTGAAGAGTGTTATTTTAAAAACTCACAGCCAAGTTGGAAAACAAAAAAGACATTAAAATTTGGTAAAATTCCTAGAAAACAAAGTATTTGATAAATGGTGTTTCTTCAGGTTAACCCAAAGTTTACAACCTATTTAAATATTTCTTGAATAATGAATAGACCATATTTGGCAAGAAATATTTCAGGAGTCTCTGATTCCCTTTGCTACCAAAACCATACATGAAAATAACCATTTATATAATATGGGAAAAAAAACCTCAAAAATATAATAAGAAAAAGCAGGTCTCCTCACTGTCAATGTCCAAGAAGAATTTTAAAAACCCAGTTATCTCACAGGTAATATAAAGAGGATCTTAAAATAATGATGACATGCTTTTGTGAATTTGTTTACAAATATCACACTTACTATGACATGTTGGGCATCTTTTCCCTTTATATGAAAATCTACTGAGTGTCATATCAAAGTCCGTTATTATCTGTAAGAAAAGAGTGAAATGCATTATTGTAAACATAGCCCACATGGCCAGAATTTCTCTGTGCTACCCAAACACATACTTCATGCTTTCCTAGATGCATAGGACTGTGCTCAAGTCTCTGGTCCACACTGTTAACTTATTCTCTTTACATTGAATTTTCTCATGCGGTTCCTTTATAAAGTCCTGGGAATAATCTTAACTACAAGGTGCTACCTTGAGTGCCCTAGTGTTTTCACCAAATAAATCTGATTCGTAATTCAGCCATAAAAAACAAAGAGATGCTGTCATCTGCAGCAACATGGGCGAGCCTGGAGGTCATTATCTTAAGTGAAATAAGACAGGCACAGAAAGACAAATATTATATGTTCTTACTCATATGTGAAAACTTAAAAAGTTGATCTCATGGAAACAGAGAGTAGAAAGACGGTTACCAGAGGCTGGGAAGGGTGGGAGGGTTGGTGAGATAAAGAACAGCTGGTTAATGGTTATGAAAATACTGTTAGAAGGAATAAGTTCTAGTGTTTACACAGTGGAATGACTATAGTAAACAGTATTTTATTGTATATTTCAAAACAGCTAGAAGAAAAGATTTAGAATGTTCCCAAAACAAAGAATAAATATTAGAAGTGGCAGATATCCTAATTACCCTGATTTGATTATTGCACATTTTATATACATTTGAAAATATCACATGTACCGCATATATATATACAGTTATTATGTATCGACTTTAAAAATTGAAAAAATCCAGCCAGGCACGGTGGCTCATGCCTGGAATCCCAGCACTTTGGGAGGCCGAGGTGGGGAGATCACTCGAGGTCAGGAGTTTGAGATCAGCCTGGCCAAGATGGTAAAACCTTGTCTCTACTAAAAATACAAAAATAGCCAGGTGTGGTGGCATGTGCCTGTAATCCCAGCTACTCAGGAAGCTGAGGCAGGAGAATCACTTGAACCTGGGAGGCGCAGGTTGCAGTGAGCTAAGATCATGCCACTACACTCCAACCTGGGCGACAGAATAAGACTCCATCTCGAAAAAATAAAACAAAATTAAATAAATAAAAATAAATAAAAATTTGAAAAAATCTGATTAATTGGTATGGGAATTTGCAATTGCAGGTGATATGGCTACTCTTCTCACTAGAGATTTTCGACCAACTTGGTCAATGCACAAAAATGCAGTGGAAGCAATTCAACTATATGAAGCTCTTAGTTACTGATACCATTACATGCTGGATTTAACTTGCTTATTTAAACTATACCAATGAATGAATGCACATTGAAATAGCTGGCCAGCTCTTGAAACTTAGGAGACTGGGTTAAATATTATTTTTCAGAAATGTTTTAAAAAAGGAATAATTTTTTTTTTTACAGAATATCCAGATTGTTGATTTAATTTACATGTAACACATTCCTTTAAAACAGAGACAACTTTTTAAAAACTCAATTATCCCCTTAATAAGGCTGTATCTTAATCTGAACTACTATGATTAAAACATGAAAGAGCAGCATAAAACTAAACACTTTTAAATATTATCCTTAAAATGGTTTAATGCTTGTACACAGCATGAGTTAGCTTCTTACTTAAGACTAATAAAAACTTAAGAGTATTTCAGGATTATTAACTTTTGTTTTTCCAATAGGGTATTCTGTCTGTTTTAGAACAACTCAAGATATATATTTTCTGGATTTTATATTCCTAAAGGATAGGCAAAAACTGTCTACCTAAACTTGCTGTACTCAGATTTTATCAAACAGGAGATGAATGAGTCGGCTTTAACATTAAAAATAAAATAAGGCTGGGCCATGATGGCTCACGCCTGTAATCCCAGCACTTTGGGAGGCCGAGGTGGATGGATCACTTGAGGCCAGGAGTTTGAGACCAGCCTGGCCAACATGGCGAAACCCTGTCTCTACTAAAAATATAAAAATTAGCTGGGTGTGGTGGCAGGCACCTGTAATCCCAGCTGCTCTGGAAGCTGAGGAGGGAAAACTGCTTGAACCGGGAAGCAGAGGTTGCAGTGAGCTGAGATCGTGCCACTGCACTCCAGCCTGAGCAACAGAGTAATACTCAGTCTCAAAAAACAAAAAAATTAGCTGGTTGTGGTGGCTGGCACCTGTAATCCCAGCTGCTCGGGGAGGCGGAGGTACGAAAATCGCCTGAACCCAGGAGGAGCAGGTTGCAGTGAGCCAGGATTGCGCCACTGCACTCCAGGCTGGGCAACAGAGCGAGACTCCATCTCAAAAGAAAAAAAAAAAAAAAAAAAAGAAGCCTTTATTATTAAGCTTTTATTTTTGGAGTGCAGTGGCATGATCTCAACTCATTGCAAACTCCGCCTCCCGGGGTTAAGTGATTAGCCTGCCTCAGCCTCCCAAGTAGCTGGGATTACAGGCATGCGCCACCAGGCCCGGCTAATTTTTGTATTTTTTAGTAGAGACAGAGTTTCACCATGTTGGCCAGGCTGGTCTCGAACTCCTGACCTCAGCCTTGTCCACCCGCCTCGGCCTCCCAAAGTGCTAGGATTACAGGTGTGAGCCACTATGCCCGGCCATTTTTTTTTTTTTTTAAATAGAGATGGGGTCTCACTATGTTGCCCAGGCTGGTCTCGAACTCCTGGGCTCAAGTGATCCTCCTGCTTCAGTCTCCCAAAGTGCTGGAATTACAGGCATGAGCCAACACACACAGCCAAGGCTTCTTGATAATTATTCACCTGAAGTTTGGCAGCTCCTCCTTTGATAAGACCACAGATAATTTCTTCTACTCTTGTAGGGTTCTTGATTCGAACTGAACTTTTCTGGAATTCTGGCATCTAAAAGTAAAAGAAAATTAATTAATTAGTTTTCATTCTTCTTTCCCCAGGTTCCTTTGATACCAAGCAGAAACCTGTCTTATTTAAAGACATAAAAATATTAAGGCATTATTTTTAAAAAGCAAGCCACCACATCAAATTACCGTTTATTTATTTTGTTATTACTTTTTTAGAGATGAGGTCTTGTTTTGTCACCCCGGCTGGAGTGCAGTGGCACAATCCTAGCTCACCGTAGCCTCAAACTCCTGGGCTCAAATGATCCTCCCATCTCAGCCTCCTGAGTAGGTAGAAGGCATGCGCCATCATACCCAGCTAATTTTTAAAATTTTCTGTAGAAGTGAGTGAGGTCTTGCTTTGTTGCTCAGGCTGATCTTGAACTCCTGGCCTCAAGCAATCCTCCCATCTTGGCCTTCCAAAGTCCTGGGATTAAAAGTGTGGGACACCAAGCCCAGCTCCCACATTACCATTTATACACACAAAAATACTTAAAACTTATCAGTATTTTCCAGCTACAGAGTAAGATAAAACTACATTTGTGATTCAATTGCTTTATCAGAAAGTATATATCTTTTTCTAAGTATAAAAGCAATGCACGCTTACCACAGAAATAACAGTAAAAATATAAAAAAGACAATAAAAACTGCCTGGAGTTCAACTACGTGAAGATAAACAAGTAACATTTAAATTTATTTTCTATTAGTTTCATTTCTGTGATTTTCTATTAGTTTCATTTCTGGGTTGTGATGCAATCCAGAGAGCCCAGAAATCATATTTTAACCATGAATACCCCAGCAGCTACCCCTCGATTGATTAATTTTTCTAAAAATCTTAAGATGACTCCCGTTAAGCCTCCATTTTATATAATACAGTAACTAAACTTCCACCCTAATACTAATATAATACCTTCAGCATATCCCTCTGAAACATGCATATATACGCATATAGTTTTAGCTCATCCTCATTATATACTTTTGCATCTGGCTTTTATGAATTAATACATACATTTAGCTTGCCTACATATTTATATTTTAAAATGTTCCTGAGCAGAAAGGAAGCAATTATCACAATTATTCCCCCAAAAGTTTGTCTTTGTATAATTAAAATACATTTAAAATATTTTAAATTTGAAAAGCTGCTTCAAGATCTTTGCTCTTTTTATTGTACTATTTTCCAAATAATATACTGTTCTTGGCACACATTTTACAATAGATTTATTTCAAATGGAGATAACTGCCAAAAAGTATTGTGCCAGGCACAGTGGCACATGCCTGTAATCCCAGCTACTTGGAAGCTGACGATCACTGGAGCCCAGGAGTTTGAGACCAGCCTGGGCAACACAGCAAGACCCATCTTAAAAAATGGGTGTAGGCTGCTACTACAGAGTTATGAAGACTTTAGGGTTGCTCAACAATTTAATCTTAAGTATTATTTCTTGTTACTAGCTATTTTATCACAAATAGAATGAAACTGATTAGAGGAAAAATCAGTACAAGCTCTCATAGCACATGTACAATACAACTAGAAGGAGAAAATTATGCCTCATTTTATAGTCAGTTATACAGCATAGGCAATAATAGTACCTCAAATCCAAGTTCTATACTGGTTTGTACTGGATAATCTTTATTTATATGT
The DNA here is from genome assembly GCF_000001405.40 of Homo sapiens. Taxonomy (NCBI): domain Eukaryota; kingdom Metazoa; phylum Chordata; class Mammalia; order Primates; family Hominidae; genus Homo; species Homo sapiens. The sequence continues at coordinate 33,028,548 of NC_000007.14, forward strand.
TTTTATTCTGGGTATGTTATTAGTAATATTAACATAGTTCATGTGTGTCATGGACATGGTTACAAAAATTCCCTGGACCTTCTATCTTTGCTACAAGAGAATCTCACCACGTAAATCTATCAGATGCCGTGTTGTTCCTACATAATGGGCAAGAGTAGAAAAATCAGAAAAAGGATGGACTGTCTTCCAAAGACTGGAAGATGATAACGAAAGTGTAGAGGAAAGAGGCCGGGCACAGTGGCTCACGCCTGTAATCCCAGCACTTCAGGAGGTCGAGGTGGGCAGATCACGAGGTCAGGAGATCGAGACCATCCTGGCTAACATGGTGAAATACTGTCTCTACTGAAAACATAAAAAATTAGCTGGGCGTGGTGGCGGGTGCCTGTAGTCCCAGCTAGTTGGGAGGCTGAGGCAGGAGAATGGCGTAAACCCGGGAGGCAGAGCTTGAAAAAAAAAAGAAAGTGTAGAGAAAAGACAAATGCTAACATTAAAATTTTCTCCATGGATGAAAGATCTACCACCTACAATATATTTAATTTTAAAAAGCCATATTTAAGTAGGATGACCTGCAATGCAACTAACCTTGATGTAGTAATCCTTTTAACTCAACTGGATGAGTTTCAATGGCTTAAAGGTTATCTATGTATTTTATAGTGATTTTTCAATAGATGGAAAGGCAGATAGGCACTGGTTCCTATTTTTTTTTTTCATACATTAACCCATTCACTCGCCTAACCAATATTTACCATGTGTCTACTTTGTGCCACACACTCTTGCTAAATGCTAGGGATATGATGATGAGTAGTATTTACTCTGCTTTTCTGCTGAGTTTTAGGGACCACTGCTGTTTTGGAATATCACTTCTGTAACTCCCTTACAAATACCTCAGCTAGTAAGTTTATCTCTTGACAACTAATTTCTGTTCTTACCTCAGCCTTAACTGGCAGATGCACAGCAATCAGCATATGTTTGATTCAATAACCAATCCATTATGGTGAAAGCAACACAGGATATATATCATAGACTATTTTTTCACCAAAAAAATTAAATATTTGATTTCAGTGTACCCAAGATGTCTTACCTCAGGCAAATCACAGCTTCAAGTTTTTGATAACGGATAGGAGAATCACACCAAGACCACTTCGAAGAAGGCTGGTTTCTGCTACACTAACAAATGTAAGATTGGTTTATTTTATTTTTATAGAGATAAGGTCTTGCTGTGTTTCCCAGGCTGGTCTCAAACTCCTGGGCTCAAGTGATCTCCCCGCTTCAGCCTCCCAAAGTGCTGGGATTACAGGTGTAAGCCACCATGCCCAGCCAATACTGGTTTACTTTAAATCACAATGGATGAAAGAGAACCAGTAGCTAAAGGCATTGGTGGCTCCTGTGCAACATACAACCATTCATTTTCATTGTGTATTCATAAGTAGTGAATACACAAATGGCACGGGAGTAAAATAATGATGAAATAGGTATAAGAAATATAAAAATGACCATTCTATCTGTCTTGGGTTATATAGTATACTATACTCCTCTCCTGCAATACACAATTAATGTCACTGATCTATATGAGAAATACTTCACAAGAACTTGAGATATGGGGTATTTTACTCAAATACTTTACAATATAGCCTAAGAAAGAGAATCAAAGACTCCTGTATGGAATATGTCAAAGAGTATCATAATATAAGCACACTGTAGAAGTATGATGAAATACATCACATACTTTTTGTTGTGGTGGTTGTTGTTGAACATGCCCCAACTGTTGCATGAGATCACATACTTTTGTTACCTCCACAAAGTCCTTCTGTCTATATCCCTCTTATAAAAACACAGACTTGGTTTGGTGGCATATAAATAATGATACTTCAAATTTGAAGGGCAAGGTATTTTGAATTGTCTGAAAAATTTTCAATTTGATTATGATAAAATTTTATGAAAAATAAATAAGAAGCTAAAAATTTCCATCATTTGTGATAAAAAGAGAACAAATTCATTTTATGGTAAAGCCGCAGCGTAAAATGTTGGGGAGGGAGCAATGCCTTCCTGAAAAGAATCAGGGTATGTTGGTTGATTGATGCCAATCTGAATCAACACCAAAAATGATTAAGAAAGACCTAAAATTCACTTATTTTGACCAATACTTAATATATTTATAGAGATGAAATGGATTTCAAAGTTATGCCATTTTATCCACAACTCAATTGTTTAATATTAGATTTGATATGATCTTGTGGATACACTGGGATAAGATAAAAATGTGAAGCTCTGGCCAGGCGTGGTGGCTCAGGCCTGTAATCCCAGCACTTTGGGAGGCTGAGGCGGGCGGATCACGAGGTCAGGAGATCGAGACCATCCTGGCTAACACGGTGAAACCCTGTCTCTACTAAAAATACAAAAAATTAGCCAGGCGAGGTGGCGGGCGCCTGTAGGCCCAGCTACTCTGGAGGCTGAGGCAGGAGAATGGCATGAACCCCGGGGGGCGGAGCCTGCAGTGAGCCGAGATCGCGCCACTGCACTCCAGCCTGGGCGACAGCGAGACTCTGCCTCAAAAAAAAACAAAAAAAAAAAAAAAGAGAGAAGCTCCATAGTACAGTTACCAAATTTCTGGGTGTGGCTTGGTATCATCAATCCAATGATAATATTCCAGACTAGGGATAATCCTAATTTCCAGGATGAGATTATGACAACTTCAAAGTTTAATTCTGTTTGAACTAGATTTCAAATTATATTAAATTTTGATTAAAAAAGAAAACACGGCCGGGCATGGTGGCTCATGCCTGTAATCCCAGCACTTTAGGAGGCCGAGGCAGGAGGATCACTTGGGCTCAGCAGCTCGAGACCAGGCTGGGCAACGTGGCAAAACCCTGTCTCTACAAACAATACAAAAATTAGCCGGGCATGGTGGTGCACATCTGTAGTCCCAGATACTCGGAGGCTAAGGTGGGAGGATTGCCTGAGCCTGGGAGGCAGAGGTTGCAGTGAGCTGACATCATGCCACTGCACTCCAGCCTGGGTGACACAGTGAGACCCTGTCTCAAAAAAAAAATAAATAAATAAAAAGATTTTGTATTAAAAAACACACATAAATACATTATATTTAAAATAATGAATTATTATTCTTAAACTAAAAATAAAAAACAAAATAAACTAAGGGTTATACAATCCACAATGTACAGAGAAAACAATTCATATTTTAACCAAGACTAAAAAAATTACTTGTACTTTTAATTTATAAATATGTATGTTCATCTATATGAGTTTCATTTATTTATTATTTTTAAAATTTATTTTTGGCCGGGCACGGTGGCTGACGCCTGGAATCCCAGCACTTAGGGAGGCCAAGGCCAGTGGATCACCTAAGGTCAGGAGTTCAAGACCAGCCTGGCCAACATAGTGAAACCCTGTCTCTATTAAAAATACAAAAATTAGCTGGGCATGGTAGCACATGCCTGTAATCCCAGCTACTCTGGAGGGTGAGACAGGAGAATCGCTTGAACCCGGGAGGCAGAGGTTGCAGTGAGCCGAGATGGCACCACTACACTCTAGCCCAAGTGACAGAGCGAGACTCTGTCTCAAAAACAAACAAAAAAAGGCCAGGCACAGTGGCTCATGCCTCTAATACCAGCACTTTGGGAGGCCAAGGCAGGCAGATCACCAGAGGTCGGGAGTTCGAGATCAGCCTGGGTAACATGGTGAAACCCCATCTCTACTAAATATACAAAATTAGCTGGGCATGGTGGCATACACCTGTAACCCTGTTACTTGGGAGGCTGAGGCAAGAGAATTGCTTGAACCCAGGAGGCGGAGGTTGCAGTGAGCCAGGATTTCGCCACTGCACTCCAAGCCTGGGTGACAGAGTGAGACTCGGTCTCCAAAAAAAAAAAAAAAAAAATTTACTTTTATGTTTTTTTATTTTTATTTTTTGAGGCAGGGTCTTGCTCTGTCACCCAGGCTGGAGGGCAGTGGCGTGATCTTGGCTCACTGCAACTTTCCCTCCTGGGCTCAGGTGATCCCCCCACCTCAGACTCTCAAGTAACTGGGACTACAGGGGCTCACCACCACCCTCGGCTAATTTTTGCATTTTTTTGTAGAAACAGGGTTTTGTAGTGTTGCCCAGGCTGGTCTTGAACTCCTGGACTCAAGCAATCTGCCTGCCTCAGCATCCCAAAGTGTTGGGATTACAGGCATCAGCCACTGCACCTGACCTATTTTAAAATTTTTGAGACAAGGTCTCACTCTGTCACCCAGGATGGAGTGCAGTAGCGTGATCACAGCTCACTGCAGACTTGACCTCCTGGGCTCAATAGATCCTCCCACCTTAGCCTCCAGAGTAGCTGGGACTACAGCCATCTGCCACTATGCCCAGGTATTTTTTTAATTTTTGTAGAGACGGGTCTCACTATGTTGCCCAGGCTGGTCTCAAACTCCTGAGCTCAAGCGATCCTCTTGCCTTGGCCTCCCAAAATGCTGGGATTACAGGCATGAGCCACAGTGCCCAGCCTCAGTGAATTTTAAATCACCTTAGTATTATCCTACATTTTTCTGGAAATAGCCCACATAAAAATTAGTTTGAATCACTTAAGAAATTCCAGTCAGATGTTCTCAGAGAAATATTCTTTCTTGGTTTTCCATTGTTTATATTTGGTAGCAACAAAAGACTTCATTACTGCAGTGGTACAAAGAAGTAGGCACTAGAGTTTTTATCCAGCTACACAGAAAGTATAGATTTAAAGCCACCTATTCAAACTGGTACATTTACCCCCACACATAGATGATTCTCAGATTTATTTGGAAGATTATGCACTACTAAATTTTAGTAATAGCGATTTCCCTTGCTTATTACATATTTGGTCTGTTTCTACATTAAGATAGTGTAGGCCAAATTCTTTCATTCCTTCACCACATATTAAGTATAAGACAGTGTGTGAAGCCGCTCTGTAAGAGATATATAAAATATAAATCTTACACTCAAGGTGCATATTCTCTAATGTGGATTAAAAAATAGAAACCCAAATAATTAATACATTGCCAAGATGTCCAGATAAAATGTAAAAGGAATAGAAGAAACAAAGATTTCTTCTTCTGGGGTCAAAGGAGGAAGAGCCAACAGAGGTAGGCTCTGGAAGAGAAACAGGATTTAGATATGCTGAGATTAGGGAGGAATCAAAGTGCAGGGTCTAATATGGGAAAAAGAGAAATAGCTCTGTTTGTATAGAACTTGAGTGTACACAGAGAAGTGTGCATGTAAAAAGTCTGGACAGAGAGATCTGAATCCTGTTCATGAGAAGTAAAGAATAACATGCTATAAAGTTGTCAATATAAAAGACATATATATATATATATAATTTTTTTTTTTTTTGAGAGGGAGTCTCGCATTGTCGCCCAGATTGGAGTGCAGTGGCGCCTCTCAGCTCACTGCAAGCTCCGCCTCCTGGGTTCATGCCATTCTCCTGCCTCAGCCTCCCGAGTAGCTGGGACTACAGGTGCCCGCCACCACGCCTGGATAATTTTTTTGTATTTTTAGTAGGGACGGGGTTTCACCATGTTAGCCAGGATGGTCTCGATCTCCTGACCTCATGATCTGCCCACCTCGGCCTCTCAAAGTGCTGGGATTACAGGCGTGAGCCACCGCGCCCGGCCAGACCTATCAATATTTTTAGGAAAGCAAACCCAAGGTAAAAATTGTGTAAATTAATGCAATAATAGTTAAAAAAAATCTTTTGGCTTGTTTTCCTTCAACAGTCTGAATAACTGTGGAGTGAATACACTGCTACTTGCCTCCACAAACACCTTCTAGAGGGCTCTAGGACCCAAGTAACAACATTATACAAAGAGGATTAACATTGTTTATATGTCAGGGAATTCCTATACTGCTTGTGTTCACGTAAGTTAAAAAAAAAGTCAACCCAAACAAGAAAATAAGTTTTAGACTGGTTTAATTCTATGTATCAAAGAGATATGCTCAATTCCAATGAATCAAGTGCCAATCCTTCAATGGATAGAAAGAGCTGTTATTAGGTTGAACCATATAAAACTGGCAATACTGGACTATATTTGACATATAAAAACAATTTCATACGCTTCAACCTAAGAGCAATAACTAAACTGACGATGACTTAATCACCATTTTGAGTCAACTTTCACCTTTGATCCTACACTGGTTGGGGGAAAGATGAACAAGAGATTTATTAAGCGTGACAAAATGCTGTGTCACGCTCTAGTTTATAGGCCAGAAAAAAGCTAGAGAGAAAGAGAAAGCTGAAAAAATAAATGGAACAGAAGAGGAGGCACAACAATAATAAGAACACAAAGAGAAAACAAGAGATCATGAGGCAGTTGTTCTCTTTAAAAGAAAGGATTATTTTTAATTGTTGTTTTTAAGATTTTATCACTGTGAATATGGAGAACAGATGTAATTTCTTTCCACACATGCAAATAAATATGCCAGTTACACAGTTAAAACACTCACTAACGTAATAGAGTAGATCAATATTTAATGAATGCTTAATCTGGGGTTACTAGGAACTTGACGTTTTCACTGAGTATGAATAATAACACATAGTTGGCGGTTTCACACCCATTTCTTAAAGGTAAGATTACTGCTCTCATTCAGGGCTATAGAAGCTAATAAGGAATGAGTTTTTTTTTTTTTTTTTTTTTTGAGACGGAATCTCGCTCTGTCGCCCAGGCTGGAGTGCAGTGGCGCAATCTTGGCTCACTGCAACCTTCGCCTCCTGGGTTCAAGCCATCCTCCTGCCTCAGCCTCCAGAGCAGCTGGGACTACAGGAGCTTGTTACCATGCCCGGCTAATTTTTTGTATTTTTAGTAGAGATGGGGTTTCACTGTATTAGCCAGGATGGTCTCGATCTCCTGACCTGGTGATCCGCCCGCCTCGGCCTCCCAAAGTGCTGGGATTACAGGCACCCGGCCGGAATGAGTTAAGATACGAAGCCAGTTCTGACTCCAAAGCCTGTACATTTCCTATCTCATCCTAGTATATATAATGCAACTCTATTGTCATGCAAGTAAGTATTTTAAAAATTTCTGAATGCTTGTCATTTAAATTTGGAAACCTACAATAATGTATTTCACACTGTACGATTTAAGTGTGTTATTGCTGAGCAAAGAAAATTTAGCGTAAAAAGGAATGGGGAAACATTTTATATTCTGAGAAGCACGACAATGTGCATTAGATTTCAAGCAAAAACATTTTAAAGATAATTTGAAATTCAATTCAATAAGTATTTGAGGTTTATTTTGTGATGCACTGTGAAGAAAGAGTTGTATAAAATTTCAGTCCCATAATTATCTGGTTAGAGACAGAGGTAAAAGTGGTGAAGATTTACCATTAATAAATGGAACTGGAAATAGGCAAATACCCACCATTTTCACATGTACGGCAGACTCTTGATTAGTCATTTCTTGGTTATCCAATCTTCTGGATTTTCCCAGGTGATGTCACAGCAAAAGAGAAAAAAAAAAGTACACGTGACATACATAAATTTCAGGTTCTTCCTGTTATGCCAATAATATATTAAGGTGGAATTTTTGGTATGACTTATTTATTTTGTTTTTTAAAAATGTTTATTTTATGTACAAAGAACTAACATGGTTTCTTTCATTGGGTGGATGCCTTGGATAATCCATTCAAGGAAGATCACTTAGTCCAACTCAATGAAACCTATGTCCTTTGCATACTGATGGAAACACCGGCGGCACATATTGAGGCCGTGTTTCCAGATCAGACTATGCTGGTTTGGGCAGATGTGACAAGAGTGAGAACCCTGGCCCAGCTTCCGTGGGTGGCTCCAGTAGGGCTGCTGGTGACCCATCTTGCTTTCGGGAGTGCAATGAGGCAAAAGGCTTTGCTATGATTTAACATAGCCTATATTTGACACATAAAGCATCTTTTTTTTTTTTCTAAGAAGCTCAGCAAGGGTTTTACTCTATCCAGCATAGTTTTAGATTAACCATTTTGTATGGAGAATCTGAAGCTCTCCTGTAAGAACTTATATGGTATTAAGAAAATTGAATAAACAGTGAAAATGAAGTACATATTTGCAAAGAGCACTTTATTGCAAGAATATTTTATCAACACTTTCTCTACATGTAAGGATGAAGTTTGTGGGAAAATTATGCATTGCTACTACCGAATCAATATAGGAATATACAGACAGAACAAAGTAAGGGAAGACATAACACAAAAGTCCATTTTTTCCTTCAATTTTCTTACATTAAAATTTTATTTTTATTTTTTTATTTTTTATTTTTATTTTTTTTGAGATGCAGTCTTGCTCTGTTGCCAGGCTGGAGTGCAGTGGCATGATCTCAGCTCACTGCAACCTCTGATTCCCGGGTTCAAGTGATTCTCCTGCCTCAGCCTCCCAAGTAGCTGGGATTACAGGCGCATGCCGCCACGCCTGGTTAATTTTTGTATTTTTAGTAGAGATGGGGTTTCACCATGTTGGCCAGGATGGCCTCGATCTCCTGACCTCGTGATCCACCCGCCTCTGCCTCCCAAAGTGCTGGGATTACAGGCATGAGCCACTGCGCCCGGCCTAAAATCTTTAATTTTTTAATATGATATGACTAAGACATGAGCTGTATTTGAATCGAGCATTGTGTCTAGCACAAAATAGGTATGTGAGAGTGTTTATCAACTGAATGAACCTTTTAGGGTCTGGGTGAAGTTTAAATATATCTGTTCATCAAACAAAAGGAACCAGTTTTTAAAACATCTCTCATCATTATTCTAAGATTTTTGGTTGTTGCTGTGTTGGTAGTATAAATCTTAGGGAAAATTACTAAGCTATGTTTGTTCCATAATGACTTTACTTTTACTTTATTTCAGATAAGTAAAATTTTATAATTAAAGCACTATTTAAAAATGGCAACTTAGTTGAAAGCGAGAACATATCTGACTTTTTCTTAAACTCTAGTAATATAAGTTGGACATTAGATCTGTGTTCTTTATAATTAAAAGGTGTTATAGCAGATATATCAAATTTTCTCAAATTCTAAAATTCGGTCCCTACTCCCTTCCATTTTAAGTCCATGAAATTACAAAATGTCTTTTTCTCCCTCTCTCAGAAAGCCTGCTAGTAAGTTGATAGTCTCATAATTGACGGCATCTTAGAATTGAGTAAACACGATTTCCAAACAGTAAGATGATAACTTGCAATTTTTCACATCTGAAAAAGAATGTATCTGCAGTATGAGTGTGTGTATATATATCGATATAAAGATGTGTATGTGTATATATCTTTGTACAGCTATATATATACACACATACACTATATAACTCATAAAACATTTGATCACCACCCTCAAAATATAATGGTAGTTTGGGGATTAGTAGTCTTTAGCTTAGATGATTATAGTCAAGTTTAAGTAGACTTTCCTTGGTCTAACTTTTTTCTGTCACAGTCATCCAGATTTTTAACAAACAAGATATTATAGAAGCTGCATGCAAGTCTATTTCTTCATTCATAGCAATCAAAGCCTAATTATTAAATGCTTACAGCTTTTCTTTGATGTTTAATATGTGAAAAGCAGTCTAGATTTCTCAAAGAGCACTATTTAAATAAAACTATCTCATTAGCTTGAAAAAAAGGAATAGTGTGGAGACTGTGGAAAAGTACTGTAGAGTTTACAAAAATACCGCATAATCTGTGAAACATTTGAAAAGCCCAAGGGCAAACAATTCACACAGTGAAGAATTAAACACATTTTAATATCTAGGAATCTAAGATCTTTTTGTTACACATTCAGGTAGTAGAAATCCTCTTTATTCTCTACCTCTGAAGTATGGCTCTTTTTGGAACATACATTTTGAGTTTAAAGGGGAAAAAAGTCAGTATAAGTTGGTAAAAGAATGATCATCTTTCTCATGGTCTCATCAAATAAAAACAAAGAGTGATAAGAAATTTGATGGCCAACTTTAGGACCTTTTTTTTTTTTTTGGTAAGTATACCAACAATTCATGAATACTATGCAAATTTCAACTAAAGATCTTTCATTCTTGCCAGTCCTCACTAGCAATCTGACCAGAATTTATCTTTGTTCAAAGATAATCTCACATAAAGTGATACTGCAGTCCTTATACAAAAATTACTCTAAGGTCTTATCATTTAAAAAGTGTAAAGACTCAGGTGTAAAATGTCAGCATTCTGGCACTATTCTAAGGAAGACACTGAAAATTAGGGCAGAGTATTTTTAAACCAATAGGCTTGTAAACCTATACCTGGTATATAAAGTTCTGGCTTACTTTGCCAATGGTCATCTGTTGCAGATGCTTCAAGAGAAGAGTTGCTGGAAAAAACACATCAAGTGTAGAAGACGTGTTCAAAAATAGAAAATACTGCCCTTGATCTACGAACTCTCTTCAAAGGAAGTTTTAACATTTTAAGTCTTCAGAGTCTTTAAATGTGAACTGGAAAATGTGGAAACTGGAAAATAATTACTTTGTGTGCTTTTTGTATGAGATTAAGGTCTCTACTATAGCAGAGTTCTTTACAAGGAATATGTAGGACAAGTCTAAAGACTGAAGCAAGAGGTAAGAACTTCACTTAACACAAACTTGATAACTGAAAACTTTAGTTATCACAGTATTTCATTCTGATGATAGTTTACAAGTCAATTAATGAAAATTGATTGGTATGTCTACATGAAAAAAAATTACCTGATTTAAAGCAAGTCTTAAAGTACCTGAATGCAAACTGATTACTTTTAAAGGTCTACTTGACTCTGTCTTACAGGAAAGTGAAAAAGATTAAATTCATGAATATAGCTTTAAAAACTGTGACTGCTTTAATTGTGATACTCGCAGAAACATGTAAACTACATTGATAAGGTAATAAAATTGTGAATGCTAAACTGTGTATTACTCACATAAGAAAAGGCATATATTACCATAATATGGACACAGTATCCGCAACAGTACCAAACATCAATTTTTCCTATACTTTTTCAGTAACCTGTACTATTTGACTTTCTTAAGCTTGGGTTTTTTGTTTTTTTTTTTTTTTAATGTTACTGTCTTCGGGTGATTAGCACATGCAAAATCAAACTGTAACTTCATCTTTTCTGTATGGCTGTAATAATTTGGTGGGGCATTTAAATAATTCTTCCTAATTAGATTTTCAACTCAGCGGTGGGGAAAAAGAAACACACACGCTGCAAAGTGAAACTTTCTCAATACAGGCATAAAACAAAAATGAAACTAAATAGCAAAGAGTGGGAGGGGTAGAAGAGATATAGGAGGAAAGAGGAAAAAACAGATTTCAAAAGCTAGTTATTTAAAAATGGGCAATTTTAACCAATTTTCCCAAATGGTAAAGCAGCTACTGAGTCAGAATTTTGTGGATATTTATGCAAATAAACAATTTCAATGTTTAGAATTTATTCCTCTATCCTTCCCACATTCACTACCTCTAATATCTAATAGCATTTTTTCAAGATAAGTAAACCACATACAGCACATGGAAACTAAGTAATTTATACTGACAACCCTTAAGACACCCTGAGTTCTTCTGTCCTTGAATTTGTCCTAGGACAACAGCATAGGTGACAAGCACTACCCAGAGATGCCGGGCTTGGATGCAGGCTGCCAATAAAAACTAAGCAAACTGCTTTAAGAAATGATCTGCAGCATGATCTAACTTCTCTGATTTAAAGGAAAAAAAAACCTATAAAATATAGATAATTCAATTATTTAAATATAACTTAGCCATAATATTCTAGGCTTTTACTGTAATATAAATTTTTGAATCTTAATTTTCAATATATAATTTGTTATAAATCAGTAATCTAGCTTTTATCAATTCATAAAACATACCAGTGATAATCCCATTCTATAAAATCCTGGGTAAAGCTCACATGCACAAAATAAAAATTGATAATCTTTATTACTACCCATAATAACTGTTCCTAATCCTAGTAACACAAAGCTTGTGGCTGTCAGTAAAACTGAGTCACATAGCCAACTGAATGAACAACCAAATTGAATCTTAGAGTGTTTCCCCTCAACCTGGAAAGAGACTTCTGAAGGTACTTTGCTTTTTCTCAACATCTACAGGTGAAACAAGAAGCTCTTAAAATTAGAACATATAAAATGTAATTTCTGAGACCTAAGACTCTTCAAAGTTTTGCACATTCATTTCTTCACAAATTATAAAGAAGTTTTGCATTATACTGGAACATTATTTTATTTCCTAAGTTTGTATTTCAAAATGCCCAAAATTTCAGTAAGTTATAGAATCAAATAAGAATCACATAAAGTTAGACAAGAGAAACTCATTTACATGAACCGTACACACTTACCCTGAAGGTAACCGGACGAGCTACACCAGCAAAAGAAAATTCTTCCTGTCTGAGAAGTACTAATATAGCACAAGGTGCAACTGAGGGCGGTTCCAAAAGCCTTGACTAAGCCCTATGCAAAAACCTTGTGACGCACTGCTGCACAGTACTTTATATATGCTCTTGGTTACAGCCTCGCTAGCTCTGAGCTAGTCACAAGTCAATCTACATAACATTATCAATTGAAGTTATGTGACGATTAAAGAGAAGGTAAATCTGTACTATTAGAACTGGCAACTGGCTCTGGAAAGAAAAGAGGAACCTCTACACTAACACTTAAAAACATTCCTTTCCACCTGGTTTGTCAGTGGTTTGTCAGTGTACTTCTGATATGTGAACTTTTCTGTATATTCTATTTTAATACAAAGTTAAAAAGATTAGGTTGCTGTTGCCAGGGCTGGAGGAGGAGGATGGGGAATTATTGCTCAATGGATAGAGTTTCAGTTTTAGAAGATGAAAAGAGTTCTGGAGTGGACAGTGGTTATGGTTGCACGGTAGTGTAGATGTACTTAATGCCACCAAATGAAATGCTTAAAAATGGTTTAAATGGTACGATTTATATTATGTATATTTTACCACTATTAAAAAAAAGATTAGCTCACTTAAAGTCCATAAACAAAAAGACATGATATATGCAAATGTGGTCAAAAAACTGTTAATAGTCTTTATCAAAGGGCAGTGGGATTTAAAGTAATTTTTATATTTTCTTATACTTTTAATAAGACCAGCCATAAAATCTGAAAATAAAAATTAATTTCTGTTTTTAAAAATGGGGGGAAAAAGTTCCTGCCTGTTAAAAATAAGAGCAGTCCAACTGTCATGAAGAAAAAAAAATTTTTTTTTTTAAAAGAGAACTAGTCTTGCTTTTAACCTGAGTAGTAGGGTGGCAATATGCTAATACCATGTGTCAGGACCTGATAGATAAGTTATGCCATGGGCTGTGGGAACCTTTATCATTAGGGAACATGGCTACACTACACTTATGTAAATAAATTTTTATTATCGGCTTTCTCTCTACTGTCCTCAGAGAAATCTAGTCTAGTAATATTTCAGTAATCAAATTTTGTGAAGTATCGTTCTCTATTAAAAACAACATGAAAAAAATTTTAAATTGCTGTTAAAAATGGTGTTAAAAAACTATCCAGGCTGGGTGTGGTGGCTCATGCCTGTAATCCCTGCACTTTGGGAAGCCTAGGCGGGTGGATCACCTGAGGTCAGGAGTTCGAGACCAACCTGGCTAACATGATGAAACCCCATCTCTACCAAAAATACAAAAAATTAGCCGGGCCTGGTGGCAGGCACCTGTAATCCCAGCTACTCAGGGTAGGAGAATCACTTGAACCCAGGAGGCGGAGGTTGCAGTGAGCTGAGATTGCGCCACTGCACTCCAGCCCAGGCAACAAGAGCAAAACTGTCTCAAAAAAAACAAAAAACAAAAAAACCCCAAAAAAACAAAAAACAAAACTATCCAAATTTGTATCTACCAAACGTGAAACCTTTGACACTGCTATCTTATTTAAATAAAATAATAAAATTCATAATGAAACACTCCTCTAAGAGGACAGCCTATTATCTCTAATCAGTAATGAAGACTCAAGGGCCACAAAGGGCTCCATTTCTAAAATATTTCTGTATTATGTATGAAAATGATGACTTAAATGTACTTTAATATTATTAGAGTTGACAATGGTAAGAATTTAAAATACATCACTTTGAAAGATGATTCACAGATCACTTTCAACAACCAAGAATATTGAAATGATAGTTCTACAATCTTTTTGGAGTGCAATTTAGAAATACTATTAAAAGCATTAGAAATATACATTCCCTTTGACACATCAATTTTGTGTCTAGAAATTTTTCCTAAAGAAATTAGGCAGTACACAAAACTTTAGCTGCCAGGACGTATACTGCAAATTTGTTTTATAATTCTGGGAAACTTGAAACAACCTAAATGGCCAATATTCAAATGTTCACTAATACAGAAGAGGTGAATAAGCTGTGATACATACAGAAAATATAAAATTATACTGCTCTTAAAAATGATTATTATGAATAGCTAAAATGTATTGTGTTTACTATGTGCCAGATGCCTCTAAGCACTTGACATTCCTTGTCTCATATAATACTTATAAACAACCCTAGAAGGTATGTGCTAGTATTATTTTCAATTTACTGGTGGGCAAATTAAGCCTTATACTTGATAAGCGGCAGAAATGGATTCTAACTCAGTTCTCTCTAACTTCAGAATCCATGTTTCAGATCACTGCACAGTACTGCTCCATGAGCTGAGTATTTACAGACATATGGTCTACTACTGATTGAAAAAAGTTATAATATCTACAGCAAGAGTCCAATTTGAGAAGGAAAAATCTTTATACAAGTATAGGAAAGTTTAAAATAGAATACATAAGACAGTATTTGTAATGACATTAAGGGGCCATTTTTACAACCTGAGTTTTAGAAAATAAATGTGCTCCTTGGGAAATTTAAATAGCGTGTTAAAAACGTCATAGGAGTAGCACCCATCATGTCCATAATCAGAAAATAAAGTTAAAAACCCAGTCAACATCATATAGTTGGATTGTCTGAAACAATGTTTCTAATGGAGACACAGAAGCAAGGAATCCAGCCAGCTTTGTCGGCTCCAAAACAAAACACTTTATGGCATGAAAAGATGGCTGGTATCTTATCAAGAGGAGTGTTGGTCTCTAAGGGTAGGTGGTTTGGGCTCTGCTGGTGTGTGTGCCTGTCCTGCTAGTCTGATTCTAAGGAGAACAGAGAAGAGAGGGAATATGGATGTCGCTTCCTGTCCATAAGGAACTTCATCTTTTTAATTCCACCCAGTGTGTATGTGGTAGGAGTGGGGTGGGAGTGAGATAGTGGGACTGGTGGGGTGTCCCTGGAAGAGGGACTAACATGTATCAAGCACTTTCTTGCTTTTTCAAAGTCCCAGAAGCATGCGATGGCCCTTTACATACATTGTAATTTAATTGGTGTAATTTTAAGAGAAAAATAATACTTCCTCCCTTTTTATAGATAAAGAATCTGAAGTCAGGAGAAGTTAAGTCACTTACTACTTATGTGACTTAATGTACAAGAGTTGGGACACTTTTTTTTTTCTTTTTTTTTTGAGACAGAGGTTCACTCCCGTTGCCCAGTCTGGAGTACAATGGCGCTATCTGGGCTCACCGCAACCTCTGCCTTCCCAGGTTCAAGTGATTCTCCTGCCTCAGCCTTCCTGAGTAGCTGGGATTACAGGCATGCACCACCAAGCCCAGCTAATTTTGTATGGGACACATTTTGAACCAAACTATATCAGGCTGTCTCTGGGCAACACATAACATGAGAGGGCTTGAGAAGTCTATGAATGAGTAAGAATGTTTAAAAAATATGCCACAAGAAAGGAATAAGGACACAAGCAAAGCACTGAATCAAAGACACTGAATGTTGTTTCTAATAGCTCTAGGGCACTTAAAAAAATTTTTTTTGAGAAGGGATAGAAAGGATATGGAAGTACGAAGTTGTAAAGACAGGTTCTTTAACTGCACAATGGACTTTCACCTCTGTACACAATAAATGGGGCCTGTTGCCTTGGAGTTTTATTTACTCATTGACATAGAAACAGAAATCACTCCTATCACTCCTAGCGGCAAACTCTGGATCTGAAATTCATATGTCAAAGAGCACAGCACTTGTACAGAATTCACAAATGGAAGATTTTTTTTCCTCCCCTTTTAACGCTGAAACTGGATGTCTTTATCAATGGAAAAAGGGATATCCATTTTTATTTCTGAGTAACTAGTTAAGAGCTTTTTAGATAGTCAATTATTCAATCAACTTGAAAAACTAAAAATTATCACTTCATATTTTGCCATCAAAAGATTTCTTAGAAATTCCAAATAATGAAAAAACAAAAAGCCCACAGAAAACCAAATATATGAATTTAAGCTTTAATAACTTATTATTTGTCTTTAACATTGAGACAGGGAAGTAAACAAAGGTACTGCATTAATTAAAAGTTGCATGTAAAAGAAATCACATCATAATCCCACATAAAACTTGTAGCAAGTATTTTTACTTCTCAACAATACAATCTACACTTGCCTACTAATTTACAGTTGGGCTACTATAATCCAATTACCTTTCCAACAAGGAATGTATTTTTAAACTTAAATTGGATGACACCCTAGGAAGTTATTCCAAACAAAACAATGAAGCTGCCATATACGGAAGACAATTTAGTAGAAGATGAGATGCAATAGTCTCTATACTGACTCTTGCAAAACTTGTTCTTGCTAATTGCTGCATGATGTAAATAGAAAGATGATTTTTTTAAACATGCAAAACATCAGTCTAGGTATGTGACTTCTCTTCAAACTTCCCTGAAGACAACAGTGAACTGACTTCAATATTATGACTATTCAAAATAGAACTGAAACAAGGTACTATAAATGTTTATATGAATACGGTTTAAAATGTATAAGGAGCAGAAAACAGAGATGAAATAATCATTTATCATATTTTTTGAAAATGAATGGCAAATGAAAAATTTTTTTTTTTTTTTGAGACGGAGTCTCACTCTGTCACCCAGGCTGGAGTGCAGTGGCACGATCTCGGCTCACTGCAATCTCCGCCTCCTGAGTTCAAGCGATTCTTCTGCCTCAGCCTCCCGAGTAGCTGGGACTACAGGCGTGCGCCACCACACCTGGCTAATTTTTGTATTTTTAGTAGAGATGGGGTTTCGCCATGTTGTCAGGCTGGTCTCGATCTCCTGACCTCATGATCCGCCCACCTTGGCCTCCCAAAGTGCTGGGATTACAGGCGTGAGCCACCGCACCCGGCCCTCATTTTTTTTTTTAATTAAAATTTTTTTTAAAAAAACATAGAGACAGGGTCTCATTATGTTGCCCAGGCTGTAGTACGGTGGCTATTCACAGGCATGACCCCACCACTGATCAGCTTAGGAGTATGGACCTGCTCTGTTTTCAACCAGGGCTAGTTCACCCCTCCTCAGGCAACCTGGTGGTCCCCTGCTCCCAGGAGGTTCCTATATTGATGCCGAACTTAGTGCAGACACTTGATTGGCACAGCACACTAAAGCTTGGAACTCCTGGGCTCAAGTGATCCTTTCACCTCAACCTCCCAGGGACCATAGGCGCTAGGCCAGTACGCCCAGCCTCATGTTTTTTATCATTTAAGATCACTGCAAAAACTTATCCTAGTAGATGACTGTGAGTGAGACTGATTGCAGCCTTATGAATTTACAGACATATGTATATGCAAACTGATGAGAACCTATGGTTCCCATCTCAATGTATTTCTTAAACTTTGCAAAAATCTAGGCCTGGGGCTGAGGCTCACATCTGTAATCCCAGCACCTTGGGAAGTCGAGGTAGAAGGATTGCTTGAGCCCAGGAGTTTGAGACCAGCCTGGGCAACATACAGAGGCCCTGTATCCACAAAAAATGTTAAAAAATTAGCCAAGTGTGGTGGCATGTGCCTGTAGCCCCAACTTCTCAGGAGGCTGAGGTGGAAGGATCACTTCAGCCCAGAAGGTAGAGGCTGCAGTACAATCATGCCACTGCACTTCAGCCTGTGTGACAGGGGGAGGTTGTCTCAAAAAAAAAAAAATTGCAAAAATCTAGATCAAGTAATTTAATTTTCAAAAACTCAAGTAAAATTGTTGAACATGAACTATATCTTTTTTACTTTCTTACTTAAAAAGCATTAAATTCTGTTTTAAACTTTTAGCAGAAATGACACTGATGTTACAATAGGTAGGTCAGGTTCAAGAAAATAGGATGTAAGACAATAACATAAATGAAGGGAGTCTTTCCTGGCTCTCCTTTCAAATGCCATATGTTTGAATATTTCAAGATGCTTAGCACTGACTTTTTTTTTTTTTTTGGAGATGGAGTCTCATTCTGTCGCCCAAGCTGGAGTGCAGTGGTGCAATCTTGGCTCACTGCAGCCTCTGCTTCCCGGGTTCAAACAATTCTACTGCCTTAGCCTCTGGAGTAGTGGGGACCACAGGTGCACCCTGCCACACCTGGCTTCTTTTTTTTTTTTTTTTAAGAGTCGGGTCTTGCTATGGGGTGTAGTAGGTTGGTCTTGAACTCCTATGCTCAAGCGATCCTCTCACCTCAGCCTCCCGAATCTTTTTATTTTATTATAGCTGAATCTCTATGATTGAAATGAAACAAGATGAAAAGCTTTCTGTTTTAATTTTGGACTCCTTCTACATCTCACAATTGGTATTCCTGCCCTTAAAAAGAAACAAACAATATTGTTTAAGATCACTATTTTGTTATAAGTTAAATTAAAAATGGCAAAAAGGTAATGCAATTTAAGCTTTTATTATTGGTGCACTATATCGAGTACATCTAAATGAGGAGTAAAAAGTTAAGATTTAACTTACTACCCTTCCTTCTTACTGTGCCACATAAACACATTAAGTAAATACTAAGGCAAGAGAACAATAAACAAAATTATTTTGAGATTTAAATTCATGAATTAATAGTAACTAGTAGCAAAATTATCTGAAATCATATGAAGGACTGGCGGGTGATAACTTGAGTTGAATACTATGCATCAATTAAATACATTTTTAAATAGTTATGATATCCATGTGATATAATAGCATAAATACAATATAGTTATGAAAATATAAGTATAAATTTATAAACAAATTAAGTAAACAATCTTGATTTAAAACATTACAGAATGACTTCATTTGGGTAAAAAAATTATACTTAATTATATACATAGAAAAATAAAGGAAGTACACTTACTAAAACGGGGGTCTTTTAAGGTGGTGAAAATTATAGATTTCTTTTGCTCATCTAGATTCACTTTTATATCAACGTGTATTGTATGATATAAAAAGAATCAATACAAAATAAAATAGATAAATTATTTATTTATTTGAGACAGGGTCTCACTCTATCACCCAGACTGGAGTGCAGTGGTATGATCTTAGCTTACCAGCCTCAACCTTCTGGGGTCAAGTGATCCTCCTGCCTCAGCCTCTCAAGTAGCTGGAACTATAGGCATGTGCCACCACACCTGGCTTTTATATGTGTATGTGTGTGTGTGTGTGTGTGTCTTTTGATTTCTTACTTAAATAGGATTAAATTCTGTATTTAAATAAACTTTTAGAGGAAATGACATTTATGTTGCAATAGGTAGGTCAGGTCCAAGAAAACAGGATGTAAGATAATACCATAAATGGCGTCTTCATTTATAGTATTGATACATTTGATTTGTGTGTGTGTGTGTGTGTGTGGTTTTTTTTTGATGTATTTGATTTTTAGTAGAGATGAGGTCCCCTTATTTTGCCCAGGCTGGTCTCTAACTCTTAGGCTCAGGTGATCCTCCTGCCTCCACCTCCCAACGTGCTGGGATTACAGGTATGAGCCACCTTGCCCGGCCTGGTAAATAGTTTAAAATAAACAAATTCCTTATAAAAAGCTGGATCATAATTCAGGTACTCATGAGTCCAATTATTAAGACTTCTTTAAAGTTAGGTCACATGACTGGAAACCCATGAATGTGGACCTCATAAGTTAGTTTTCTGAAATCTATAGTGAATCACATGATCGATCTATGCTTGCTATAAGTGTACTAGAGGGGATTCAAAAGTGGGTAAAACATATATGAAAGCTTTATTATCTATAGTAACTTATGTTTCTTGCATAGTTTTAGCCAAATTAAATTTCAGTAGCTCAAAATTAAATAATTATATATGCAATGCCTCCAAGACCCCCGGGTCACTTTAATCATCTCCAATGATTATGGCAGGCATTCAGGGGATCAGGCCCTGTTTTCTACAGTGCTAAGTGCTCAGGTTACAAATTGTTGCTCAAAATTTGGCATAATGCTGGATATCTCCCCATATCCCATCTTTTTAAACTTTAAGAAAGATGTATGACATCACCAAACATTCTGCTATCTCCAAATCTGAGGGCTCAAATGGAATATTGTTTAGAGATAATTTTTTAATGCATTACATAATTAAATCTACTTTAAGAGAGTATCATGTCTAAAAGTAAGTTGAACAAAATTAGCTTTATTAACAGAAGGGAGAAGATAGGACAATATGTATTGAATAACTACTACGTGGTAAGCACTGTTTACAACTTTATGTATATCATCTCTTTTTCAATCTTAATCCAGGAAGGCACTTAGAATAGTATACTGTTAGAATTCTCCAAAATATAATTACTTTAAAACATCAAGTGAAATAAAATACAAACACTAAGAACATATTCTTTATTAATTATTATTATTAGGCCTTATAGCAACATTGCCTGACAAAGTCAAAATACATTCTTAATATAATACCCTGAAGTAAACAAGGCATAAGAGTATTTAGGTGAATCATCCCCATTCTAGATAACTGGAAATTGAAGCTTAGAAAAGTTTAGTATCTTGTCCAAGGATAAACCATTAAAATGTGGCAGAGCTGAGATTTGAACCAAGGACTTACCAACTACTAAACTTTCAAAGACCACCCCATTCCCTTACAAGATTGTCTTCTGTTCAAGCCATAGATTCTATAACTTGTTAAAGGAAAAAGATACTGTATATCATTACTAAATAAGCCACACACAAAGAATTACAGAATAAAAATTATGGAACACTAGAGTTTCCTATCTTACCAAAATTAGGAACATGTGACAAAATCTCTTTTATGTACATATTGTACACAAAATAGAATTTTTATTCTATTTATCTAGCTTAGAAAGACATCAAAATTTTAAAAATTGACAACAGGCCGGGCACAGTGGCTCACGGCTGTAATCCCAGCACTTTGGGAGACCGAGACAGGCAGATCACAAGGTCAGGAGATCGAGACCATCCTGGCTAACACGGTGAAACCCCGTCTCTACTAAAAATACAAAAAAATTAGCCAGGCGTGGTGGCAGGTGACTGTAGTCCCAGCTATTTGGGAGGCTGAGGCGAGAGAATGGCGTGAACCCGGGAGATGGAGCTTGCAGTGAGCCAAGATCGCACCACTGCACTCCAGCCTGGGCGACAGAGGGAGACTCCATCTCAAAAAAAAAAAAAAAAAAAAAAATTACATAAAAATTGGCAACAAATGTACACCTGCTTAAATTACCCAAACAGGGAAACTTTATCCAAAAGCTTCAGAGTACAAGAATCAAACGAATGCTGACTGTGCTACTTAACTAGCTATTTCCTAAGTGAGTTAACAGAAAATTAGGAAAGTAACTACAGCTAGACTGTGTTTTAAGGACTAAATAAATGCGTAGAGTATACTTGGTCAACGTAGGCACCTCTAAATTTTAGTTTTTCCCTAGTTACCAAACAATAGCACAGTGCCAAATTAACCCAAATGGGAGTCAGTTTCTAACTGCTTTCTAGTTCTAGTCCCAGTGAAGCCTCCTTTTTTCTTAAGCCGACTATAGTAAGTTTCTATTTTGCAACATTTTGCTATGCTGTATATAATGCTTGGGTTCTCAACTTTTTCCTGTCTCACTGAATTTTATCTAGCAACTTGTTCCCTTAGAACCCTAACCATTTGACAGAGAAATCCAGATAGACTGAAAAACTGATCTTTTTCACTGGGAAAAGTCTGCCTAACTAATGATATCGGAGATAAGGCAAAGGAGAAGGCTATGCCTTCTGACAAGGCAGTAGAGAAGACAGAATGGGGACAGGAAGGATCTTGCAAGCACTGGCTCTCTACTTCCACCTAATTACAAGAAGGAACTTGGCAAACAAATGAAGCAACTCTTTAATGAACTGCTAAACTACTTTGTAATCTATCAGCACCTTGAAAATGAGGAAGATAAACAACATATATGAAAAAAATGACAAAATGGCATTTAAGTCTATAATGGCAGAAAGTTGTCTTACTTGGTTTAAATTGTATAGATTAATGGTTTAAGCAACTCTGAGAGTTAACATAAAAGTGCGTAACACAAGAAAGATAATTTGATATAGAATAGCAGTGTGTCACAATGGCCAGAGAAGTCTGCCACCTGCTGATGGAAAAACTGAATTGTATAGATTTCCCTACTGCTGTTTTTAAGGAGAGAAAAAAAACCTATCAGGTATGGTTTAATGACATTACATGTCAAGTTGTTAGGCTGAAGATATAAACTACAACCTCTAATTTAAAAGAGAATAAAGATTAAAATAGGACTTAAGATTCTTTATATATCTCTCTCTTTAATAACTCTCTCTAAATATGTAATACCTGAACTATTTTTATTTTTATTTTTTATTTATTTATTTTTTTTGAGATGGAGTCTCACTCTGTTGCCCAGGCTGGAGTGCAATGGTGCAATCTTGGCTCACTGCAACCTCTGCTTCTGGGGTTCAAGTGATTCTCCTGCCTCAGCCTCTTGGGTAGCAGGGATTACAGGCATCTGCCACCACTCCCAGATAATTTTTGTATTTTTAGTATAGATGGGGTTTCACCATGTTGGTCAGGGTGGTCTCGAACTCCTGACTTTGTGATCCGCCCGCCTCGGCCTCCCAAAGTGCTGGGATTATAGGCGTTAGCTACCACGCCTGGCCAACTGAACTATTTTTAAAGCAAACAAAAGAGGTAAATATGGAAACTATTTAACATAAAATACACAGGAACATTCAAACTACTATGAACATTAAGGATAATCCAAAACACTGTGCAAAAAATATAAAGTCCTATAGATTTCACCTCTGCAATCCATCTCTTTTCTGTCTTCCTCTTTCTACTGCTCCCATAACAGTTTAATACTTCATTATCTTTAATACAGGCTTATTTTAATTCCTGCTCCCCACCTCCAGATTCTAATAATATTAATTTAGTGCGTGCTCAGTTATCAGTTTAATTGTATCAAAACACATTCCAGATGGTATCACTTATTTTAAAAACCATACCCAAAGCCTCTCTAGCAAATAAATTGCAAATATCTTATACTAATAGAGATGTTCTACAATGTGGTCCCAACACACTTTAAAAAATCTTGTTGCTTTTAAAAAACCGATTTAAAAAATATATAAAAGCAATACATGCTCATGATATGTCAAACAATATAAAAAGTTAAAGGATGAAAAAGTTGAAGTCTCCCTTCCTGGTCTCATCCTCCCAAGTCCACTGTCATTAGTAAAACTAGAAACAGCTTCTAAAGTTTTTGTTTTGTTTTGTTTTGTTTTGTTTTTTAATTTCCAATGACATAAGGATATACATGTGTATTTCTTTTGGGAGCACAACTGTTCTGCAACTTGCCTTTTCCCCTTGTCACCATTTCTTGAGCTTTTTAAAATGTTAACATAGCCCGGTACAGTGGCTCACACCTGTAATCCAAGCACTTTGGGAGGCTGAGGCAGGTGGATCACCTGAGGTCAGGAGTTCGAGACCAGCTTGGCCAACATGGTGAAACCTCGTCTCTACTAAAAATACAAAATTAGCCAGGCGTGGTAGCAGGTGCCTGTAATACCAACTACTCAGGTGGCTGAGGCACCACGAGTATCACTTGAAGCTGGGAGACAGAGGTTGCAGTGAGCCAAGATCGCATCACTACACTCCAGCCTGGGCAACAGAGAGAGACTCGGTCTCAAAAAAAAAAAAAAAAAAAAAAAAAGTTATACAGATTTTTTTTTCACAGCTGCCCAATATTTTATTATACAAATGCACCATCATTCATTTAACCAATGTATACTGCCTTTAATAAAGTAAATGAAAGTACCTATTTTTCTATATCCTCATCACTCTCTCTTTATACAGTAATTGTCTGGCAGCACCGATTCTATTATTTGTGAGCAAGTAACCTGGAAGTTTTGTTACACATAAAATTTGCATTTTGCTGTAGTAAGAATTTTAATTGTTTACTTAAATGATTCTCAAGCTTTAGCACACATCACAATCACCTGCAGGCTTGTTAAAACAGACTGCTGGGTCCAACCTCAAAGTTTCTGATTGTTTGTCTGGAGTAGGACTAGATAACTCGCATATATAACAAGTTCCTGCTCAATGTTGATGCCATGGTCTGGGACCACTCTTTGAGTACCATTGGTGTAAAACACTAGTATATGGGATCCTGTATTTCAAAATAAGGTTTCATCCTTCTCTAGTTGTCATGGTTTATATAACCAGCTCTTAGGAGCCTTAGCCAGGTTGTAAAAAATTGCTGTATTGTAGGAAAAAATGCCCACCTCTTGCCCGCCAATCAATGGCTAGTATTGGTAACCGAGGTGAAGAAAGTAAAAGGATCTAAAGATGTAATGAGCCTGGGCAACATAACAAGACACTGTCTGTTTTTGTTTTTGTTTTTTTTCGAGACAGAGTCTTGCTCTGTTGCCCAGAGCTGGAGTGCAATGGTGTAATTTTGGCTCACGGCAACCTCTGCCTCCCGGGTTCAAGTAATTCTCCTGCCACAGCCTCCTGAGTAGCTGGGATTACAGGTTTGTGCCACCACGCCTGGCTAATTTTTGTATTTTTAGTAGAGACAGGGTTTCACCATGTTGGCCAGGCTGCTCCAGAACTCCTGACCTCAAGATCTGCCCACCTTGGCCTCCCAAAGTGCTGGGATTACAGGCGTGAGCCACCGTGCCCAGCCACAAGACCCTGTCTCTAAAAATAAAATTAGTCAGGCATGGTGGCACATGTCTGTAATCCCAGCTACTTGGGAGGCTGAGGGGGGAAGACGGTTTGAGCCCAGGAGGTCGAGGTTGCAATGAGCTATGATTGTACCACTGCACTCCAGCCTGGCTCACAGACTGTGATCCCATTTCTTAAAATAAATAAATAAATGACTGAAAGAAAGAAAGAAAGAAGTAATGGCTTTTAGTCAGAAAAAAATTTGTGAATAAATTTAAAATTAAGTATCCAGTTCAAAGGGGACTCCATCTGTTAGGTAAATGAATTCACAACAAAAGGAAAGAGAAAAAAAATTGTAAAGCTAAAACTGTTTCAGGAAGGAGCTGTTTCTAGCTAATATACAAGTAGCTCACTAGATAAGAGAACAACTTTGCATTAAAGTTGAAAATGTGGTTAACTTGTGGCATATGGATAATCTACAGGAAACCTGACAAACATGATTTGAAAGGACAAAGTCATACATGCCTGGTACAAACATTTCCACGTTTACAAATTTGGGAATTCAAGATCATCTTGAATATAGCCTTTGATAATGTTGAGTTTAATGGGCTGGGCATGGTGGCACATGTCTGTAATCCCAGCACTTTGGGAGGTAGAGGTAGGAGGATCGCTTAAGCCAGGAGTTTGAGACCAGGTGGGCAACATGGCAAAACCCCATCTCTACAAAAAATACAAAAATAAGCCAGGCATGGTGGCATGCACCTGTAGTCCCAGCTACCTGGGAGGCTGAAGTAGGAGGATCACTTGAGTCAAGCAGGTCAAAGCTGCAGTGAGCCATGATGGTGCCACTGCACTCCAGCCTGGGTGGCAGAGTAAGACCCTGCCTCAAAAAAAAAAAAAAAGAATTTAATGTATTTCTCTGTTTTTCAAACTGGAACAATCATGATTTTTATCCTTCAAACATCACCACAGCCATGAATCATTATGCAATGTCATTTCCTGTTTCTTTATCACATAGCCTTTTGTTGCTATGTCTCACAACCTTACACAGGTTGAGAGTATCCTTTACCCAAACTGCTTGGGACCAGATTTCGGGTATTTTGGGATTTTGGAATATTTGCACATACATTATATCTTGGGGATGGTGCCCAAGTTTAAATATGAAATTCATTTATGTTTCACATCTACCTTATATACATGGCCTAAAAGTAATTTTATAAAATATTTTACACAATTTTGTGGCTAAAACAAATTTGTGTACTCTTAACCATCAGAAAGCAAAGGTGTCAATATCTCAGCCACTTGTGTGGCATCATGTCAGCGTTCAAAAAGCTTCAGATTTTGAAGAGTTTTGGATTTCAGATTTTCAGATTAGGGATGCTCAATCTGCATTCATTTTGGAGTACTGTTAGGTCTATAGTTTTGAAGCTAGTTGTGACACATAATTGGGAGATTAGCTTCCACATCTCACTAGGACATACAAAGGAGGTGGCTATGTGTTGAGAGCTACTTAAAATCTAGATATTTCAAGTGTGAATGAATATATCTTTACTCGGGGTAAACAAAAGATACATGCTATCGGGCATGGTGGCTCACACCTGTAATCCCAGCATTTTGGGAGGCCAAGGCGGGCGGATCACCTGAGGTCAGGAGTTCAAGACCAGCCTGGCAAATATGGAGAAACCTCATCTCTCCTAAAAATACAAAAATTAGCTGGGCGTGGTGGTGCCTGTCTATAGTCCCAGCTACTCGGGAGACTGAGGCATGAGAATTGCTTGAACCTGGGAGGCAGAGGTTGCAGTGAGCTGAGATCATGCTACTGCGCTCCAGCACAAAGCGAGACTTGGTGTCGGAAAAAAAAAAAAAGAAGACAGAAGCTGTTCTGAGTTTGTGTTCTCTACTGCTGTATTATAAGTAACCAATTAATGGACTCTCTCCCTTTCTTTCTTACTAATAATATCTCATTTTTGTTGGAAGGTGGCAAATGTGCTCAATCAGAAAACAATTCTTCAACTTCACTTACATAAGGGTAGCCATATAACCTTGTTCTCTCCAATTATCTGTAAGCAGAAAATTCAGCTTGACTGAAATAGGTATTTTCTTCCCTGATTCCACCTTTCTGCTGCCTGAAACATGGACGCATTGGCCATGACTGGAACGACCATCTCACGACCATGAAGAAAAGACAAGGGAAATGTCAAAGACCTATGCCTTGGTATCCTTATGGCCCTAATTAACACAAGCAACTGCCTGTTTTTTGGAATTGTCATTCCATTAGAAAAATAAAATTTACTGTTTACTGAAGCCACTGTTTTGGGGTCTCTCTTTCTCTTAGTCAAGTGCAACTAATTTTTAAAGAGACCAGCTAGTCAGGTGGCTCATGCCTGCAATCCCAGCACTTTGGAAGGCTGAGGTGGGAAGATTGCTTGAGCCCAGGATTTTGAGACCAGCCTGGGCAACACAGCAAAGTCTTGTCTCTACAGAAAACAAAAAATTAGCCAGGCATAATGGCTCATGCCTATATTCCCAGCTACCTGGGAGGCTGAGGCAGGAGGAATACTTGAGCTCAGGAGTTTGAGGCTACAGTGAGCTATCATCATGTCATTGCATTCCAGCCCAGGCAACAGAATGAGACCTTGTCTCAAAAATAAATAAGACTAAAAGAAAAGCACCCATTCCAACCCTCAAGGAACATAAATAATAATAAACAATATGAGACACTGTATAAATTGCTAAATTATGAGAAATCATCAGGAAATGCCAAAGGAATTCAGAGAAAATGTTTTACAAAACAAATCAAGAATTCAAAACAGGTCCTAAAAAGTCATAAATCTAAGCACTGATATAAATTAGATAAAAATTGAGATATGGAGATATTTTAAAAGTCTGTCCAGGTATGGTGGTTCACACCTATAATCCCAGCACTTTGGGCAGCCAAGGCAGGAAGACTGCTTGAGCCCAGGAATTTAAGACCAGCCTGGGCAAATAGTGAGACCCCGTCTCTACCAAAAAAAAAAAAAAAAAAAAAAAAAAAAAAAAAAAAAAAAAAATTTAACTTAGCCAGGTGTGGCGCCACATGCCTGTAGTCCCAGCTACTTGGGAGGCTGAAGTGGGAGGACTGCTTGAGCCCACGAGTTTGAGGCTGCAGTGAGCCATGATCGCTTCATTGCACTCCAGCCTGGCAGCAGGGTGAGACCTAGTCTCAAAAATAAAATAAAATAAAGTCTATTTGATTCACTAAAGCAGTTGTTTAAAACTTGGGTTGCTTCTCCCTTCTTTTTTAAAACACAGACTCAATAGTGGGCTTTCGATTCACTCAGTATAATACCCAGAAAACATGTGATATTTTCTTTGTTTTTTTTGAGATGGAGTTTTGCTCTTGTTCCCCTGGCTGGCGTGCAATGGTGTGATCTCCGTTCACTGCAACCTCCGCCTCCTGGATTCAAGTGATTCTCCTGCCTCAGCCTCCCGAGTAGCTGGGATTACAGGCATGTGCCACCATGCCCGGCTAATTTTTTGTATTTGTAGTAGAGATGGGGTTTCTCCATGTTGGTCAGGCTGGTCTCGAACTCCCAACCTCAGGTGATCCGCCCGCCTTGGCCTCCCAAAGTGCTGGGATTACAGGTGTGAGCCACCGCACCCGGCCCTTTTTTGTTTTTTTAACTGCTCCTTGAGGAGCAGGGCTAACTCATAGGCAATGCACCCAGAGTTGGCCTATATTGTCTTAAAGTGGAAGAAGGGAAGAAGTTTTTGTTAACAGTTTATTTACTAGGACCAGGCACAGTTGGTACACACCTGTAATCCCAGCATTTTGGGAGGCCAAGATGGGTGGATCTCTTGAGCCCAGCAATCTGAGAACAGCCTGGGCAATGTGGCAAAACCCCCATCTCTACAAAAAAATACAAAAATTAGTTGGGCGTGGTGGTGCGTGCTTTAGTCCTGGCTACTCTGAAGGCGAGATGGGAGGATGGCTTGAGCCCAGGAGGTGGAGGTTGCAGTGAGCTGAGATTCAACCACTGCACTCCAGCCTGGGTGATCGAGTGAGACCCTGCCTCAAAAAGAAAATAAAATAAAAAAAGAAGTTTATGTCCTAGAAAGAAACACAGTATGCTAAAGTTTTAAAAAAACCACATCAGCTACTTAAGTAATAGTTGACATTAACAACAAAGCAATAAATTGTTGAGATATGTTTAAATTGGAAATGACCATTTTTAACTGGTTGTAGAGGTTCTAGTGATCGTTCCATCTCCCCTATCCCCCACATCAGCTACTTAAGTAATAGTTGACGTTAACAACAAAGCAATAAATCGTTGAGAGATATATTTAAATTGGAAATGACCATTTTTAACTGGTTGTGGAGGTTCTAGTGACCATTCCATCTCCCCTATCCTGCTGTCTAAATAATTTCCTCCCTTCCTCGTTGGTTTTTAGGGGCTAAGCTTAAGACTACACATTCATTCTAGTGTTGTGCTTGCATTTTACTTCACTGGATAAATACTCTACTTTAGAGAATTTAATAAAGGATATTAGAATAACTGAATAAGATTAAGCAATCTCATTTTTTTTTCCTTTTGGCTCTTTCTTTGAATTCTAGTCTCATCCTCTTTTTGGTAGCTTTATTAGAGAAAAACTGAAAATTTGCTGATAAAAATAGAATACATTCTGATATTGCAGGAGAAATTAGAAAAGAAGTCGGTATGTAACATTTGAAAGAGGTGTCATTTAGTAGGAAAAATCAGATTAACTGGATAGAAGTAATGAATGAAGTAGGTGGAGGCAATTAATCTAAGGCTGTAAATAATAAGATGTAATATAATGAGAATATGGAGAGTAAGTAACTATAATTCAGTATGAATAGTACACTTTTATTATTTTTTTATTTTATTTTATTTTATTTTGAGATGACATCCTGCTCTGTCACCCAGGCTGGAGTGCAATGGTGCAATCTTGGCTCACTGCAACCTCTGCCTCCTGGTTTCAAGCGATTCTCCTGCCTCAGCCTCCCAAGTAGCTAGGATTACAGGCACCCGCCACGACGCCCAACTACTTTGTTTTTTTATTTTTAGTAGGGACGGGGTTCCACCATGTTGGTCAGGCTGGTCTTGAACTCCTGACCTCAGATGATCCACCCGCCTTGGCCTCCCAAAGTGCTGGGATTACAGGCGGGAGCCGCCGCGCCTGGCCCAGAGTAGTACACTCTTTCAGAAAGACAGAGATGTTCCGTATTCCCCTCAAAAGGCATCTGTCCACATCTCCCCTAGAACTTTGCTAGACTGATTATTTTTTCTCCTCCTCTTATCTTTAACCATTTGCTTTTCACTACTCCTCTGCCCACCAACATACTTCTGTGCCAACCATTCGAAAAACAAAACAAAATACCCATCCTCAGCACAACTACTTCCTCTGCCCAAAAGTCATTTTTTAGTTGTCTTCACATCATTGTTTTACCAACGGCGGCTCAACCCACTGCTACCATAGCCTTTCAGACCAACTTCTGATCTTGTCATCAACTTCTGACCTTAGAGAAGATGGACATAGCTAATTCTGCCCCTTCTTTTGGAAACATTTCCTGTTATTCCACCTCTGACAGCTTTCAGCATCTTTACTGAACTTGGCATTGCCAAGTTTTCTGTTTTCTTCTCGCTGTAAAACTATGGATGAGAAATAATATCCAGCTCCACACTGGCCATTGAGAGGCTAGACATTAGGGAAAATATTATTTCTAGCCTCAATTTATCTTTAGAGCTCCAGCCTTCCATTTTCAGTTGCTATTGCTAATAATAACAATAAGTAATGTATATATTGGTTACTCTGGGCCAGGCACTTTTCTAAGCACTTTAAATATATTAACTATTTCATGAACATTTCTAGTTGGTCATTCCTTGATCATCTCAAATTTCATATGACTTAAAGTGAACTTGTGATTCCACATTTCCCTTACCTCCTGGCTACTTTCCAAACCTGCCATTTTTTCCTTCTCTTCATCTTGGCTAATAATATAACCAGAATCAGCAGTTACCTGATAATCTTAAAGTTATTTCTCCTTACAATTAATCCCTTTATCTAATGATCACAAATAATAAGCTCTGAAAGAAAGCAATTATGTTCTAGGCACTGTGTTATCTCATTTAATCTTCACAACCTATGAAGTAGGTACTATCATTATCTCCCAATTAATAGATGAAAAATGGGAGATTCAGAGAGGTTAAGTAATTTGCCCAAGGTCACATGGCTTGATAAATGAGAAAAACTAGATTCAAAACTAGGTTTGTATGACTCTACAGTCTGTGCACAAAGTCCCGTTGATTTTATCTCGGAAATGTTTGTCTCCTGATCCCTTATTTCCATACCTGTTGCTAGTGCCATAGTTTAAGATCTCTAATCATCTTTCGCAAGCAATACTACCAACCTCCTAAATTTATTTCTTTCCAGGATCTTCCCTTCCAGTCCACCTTATCTCATCTTCATAAAACATACTGTTGGGTTTTTTGTTTCTCTGTTTTGAGACTCTGGGTGACTCTGTCACCCAAGCTTGAGTGCAATGGTGTGATCACGACTCACTGCAGCCTCGACCACCTTGACTGAAGAGATTTCACCTTCGGCCCCTAAGTAGGTGGGACTACACTACAAGTGTGTGCCACTGCACTGGCTAAAATCTTTATTTTCTGTAGAGAAAGGGTCTCCCTATGCCGCCCAGGCTGGTCTCGAACTCCTGGGCTCAAGGGATCCTCCCGCCTCAGCCTCCAAAAGTGCTGGGATTGCAGGCGTGAGCCACTGTACCCTGCCAAAGCAAACCTTTGATGATCCTTTGTTGCAAAATAAAGAGCAAACTCTTTATAATGGCTTTACAAAATTCCTTTACAATTCAGTTTCTTGATCCCATTCCGTATCTTGCTTTCCTTCTTTTTTTTTTTTTTTTTTTTTTTTTTGAGACAGGGTTCTCCCACCTCACCCTCCCAAAGTGCTGGGATTACAGGTGTGAGCCACCATGCCTAGCCATGACTGGCTTCTTCTGTACATTAATCTTGCTGCCCTATGGGATATTTCAGCTGTAGCATACACAACCCACTAGCAACTTCCTCATGTCTCTCAATTAAAAACTCTTGCAAGACAATGCATCATTTTGACCAAGTCCCAGAAGTTATTGGTTTTCTTAGCCAGTTAGATAGGCCCAACTTGGTTAGGTAGTTAACTCCGTTAGCTGTGACCAATATGAGCTATGTCTGTTGGACATCATGGGTTTGCAGAGATTTTTCTGAGGGAGGAGGGCAGAGGATGGGCAGAGCAGACCTACATTATTACAGAAAGATGGAACTAGGATTCCAACCCAGGTCTTCTGACCCCCAGTCAAATACTTCTTCCACTTGAAGAAGCAACCTATTAAAATTAAAAAAGTTAACATGAAGCTCTTTTCACTTTTTCCATTGAAAAGCTACTAGCAGGCTACACATATATTACAATCTGAATTAATATACTATGCATACATGTAAATATTGACTGATTTCTTTAGTACCAATAAGTTGGTATTCTAGATAGGTCTTCATTATTTGTCACAAAGATAGCAAACTGTTCCTATGATGGTATCATTGAAGGATTTTGTGAACACACTGATTTTTAACCTTACTTGGCTTAGATAAGTGGTATACAGACCAATCCATAGTTTAAGCACAGGCAGGGAGATATGGCAACTCGGTTTTTTCCCCTACATAGGCATTATTAACCTTGGGCAAAAGAAAGCCAAGTTTTCTAAGCAGGAAAGCAACAAAAGCAAAATGAAACTTCTGAGTTAAAACCATTTGCTGCTGTGGGCATACAGATGTGGGACAAATGAATTTTAATAAGCCTTTAGAATTATTAAGACCCTTTAAGAATAAATTAATTCAAAATTAGGGAATATTATTGGAATATGAGACAAGTGGGAATTAACTTTTTTTTTTAAGAGACAGGGTCTCGCTATGTTTCCCAGGCTGGAGTGCAGTAGCTATCCACAGGTGTGATTATAACCTTGAACTCCCAGACTCCAGTGATCTTCCTCTCAGCCTCCCAAATAGCTGGGACACTGGCTAATTTTAATTATGCAAATACATCTGTATTCAACCTGGGGTCAGTACAACCAATAGGACAAATCGTGTCTTTCGTCAGTTGGAACATATTGCAGGTGCTCAGAAATTCCAAGTATTACACCCTAAAATGATATTATTTAGTGTAGATTTTAAATTTTTTTCTATCATAAATCATCTGACCCTAGATGTTCACATGTATAGCACACGGTCAGGCGTATACCCAGGATTATGCATTTCAGGAAATACATAAGCGTGCAAGTTTGTGCAAGAATTGTCTTCCTGAGTGGGTTCTAATTAAAATACAAAACGAAACTAAATATCCTCATTTTTGAAACAATTACTTATAATGTATCTCAAAGGGAATTCTTGAGACACCCTCTTCAATAAAAAATTAAATTCGAAAATGTATACAAGAGCTTTGGGAGTTAAGATGAAAACAAAGATATTTCGTGGGAGTTTTGAGACAAGAAGGAATACATTCAAATACAAAATAAACTATCCTGAATTTCTCCTGGATTGCCATTCTTGTAAAATTTTAGATATTGCACATTTTCATAATCTAACTCACGGCAGCCCCAACATAAAACTAGTCCTCTGCGGGAATTGCAACTAGATTAGCGGCAACGGTTTGACGCGGATCCGGGGGGAGGGCGGGAGCAAGGCAGGGAGAGAAGGAGCCACCTGCCCAGGACATGCAGCTTATCTCTAGAGAAACGGGTTTTGCAGCACAAAGTAGCCTGTGTCCGATTCATCTATTTTCTGCCTTGTTCCTTCAAACGGAAACCTAACAAAGACCACGGGCAGCCAAGGGCCGCAGCCGGGGACCCAACCCTGGTCACCAAGCCCGCGGAGTGGCCGCACGCGGGGCGGCCGGGTCCCCCAAGCTGCGCGTCCCGAGCTAGCGAGATCCCAGCCTGACAGGCGACGCCGGCAGCTCCCCGTCGCGACCGAACAGCGGCCCAGCACAGGCTGCCGAGGCCAGCGGACGGCCCAGCCGGCCCCTCGCGTGCTCTGGGCGCGCCGAGCCTCCACACTCACCATCTCGATGATCTTGGTCTTCCGCCCCGTCTTCCTCTTCAAGGTGAATATGTACTGAGCCAGCACCACCCCCGCCACCAGGGCGCACACGCTGGCGCTCGCTACCGCGCCCACCCTCGCCACGGCCGCGCGGTCCATGGACGGGGCCCTCATGCGCGTCCAAGCAGGAAAAAAACAGGCAGCTCGCGTAGACTGCGAGTCTCGGAAGCGCGGGATCCCAGAGCATCACGGACGAGCCCGCGACGCCCCGCCCCGCGCAGCGACGCCCCGCCCCGCGCAGCTCCGCCCCCACGAAGCCCCACCCACACGCCATCGATGGGAGAGGCCAGGACGCGGCGGGAGGGGTGTGGCCTGTGCCCGGAGCCCAGGCTGGAGGCGGCCTTCAGCAGACTCAGGGTCTCACGAGCTGCTGTCAGGGCAGGGCAGAGTATTGCGGTAATTATCCTTCTCTGCTAATGAGGATTAGGCCGTGGTTCGCTCGAGCCCCGCCCCAGTAGAAATCTAATTCCAACTGCGGCCCGCTAAGAAGTCGGTCTCCGCCTTCGCGCCTCAGCCCCTCTGGACTCCGACCCCCAGAAGGCTGCGCGGCACGGTGTGACCTGCGCAGTGGCGTCCGTTCTAAGTGCTATAACAACAGGGGGAAGATGGCTCAGAGTTAGGCTGGAGAGGGGCGGTGTCCCTTCCGCCGCAGCCGCGGGGTTTCTGCTACATCCCATTCGCCACCTCCGCCATCCTTTTTTCTGTGTGAGCAGAAGGGCTTGCAGTTGTTCTCTCCTGCCTAGTGTCTTCCAAGGGATAGATGCCATTTCTTCTGCTGGTCTCTGGGGGTGAGGAGGGGCGCAGGGGAGCTTCTTGGGGGAATCGCTCCAACTCTGTGGAGCTGGT
The DNA here is from genome assembly GCF_000001405.40 of Homo sapiens. Lineage (NCBI taxonomy): Eukaryota > Metazoa > Chordata > Mammalia > Primates > Hominidae > Homo > Homo sapiens. Next base: position 33,063,453 of record NC_000007.14, read on the forward strand.
GGTGCTGCCTGGTGGGGCTCTCTCTGCCCAGGACGTGGAACAACTTTCAGCCGGAGGACTAGAGGAAATAGTTGTAGGGGAGGAAAAATTGTTTCCTTCTAGCCTTTTAGGTCATTTGGCTGGTCTACAAATTAAATTGATGTAAGACAGAGGAACATGAGAAAAACGATTTGTCGACCGAAAGGTGAAATAACAGGTACTAAAACTTAAAGAAATCATGGTTAGTTTTATTACTCGGCCAAGTTTGAGGACTTAAGCCTGGGAACACAGACTCAGTATAGACCGAGAACGTGTCCCAAAGTAAGTTAGCTGGGAGTATAACCTGAAGAAGACTGAGTTTTAATACCCAGAATATTTGAGTATCAATATCTAGACTACTGTGTCATTTTGTCGCCAAAGTAATTTTTTATGAATCCAGTTTTGCACCAAATACCAATATGACTTAAATGTTGTCTGATTGTGAGGCCTAAGATGGTCACAGTCTCATTTATCTTTCTTCCTCAACAAAAACATTTTCCATATATTACATATTATTTTGAATGGGTAGAGACTAAAGCCACGTTTCTATAATTTCAGGATTTTAAACATTTTGTAGACGATAACATTCGTCTTGAAGCTGTGGACAATCTAAAACAGAAATGGAGTTCCAAATTTTGTTTTTGTAATATGGCCCGTCAACTGCACATGGGAAGAATGTGGGTACTCTGAAATATGATTTCTATTTTAACTAGTTATACTATATCATAGGTCTGATTATCATCTATATGAGATGTTAAAGCTGTAGGAGTATAGTCAATTAGACTACAAACCCTGGTAGTAAATTTCCAGGAGGAAAGGGGTCCATATGTTTTTTATAAGTGTAAACCTTGTGTTTCTGAATCTAAGAGGGTTGGCCATGTTTGGAGACTATTTCAGCTTCTATGTGAATTAACATATTAATTATTCTTGTTGAAAGACATGGAAGATCTTGATATGGTTTGACCCTGTATCCTCACCCACATCTTATTTTGAATTATACTCCCATAATTCCCATGTGTTGTGGGAGGGACCTGGTGGGAGATAATTGAATCATTGGGGTGTTTTCTTCCATACTGTTTTCGTGGTAGTGACTTAAGTATCAGGAGATCTGATGGTTTTATCAGGGTTTTCGCTTTTGCGTCTTCCTCATTCTCTCTTTGTCTGCTCCCATCCATGTAAGATGGGACTTGCTCCCTGCCTTCCACTATGATTGTGAGGCTTCCCCAGCCACGTGGAACTGGAAGTCCAATTAAACCTCTTTCTTTTGTAAATTGCGCAGTCTGGGGTATGTCTTTATCAGCAGCCTGAAAACAGACTAGTACAGATCTCTACACGGAGAACTACAAAATACTGATGAAAGAAATCAGGCCAGGTGAGGTGGCTGGTGCCTGTAATCTCAGCACTTTGGAAGCCCAAGGTTGGGGGATTGCTTGAGGCCACAAGTTTGAGACCAGTCTCGGCAACATAGCGAGACCCTGTCTCTACAATCCCTGAAAAACCAAAGAAATTAGCTGGGCATGGTGCTGCGTTTCACTCTCGTCCGTGTGAAGAGACCACCAAACAGGCTTTGTGTGAGCAACAAGGCTGTTTATTTCACCTGGGTGCAGGCGGGATGAGTCCAAAAGAGAGTCAGTGAAGGGAGATAGGGGTGGGGCCGTTTTGTAATATTTGGGTAGGTAAAGGAAAATGTGTTAACAGTCAAAGGGGGGTTGTTCTCTGGCAGGCAGGGGTGGGGGTCGCAAGGTGCTCACTGGGGGAGCTTTTGAGCCAGGATGAGCCAGGAGAAGGAATTTCACAAGGTAATGTCATCAGTTAAGGCAGGGACCCACCATTTTTCACTTCTTTTGTGGTGGAATGTCATCAGTTAAGGCAGGAACAGGCCATTTTCACTTCTTTTGTGATTCTTCACTTGTTTCAGGCCATCTGGGCATATAACTTGCAGGTCACAGGGTATATGATGGCTTAGCTTGGGCTCAGAGGCCTGACACTGCATGCCTGTAGTCCCAACTACTCAGGAGGCTGAGGTGGGAGGATTGCTGGAGCCTAGCAGTTGGAGGCTGCAGTGAGCTATGATTATGGACTCCAGCCTTGGTGAAAAGGTCAGGAGATCGAGAACATCCTGGCTAACACGATGAAACCCCGTCACTACTAAAAATACAAAAAATTAGCTGGGCGTGGTGGCGGGCGCCTGTAGTCCCAGTTACTCGGGAGGCTGAGGCAGGAGAATGGCATGAACCCAGGAGGTGGAGCTTTCAGTGAGCCGAGATCATGCCACTGCACTCCAGCCTGGGCAACAGAGCAAGACTGTGTCTCAAAAAAAAAAAAAAAAAAAAAAAAAAAGTGAGACCCTGTCTCAAGAAAAAGGAAAAGAATGGAAGAAAGGGAAGGAAAGAAGGAAAGAAAAAAAGAAAGAAAGAATAGATGACACAAACAAATGGAAAAAACGCCTCATGCTCCAGGATTAGAAGAATTAATGTCATCAAAATGACCATACTGCCCAAAGCAATTCAAATTCAACAATACAGATTCAGCAAATACAGATTCAGGAATACATATTCAGCAAATACAGATTCAACACAATACCTGGCAAACTACCAATGTCATTCTTCATGGAATTAGAAAAAACAATCCTAAAATTCATGTGGAACCATAAAAGGGCCCAAATAGACAAAGCAATCCTAAACAAAAGGAGTAAAGCTGGAGGTATCACATTTTGACTTAAAATTATACTACAAAGCCATAGTAAACAAAACAGCATGGTACTGGTATAAAAATAGACATGACACATAGATCAATGGAACAAAATAGAGAAACTAGAAATAAATGCCCCATATTTGCAGCAAACTGATATTTGACAAAATATACACTGGCAAAAGGACACCCTATTCAATAAATTGTGCCGGGATAATTTTAGAGCCATATGCAGAAGAATGAACCTGGACCCCCGTCTCTCACCGTATACAAAAATTAACCAAGATGGATTTAAGACTTAAATGTAAGACCTGAAACTATAAAAATCCTAGAAGAAACCCTGGGAAAAACTCTTCCGGACATTGGCCTAGGCGAAGAACTTATGACTAAGTCCTCAAAAGGAAACAACAAAAATGAAAAACAAAAGTTGACAAATGGGACTTCATTAAGCTAAAAAGCTTCTGCAATGCAAAACAAATAATCAACAGACTAAACATACAGCCTATAGAATGGGAGAAAATATTTGCAAAGAATGCATGTGACAAAGGGTGACTATTCAAAATCTATAAGAAACTCAAACTACTCAACAAGAAAAACCATTAAAAAGTGACCATACTGCCCTTGACATGAAGGACAACATTTTTCAAAAGAAGACATACAAATGGCCCACAAGCATATGAAAAAATGCTCTACAACACTGGTCATCAGAGAAATGCAAATCAAAACCACAATATGATATCGTTTCACACCAGTCAGAATGGCTTTTAAAGTCAAAACACAACAGATGCTGGTGAGGCCATGGGGAAAGGAGAATGCTTAAACACTATTGGTGGGAATGTAAATTAATTCAGCCACTGTGGAAAGCAGTTTGGACATGTCTCAAATAACATAAAACAGAACTACAAGTCAACCCAGCAATCTAATTACTGGGTATATATTCAAAAGAAAAGAAATTATTCTGCCAAAAAGACACATGCATCACAGCACTATTCACAAGAGCAAAGACATCGAATCAACCTACGTGTCCATCAACAATGGATTGGATAAGGAAAATGTGGTACATGGACATGAGTCAATACTACACAGCCATAAAAAGAACAAAATCATGTCATATGCAGCAACATTAATGCAGCTGGAGGCCATTATCCTAAGCAAATTAATGCAGGAACAGGAAACCAAGTGCTGCATGTTCTCACTTATAAATGGGAGCTAAACATTGAGTACTCATGGACATAAAGATATATATATTATATATATTTTATATAATATAAATTATATAAAATATATAATTTATATATTATATAAGTATATATAAAATATATATTTTATATATAACATTATATTTGTATATATAATATACAATATCTTTTCAGGCAGCTGCCTAGCCTTTATTTTATATATTTTATATGTTATATAGTATATATTATATATAATATATAAATATGTGTTTTATATATTTATAATATGTAATATGTAATATATTTATATATATAATTTATAAGTATATAAAACACTTATATATAAATATATATATTTATATATATAGATGGAACTGCAGACCATTTTCTTTAGTGAAATAACTCAGAAACAAAATTAATTTTTTTTCTCACTGACAAGTGGGAGTCAAACAATGGGTGCACATAAACATACAGAGTGGAATAATAGACATTGGAGACTCCAAGTGGTGCAAGGGTAGGGGGGCAGGATAAAATACCACCTATTAGATACAATGTATATTATTCTGGTGATGGGTGCACTAAATGCCCACATTTTACCACTACTCAATATATCCATGTAACACAACTGCACTTGTACCCCTAAATCCATAAAAAAAAAAAAGAACTAAAAAAGTGAGTTTGGACACATGCTCTTTTTCACTATTGGACCTTAGCATTTTCCCCATAAATTGAGCAGTTTGATTTACCCGCTTTAAAAATAGCATCATTATCTTTTCAGGCAGCTGCCTAGCCTTTATTTTTTTCCTGGAAGAGTACTTCCTTTAGCTTAAATTTAGGTCAGTAAGTATTGATTTTTTTTGAAAATGCCTTTTTTCATTATATGCACTCTTGACTTGCCCTAACACCCCCAATCCTGCACCTGTTGCCCCTAAGGATCTCTACCTTACTTGGCCAGTGTTGCCATATCCACCAAACATGTTGTTGCCACTGGGCATTTATGGCAGAGGTGCAGTTTGAGTATAAGTTATGGACCCAAAAATGTTGAGTGTTCCAAATCAACATGAGGTGAATGGTAGCTACTCCTAAATAGAGCTTAGTCTGAGTGTGTCATAAGACTTCCCATATTTTTTCTGAGTGAGTCCTAAATTACCATCTAGTGGGATCCTAGTCCATTAAGTGATTCCTACTGTGTGATTTTAGGTTACATTATACTGTTTTTTTTCCAACCACAAAAGCAAGGTTTCTGTCCCCTCAGTCAAGAGATACTGTGACAGGGCACACAGGTTGCTGCTGTCTTTTCTTATACCTGGGGACCTTGCACAGTAACTGATACCTATATTTATAGAAACACAATGATCCATTTGTCAAGTATTAAAAATAGACCAACGAGATCTAGAATTGGGAAGGACTTTCTGGATGTTCCTTTCTACATGGGAACCTAGATAGTACATTATACTATTTCAGATAGTATATTATATCTGAAAAGAAAGTACCATAAGCTGTAGGAACATTGGATTGGTTCCAAGCGGTTGACATTAGAATACCAATGTCATTTTGATATGGAAATATTGGAAAATAAGAGTCTGTCCCATATTTATGTTCATCAAATTAGTTATTTTCCAATGTATGGTGAGGGTATTGAATAAAGGAAGGTGTTTTGTGGGGAGCAGATATGTGCAAACCTACCCCAAAGTCCACAGAAGCTGAGAGGCTGAAGACAGAGGCTGACAAATCCAGTTATAAACAGAAGCCACGTCTGTGTCTTCAGTGGCAGTAAGACAAGATGGTGGATGCCCATTACCATGACCCCTCAGACCCAAGGCTTATATACCAGTGGGAAGGGGTGGTTTAGAAGGAATGTGTAGGACAATTGACATATAATAATATCAAGTTTGTTTGACTTTAGGGCAGTATTTATGGTAAGTACTTGCTTTTACACAATGAACGATAGATAAACTGGAAATCTTAGATGCCTTCTCAGAACAAAGAATATCAGAAGCCAACATGGTGTATTAGCTTTTTTTTTTTTGAGACGGAGCCTCGCCCTGTCACCCAGCCTGGAGTGCGATGGCACAATCTTGGCTCACTGTAAACTCTGCCTCCCAAGTTCAAGCAATTCTCCTGCCTCAGCCTCCCAAGTAGCTGGGATTACAGGTGTGCACCACCATGGCCAGCTAATTTTTGTATTTTTTTTAGTACAGACAGGGTTTCACCATGCTGGCCAGGCTGGTCTCGAACTCCTGACCTCAGGTGATCCACCTGCCTCGGCCTCCCAAAGTGTTGGGATTATAGGCGTGAACCACCGTGCCCGGCCAGATTAACTTTTAAGATGGAGTTGCTTTGTCCTCCACAGAGGGGTTGTCATTAAATATTTAGACAGTATAAAAGGAAAGCATGAGAGTAGAAGTCATATACAGAGGAAATTATTGTTTTATTTTGTTTTTTGATGAGGTCTTGCTATGTGGCGTAGACTGGTCTTGAACTCCTAGGTTCAAGCGATCCCCCCAAGTATCTGGGATTACAGGTATGCACCACCATGCCCAGCTATAGAATAAATTTATTGTATGGGACTGGTCTAGTATCTTGAGATACACTGTGTACCCTGTTGTTGTCTTTGTCTTGTCTTTGGAGGAGCCAGGAGTCTTTCAAAATTTTAACTGAAGATCTCCAGAGGGCTTAGAAATCCATTTAGGAGTTGGGGCTTTTTTAAAATGAGAGATGTGAACCCAAGAGTCAAATCCTTCAAGTTTAGCTGCACAATGATTAGTCAACAGTATCTAATAAGGTTCCTTCCAGTGAGGCTTAAGAGAGTCCTTTAGCTGATGTCTTTCCCAATAAATGTAGTCACCCAATTGGAGGTCATGACATTTGATGTCTTCATCTCCCAGTAGTGTGCTGTAAAATAAATAATAAACTGTTCCATGCATCTTGACTGCTCCAGCTCCAGCCATGTCTCAAAGGGGACCAGGTACAGGCTGCTACTTCAGAGGGGACAAGCGTGGCAGCTTGGCAGCTTGCATGTGGTGTTAAGCCTGTCAGTGCACACAGTGCAAGGGTTGAGTCTTGGGAGCCTCTGCCTAGATTTCAGAGGATATATGGAAAAGCCTGGATGTCCAGGCATAAGCCTGCTGCAGGGGCGGAGCCCTCATGGAGAACCTCTACTTAAGGGTAGTATGGAGAGGAAATGTAGGGTTAGAGCCCTCACACAGAGTCCCCACTGGGGCACTGCCTAGTGGAACTGTGAGAATAGGGTCACCATCCTCCAGACCCTGGAATGGTAGGGCTGCCAACAGCTTGCACTATGCACCTGGAAAAGCTGCAGGCACTGAATGCCAGGCCATGAGAGTAGCTATAGGGGCTGAACCCTGCAAAGTCAAAGGGGCGGAGCTGTCCAAGGCTTTGGCAGCCCACCCTTTGCCCCAGCATCCCCTGGATGTGAGCCATCAAGTCAAAGGAGCTTATTTCAGAGCTTTAAGATTTAATGACTGCCCTACTGGGTTTTGGACTTGCATGGGGCCTGTAGCCCCTTTCTTTTGGCCAATTTCCCCCTTTTGGAACGAGAGTATTTACCCAATGCCTGTACCCCATTGTATCTTGGAAGTAACTAACTCGTTTTTGATTTTACAGGCTCATAAATAGAAGGGACTTGCCTTATCTCAGACTAGACTTCGGACTTTCGAGATAATGCTGGAATAAGTTAAAACTTCGGGAGACTCTTGAAAAGGAATTATTTTATTTTGCAACATGAGAAGGACATGAGATTTGGAGGGGCCCGGGGTGCAATAATATGGTTTGGACCTGTGTTCCCACCAAATCTCATGTTGAATTGTAATTCTCAGTGTTGGAGGTGGGGCCTGGTGGAAGATGATTGATCATGGGGTTAGAGTTCTCATGAATAGGCTAGCACCATCCCCTATTCTTGTGACAGTGAGTGAGTTATTGTGAGATCTGGTTGTTTAAAAGTGTGTAGCATGTCCCCTGCCTCCCCCACCCCGACCCCACACCACCCCTGCTCCTTCTCTGGCCATGTGAAGTGCTGCTCCCTCTTTGCCTTCTGCCATGATTGTAAGTTTCCTGAGGCCTCCCCAGAAGCAGAAGCTTCTATGTTTGCTGTACAGCCTGCAGAACCCAAAGCCAATTAAACCTCTTTTCTTTATAAATTACCCAGTCTCAGTATTTCTTTATAACAGTCTGAGAATGGACTATTACAGACATTTTCTTATAATTTGCATTGTGGCTCTTTTGCTTGGGAATGTTTCAACCCAGTGGGAGAACATGCAAATCATAACCCACATGAATTTATATCCCTGAACAGGAGATAATTGAACGAAATGTGTTTGTCAAATATCAAAGGGTCCAGCAGAAAGGGAGAAGTGCCTCTGTGACTCACAGAGGGGCTAGATTATGTTTATTTAGCATAAACCTTATAAGCTATTGTGGGTGAAGGTTTTCAGTAGTATTGTTTTTCTCATGCAATCATTTTTTTTTTTTAGGTCTCCAGTGTATAAGCTCATAGATGTGTTGTAACATAGGAAATTGAAATCCCATAGGCAAATGGGTTTGTCATTGAGTCCATACCATAGGTTACAAGTGGTAGCGGGGAATATTTGCCTTTTGTTAACCATATTTCTTTTCTCTCTCTCTTTTCTTTCATTCTTTTCTTTCTTTTTTTGAGACATGGTATCATTCTGTCTACCAGGTTGGAGTACAGTGCCACAATCATGGCTCACTGCAGCCACAACCTCCTGGGCCCAATCAATCCTCCTGCCTCAGCCTCCTGAGTAACTGGGGACTGCAGGTACCTGCCAACATGCCTGGCTAATTTTTGTATTTTTTTTTTTGTAGAGACAGGGTTTCACCATGTTGCCTAGACTGGTCTCAAATTCCTCGGCTCAGGTGATCCTCCTGCCTCAGCCTCCCAAAGTGTTGGGATTACAGGCATGAGCCACCACACTCAGCCTGCTAATCATATTTCTTTTTCCTTTTCTGAGGCTCTTTCTTGAGCATCCTGACATTCCCTTTTAATTGGGTTCCATTTAAGCATGGCTATTTCTATGATTTCATCTCATACTGGTAATAGGGCAGCTGTCTTTGCTGCTACATCAGTAAAATGGCTTCCCTTACTTTCCAGAGACTCAGTTTTTGAATATCTAGGGATCTTATAGCCAAATTTATTTTTGTAATTGAATGGCTTCTATAAGTTTAGAGACGTGAGAGCCATGTTTTGTAGGGTGTCTAGAGGAAGTCAGATGACCTTGTTATTTCTGTAACATTCCGAAGTCATGAGCTACACCAAAAGCATAGTGACTGTCAGTGTAAATTTTAGCTGTCTGATCTTTGGCCAACTGGCAAGTTCTAGTGAGCTCTATTAATTCAGCCAGCTGAGGTGATATCACCATAAGGAAAGGCTTACTTTTTGTAATGTCCACAAAAGACACAACAGCATAGCCTGCTCAATATTTTCCAATATTTATCCTTTAGATATGATCTATCACCAAATAACATCAGCATTCTCTAGTGTTTTTTTGTTTTGTTTTGTTTTGTTTTGTTTTAACAAATCCTGTCTGGCCATCAAGAGCTATACTGTTAGTGATATATAATCACAGGGCATCTCATCAGTCACTTTAGGCAGCAGGGAAGTGAGCTTAAGAGCATTATAATGAAGATTGTATTATGTGAGGGAGAGAGTAAAAGTATCTCATAAGACACCAGCTGGCCAGGCACGGTTGCTTACTCCTATAATCCCAGCATTTTGGGAGGCTGAGGCGGGAGGATGGCTTGAGCCCAGGAGTTTGAGACCAGCCTGGGCAACATAGCGAGACCTCCAACTCTACAGAAAAATTAAAAAATTAGCTGGTTGTGTGGTGGCATGTCTGTTATCCCAGCTACTCAGGGGTGCTGAGATGGGAGGATTGCTTGAGCCCAGGAGATTGAGGCTGCAGTGAGCTATGATCATGCCACTGCACTCTATCCTGGTGACAGTGTGGGACCCTGTCTCAACAAAACAAAAGAAGCCAACCTGCTAATAGAAAAAGGTTAAGTGCAATGCAAATTTAGAAGAGCTTCAGCAGAAGGAGGTACATACGTAGTGGAACTTTCATTACAATTTCCTGAGTAGCCTTGAGAAGTGCAACTATGGCTGAGATGGCTCTTAAACAAGGGGGTAATCCACATGCTACAGAAGCTAGTTGTTGGCAGTAATAGCTGATACGTCTATGTTGTCCCCGTGTTTTGGGGCCAGAATGCGTAAGGTGATTCCATGACTTCCATGGACAAAGTGGAAAAATGGTTACTAGTAATTTGGATGTCTTCAATCAGGGGCTTTTATAAAACTATCCTTTAACTCCTAGTTAGCTGTTTGTCCTTCTGTGGTTTAATGTATGAGATCTGGATGATCCTCTTTTACTAATGTATATAAACAGGCCAGGCATGGTGGCTCATGCCTGTAATCCTAACACTTTGAGAAACGAAGACGGCAGCATTGATTGAGGCCAGGAGTTTGGGACCAGCTTGGGCAACATAGCAAGACTTCATCTCTACAAAAAATAAAAGAATTAGCTGGGTTGTGGTGGCATGCACCTGTAGTCCTAGTTACTTGGGAGGCTGAGGCAGGAGGATTGCTTGAGCCCAGGAGGTTGAGGCTGCAGTGAGCTATGATTGTGCCACAGTACTCTAATCCGGGTGACAGGGTGAGACTTTGTCTCTAAAAACATAAAAAATAAAAGAGTGTTAAAAATAATAAATATATAGTTTGTGCCATGAGGGAAAAGTTAGGAATCTAGCTGTGACAGTAACCAGCTAATCTCAGTAGGTGCAGTGGCTCACGACTATAATCCTAGCACTTTGGGAGGCTGAGGCTGGCAAATCACCTGAGGTCGGGAGTTTGAGACCAGCCTGACCAACATGGAGAAACCCTGTTTCTACTAAAAATACAAAATTAGCTGGGCATGGTGGTGGGCGCCTGTAATCCCAGCTACTTAGGAGGCTGAGGCAGGAGAATCGCTTGAACCCGGGAGGTGGAGGTTGCAGTGAGCCGAGATCAGGCCATTGCACTGCAGCCTGGGCCACAAGAGCGAAACTCAGTCTCAAAAAAAAAAAAAAAAAAAAAAAAAAAAAAAAAATAGGAACCAGCTAATCTCAAAATCCATTAAGTTATCTTTTAGTTTTTGGAGTATGGAATGTAAGAATTCCAGTTATTCTGTCTGGATTTATGTGTAGCCCTTCCTTAGAAATAAAATGTCTTAAGTATTTCACTCTGTTAGGCAGAATTGAAGTTTTTTCTTAGAGACTTTATGGTGTTTTTTTTTTTTTTGCTAGTTCCAATAAATATAGACAGTCCCTTTTTCATTTTTCTAAGTTGGAAGAGCATAACAAGGGTCATTCACATACTGGAGCAGAGCAGAATTTTCTTCAAAATTTAGTTCAGATAAATCAACTTTTAATATTTGTGAAAAGTAGGTTGGGCTTTCCTTGAAACCCTGGGGCATGACTGTCCAGGTGTATAGGCACTGTCCCAAGTAAAGTCAAACAGGTATTGACTATCAGGATCTACTGGTATACCGAAAAAGGCACTACATAAGTCAAATACAGTAAAACATTTATTATTTATGGGTGTATTAGACAAGAGGTTATGAGGGTTTGGAAATACTGGATGTCAAAGGACAACAATATTGTTAATGGCTCTTAAATTTGGCATAAATTTCCATTTCTTCCCCTTGGGTTTTTGTACTGGGATGATGGGCATATTATAAGGGCAGATGCAAGGAATGATTATCAATGAATTCCTTAATTAACGTCTTTATGCCTATTATGGATTCCTGTTTTAATGGGGATCATTTAATATCAGGAATTGGTTTATTTGGATCTACTTGTATTTTTTACTGGTACAGCCATCGGAATTTTCCCTATGTTCATGGATGCACAGGACCATAGATAATCAGGAATGAAGTCTAACAAATCATGGTGTTCCTCCTTTGGTGCCTAGTAATTGAACCTGAATAATCATTTGACTGAAAATGTTTATAGTATCAATTTCAGCTGATTCTTTCTCATTTTGAAGAATATTCTTCCTGTTTTTGAAAAAGAGATATGGGCATTATAAAGCTCTAAGAAATCTCTCCTTGTAAGATATATTGGTACAGAAGGCACCAGAAGGAAGGAATGATGTCTATCTAAATTCCCTAGCTGCAAAGTTAAAAGTTCTGATCTATGTACAGTCATAGGCTGATTAGATATCCTTACCATCCGAAGTGGTTGGTTACTCCAAGGAAGAGGGCTCTTTAGGAGGGTAGGGTTGAGAATAGAAAGTCTGGCTTCCATATCAACTAAAGCCTTAGTTTGTTTTTTGCTTATAAACGTATTTACGTCCCCTAGAGTGTAACTTAGGAGGAAGGGAAAAGCCCTCTTTATTTTTCCAGAGCCTCCCTGTTCTTCCTTTCCATTTTCTCTTTTTGCTTTTGCACCCATTTCAGCTTTCTACAGTGTTTTAAAAGATGTCTTGTTTTTTTTTTATAATACAGACATTCTTAGATGTTTTTGAAACGCCTTCCAAAAGGGTGGCCTCTGTTTAAACCTAGCAACTTGGCCAGTAAGTCACTGGAGTTGTAAATTTATAATTTTAGTGGCATTGTCATCCTTCCTCTGTTGTATCGCCCTGGTTGGCTTATCAAGAAGGTTTACAAGCTCAGAAATATGTGATGAGTCCCAGTTTATTTAATGTAACTTGACTACCTTGGCCAATTGTTTGTCTAACCCATTAAATAAACTTGAATTTAGTAAGGGATCATTTTGATGATCTTAGACTGGTGATATGGTTTGGCTCTGTGTTCCCACCCAAATATCATCTCTAATTGTAATCCCCACATGTTGAAGGAGGGACCTGGTGGGAGGTGATTGGATCATGGGGGTGAATTACCCCATTCTATTCTTGTGATAATGAGGGAGTTCTCATGAGAGCTGGAGGTTTTTACAGTGTTTGGCAGTTTCCCCTTCACTCTCACTCTCTCCTGCTGCCATTTAAGATGTCCCTTGCGTCCCCTTTGCTTTCCACCATGATTGTAAATTTCCTGAGGCTTCCCCAGCTATGCAGAGCTATAAGTCAATTAAATCTGTTTTATTTATAAATTACCCAGTCTTGGGTATTTATAGCAGTGTGAAAATGGACTAATACAACTGGCCTCATTTATTCCAGAGTATTGTTTAAACATCTTTTAAAATCTTTCAAAGTAGTCTAATACAGTCTCATTTGATCCTTGTCTACATTGTTGCACCTTAAACCAATTAGTGTTCTTTGGGAAATATCTGGGGAATTACCTGTGTTAGACAATTTGTCAGTTCTGAGGCTTCTGCTGGGTCCTCTGCCTTTTGTTAATAGAAATTGCTTACTGGATTCTTCAAATCAACCTTTGATATCCATTCTCTACCTTTCCTTTCAGATAGTAACATATGAACTAGTTGACATAAATATGAATATACTGGCTTATCGGTCTTTTTTTTGAGACACACACACACACACACACACACACACCCCACTCTGTCACTCAGGCTGGAATGCAGTGGTGTGATCATGGCTCGCTGTAGTATTGACCTCCTGGGCTCCAGCAGTCCTCCCACCTCAGTTTCCTGAGTAGCTGTAACCACAAAACCACACCTGGCTAATCATTTTTATTTTTTATAGATATGTGGTCCCACAATGTTGCACAGGCTGATCTCAAACTCCAGGGCTCAAGTGATCCTCCCTCCTCGGTCTCCCAAAGTGCTGAGATTACAGGCTGACCACCACACCCAGCCAGGTTTTACTGCCAAACTAAGTTCCTTAGGAAAGCCTATAGGATCTTGGGTAGTATCAGGAAATTAGTAAAACCCCTGAGTTCTAATTTGGTCCAGGTATAAGTGGTATAAGCCACTGAAGGATCCTCCCTTGGATTCAGCTTTCCTTTGGAAGGTGCTGCTAAAACTTCCATAGATAATGGGAGAGGAAGTCAAGGTAGGTCTGGACAGGGCAATTCTGAGAGCAGAGGATTGGAAAGGCTCTGGGGGACGGAGCAGGAATGGTAGTAGAAGAGGATAAAACAGTAGACAATTCAGACTTTTTTTCAACTGAGAAACAATTTCCAGAATCTTGTGATTTACCTCCCATATGGAAATGATTGTCATTTCCTACCTTAGAGGCTTCTAGATGCCATTGAAAGTAGCTTTCTCACTCTTTCTCTTTCATCTTTGAGCCAGCTCTCTCCCAATATGCATGTTAATCCAGTGATTCAAAAATTCTCAATATGAAGTGCCATAATTTTGTCATAAATCCAGCTGGTGTTTCAAGGGGTGGTAAGCACCCTTCAAAGATTTCAATCTTTGATGTCTAATTTCCCATGTTACTTCCTGTCCCCATCTATCTGCACTAAGCTAAGAATGTACAGGGTCAAAAATATGTTGCTTTAGAGCTTTACTCCTCAGGCTTGCACTCCCAAGTGGATTTAGCTCGCTTACATGTCTCAGGAAAACTCGCTGCTGAAAGAGGGAGCTACTCCTAATGCTAAATGACCCGTCTTCATAAGTGTTTCCTGGAGGAGCTAGACTATTTTGAATGTTCTTCTGTTCATAGTGGAACCCTATGGACTGTTGCACATCACCAGGGATTTCCCTCCAAGGTCCACAAGATTCTTAGTTGCCTAAGAATACCTGAAGTTTGGGGTAGAGGGAGTGTATTTCCCTTATCTTCAGAACAATTTTATCTCAATTGTTTTTATATGAAGGTGAAGGGGTTTGTGCAAGTAGAAGATGGCCTTTGAAAAGAGGGAAACATTGAGCTGAGCCACAAGATCCACCACTCAAACTGTGGCAATATTTGGTCAACCTAACCTTCTGTCCTTCCTTCCTAACAATTTAGAACAAGCAATAACAATTCTATGAAGAATTTGGCAAACCCAGGATATATTACTCTTCCTAAACACAGCTTAGAATAAAAAAGGATCACTTACTTCTTGGTTCGTTACTGTTTATTTCTGTCTTTGGCTATGTCTCCAAATGGAATTTGTGCCTCCAATTCTTCATTCTTTATAATATGTTAGCAGCATTTTATATAGCTGGTCACACTTTCCTTTGAGATATACTTTTTTCACTTCTGCTGTGGTTTGGAAATTTGTGTCCTCCAAACTTTATGATGAAATTTGATCCCCAGTGTTGGAGGTGGGTCCTACTGGGAGGTGTTTGTGTCATGGGGGCAGATCCCTTATGAATAAAATAGTGCCCTCCTTCAAAGGTGAGTGAGTTTTTCATTAGTTCCCATGAGAGCTGATTGTTACAAAGAGCCTGGCACCTCCCCCACTTTCTCTTTCTTTCTCTCTCCATGTGCACTCTGCACACACCAAGTCACTTTCTGTCTTTCACCATGAGTGGAAGCCACCTGAGGCCCTCCCCAGCTACATATGCCTAATCTTGAACTTAACATCCATCAGAATTGTGAGCCAAATAAACTGTTTTTCTTTATAAATTATCCATCAGGTATTTTTTTATAGTAACACAAAATAGACTAAGACAATTTCCTTTCTGATAACTCACTCCTGGTTTTCCCTTGAGTTTGTTGGACGCTTCTGTTCAGTCTTTTTGGCAGACTCCTCCTTCCTTTTACTGGTAGCACCCCAGTGCCCAGTCCAGTTTTATATCTTCATTTCCCTATACCTCTCTCCCTATGAGGTCTCCTTCTATCTTATTATGACTTTGAGCACCATGCGTATGCTGATAAGTCTCTTTTCCGGGGCAGCATCCTGCACTACAGACAGATATGTCCAACTTTTTATTTGGCATCTCCACTTGGATGCCATAGACATCTCATAATTAATGTGTTCAAAGCCAAACTCCTCATTCCATTTTTCTTCTGTAATTGTGCCACTCACCCATTCTCTGTCTCATTAATAACTGTCCATCTGTTAGTTACTGAGGTCAAAATGTTAACAGTATAAAGTATCTGAGTCACATGGCACCAAAATAAGTTACCACCGATGAATCCGTATGAGTCTGCAGCAACCTCAATTCTTGCCTCCTTAGAGGAAAGAATTTGACCTAGGAGGCATAAAGCAGAAGGAGAGACAAGGCAAGTTTTAGAGCAGGAGTGAAAGTTTATTAAAAAGCTTTAGAGCAAGAATGAAAGGAAGGAAAGTACACTTGGAAGAGGGCAACTTGAAAGACAAGTGTGTGGTTTGATCTTTTGGCTTGGCCTTTTATATGTTGGCATACTTCCGGAGTCTTGCATTACTTCTCCCTGGATTCTTCCCTTAGGGTGGGCTGTCACCTGGGAGGGGAGCATGCGTATTGTGTTTACTGGGGTTGTACACATGCTCACTTGAGGCATTCTTCCCTTACCAGTCACATGTCCCTAGGAGGTCATATCCCAGTTAAACTTTGCCATTTTCCCTCATAGTGTGCATGTGTGAGTCCATTCGCCCAGATCTTACTGGGAAGCGGATGCTCACCAGTTTCAGGTGTTTTCTATTTACTGGGAGCCGGCCTTTCCCTGGCGCCAGCTGTGACCAGTTAGTATTTTAGAGAGACAGCTCACAACTGCCTGACCATCACCAGATGGTCACCTGACATTCCTGGTGTGTGTGTGGAGGGGAGCCCTCTCCTGCCCTGCTCTTGTCTACCTACTCTAATGAAAAAACCTCAGAGTCATCTTTGACCTCTCTCTCACACACACCACATCAATTCAAAATATATCAAAAATTTGAGCACTTATTTCTACTGCTGCTATATCAGTCATTTTCACCGTCATACTTGGATTATTGCAATAGCCTTCTAAATGGTCTCTTGGTAATCTATCCATGACCCTTTAATAGTCTGTTCGAAACACAGTAGGCAGGGTGATCATTTGTACAATGAATGAGCTCATGTCATTCCCTTGCTTGAAATCCTCCAATGGCTCTCCAGTACACCCATAATAAAAGCTAAAGTGCTCACAGAGGCCTGTAAGGCTACTCAGTCTACCCCTCCTTAACCTCTCTGACCGTCATCTCCTACTACCCTCCCCTTCATCCCATTTGTTCCAGTCAACATGGGTTCCTTGCTGTTCTAGAAACATAGCAGGCATGTATAGGAAACCAAAATATTTCACTCCAGAATATACTTCTTTAACATATTTCAAGATGGCTATTCAGAAAGGCTGGAAATACAAGAATAGCTGAAAGGCTGTCTTTTGTGGGCGAGATTTGCATCTGTAGAGAAAATCTGCATTGATGCAGTCAGCCTTTCTCCGAGGCCCTCTTTTGTCTGATCTAGGAAAGATTAACTGAAAGTCTGACACCTTTAAAGGTATAAAAGAAACAGTCACCATCTATTTTTCTCTGATAGCTGCTACCTGTGAGGTTTCTTTTCTTTCTTTTTTTTTTTAAGAGATAGGGTCTCACTCCGTCATGTAAGCTGATTGCAATGGCACCATTGCAGCTCACTGAAACCTTGAACCCCTGGCCTCAAGCGCTTTTCCTGCCTCAACCTCCCAAAATGCTCAGATTATAGGCTTGAGCCACCCTGCCCAGCCTACCTGTGAGGTTTCGTCTGCATTATAAGATCACCTTTGCTAGTCAGGCCTCTTCTTCTTCCCCTTTCATAACCTGTTTGTCACAATCCAAGCCCTCATTTTTCTGTAACCTCAGGATAGTATATAAGGTTCTGTGCCTTATATGGGACACATATAAGGCACAGAGGGGTGGGAGGGGTGGGTTAATCACTCTGTATTTCTTCCCATGCACATTAACACATTTGTATTCCATTTCTCCTATTAATCCTCTTTGTGAGTTGATTGTTTTAGTGAAACTTCAGAGGGTGAAGGAGTTTCCTTTCGCCCCTATAGTTTTGGCACTGTGAGCAAGATTACCAAAGCCACTCTGCTCTTCTGGAAACAGCGGTCAAGGGAACCCAGGACCCGATAAGCCAGTAGAATGGGGTATGAGTTTCTTACTAGCCAGGTTCTGGTCTCTCTGGAAAAGCTGGCCAAGCAGATATTAAAAAAACAAAAAAAATCACTGTTTGTCCCTTTTTCCTATGCAAAATCTGGGAGAAAAGGATTTGTGTGACTAGTCTTGGGTATCGCAACTCTGGTGTACTTTTTTTTGGTATAAACTGGGGATCAAATATTGATTTCTTTCCTCCCAGAAATAGTCTTTTCCATCATCTTTGTCTTTCTATGTTGTTCTGGTAGGACGTGGGCTTAAAACCCCTATAAGCCCCCTCTTTGAGCCAACCATGCCAGCCATGCAGACAGGTCGGTTTTGTGGTTCTGACTAGACCATCATCTATGTAGACAAATTTTTCTGTGGGCCCCCAAAATAAAAACCAGATGAAGTTCCTCTCTTGTCTTGTATGTCCTTGGGAGCTTGACTTGTGACTAAGTGGGAGCACCTGCTCTTGGTCTCCACCATCTATGGGTGTGATTTGGCGTCATATTAGGTGGCCAATCTAAAACTGGCTGGGAACCCAAGACGCGACAGTATATATGTTTTTCCGAATACGGCAAACTTTCCAGTGACTTTTGTCTTAATAAGAAGTCCCGGTGAAACCCCATCTCTACTAAAATACAAAAAATTAGCCGGACGTGGCAGCATGCGCCGGTAGTCCCAGCCACTTGGGAGGCTGACGCAGGAGAATTGCTTGAACCCGGGTGGCAGAGGTGGCAGTGAGCCAAGATCACGCCACTACGCTCCAGCCTGGGTGACAGAGCGAGACTCTGTCTCAAAAGAAAAAAATTCCCATCCATAAGGAACTTTTGTCATCACCACTCTTGTTGCCTGGTTAGTCCTGGGAAAGTACTATCCTTAGCCGTCTGTGGCAAAAAGAGACTTGCTGTCTTATCTTATTACTGGGAGTAAATTTTTTGGAAGGGATCTTTGGTATTGCCTCTGCGATGTCCTGTCCAGGAAACATCTCTTGTTAAAAACTTATTCCAATGCTGGAATATTACCTCCTAGACTTTCTATGAAAAGGCTTATTAGATTGAGTTGCTATTGGAATAAGTACACCCTTAGAGCTGGGTGTGGTGGCTCCTGCCTGGAATCTTTCTTAGGAGGTTGAGGTGGGAGGATGCCTTGAGCCCAGGAGTTTGAGACCAGCCTGAGTAGCATAGTGAGACTCCATCTGTGTGTAAATAAATAAATGAATAAATAAAGTTTAAAAAATTTTTAAAAAGGCCTAAGTACACCATTGGAAATTCTAATCTAAAAGATGGATCCTATACATTAGAAAGATCCCTAAATTTTAAAAAAGATTAAATGGGATGAAGGGGTGGTTCTGGATCTTTGTAAACAGTGGCCCTATTTGTATTTATAGGAAGATTAAATTAAAAGAATGACACGTAATAGTATCATGGCTATTCTTAGAAATTCTCTTGACAAAATTAAAGAGCAACAGTCTGATCTAAAACAAATTTAAAATGATTTGTACTCTCAAATTGCCAGTTTTGGATCCTTTGTAGGATTTGCAACAATAACTACTCTATCTTGTCTAGTTAAAATTCTACACTTTCACCACCGTGGCCTGGGTTTGATTCCCAGTCAGGGAACTAGTCCCTTTTGTTTTGATATTTCTGTGACTTTTGACTTTTGGGGGTACCCGTTTGTTATTGATCCTTTTACTTTCCATGGACAACTTCTGATTTCTTGTCTTCTTCTGTCTGTAGGGACACACAGGACTTTTAGGTCTTTGTGTGTAGATGGTCAGCTGAGAATATGGCCAGACAGAAATGTGGGTTGTCAGTTTGCAGCTAGTGAAACTTCCCATTCTTTGAGCTATCTTTGGGGTGGTTCTGGATCTTGTGAGGATGGCTTTGCATCTCTTTGGAGATGTCTTGTGTATCTTTGGTTAAGTCATAACTTTGGTGGTGAGTCACTTAGGGGGGTACCTTTGGTAAAAAAGTTCCAAAGCCAGGATTATCAGCTGTTTGTTCTGGCTAAAATCAGATAATTCTGATCATATGAAATTTGAAAGGAATTTTTTTTTTAAAATAGAGCTCTGTGGTCAGAAGGCTGCATAATTAAAAGCTGATATTCAAGATATTTATTTATTTATTTACTTATTTATTTATTTTAAAGGCCTTTCTACTTTTCCTCTTTGGATCTTGTTTCTGGGAATTTTTTTTTTTTCAGTCAACTGAAACAACTTTTGAAAATATATTTGGTCCTCTGTTCACTTCCTTTCTTGTTGATACGATTTTTACTGAGAAAAATGCAGCATTTTATTGGCCCTTCAGAAAGCTTAAAATTTCCCCAATTGGCTCCTTTAAGAATTGTTCTCCCTGGATGCTACCGGGCAACGAGTAGGAGGGTTGCTGCAGTGAGGCTTGAAGCCCAAGTGGAGCCTTTGCAGGTGCAGATTTTGGTGGTAGTAGCATATATATATATTTAAATTGTTCTCCCATTTACTTCTGCTCCTCTTTCCTCTTTGTCATCTTCAGTACCACATGAAACGATCTAGAAGGGGCTGGACGCAGTGGCTCACACCTGTAATCCCAGCACTTTAGGAGGCCGAGGCGGGCAGATCCCTTGAGCCCAGAAGTTCAAGACCAGCCTGGGTAACATAGTGAAACACTGTCTCTACAAAAAATAAAAGAAAGAAAAAAACGATTAGCCGATCATGGTGGCTAGCTGGGCATGGTGGCACATGCCTGTAGTCCCAGCTATGTGGGAGGACGGATTGAACCTTGGTAGTCTAGGCTACAGGGAGCTGTGATCATGCCACTGCACTCGAGCCTAGGTGACAGAGTGAGACCCTGTCTCAAAAAAAAAAAAAAAAAAAAGGAGTTGGGGTTGGATCCAGAAGGGAACTTCTAATGATGCTGAGACCCAGTGAGGAACACAGAAAAAGGCACCACTCACCCACTTTTTGGGTCTTCTGTCTGCTCTTTACAGTCCAAAGAGTCATCAGGCAGGTTCCTTGCAGGTGTAAAGCTCTGCTCTTTTATGAATTGTGTTACCTGATCTCCTTGTCTTTTGAGTGTACCAGACATTACTTCGTAATGTGAGGGAGAACTTGACCTTTCTGTATGTGATGGCTGGTAAGTCACTGACAAGAGTTCCAGTTTTGTAGGTGGCTGAGAGTTGTCACCATGAATGGTTATTACAGGGGACTACTCATTTCTTTGCTCATCTGGATTAAAAGTCACAATTTGAACATTTGGAGGCCATGGAAACAGTACCAATGGATGACTCTAATGGGGAATGGGCTAATTGTAGATTGGGCTGATTGCCATTGGGTGGCCCTTGCAGCAGGATGCGCTGTGGAAGTACTGTGTAACCTGGTCCCATGGCATTTCCCTGTTTTGGGAAACCTGGTATTCAGTGTAAAAAAATGGGATCCTTGATTTCAAAGAATCTAGATGCTCTACCTTCTGGCTGTGCCTGTTTTTCACGTATTTGTATATTAGTTCCTAAAAACTGCAAGTGCTTTGTTGACCCTATTTGTTAATGGCTTCACCCTGAGCTCAATGGTCTAGTTATAAATTGGAAACTGTTCAGGCATGGTTGGTCACATCTGTAATCCCAGCTCTTTGGGACGCTGAGTTGGGAGGATCACTTGAGGCCAGGAGTTTGAGACCAGCCTAGGCAACATAATGAGACCCCAACTCTACATAAAATGAAAAATCTTAACCAGGTGGGGTGGTACATACCTGTATTCCCAGGTACTTAGGAGGCTGAGGTGGGAGGAGCCTTTGAGCCCAGGAGTTTGAGGTTGCAGTGAGCTATGATCATGTCACCAGGGTGACAGAGTGAGACCCCATCTCTCAAAAAAAAAAAAAAAAAAAAAGAGGTAGAGAGAGAATGAAAATGAAAACTCCACATATCTAAATAGATGGGTCTCCAAATTATGAGTTTCTGGCATTCAGCTGCTTATTTTGAAAAGGTTTCTGACTTTTCTCTAGGCCCATCTGTGTGCTTCTTTGTAAAATCATGTAATGAGTTCCTATTTTTTATTCACTTGGCATCCATTTTTAATCTTCTCGATGAACATACCCAAACTCTGTCTTGACAAACCTTAAATTCTTTCTCTGTAAGTTTGCTACCCTGTTTTTTCTTTTTCTTTCTTTCTTTTTTTTTTAAGTTGAGTTTTACTCTTTTGCCCAGGCTGGAGTGCAGTAGCATAATCTTGGCTCACTGCAACCTCCACCTCCCGGGTTCAAGCAATTCTTCTGCCTCAGCCTCCTGAGTAGCTGGGATTACAGGTGCCCACCACAATGCCTAGCTAATTTTTGTATTTTTAGTAGAGACGAGGTTTCACCATGTTGGCCAGGATGGTCTTGTACTCTTGGACTTGAAGTGATCTGCCTGCCTTGGCCTCTCAGAGTGCTGGGATTACAGGCATGAGCCACTGTTCCTGTCCCCTACCCTGTTTTTTCCAAAACTTGGCAAGGGCTTCAGCCATGTGGGATAGATACACTTTAGCTTGTTCCATTTACAGAGGCACAATTTAATCCAACTCTCCTTTTAAAGTAGTGAGTTTTTCCAGTTTCATGGCTAAAATTTAAAATGAAAGCTGTAAGATTCTTGTGTCTGTTTTTTTTTTGTATACATGTGTATATGTCTCTGAATATTGTCTACATGGTACCAAATTGATTTATAAATACTCATAAATTAAGTTAATAAGCCCAAATGCTTTTCATGTTCATGTGACTTTAGTAACCTTTGATAAGTAACACTAATTTAAAAATTATTGGTAAAATAAAATAGAAATGTCCCAAGAATTCAGACATTTTTGCCTGGGTGTATTGGTCAAGCAGATTTATACTGTCTCTACTACATGTTTTAAGGTACTTAAACTGTTACTTCTGTGATTTTTTTAATATTTACTTGTCTGTGAGCTTATGTTTTGGTTTTGAGCCTTTAGATTCTGGAGTCTAGACAAGTGGCCTTTGTAAGGCCTGGGGTCACGTGTGTGTCCCCAGCACCCAGGCCCCATCCTCTCTGGACCCGCTGTGCCTCTTGGCCACGCAGGGAGGGGTCAGATTCTCTAGGCAGTCTTCAAAGCTCTGTTCATTGTCCTGGGCTCTTCATCTGGTACATAACAATTATAATTGCTAATTGCCTAGGTTTTCACTGAAAATTATGGTTACTAAGAGTTAACATTGTTGGCCGGTCACTGTGGCTCACTCCTGTAATCCCAGCACTTTGCGAGGCCGAGATGGGTGGATCACCTGAGGTCAGGAGTTCAAGACCAGCCTGACCAACATGGTGAAACCCTGTCTCTACTAAAAATACAAAAATTCGCTGGGCATGGTGGTGCCCGCCTATAATCCCAGCTACCCAGGAGGCTGAGGCAGGAGAATTGCTTAAACCTGGGAGGCGGAGGTTGCGGTAAGCCAAGATTGCGCCATTGTACCCCAGCCTGAGCGATAGAGCGAGACTACGTCTCAAAAAAAAAAAAGAGTTAACAATGTAATTAATATATGTAATTAAAACTGTTAGATATAAGAGAAACACATTTGCAAAGTGTACAACAAAAGTAGGATGTGTTTTTGGAAAGTAAGGTTATAAATAAGGCATGAGAATGGCTTTTGGAAAAGAGAAAAGTTTTAGTTTAGAGGTTATTGAAGTATTGTTTCAAATTATTTTAGAATTGTGAAATGTGCTACCCATGGTGGCACCCATTTATAGTCCCAGCTACTAAAGAGAATGAAGCAGGAGGATTGCTTGAGTCCAGGCGTTTGAGGCTGCAGTGAGCTATAATTGTGCCACTGCACTCCAGTCTGGGCAACAGAGCAAGATCCAAGCTCTAAAAAATAATAATAATAAAAATTGTGAAATATGATATACAAAAATGGCACCACTCTGGTTCAGAGCCCTAAAGTGGAGTTGGAAAGCCATACTAAGAAGGACTACCTGCATGACCTGCAACCTTGCAAAAACAAAAACAAAAACCACAACCACTGAGGAATTTGCCTTGCCTCAAACCTTTGAACAGGGCCAAACTGCCACTTTCCAGGACCATAACATCCTTGGAAAACAACTGAATTTGTCCAGCACTGCAACTCCTAAACAGTAACAACCAATGAACTATGGAGTTGTATACTAAGCCAGCCATTTCCATCAATGATAATTCTTTCAAAACAACTTGTATAATCACTTTCAGTGTCCTTTAAAAAATTCCTACTTTACTTCAGTACTTTGGAATACAATTTGACTTCTAACCTAATCTGTTTCTCCCAAGTCTGGAATTCCTAAGATGCCAATAAACGTCTTGTCTTATTGCTTTGCAGTCTGGAATTTTGCCGCTTCTTGGTTGACAGAATCCAAGGGTATATTGTCACAGGTGAGCAATGACTATCTGGGCCAGTGGTGCAGGAATAAAACAATTTACCAAGACATTTGTAGGTAAAGAAGGCAGATTTATTAAAGAAAGTATGAAAATATGTTGCAAGGTTGCAATGGGCAGCCAACAAAAGAGTTGACTGCAAAGAAACAAAGGCTAGCTGGAGACTCTATAGGATAGTTCTTGGGCTGCACAGTGCTACTTTGAGTATTGATAATGCCAAGGTTGCCATGAGCTAACCTGCAGGTGTTTGGAGATAGTAAGGTGCAGGAGTGCTACGTATCCCAGAACATGAAGAAAGGCCCACTTATAGCTTCTCTGCTTTCTCTTTTTGCTTTCCCTCAGTCCTGCCAGCCTGACTCCTTTTCCATAATTAGGACTCCACATTTCACCTCTGACAGAGCAACAATGACAAATTTTTGGCTTGTGGGTGAAGGTCTTATCTTCCAACTGCTTCCTGTTGGCCAGAGATGTAGAGTTGACCCTACGTAGGATTGTTAGTCAGGAGGTTACATGGGCCTAAATCCCTGAATTGGAAGTTAAACTGGGCAGGGTTGCTGTGGGACCATTGGGAAAGTGCATTTACAGCCTCAAATTTTGTCTAGCTGCATCCAAATGAGAGTCATGGAGTTTCTTTCTTTCTTTTTTTTTTAACTTTTAAGTTCAGGGGTACATATGCAGGCTTATTACATAGGTAAACTTGTGTCATGGGAATTTGTTGTACAGATTATTTATTTTATCACCCAGGTACTAAGCCTAGTACCCATTTGTTATTTTTCCTGATCCTCTCCCTCCTCCCACCCTCCTCTCTCCAATAGGCCCCAGTGTGTGTTGTTCCCTTCTGTGTGTCCATGTGTTCTCATCATTTAGCTCCCACTTATAAGTGAGAACATGCAATATTTGGTATTCTGTTCCTGCGTTAGTTTGCTAAGGATAATGGCCTCCAGCTGCATCCATATCCCTGCAAAGGACATGGTCTTACTCTTTTTTATGGATGCATAGTGTTTCATGGTAGATATGTGCCACATTTTCCTTATCCAGTCTACCATTGATGGGCCTTTAGGTTGATTTCATGTCTTTGCTATTGTGAATAGTGCTGCAATGAACATACATGTGCATGTGTCTTTATAATAGAATGATTTCTATTCCTTTGGGTATATACCCAGTAATGGGAATGCTGGGTTGAATCGTTGTTCTGTCTTTAGGTCTTTGAGGAATCACCATGAGGAATGGTGATTTTTTTTTTTTTTGAGATGGAGTCTTGCTCTGTTGCCCAGGCTGGAGTGGAGTGCAGTGGCACCATCTCAGCTCACTGCAACCTCCACCTCCCGGGTTTAAGTGATTCTCCTGCCTTAGCCTCTGGAGTAGCTGGGACTACAGGTGTGCACCACCATGCCCAGCTAATTTTTGTATTTTTAGTAGAGACGGGGTTTCACCATGTTGGCCAGGCTGGTCACTGGTGTGCCACCATGCCTGGCTAATTTTTGTATTTTTAGTAGAGACGGGGTTTCACCATGTTGGCCAGGCTGGTCTCGAACTCCTGACCTCATGATCTGCCCACCTCGGCCTCCCAAAGTGCTGAGATTACAGGCGTGAGCCACCGTGCCCGGCCACAAGCCACATTTTATACCTCTGTGTTGCCTTGTCATTGAGATGTATGATGCCCTTGAAAGGGGAGTGTGACCTTGGTGGGGAGGCATCCCTCTTCCTCTTCAGGCATGGGCGGGTGATATCTAGAAATGGGAAGTGAGTGCAAACTGTTGGCTGTTGGGAGAGTAAGCATTTGCATACTAAAGTGGGAGTGGGGTAGGGTTAGATAAGGGTGGGGCGACATAGCATCTACTACTGCTTCAAAGTTGTGTTCCAACTGGACCATTTCTGTATACATGCAATAACTTTGTATTGAAAACCACTATGTGCTATGCATTGTGTTAGAAGCTTAGCATACAACACAGAATAATCTGTATCCTCAAGAAGCTTCCAGACTTGTGGGCAGTGAGGCAAGGAAATGTTTGCACTAGTGTGCTGGCTATTCTGGATATTGAAGCACAGGCGAGGGGCACCTGACCACCTCTGGGAGCCCAGGGTAGGTTTCTGACTCAGGCACTGAGGTGGCTGTTAGATGAAAAGATGCTGAGGGTAATATGTTTGTGAGGGGGATAGATGGTGTGGTCCCCATGGGACATCTAAGTGGATACACCCAAGGCTCGAGGGAGTTCTGGGATGGTGTCATCAGAATATTGATGATATTTGAAGCCATGAAAATGGATGAGATCACAGAAGAGTGCATAGAAGGCCTAGGCCAGAACTGTGAGAAACATTGATATTTAAAGGATGGAGGCCAAGACTTATAAGGGAGACTACGAAGGAGCAGCCACTGAAGTAGTTAGGTGGAGAACATGGAAGAGAGGAACCATGAAATCCAATGTTGAGGATCTTTCAAGAAAAAGTGTCCCAAAAAGTCAAAGGCCAAACAAGTCAAAGAAAGGACTGGAGAGGATCTGGTAGATTTGATAACAATGAGGTAATGAGCTCACAAGAGCTCTTTTGGTGGTGCTGGGTGTGTTATGGACTGAATTGTATTTCTCCCAAATTCATTTGTTGAAGTCCCAACCCCCAATGTGTATTTGGAGCTAAGGCCTTTAAAGAGGTAATTAAGGTTAAATGAGGTGATGAGAGTGCAGCCCTAATTAATAGAAATGGTGTTCTTTTTTTTTGTTTTTTTTTTTTTGTTGTTGTTGTTTTTAGACAGAGTCTTGCTTTGTCACCCAGGCTGGAGTGCAATGGAACAATCTTGGCTCACTGCAACCTCCAACTCCCAGGTTCAAGCAATTCTCCTGCCTCAGCCTCCCGACTAGCTGAGATTACAGGTGCCCACCACCACACCTGGCTAATTTTTTGTATTTGTAGTAGAGACAGGGTTTCACCACATTGGTCAGGCTGGTCTTGATCTCCCGACCTCAAGTGATCCACCCCCCTTGGCTTCCCAAAGTGCTGGGATTACAGGCGTGAGCCACTGAACCTGGCCAAGACAGGACTGCTTTTAAAGGGAGAGGCCAGGTGCAGTGGCTCACGCCTGTAATCCCAGCACTTTGGGAGGCTGAGGTGGGCGGATCACGAGGTCAGGAGTTCGAGACCAGCCTGACCATGGTGAAACCCTGTCTCTACTACAAATACAAAAATTAGCCAGGCGTGGTGGTGCACGCCTGTAATCCCGGCTACTCAGGGGGCTGAGGCAGGAGAATTGCTTGAACCCGGGAGGTGGAGGTTGCAGTGAGCCGAGATCGCGCCACTGCATTCCAGCCTGGTTGACAGAGGGAGACTCCGTATCAAAAAAAAAAAATAGAGAAAACATGGAATTGTGAGCATGTGGAACACAGGGCCACTTTATAACAAGCCCACTAGAGATAAGTAACCCACTCACGAGATAATAGCACTAAGCCATTTGTTAGGACAGAGCTCTCATGCCATAATCATTTCTTTAAGGCCCCACCTCTTAATATTTTTGCATTGGGAGTTAAGTTTCCAACGCAGGAATTCTGGGAGACATAATCAAACCACAGCATTGACTCATTTAGTAGTATCTGTAACAATTAAAATACGCAGTTGCCTCATTATGAAACTATTCTATTGAAATACTTGCACATGTACACTGAGATATTTACCCAAGATTTTCTTTTCAGTCTTATTTGTAGGAATGAGAAATAGGAGACAAATGAATTGTGATAAGTAGATTAACGGTTAAATGAATCATGGCACATTCAAACTGAGGAATTTTGTAGCCACCTGAAGCTTGTAGTGAGCAGTAAGATTACCAACATAGAGTGAAATGGAGTCACAGAACAGCATTCCTGGTGTTTATCAGTTATGTGAAACTAACAATTCAAAACCTTTCCTGTACGTCTGTTTGCTGATGCATTTTGATCAGGATCTGGAGTGCTGTATCAAAGCATCATAAGTAGACTCCTCTTTCACTTTTTATTCTTGAATGGCTCAGAATTGTGAATTCTTTATGAGCATGTATTTTACAATTTTAAAAGTTTTTAAATACTAGTGGCAAGATCACAACAGAAAGGAAGAGTTTCAAGACGTGAGTGACATGGGATAAAGGAGGAAGCTCCCCAAGGAACAGATGATGGTGACAGCAGTACCAGTAGCAGCAGGAGCAGGTAACATTCAGAGTTGAGATATGCTACACCCTGCTCTAAATGCTTTACGCATATCAAGTACCCTCATTCTCACGAGGAGTCTAGGAGGTGGATATGATCAGTCAAGGACATGGAGGCACAGAGAGATGGAGCAACTCCACAGCTAGCAAAGCTGGGACTCAAAGCCAGGCAGTCTGGATGCAGGGCCAGTGCTCCAGCCACTGCCCCCTACTGCTGGCTGATGGTGGGATCCAGAGCACAGGTGATGGACTGGCCTGAGAGGAGGAGGGAAAGCTCATTAAACCTCTGAATCAGTTTGTTGCTGTATTAACACTTTCCCACAAACGTAAAAGCTCAAAACCACCATCATTGATTACCTCACGGTGGTGTAGGTCAGAAGCCTGAGCAGGCTCAACTGGGCTCTCGACTTTGCATCTCAGAAGCCCCAACCCAAGGTGTCAATAGAGGTGGGCTTCCATCTGGAGGCTCTGGGGAAGAATATGCATCCAGAATCATTGAGGGTGGCAGAATTCATTTACTTTCGGCTGTAGGACTGAGAGCTCCATTTCCTTGCTGGCTGTTAGTCAGGAACCTTTGATGAGAGTCTGCTGCATCCCTCACCATGTGGGCCCATTCAACTTTAAGGCCAGTGATGATGTGTGGAATCTTTCACAGGCTTGGACTCTCTTACTTTCTCTTTGATTATTAGCCATAGACCACTCTGGAGTTCCATACGGCTCTCATGATTTGGTTAGGAACACCCAGATGGTCTCCCTCTCCTTGTGCTTGTAACATAATCCAGTCACAGGAGTAAAATGCATCCTATTAACAGTACTGAAGATTAGGGGGAGAGATCATGGGTCATTTTAGAATTTTGCCTAACTTGCACACCATGATGGTGAGATGGTAGGATGCATTAGTAAGGGGAGGTCTGAGGGCTGATATTGTCTTCCTGGATAGGAGTAGAAAATGCAGAACCTGAAGGAAATGCCTGAGAATGAAGGTTTAAATAGATGACTAACAAGCTTTTGGTTTGCTAGTCAGCATGCTGGGGTCAGTTCTTAAATTTGAGTTTGGAGATAATGAATTTGTGGGGACATCAATCCACATGGGCATGTGTTTTCCCCGTGTAGTCTGTATATACAAGCAGAAGTGAAAGATTTTAATTGAAGTTTCTTTTGGGAAAGCTGGACAAAAGGATGACAGGTCAGAGGAGATGACAGGCTGAAGTGATGTTCCCCAGAATCTAGGCCAGAAACAGACAAGACAGAGAAAACCAGTGAGAGAGAAGGGATAGCAATTTACTTGCAAGGGCTGCAGGGGTGGACGGCTGGATTCCAGTTAAAGCAGGAAGTGGAAGAACGCTTCAGTAAGAGGGTAGAGATCTAGAGCACAGGTTCTCCAAGTGGGGTTCCTGAACCAACAGTGTCCACATCACTTGTTAGCAAGGCAGATTCCCAGGTTCACCCCAGACCTAGGAAATGGAAAATTCTGGTAGTTTTTGAATGGAGCACAGGAATCTGCATCTTTAGTTGATTTGGATGCCTCGAAGGCTTGAGAATTATTGATGCAGCATTTCTCGTGTTGTGTAAGAATGCTTTTTATCATGAATGGGATTGCGGAGGGACAGTAGCCAATTCCTGGAAGAAGAGGACCAGCTCTACCTGGGTGGGAAATGCTGAGCATATGGCAGAGGACAGATGGCCTGTGTTCTGCATGACAAGGGTAAGTGTAAGGCAAGGCTGAATCACTGGACTTACAGTTTTCAGAAATAGTAAGTCCTGGCCATCCCATTCTTGATTGTGTTCGTGAGGTTGTATTCCAAGGCCAAGAATAGTAGCATTGACTGATGAGAGTTGGAGAAGGGTCAGTCTGGGCCTGGCTTGGCTGTTCCTTAAAAAGGAGGGAATCCAAACCCCAGGAAAAGTGGCAGAAAATGGGAGTGAGTTTCTGGGACCCTGACTGAGTGCCTAAAGCAGCAAGAGACCAGTGTTGGCCACAGAGGGACACGCTTGCCTATGAGCAAGATCCAGCTTCACTTTGGCTCAGCAAACGATGGACTTCCTCTCCTCTAGCTGCAGGAACACCTTGGCCTCCTGAGATGCCTCTACTGTGGCCTAGTCTCAGCTACAGGAGCATGTGTGGGCTGTGGTCAGGCAACAGGAAGAGGAAGAAAGGGAGAGAGATTTTGGGATGTGGGTACCTGACCCAGTATGGAAATCCCTGTATATTCTTAAACTTTTTCTGAGTCACTCTGTGAAAATTGTGGGACTTTGGCAGTAGAAAGCAAGAGAATTAGAATGCAGCCATACAAGGTTTTTCATTGTTTTAAGAACTCCCTAGCCCCCAAATCAACAAACCATGTCGGGTAAATATAAATGCACACTGCTGATATGGCAGTAAAGCCAAATGTACTTGATATATAAAAACAGTGGGCCCACCCTATCAGCAGGTTCTACATTCGTGAATTCATCAAACTACAGATAGAAAATATTCAAAAAAATAAATGGATGGTTCTGTCTCTATGGAACATGTGCAGACTCTCTTTCTTGCCCTTATTCCCTAAACAATACATTATAACAACTATTTACATTGTATTAGGTGTTAGAAGTGATCTACAGATGAATTAAAGTATATGGGAAGATGTGTGTAGGGAACAGGCAAATAGCACGCCATTTAATATAAGGGACTTGGGCATCCACGGATTTTGGTATCTGTGAGGGATTGAGGGAGTTGGTCCTGGATCCAACCCCCTCAGATACTGACCACTGTAAGGTTCATACTTCTAAGTTTAAAATGTAACTATGTGTGAGTGAATGTGGATAGCATTTGCTAAGAAAAGCCCTGTACTTACTTGTGATATATAAAATATTCACAAGAAACTAGTACCACTGGTAGACATTGGGGAAGGTAACTGGAGTGGAAAGGAAGAAAGTAGAGTTTTCATGATTAAATATTATGTACCTTTTAAATTTGTATTAGGTATTATTTGTACTTATGTATTATTCATAAATAAATACATTCCATTTAAAAAATAAATAATGAGCTTTTATTATTCTCAACAACAGAGAAGACTCCAGCCTGATGTCTATGGGACCTGAGTCCACACTGTGGAGGGCACAAGCTGTGGGAGGGCCTGGAAGACACGCCTCAGAGATTCTCCCAGTCCTGCCACCCTGTGGGAGACACTTCAAAGGAATCGTAAACTCATGTGACCAGCAGGGAGGACAACGATGAAGAAACTTTCCTGCCTAAAATCAGCTGCTGTCCAGAGCTAGCACCTGGAAGGAGACACTCCCTCTCCTGGGGTCACATCTTCACTGCAAGGCGGGTGGGAGCTCACTGCTGTGACCCACATATACTCCTCTCTCGGCGTCTCTATCCTGCTGCTTTCTCTGACTGCATCTTCCTCTGTTCCTTGGTCAGTGTTTGAGAAGAGAATGTTGAACAAGTCACATCCTTGTCACTCTGAGTCAGAACCCTCATTTGACTTGGAAGATTTGTGCTTCCGTTTTTTCTTCTTTTTCTTTTCTTTCTTCCTTTTCTTATGCTTTTCTTTCTTCTTCTTTTTCTTGTGTTTCTCTTTACCTTCAGAGGAACTGGAGCTGCTCCTATCTTCATCTGAGGTAGAATCCTCCAGTAACTGTTTTAACTGCTGTATCCTAAACATTCAAAATTGATCAAAGAACAGTGAGTTTTAGCTTTAACTTACAACAGTTGCTTAGATAAATATGTCATTCAAAAGCAGTATAGGATGATGAATAACCATGTCACAAAGACAGTATTTTTATTTTTACCTGTTTTCTCATTCTTCTCCACCTGAATGCCTACTTTACGTGACTGAAACCAGTGTACAAGCCACTTTGTATTCTTTTTATTGTCCTAGACATTTCTGCATGTTTCCACAGTCCTTACAATTGTAATTTCTAACAGACGCATACTTTACTAAACCATTCCCCTACTGCTCAATTTCTTAATCTACATCTTTAACAGTTATAATGCCACCAATTTGAAAAAACAAACCCTCCAATTTTTTCCACCTCTCTCTAATCATGTCTAATTTTTTTCTTTTTTTTTTAGAGACAGGGTCTTCCTCTGTCACCTAGGCTGGAGTGCAGTGGTGCAATCATGGCTTACTGCAGCCTCAACCTACTGGGGTCAAGTAGATCCTCCCACCTCATCCTCCCGAGTGGCTGGAACTACAGGTGCGTGCTGCCATACTTGGCTACTTTTTATATTTTTTTGTAAAGATGGGGTTTTGCTGTATGGCCCAGGCTGGTCTCAAACGCCTGGACTTCAGCGATCCGCTGGCCTCGGCCTCCCAAAGTGTTAGGATTACAGGTGTGAGCCACTGAGCCTGGCCTAAGTATAATTTTTAACAAAAGCTCACATCCCTAAAGACTCTGGAGAAGATAAACTGAATCACATGAAAATATCAATTATACTGTACAAGTAGACAGCACAACATGGGTTGCCAACATCAACTGCAGTGGCCAGAGAGCTGGACCAAGCCCATGGCTTTAAGTTAACCCAAGGAGGAGGAGGCTGGCCTGCTCATTCCCCAACACTGGCCTTTTCAGCCATGACTCCTGCACTCCACATATTTTCACAATTGAAGTACCATGTTTACTGCACCATTCCTCTAACACTAGAGTGGTTTTCTCCAACTTTATATAATTTTAAAACTTTAAGGGGATATTGTTATCATCAGGACGACCTCACCTTACGTCCTTTTCATGTCGTTTATTGTCTCGTATGATGTCATACATGGGATCTTCATGTGCCTTAAGGGTCAGAGAAGGTTAAGGTTTGGTTAGGCTTCATGGATCACAAGTTAAATACAATGAAATGCCTATGTTATGAAAACCAGTTTATTTTTTTTTTTACTGTTTGATGTAGCTGCATGTTCAACATGTTCTAGGTCACATCACTGAAAACTCATTAAGGCTAAAAAATGGATTTTCCAATTAGAAAAATACAGGAAATGGCTACTCTCAGCACACTGTCTTTGGGGTAGCCCTGCTCTGCAGGAGCAATCACAGAGCTATAACACTGCCACCTCAAAAACAAAGAAAAATACAGGGAATAACTGTCATCTAAAGAAAAAATATACGGACACTTTAATCTTACAGTTTAAAGACATGTACTCTTTAAAGACCGGGAAATTAAATCCCTGATTTCAGTCATGAAACATGACTTTTTTACACAGTAAATTTTAAAAAGTGCGGTTGAATAGATAACAATGTCTGTTTCAGAAAAAAAATCACTGTTCCAAGTTACAAACAAAGATCACTTTAATAAGAATTCCTTTTTTTTGTAAAAGAGCTAATTTGTCATACAAATGTAATTTAATAAGCATGTAGTTAACAGCACACACTTTGGTCAAAGGGCTTCTGGGAATGTATTTTATGTGACCATTCAAGTTCACTGGTGACTTTCTGCTTCACTGATTTTCACTATCTCTGATAAATGTAAATTGACACTCTTGGACTTTACTTACCACTCTGAACTGCTCTAACTTTTGGTTGCCTTTGATAAAGAAAGGGCATTCTTTGTCACCCGTTCGGTGACCATAGCGTTTGCAACGCCAACCTAAAAACGAAAAGAGAAATATTTCTGTAAGATAACAGTTTCACCTACTCAAGATAAAGAATCAGCAGAATATATTCAAGTTTTTCTTCATTAAACTCTAATTCTAAAACAAAATATAATTATGGACAAGCCATGTAAGATCCCAGAAACAGAGGTAAACTAATTGCTTCCCCAAGCATCCTTTAGTCTTATACCTTTAGGAATAATATTCTATCACCAAGTATTTATGAAGCAATCCAATGGAGAATTACTTCAAAAGGTGAATTTTTTTTTTTGAGATGGAGTCCTGCTCTGTCGCTCAGGCTGGAGTGCAGTGGCGTGATCTCAGCTCACTGCAACCTCTGCCTCCTGGGTTCAAGATATTCTTCTATTTCAGCCTCCTGGGTAGCTGGGATTACAGGTGCGTACCACCACACCCAGCTAATTTTTGTATTTTTAGCAGAGATGGGGTTTTGCCATGTTGCCCAGGCTGGTCTTCAACTCCTGACCTCAGGTGATCCGCCCGCCTCAGCCTCCCAAAGTGCTGGGATTACAGGCGTGAGCCACCACGCCCGGCCCAAAAGGTACATTTTTTTTAAAGTGTGTTTCAGTATATTTTTCAGAGTAAATGTTTTCATAAAGTATCTCTGCTTCTCATTTACTATTTTAGACACTATAAAAGCTTCTTTCTCAGGTTGAGTCTGTTCAAAACTCTCACTTTTAAGTAAATAAAATCACAAGTTCTCTTAGAATATTAATGGTGGCTGGGCACAGTGGCTCCTACCTGTAATCCTAGCACTTTGGGAGGCAGAGGCGGGTAGATCGCTTGAGGCCAGGAGTTCGAGACTAGCTTAGGCAACATGGTGAAACCCTATCTCTACAAAAGTACAAAAAAATTAGCTAAGCCTGGTGGCGCATGCCTGTAGTCCCAGCTATCTCAGAGGCTGATGTGAGATCACCTGATTCTGGGAGGTTGAGGCTGCAGTAAGTTGTGATCACACCACTGCACTCCAGCCCGGGTGACAGAGTGAGACCCTGTTTTCCTGACCCTGGTAGAAGGTTGTTTAATGTGTGGAAAAGGTAAAACAGAGGGTCTCTGGCCAGGGAGACCAGGGAGACATCAGGTAGGTCTGAAGGAAGCTGCTGCAATAGCCACAAAGGGTCACACGAATGAATGAAAAGCAGATGGACACATTTCCAGACTCCCTCCACTCGGCTCCCAGAACACTCATAGTATGGCTTTCCCTCCACGTGGGAGCCTTCTCTGGGAAAATATAACCCACCCAAAGAAGAAAAACCGATAGATACTGAACTCTGAGGCACGTTGTCTTTGCTTTTAACAAATAATCAAGGCAATGAAGCATTCCCATCAAAATTCTCAAGGAAACTGATTTTTAAATTAGAATTCAATATCCTGGTAGTTAAAAATCTGTTAAAGACGATTCCAGAAAAGTAAAGGTCTTAACATTTTTATCTTCTATAAACCCATTTTGAAGGTAACAGCCATAGGATTTGTTACACCATAAGGAGAGAATATGATAATAAAGAAGACTCAAGACACAGGAAAATGGGTGATCCAACACGGGAGAGAGGCTAAGGGGACCTGCAGAAAGATGGTGTCTTAGTCAGCTCGGGCTGACATAACAAAATGCCGTATTCTGGGTGGCCTAAACAACAGAAACTGGTTTTCTCATTCATTCTGTAGGTTGGAAATCTGAGATCAGGGTCCCAGCAAGGTGGGTTTGTGGTGAGAGCTTTCTTCCTGGCTTAAGATGACAGCCCTCTTTCTTCTTCACATGGCACGGTGGTGGGGGGTGGGGTGGATGCTTCCTTATCTAGAAGATGGAGAACGTGCCTTGGCTGTAAGAGGGCTGTGATGAGAACAAGTTAAATAAAAGAAGTAAACACTCTTTGTAAATTGAGGCATGTAAGTTGCATGGATTAGGGAAACTCTCCCACACTCACACTGCATAACTTTGACTTCTTTCCCCAGTGGCATCCAAAGTCCTTTAGTTGGTGCATGAGCCAGAAATTCCCTGGCGTGTTCATTGCCTGGTACATCTGGTATGCAATCTTCTGGCTTAGTCTCATCTTCCTAAAAAAGGGAACAGGTATAAACAGCATGGCAAGAGCGCTGGGATTCTCTCCTGCTCCCCTTGGAGCCACCCTTGCCTGGCTTTTTCCTGGGCTTCCGGTGCCAACATCATCTTAGTTACCCCTCAAAACTAGAAAAAAAGACAAGTTACACCTGATTGAAAAAACAGGAAACAAATGTACCAGAAGAACTATACCAAAAACAATGTAGCTGTTCTTAGAGAAAAGTTACTGGTGAAGCAGAAAAATCTGTCCTTATATAGCAATGACTGGGGAGCTCCAAATAAGATTCTGAGATTAAAAAAAAAAAGTTTCACTACCTCAAAATATAGAATTAAAGTAAACCAGGCTTCCTGGAATAATAGAAATGGCCTGTTATGCTAGAATAGTTTATTATACCCTGAAGGCCCTGTCATGTTTTACAGTCACACACATGCTATATCTCTGATGTACATTTTTACCACTCAATAACTGCATTTACAATTAATGTGTTTTCAAACTTTTGGATTTTTTTCAAGTTTCTATGAATATTAAATTTACAATAGACTCATGTTTTTAAAGAATATTTCTTCGCTGAGAGTTATGAAACAGCAAGT
Source organism: Homo sapiens (assembly GCF_000001405.40). Lineage (NCBI taxonomy): Eukaryota > Metazoa > Chordata > Mammalia > Primates > Hominidae > Homo > Homo sapiens. The sequence goes on from NC_000007.14 coordinate 33,100,032, forward strand.
TTTCTTGGCCGTGGCCTGCCACTCTAAGTCTCCCTCGTGCACACACACCCTGGCACCTTGGCCAGGGAGCTGCAGGAGGGATGCCTGTACCAGGGAGCGGGACTGGATAGCTGTCAGATCTCCTCAGAGTTTACTGCTCTCTGAGCTGCTGAGCTCAAGAAACCAGCAGAGGATGGACCGAGGGGCTGAGCCGGGTGAGGCCGACAAGGAAAAGGAGCTTAGAGATGCCATCCCCAGCAAGAGAGAAGAGGGGCATGGCCAAGGAATCCACGTGGGCCTGCACTGGTTCTTCAGGGAAGGGAAACATGGCTGATGAAATTTCTGCAAAGGCAGAGGCTTGTGACAAAACTAAAAATTATGACCCCTCATTCATCTGCAGGAAAAGAAACAGGCTTTTGGTAAAAGGAGATTTAACATCATGCAATTATTTTTCATAACAAGTTACTGAGTCTACAAGTATGTCTTGTGGAATAACCAAGAGTACAAACTTCACACTAACCTTGATAAGCCCAGGAGGAGGTTTTTCGTAACTGGAAAACAAAAAACAAAACCTTATCAACCATGTTAATGTAAACATAACACATCAAGTTACTGCAAAAAAGGGGCTATAGGATTTTTAATCAGAGATTTTAGCAACAATAAGCTTTTATCACTGGTTTGCAGACAAGCAATCACCTGAGAAGAGCAGAATGCTTCTCCTCCCTGTGCTGAGCGGCACCTGCCATCTAAGACTGGCCAGGCCTTCCTTATTTCCATCCAGGGACTGAACCCAGAGGAGACCCAGAATGCTGAGCACGCAAGTCTCCAGATGGGACAGGCAGCAAGATGGGAAGGAAATTCTGAAGGCGAGGTGTTTGTGCACTCAAAGAGCAACTCTCAGGCTCCTAAAGCAATTTGTACCTCCTCCCAAAAGAGTAATATGCAAATATTTTTAGCTCAGGTCTGTCCCTTGACCCTTTAAACCTTTAGGGAAGTATTTTTTTTTTTTTTGAGACAGGGTCTTGTCGTGTTGCCTAGGCTGGTCTCAAACCCCTGGCCTCAAGCAATCCTCCCACCTCAGCCTCCTGAGTAGCTGGGACTACAGTTGTGTACCATGGCACCATGACACCTGGCTCTCTTATTTTAATACTTCAGAATGGCTGCAACATAGAGAAACACTTAATGATTTAATGTTTTCTTCATTCGGACTCTCGTCTTATGCATAGTTTAAGGGACCCTTTAGAAGACAATGAATATTGGAAAAGGGAGTCAAGAATAGACAAAGGGAAAAGTGAAAAAATTTTCATTTGGCCAGGCGTGGTGGCTCGCGCCTGTAATCCCAGCACTTTGGGAGGCTGAGGCGGGCAGATCACTTGAGGTCAGGAATTCGAGACTAGCTTGGCCAACATGGTGAAACCCCGTCTCTACTAAAAATACAAAAATTAGCTGGGCGTGGTGGCGGGTGCCTGTAATCCCAGCTACTCAGGAGGCTGAGGCAGAAGAATTGCTTGAACCTGGGAGGCAGAAGTTGCAGTGAGCTGAGATCGCACCATTGCACTCCAGCCTGGGAGACAGAGTGAGACTCTGTCTTAAAAAAAAAAAAAAAAATTCATTCTCCCCTTCTATAAGATGTGGGAGAAAGCAACTTGATGGACAATGGATGAGAAATACTACTAATCCCAGATCTGTTCCCTCAAGATTAAATAGTAAACAACTGTGTATTAACAGGATTAGCTTTGTAAGTGTGGTACAGTGTTTTCCCAAAGTAGGTGCTTAAAATATTTCTAACAAAAAGCTGTGGCATGACATAGGCCTAATGGAGCAAAAACAATGGAAATCTGCACAACTTGTGAAGATGATAGTTTATCTGTAGCCATTCATTAGAAACATTAATGCTATACCTTATGCATAGAGACTAGAAGGAGCTTGACAGTAAAGTCTATAAATCCAAAAATCCAATAAATGAATCCTTTTGAGCCACAAGCATTATACAAAAAATATATGGCCAATCGAATTGAGATCCAAATTCTCAAAAAAAAGTAACTGTTCTTGCCAAGATGAAAATGAGTGTGATGCAATTGCACATTTGGAAATATAATATTATCAGCAATGGCATTCCCAAAGTCCATTTTACAAGTGGTTTCACAAGTTTAAAGAAGGGTGGTTCATGTTGTTTCCCGGGGCTGAACAATTCATTAATGTAGTATACTCAAAAATATATTTCTGAAAGTAGTATTTAACTACTAAATACAGATTAGAAAACTGAAGTATGTTCACGCACAGTTTAGGTTCTACAGTGTGACAGTTAAGAGGTATGCATTTATCTTTGCAGTCACTGTCACCCAAGCTGGAGTGCAGTGGCGTGATCACAGCTCACTGCAGCCTTGAACTCCTGGGTTCAAGCAATCCTCCTGTCTTGGCCTCCCAAAGTACTGGGATTGTATACATGATCCACCGTGTCCAGCTGCAGTTAATTCTCAAGATAAAAAAAAGTTGATTGAGATGCATTATTTTGTGCCATCTGAAAAGCCTTACTTAGTCATTCAGACTGTACTAACTTTCTCTGAGTAGGAAGAAGACCAGTTATGTCTGAGACACGCTGTCTTCTCAAGTGTGTACAGAGTAAGAAATCTTTTGTTAAGTGTTTCAAATTACTCTTTCTGTTGACTGTTGAGATGGGTTTTCTTTGAGAAGAGTCCCTAATGCAAGTGTACTCCATTCCACACAATTGTTCCTGCAGCTGCATCCAAGGGGCTGCGTGGCAGAGGTGAAACTGCCACATACACCCAGAAGGTCCACTCTGTTATGCCTGGCAGCCCAGGAGCTATTAAGTGACAGAGAGTGTTGGAGCAGGTGGAAGCCTCGGATGCCCTCAGGGGCCTGGCAGGCAGGGTCACCGAGGGAAAACTGTGGTGGAGACTCAGGAGACTCCATCACATCAGGGATGAAAAGATTTGAATTCAATTTATAAAAGAGCACTGTGGGGCTTCCCATTTAACATGGCCAACTGACCAACATGCTTATCTATCTCCTTCCCCAGATGCTTTAAAAATGACAGTGAAAAAATAAAAAGGCCATAAAGATATCCCAAAAGGAGGCAACATCAGAGGAAGTTTTCAACAAATTTGGGAAAGTGGAAATAGCAATGGATTTCCTGGGGTGGAAGAAGTAACACTTTTCAGAAGATGAGGCTTCCTTCCTATAGCCAGGAGGCTGCCTGCCCAACACTTGAAGGAGGCTGCAGGGTTAGCCTCTCCAATTCAGCAACACTGGCAGCCAGGCAGAGATCCCTGGCCCCCAGGCAGAGGACTCAAGACCCTTCTCTAGAGGAACTTAGGAGCCCCAGAAAAAAATCTCCAACTACTGACATTTGGAAGTCTCTTGATAAAAAGGGTACCCTGCAGCATGAGCGCCCTATCATGAAGCTATCTGATCAACAAACAACACCTTCTCTCTTTTTTCTCTCCCACACACAGCTGCCCTTGACAAGAGCTGTATAGCGCCTACTCTTAAATGAGTTGAGGCCAGAGCAGCGGCTCATGCCTGTAATCCCAGCACTTTGGGAGGCTTAAGTGAGAGGATTCCTTGAAGCCAGGAGTTCGCGACCAGCCTGGGCAACATAGTAAGATTCCATCTCTAAAAAAAAAAGTGTAAAAAAACTAGCTAGGTGTCATGGTGTGCACCTGCAGTCCCAGCTACTCTGTAGGCTGATTCAGGGGGGATCACTTGAGCCCAGGAAGTCGAGGCTGTAGTGAGTTATAATCGTGCCACTGTGCTCCAGCCTGGGTGACAGAACGAGAGCTTGTCTCTAAAAAACACAAAACAAAACAAAATATGGTTGAGATTCAAGAATACCCAGATATTAGAGAAAAAAAAATTACTAAATGTAAGACAGCAATCAAAATAAAAAGCAAACAAGAAATAGAGGCAATGTAGGGAACAAAAGACAACAAAAAAGAAAAACGAGTGAGTATCCTCATAGATGAGTGAAGATATTTCACTTATGAAACAAGAACAGGATAATATAAAAAACAACTTGCAGAATGAGAAAAAGCTTTTTGATTTAGAAATATAACAAATATGTTTAGTAGAGAAAAAGATACATCTACAAAGTACAATGAAAATACAAAGACAGAAGAGATAGAGCAACAGAAAATCAACAGAAGGAAAAAACAAAATTGGGGAGAGGAAATAAGACATAAATTTATATATGTAGTTAATGCATTCATGACATGTCAAGAAAAAAAGAGTCAACTGCACAAACTGGGGAACAACACACACTGGGGCCCACTTGAGGGTGGAGGGCAGGCGGAGGGTGAGCATCAGAAAAAATAACTCTTGGGTACTAGGCTTTGTACCTGGGTGATGAAATAATCTGTACAACAAATCCCCATGACATGAGTTTACCTGTATAACAAACCTACACAGGTACCCCTAAACCTAAAATAAAAGTTAAAAAAAAAAAAGTCAATTGGAAAAGACTAACATTATCATGAAACTTCAGGATGGCAGCAATAAAGAATAGTTTCTTAACGTTTAAGGGTGAGGTGAACTTGAACAGGTAACTTATAAAAGAAAGGGACTCAGAATGGCATCAAACTCCTTAGCAGTTTTGGAAGCTAGAAGATAGTGATGTACTATCGCCAAAACTGAGTGAAAATTGTTGTTACTATTTTCCTCCTGCCTCAGCCTCTGGAGTAGCTGGGACTACAGGTCCATATCATTGTGCCTGGCTAATTTTTAAATTTTTTGTAGAGACAGGGTCTCACATTGTTGCCCAGGCTGGTCTTGAACTCTTGGCTTCAAATGATTCTCCTGCCTTGGCCTCCCAAAGTGTTGGGATTACAGGTGTGAGCCAGCATGCCCAGCCCCAAAATGATTTTTGACCTGTAATTTTATACCTAGTCAAATTATGTACCAAGTTTTAGGATAGAATAAAGACATCTTCAGATATGCAAGGTGTCAAAAACTTTACCTCCAATGCACTCTTTCATAGGAAGTTGCAGAATTGGCTTTGGTAAAATGTGAGAGTAAACTTATAAAGAGGAAGACATGGAATCCAGGAATGAGATGCAAGATAGGAGAGTGGGAAAGGATGCCCTAGGACCACTGCTGGACCAGGTCTAAAAAGTAACCAGTGTACTGAAGGACAACAGATTGAAGAGTCTAGGTAAAAAATGAACTGACTACCTGATATGTAGTTATGTGTGGAAAAAGTACTATTGGGGCTCAGAAAATGATACCCCAAAGTATGGTGCTTTGGCATGCTGAGTACTTTGAACTAAATGAGATTAGAGAAGGCCTCAGAAGACAGTTGCTCTCTGACCTTCTCTTGCCCTCCTGTCTCCTGCCCTTCTTTCTTCCCCAAAGCAGTCAGAGAGGCCAGAATTCCTCTTTTCCACAAGTGGGCCATAAAAACTAGAACAAGTCTCCCACAAAGCAAGCCAGAAGCCCTACAAATAACTTTAATTTTTTTTTTAAAGAAGATAAAATCTCAGTGGAACTTTTAAAAAAATATTTAAAATAATAATAATAAACTCCTACAAATATTACCCTAACATTTCCTTGCCTTTCTGTGTCAGAGGTGGCCATAAAAACATGAGCTGACCTACCTTGTTTGATAGATCAGGACCCCTCATTCCAGAAAGGGTCCTGCCCCATATCTGGGAGGAAGTAATCGTACACAGAGAGGCCTGAAAAATCTGAATAGACAGGGCTTGCTGGATTTTCCCTATGACCACTGTATTATACCCTTTTTTGTCTAATCATATTTCTACACTGCTATACATTCTTCATCCAAACTAAGCATAAAAATAGTTTCCTCTGGGTCTCTGGGTCTTCCTTTGTCAACGTTCCCATGTCACATAAAACTTTGATTAAATACATTTGTTATGCTTTTTTCTTGTTGACCTATTTTTTGTTATAGGAGTATCTGCTGTGACTCCTATGATAGGTAAGGAAAGATACCTTTTCACCTTTATGGTACTCAGATTTTGGAGACATTGGGGGAAAAACAGCAGTAGAAAATTAAGTAAGTGAAAAACAAAGGCTCTTATTAACTACTTAAAAGTTAACAATAGTATAGAAAGCAAAATAAATCAGAGTACACTACCTGGCTCAAAGTGAGTAATAATTCATAGTTATATTGCTGTTTTTTTTTTGTTTGTTTGTTTTTGAGACAGGATATCACTCTGTTGCCCAGGCTGGAGTCCTGGAGTGCAGCCATGGCTTACTGCAGCCTCAACCTCCCAGGCTCAAGCAGATCTTCCCACTTCAGCCTCCCAAGTAGCTGGAACCACAGGCATGTACCACCATGCCTGGTTAATTTCTTTTTTCCTTCTTTCTTGCAGAGATAAGGTCTATAAATGCTGCCCAGGCTGGTCTAGAACTTCTGGCCTCAAGCGATCTTCCCACCTCTACCTCCCAAAATGCTGGGATTATAGGCGTGAGCCACAGAGCCCAGCCTAGTTATAATAATGTTAATACTAAGCATTCGTTTAGCAAAAATTGCTATGATGGAACTATACTGGAAGATTGGAAACAAGAAGGGTAGGTAAAGAACTAAATCCTTACTGTGACAAGAAGTTAAGAGGTATGTCTAAGATGTTGAATTGATGTAAACAGTATAAATATACAATTTAGGAATATACAGTTGGTGGGCGCAGCGGCTCACGCCTATAATCCCAGCACTTTGGGAGGCTGAGGTGGGCAGACCACTATGTCAAGAGATCGAGACCATCCTGGCCAACATGGTGAAGCCCCATCTCTACTAAAAATATAAAAATTAGCTGGGCATGGTGATGCACACCTGTAGTCCCAGGTACTTGGGAGGCAGAGACAGGAGAATCGCTTGAACCCAGGAAGTGGAGGCTGCAGTGAGCCAAGATTGCACCACTGCACTCCAGCCTGGGTGACAGAGCGAGACTCCATCTCAAAAAAAAAAAACAAAAACCAAACAGTTAAATCCCAGAAGTAAAACCTAAAAGTTTACACAGAGAAGCCTGGTTTGGGAGGGGGAAGAGGGACACAGGGAATATGAGTGGTTACTGAGGAGTTGGGCAGCCTATTGCTATTTTTTGGTAGCACTTTTAGTACTATTTGAATTTTAAAACTACATATTACTGTGGTATAAATACAATTTAAAGCTCAAACAAGATTCTGAACTGGCCAAAGCAAATGTCTCAACGGCTCATTCAGTTTTAAATCTCAGAAACTGGAAAAATCCCACCAGTCAATCAGACACCTGGGTTCAGCTCTAGATTTGCTGGTTAACTAACTGGTCAATGTATGCTTGATCACATGACTTAACCACTGTTCCTCCATTTTTTCATCTGTAAAAGTAGGTTATAATCTCTCTCATCTGTGAAAAAGCTCTCTGAGCTACAAATAAGTGGAATTAACCATCCTCTAGCATTCTATAGCTAAATATATTGAGGGCTGGGCAGGGCCAGGCATTCTGATGCTTACGCTAGGGGAAGATCTTTGAACACCTGACTTCCCTGGGAGACCAAGAGCGCCACACAGTGACTTGAAAGGGCCAGGACTGCCCTGTAACATGGATGCCCACAATGCAGGGTCTCTATCCTGCATCCCCTGCCCTGCTAAGGGGAAAAGTCGTTCAGAGCGGGCCACACTGGAAAAAGAGCAGGCCAGGTCCCAACATAGGAATTTATCTCACATCAAACCTCCCAGAAGGTTAATTATAAAAAGGATTTTAATTCTTTGAGGAACTTTTCTTATATGAATTATGTTTTTTAAAAGTAGACAAATTAAACTCTACTTGAGCAAAGAACTGTTTTCAAAGAGGGCACCCCCATAACCAGAATAGGTCCAGAGCAATTCTCAGGCTGCCACCTGGTGGGATAACATTTATGGACAGGAAAAGGAAAGTGATGTACAGAAAAGCAAATGAGGTAGAGAAATAGCTGGATTCCATACAGCCTGGCGTTTGCCTTCTTTGAACAGGGTTTCAAAGGCTGACCACCTGTGACGGCCTGAAAATCAGCTGCTGTGATTGTCTGAGACTCAGGTACTTATAACAGTAGGTTACAGTCTGTTTACACATCTACTTAGGTTACAGTTCACTAAGTACAGAGAAACTTTTAGGCTAAACTTAAAATATTCAAGGAGGCAGCGTTAGGCTATACTTAACACCTACTTAGCACAGGTAACTAGAAGTGGCTAAAACAGAAACGAATTCTTGAATAACTGAGTGAATGCCACACTTAGAAAAGGTTGTTTTATGCAGCTAATTATAGAATCACGGACAAGAACTGAAAGAGTTGCTGCCTGAACTTTCCACTCGAGGTCTGTGTTAGAATTTAGGAAACGCCACCCTGATAAATGACTGCAAAAGACAAGAATGCACCATCCCCAAACATGCCACCCTGGCATATTGATGACTTTGAGCTATAAGTAACAGAACCAAACAACACAGGATAACTTATTCAGCTACCCCTCAACTGCCTAAAATAAAGTATGACTGCTTTTTTTCCTTTTGTTCTTATTATTTTTCGACTCGCCTGTTGTAAACAGAAATTTACACCTATAAAGGAAATTTTCTGTAGTAAATGTATCTGTATCAGGAAGACAGCTGCTTGGGGGCAACTTTTATCGCCTGAGCGCCTCATCGGGATAACAAAGCAACCTTTATTCACCATACATTTCCCCCATCACCCTTCCAAAAGGTCTCCACCACGCCCCAAAAGGCCCACGCCCCTATTCCCTGGCCCTTCTTTGTCTCCCACTTTTGTGGCCCTCTAGTGCACGGGTACATAATTAAAAGTTTTTCTCCTGTTAATCTGTCTTATGACAATTTAATTTGTGGCCCAGCTTAAGAACTTAGAAGGGTAGAGGGAAACCATATTTCCTTCCCCTACATTTGAATCTTCTTTACACCACACTCTCCCGGGTCATTTGGACTCTCCTGGAACCCCCTGGAGCTAGGGAAGCGCAGGGCCTCCCAAGTCAGATTCTGCTTGGTGCCGAGCGGCAGTTGGCTCCCTGAACGCCCCGCCAGGAGGATGGACTTCAAGTCCTTGACCGCGGCGCCCGACATCGGTCGCCCGCACCAGGCTCCTGCCGGGCCCAGCCCCCCTGCCTGCTCGCGGGGGCTCGGAGGACCCGGCCTAGCGCCCACCGCGGCGTCCCGCGCCCCGGGCCCCTGGCTTCAGAAGACTGGCCGCGCGCGGACGGCAGCTCGGGACTCACAAGGACTCCAGGTGCTTGAGCTGCTGCAGCTGCTGCGCGTCGTGTCGCCGCCGCTTCTGCTCCCGACGTCGCTGCAGCTCCTGCTCCGGCGGCTCACGCGGCCGCCGCGCGCCCGCAGCCCCCACGTCCTCGCGCCCAGGCCGGGACGACATGTCAGCCCCCGCAGCGCCGCTCGGGCAACCCCCGCGGCGCGGCTCCGGCGGCGGCGGCGGCGGCGGCGGCAGCCAAGAGAGCACTTCCTCCGCGCGGCGGTCGCGGGGCTTCGCAGCGCCCCCTCCCGCCGCCGCCCCGCAACTCACCCCGGCGGCCCCGAAGTCTCAGCCTCGGCCACCCGATCCCCGCCTCCCCGCGTCGGGCCCCAAGTCAGGGGCTCCGGGTCTCGGGCCCAGCCGCCAGGCGGGCTGCTGCGGGTGGGTGGGGAGCGCCGCCTAGCTGGAGCCGAAGCGGGGCGAGGCGCTAGTTGGGAGCCTGGAGGTTCCCGCCCGGCCACACCCACCTCAGGTATACTAGCAACAGTCACATAGGGATGAGCAGATGAAATGTATTCATAAAAAAATGTTCAAATTAGCCAGGCGTGGTGGCGGGCGCCAGTAGTCCCAGCTACTTGGGTGGCTGAGGCAGGAGAATTGCTTGAACCCAGGAGGCAGAGGTTGCAGTGAGCCGAGATGGTGCCCCTGCACTCCAGTCTGGGCGAAAAAGCGAGATTGTCTCTCAGAAAAAAAAAAAAAAAAGTGTTCAAAAAGTGAAATGTATAAACATATAATTATGTTCGGTAATAGTGTGCACCCAGCTTTATAACTGCGGTCATCTGATATACCATGAGAGACAACCTAACTCTTTTGACAGGATGGGTCACCATGACGTCACCACTGTGCCAGTCACCCGAGGAGCCAAGATCCTGAGAAATTTCATCTTTCACAAATGCAGATGTACAGAAAAGACACTTATTTATTTATCGAGGAAATTTCTACATTTTTGCATATATGTAGAATGCTTACACAGTCACCATTGTAATAATGAGCTTTGATTGAGTCATATTTGCAAAAAATGCATAAAACAAATTTGAACTCTCTAAAAGTCTTTATATAGTTGATGCCTCCAGTATTAGAAATGATGTTAAGATGTAATACATAGCATAGTGAATTGTAAAACATAATGCTGACAATTTACAATAATGAAAAAGCTAAAAGAGAAAATAGAAAAACGAAAGCAAACTAAAAAGAAAATTCAACATAGAAAAAGTGTATTGCAGGGATAGATTATGGGCAATTGCATGGCGATTGTCCACATGAACTGCCCAACTTTTATGATGATTAACATATTTTGAAGTCTTGCATCATGATGAATAGCTTTTTTTTTTTTCTTTTAGGACATGGCTCTCCTCGATGATACAGTCTCATTAATTTTCTATGTGATACTGCTCTTTCCAAAATTCTTTTTAACTTTTTAAAGTTTTTTATTTTGTAGAGACGGGGTCTCGCTATGCTGCTTAGGCTGGCCTTGAACTCCTGGCCTCAAGCAATCCTCCTGCCATAGCCTCCCAAAACACTGGGATTACAGGTGGGAATCACTGCACCTGACTATGAAATTATTTTGTGATTTGATATTCTCTGACTTCTCTTTGTGCTTTCTTTCTGTTGTACCCTCCTGTCCATGAACCCCTCTGTTTTTCATTTTATTCTTCTGCCCCCTCCTAAGACACCAGAGATTCATTCTTGAGGCCAGTCAAGCAGCCTTGGTGTTGGCCCACTGGTGGGGCAGCTGCAGTTGGTCCTTAGTCTGTGCTACTGGACAGGTTTTAAACCTTTCAGAATGGAGCAACTAAAAAAAGAATAGATTTTCTCCTGCTTGTATTGATCACCCTTCACAGTGTAATCTTGACACCATTGTTTTGCTGCTAAGGTGTATTTTTACAAGCTCTTATCTTACCAGTGACCTTTCCCCACTGGGGAGATGAGGAGAGGAAAAAAGTAGGAGAAGGGAAAGATCACATGGCTAGATTAGAGAGTACAATGCAAAATCTTTCTTTTTTTCCTACCCAAAATACAAGTCTTCAAGGAACTCTCATGGTGAAGTGGACCCTCAGGCGTGCATGTCTATGGTCTTCTGCAGCGCAGTAGAAACATGAGAATCCCTTTGGTCATGCACTAAAAACAGCTGTTAAAATTACTTCTAGGGCCAGGCATGGTGGCTTGTGCCTGTTGTCCTAGGTATTTGTGGAGCTTAGGTGGGAGGATTGCATGAACCCAGGAGGTGGAGGCTACAGTGAGCCATGATCGTGTCACTGCACTCCAGCCTGAGTGACAGAGTGAGCCCCTGTCTCAAAAAAAGAAAAATTATTTCTATCCATCAATAGTTGCTAACCAGTAGGATCGGAGGGAAAATTGCAACGTGCTTTACTTTAGGCTTGCAGGTACGAAAGACTGAGGGAGGAAGGTCAGACACCAAACTTAATTGGTATTCTGGGGCAAATATTTGGCAACTGAGTTGACATTTCTCCTTCTCTTCCTTGCTACCAGCTTTGATTTTGTTCAGGAATCATACAGGAAGCTGGTTAGAGAGTGGAGGCCTCTTCATGCCTCTCTAGAGGTGAGTCTTGACTTGTCTTAAGCCAGTCATTAGTAATTTTGTTCTCGTTTCCACTGATTGTTTTAGCAATGGACCTGTGGTGCAATTTTAGCCAATGAGGTATGAGGAGAGGTCGGATGGAGGTGGCTTTCAGGGTAAGGTTGTCTTTGCTCTTAATAAATGATGCTTGGGAGTGTCAAAGATCCCCTTTCTGCCTCCAGATGTTGTTGCCTGCAACCCCCAGAGGATGGCAGAGGACAGAAGGAGACCCCTGGGTCCTTGGGGATGTGATAGAGACATTTGATCAACCAGTCCTGGTGTTGCTACCTATCCATACTTCTCATTCTGGGAGATAGTACATTTCTTTATTATTGAAGTGATTTTGAGTTGGGTCTTCTATTACTCACAGATAAATATGATTCTTTACATTTATATAGTGCCATGCAGATCTCCCCCTGCCCCCATATGTTCTCCCAGTTGATTTTACAGAAACCCTATGGGGGCATGCAAGACAATGTAAGATAAGGAAATTGAGGCTCAGAAGGAGAGTGTGGCCCTGCAACCAAAATGGTCTGATTTCTAGTCCAGAGTTTTTCATCAACCCTCATGAATTTAGGTGTGTGGGAATAGTGGGAGTGGGAGAATCTCTTGGAAACCCTTGGAGAATCTCTTGGTAAAGAAGAGGATAGGAAGCTGCTGGAAACAAATTTCCCTGATGTCCCATTGGCCTCAAATCGGCTCAGATGGACTTTTGGGGATGTTTTTTCATTCAATTTATTTATTTAATAATTAAAAACAATACAGATGGGGCCCTGCTATGTTGATGGGGGTGAGGAGGTATTTTTCCTCAGCTGGCCTTTTCCCTCCCCTCCCCTCCCCTTCCCTTCATTTTTTTGAGACAGGGTCTCACTCTATTGGCCAGGCTGGAGTGCAGTGGTACGATCTCTGCTCACTGCAACCTCCGCCTCCCAGGTTCAAGGGACTCTCGTGTCTCAGCCTTTCAGGTAGCTGGGACCACAGGCGTGCGCCACCACGCTGGGCTAATTTTTGTATTTTTAGCAGAGACGGGGTTTCACCATGTTGGCCAGGCTAGTCTCGAACTCCTGACCTCAACTGATCTGACTAAGGCTGGTCATTTCTTTAGCCATCCTGTGTGTGCCAAGCAAAAGTTAACAACTGGCATAGCTTAGCCTCCAGGGTTTACTGTTCTCAAAACCACAGTAGTTTTCTGATTCACAAAACTGCCTTTATTTCAGACTCAATGAAAGGTGGAAACCTTTTTTTTAGGGCCTGGCCTTAGTGGATTACGTTGGATTTTACCATTAACACTTGAGGTTCCTGTACTGTCTGAGGGGCATTTGACAGAACCTGGTTTACTGACTTTGATTCAGACCAGTCCTTTTTTCAGATCCCTTTCTCCCCGCTCTTCCATGCTGCTTCCCATGCCCACCTTGGCCTCAGATTTTGCTGTTCCTCTCATTGTGTCCTTCTGTCTGATTTTACCACATTTTCTGGTCCCTGCCTCTGCATTCTCTCACTGATTGTTATCTTGTTTTTCTCTCCCTGCCATCTTTCTCTCTCATTTCCCCTCTTTTTCTTATTCCGATAACCTTTCATTCCTTCTAGTCCCTGTCTCACGTTTGTGTGAAAGTTAGTTATACAAATTGGGTAATTTTTGTCATACTCAAGTAAAAGAGAATCAAGGGGTCAGGGGGGAAAAGCACTTGTGGTCACAGGACCTGCTCCAAGAATTAAATTTTCCAGAAGCCCAGCCGCTAAAATGGACTGCTGTAACTCTAAGATCAGTTTTACCTGGTAGCTGCTGAAACGGCCTGCCCTGGCTCTGCGACTGGTTTTAACTGCTGCAGTCACTCGTCTATCAGAGCTTGCCGGCTCCCAAAAGCTTGTTTAGTGCCAATGAGCTTCCTTCCTTCCTTCCTTCCTGCCTCCCTCCTTCTCTCCCTCTCTCCCTCCCTTTCTCTCTCCTTTCTTTCCTTCCTTTCCTTTTTTTGACAGAGTCTCACTCTGTCACCAGGCTGGAGTGCAGTGGCGCAATCTTGGCTCACTGCAACCTCTGCCTCTTGGGTTAAAGTGATTCTCTTGCCCCAGCCTCCCGAGTAGCTGGGACTACAGGCGCGTGTCACCATGCCCAGCTAATTTTTGTGTTTTTTGTAGAGATGGGGTTTTACCATGTTGGCCAGGCTGGTCTTGAACTCCTGACCTCGTGATCCGCCTGCCTCAGGCTCCCAAAGTGCTGGGATTACAGATGTGAGCCACCACGCCCGGCCTGAGATTTCTTTCAAAACACTACATAACATTTGTCTTTCTTTCTTATTTATTTATTTTTTAATTATTTATTTATTTTTATTTTTTTGAGATGGAGTCTTGCTCTGTTGCCCAGGCTGGAGTGCAGTGGCGCAATCTCGGCTCACTGCAAGCTCTGCCTCCCAGGTTCACGCCATTCTCCTGCCTCAGCCTCCCGAGTAGCTGGGACTACAGGCGACCCGCTACCAAGCCCGGCTCATTTTCTGTGTTTTTAGTAGGGACGGGGTTTCACCGTATTAGCCAGGGTGGTCTGGATCTCCTGACCTCGTGATCTGCCCGCCTCAGCCTCCCAAAGTTCTGGGATTACATGCATGAGACACCATGCCTGGTCAACATTTCTCTTTCTGATAAAACTTTCAACCTTCTCTTTGTTCATCTCACATACCAAAGACCACCTGGTCTATGTGTATGCCCCGAATTGTGATTATTGCTTCCCTAATAAAACGTTTTAACCTTAGAGATTCATCTGTCTATAATATTTGACTTAAACATACTTGGTGTCAGAAGCATGGATCCAAAGCTGCCTTGCCTTGGGGAAAATCCCAGCCTCTGGACTATGATGAGATGTGCCTACACTCGAACCCCTGGAGCCTCCTGCTTCCCTAAGCTGCCTCTTTTCCCTTTGGTGAGTCTCTCTTTGACCAGACTTCTGACTTTGGTCAAATGGTGTTTTATTTGGAATTTGGTTGAAGAGAGCCTTCCCCGCTTTTTTTCCGAGAGGCATCTTTCCTCCTCTGTTTGGGAGCTCTCCTGCTGGGAGGGGTCATCATCTTCCTGTCAGTCTCAGCTGGGAGGTTTAGGTGTAGGGATTTCCCCTTATTTGGAGAAGGCGGCTTATTGTCCTTCTTGGTAAGTATGTATTTTATTTTCTGTCTGTGTGGCTTTGGTGTATTCAGTCCTTGTGTTTTAATTTGTTTTTGTGCATTTGGCAATAAAATGAATCATCTAGATCAATTTAGTTAGAAATGGGAAGTCAGAGTTTCACAGCATGCCAAAATATTATCTGGGACTCCAGCTGGTAACATGTTGAAACATTATGGGATCATTCAGACAGTCTATTATTCTTCAAACTAAACTAAGACACCAGCAATAAAATCATACACTTCAAATAATACTTATATCTCAATTGATATCTTGAGGCTCAAAAAATTCTCATGACTCAAAGATTGCCTTTTTATAAAACACTGGCACAAAACTGGCAGAGACTTTTTTTTTCAGGATCTTTTTCTACAATTGCTTCTATCCTTCTCTAAACTAAACTGTTTCTTCCAAAACTCCTCAGCTATTGTGACATACTATTTAAGTAACAACACAAGAAAACCAACAGATTCAAAAGAAAATCATTTTGACCCTTGTGCTGTTTCTTAAGAACAAAAGATGGAATTCCCATATAAAGGAAGTCTTCCCTATACTAAAAGGAATGGCAACATTTTTTTTTTTAAAACCTCAGACTGGCAACGGGTGGCACATCTCACACACCTGTGTGAGCACGCAATCATCATGAACTACAAAAAGGTTGAGGAATGGCAGCATTCTCATCTTCAAGGACAAATAATATGCTGTGCAGACCTTGTTAGAATAACTCTTATCTTTTGGGCCTCTGACATAATCCAGTCACAGTTTCACAGCTAATTTTTATTTGTCCAATCTGGTAATTGACTTAAACTGCTCTACGCAAAATTTGGTTCTCCACCTTCATATTATTACCTATTTAAAAAGTCTTAAAGGTTAGCCTTATCTGATTTTTTCAGAAACATGATTTGGATCCAACTGTCTTTTATAAACTTGTGAGTCCATATATATATATATATATATATAATTTTTATTTTTAATTTTTGTGGGCACATAATATGTGTTAATATTTATGGGGTACATGTTTTGATACAGGCATGCAAAACTTAATAATTAAATCATGGAGAATGGGGTATCCATACCCATAAGCATTTATCTTTTGTGTTACAAACTCTTTTAAAGTGCACAAATAAGTTGTTATTGACTATACTCACCATGTTATGGCGTCAAATGGTAGGTCTTATTCATTTTTTCTATTTTTTTTTGTTTTTTATTTTTCTTACCCTTTAACTATCTCCACCACCTCACTGTGCTTCCCAGCCTCTGGTAACCTTCCCTCCTCTCTATATCCATGAGTTCTATTGCTTTGATTTTTAGATCCTACAAATAAGTGAGAACATGCGATGTTTGTCTTTCTGTGCCTGGCTTATTTCACTTAACATAATGGTCCCCAGTTCCATCTATGTTGTTGCAAATGACAGGATCTCATTCTTCCTTTATGGTTGAATAGTACTCCATTGTGTATATGTACCACATTTTCTTTATCCATTCATCTGTTGATGGACACTTAGGTTACTTCCAAATCTTGGCTATTGCAAACCAACATGCAAGTGCAGATATCTCTTCGACATACTGATTTCGTCTCTTTTGGGTATATAGCCAGCAGTGGGATTGCTGGATCATATGGTAACTCTATTTTTAGTTTCTTGAAGAACCTCCAAAGTGTTTTCCATAGTGGCTATATTAATTTACATCCCTTCCAACAGTATATGAGGGTTCCCTTTTTTCCCACATCCTCGCCAACATTTATTATTGCCTGTCTTTTGAGCATAAGCCATTTAACTGGGGTGAGATGATATCTCATTGTAGTTTTGATTTGCATTTCTCTGATGATCATATGCCTGATTGCCATTTGCATGTCTTCTTTTTAGAAATGTCTATTCAAATCTTTTGCCCATTTTTAATTGGATTATTAGATTTTTTCCTATAGAGTTGTTTGAACTCCTTATATATTCTGCTTATTAATCCCTTGTCAAAAGGGTAGTTTGCAAATATTTTCTCCCTTTCTGTGGGTTGTCTCTTCACTTTGTTAATTGTTTCCTTCTCTGTGCAGAAGTTTTTTTTAACTTAATGTGTTCCTGTTTCTCCATTTTGGCTTTGGTTGCCTGTACTTATGGGAGTTAACTCAAGAAATTTTTGCCCAATGTCCTAGGTATGTTCCCCAATGTTCTGTGTAGTAGTTTCATAGTTTGAGGTCTTAGATTTAAGTCTTTAATCTATTTTAATTTGATTTTTGTATATGGCAAGAGACAGGAGTCTAGTTTCATTCTTCTGCATATGGATATTCAGTTTACCAAACACCATTCATTAAAGAGATGGTCTTTTCCCCAGTATATGTTTTTGCCACCTTTGTCGAAAATGAGTTCACTGTGTATGAGTTTATTTCTGGGTTCTCTATTCTGTTCCATTGTCTGTGTGTCTCTGGGCCAGTACCATGATGTTTTGGTTACTATAGCTCTGTAATTTAATTTGAAGTCAGGTAATGTGATTTTTCCAGTTTTGTTCTTCTTGCTCTGGATAGCTTTGGCCATTGTGGTCTTTTGTGGATCCACGTAAATTGTAGGATTGTTTTTCTATCTCTGTAAAGAATTACATTGGTATTTTGATAGGGATTGCATTGATTCTGTAGAATGCTTTGAGTAATATGAACGTTTAAACGATATTGAGTCTTCCAATACATGAATGTGGAATATCTTTCCATTTTTTTTCTGTCCTCTTCAATTTCTTGCCTCAATGTTTTATAGTTTTCTTTTTCTTTTCTTTTTTTCCTTTTTCTTTCTTTCTTTCTTTTTTTTTTTTTTTTTTTTTTTTTTTTGAGACAGTCTTGTTCTGTCGCCCAGGCTGGAGTCCAGTGTCACAATCTCGGCTCACTGCAACCTCCACCTCCTGGATTCAAGTGATTCTCCTGCCTCAGCCTCTTAAGTAGCTGGAACTGTAGGCATACACCACCATGCCTGGTTAATTTTTGTATTTTTAGTAGAGATGGGGTTTCACCATGTTGGCCAGGCTGATCTCAAACTCCTGACCTCAGGTGATCCACTTCCCTTGGCCTCCCAAAGTGATGGGATTACAGGCATAAGCCACCACGCCTGGCCCATAGTTTTCATTGCAGAGATCTTTCACTTTGGGTAAGTTAATTCCTAAGTATTTAATTTTATGTGTGCTATTATAAATGGAATTCCTTTTTGAATTTATTTTTCAGTGTTCACTGTTGGCATATAGAAATCCTACTGATTTTTGTATGTCGATTTTGTATCTTACAACTTTACTGAATATATCAGTTCTAATAGTTTTTGGTGGAGTGTTTAGGTTTTTCCAAATATAAGGTCATATCATTTGCAAACAAGAGTAATTTGACTTCTTTCTTTCTAATTTGGATGCCTTTTATTTCTTTCTCTTGTCTGGTTGCTTTATCTAGGACTTTCAATACTATGTTGAATAATAGTGGGCATCCTTGCTGTTTTCCAGATAATAGAGGAAAGGCTTTCCATTTTTCCCCATTCAGTATGATACTAGCTATGGGTCTGCCGTATACGGCTTTAATTATGTTTAGGTATGTTTCTTCCTTGCCTAGTTTTTTGAGGGTTTTTATCATGAATGGATGTTGAATTTTATCAAATGCTTTTTCAGCATCAATTGAAATGATCATATGGTTCTTGTCCTTCATTCTGTTGATATGATGTATCACATTGTTTTACTTGCATATGTTGAACCATCCTTGCATGCTAGGGATGAATCCCATTTGGTCGTGATGAATATCTTTTAATATATTCTTGAATTTGATTTGCTAGTATTTTGATGAGGATTTTTACATCAATATTCATCAGATATATTGGCCTGTAGTTTTCTTTTTTTGATGTGTTTTTGTCTGGTTATCATATCAGGGTACTGGCCTCATAGAATGAGTTTGGAAGTATTTCCTCCTCCTCTATTTTTCAGAATACCTTGAGTAGGATTGTTATTATTTCTTCCTTAAATGTTTGGTAGAATTCAGCAGTGAAGCCACTGGGTCTTGGGCTTTTCCTTACTGGGAGACTTTTTTATTATGGCTTAAATCTCGTTACTTGTTATTGGTCTGTTTAGGTTTTGGAGTTCTTCATGGTTCAATCTTGATAGATTGTATGTGTCTAGCAATTTGTACATTTCTTCTAGGTTTTCCTACTTATTGGCATATATAGTTGCTCACAGTAGCCACTAATGATCTTTTTTTTTGCTTTTAAGGAGTGGAGAGTTTAATAGGCAAGAAAGAAGGGAGAAGAAAGAAGCCCCACTAATGATCTTTTGAATTTCTGCAGCATCAGTTGTAATGTCTTGTTTATCCTCTCTGATTTTATTTATTTGGGTCTAATCTCTTTTTTCTTTTTCTTTTTCTTTTTTTTTTTTTTTGAGACAGTGTCTCGCTCTGTCTCCCAGGTTGAAGTGCAGTAGTGTTATCTTGGCTCACTGCTACCTCTGCCTCCCAGGTTCACGCCATTCTCCTGCCCCAGCCTCCTGAGTAGCTGGGACTACAGGTGCCTGCCACCATGCCCGGCTAATTTTTTTTTTCGTATTTTTAGTAGAGACGGGGTTTCACCATGTTAGCGAGGATGGCTCTCTTTTTTTCTTAATCTGGCTAAAGGATTTTCAATTTCATTTATCTTTTTGAAAAACCAACTTTTCATTTCATTGATTGCATTGTTTTCTTCATTTCAAAATCATTTATTTCTCCTCTAATCTTTATTATTTCTTTTCTTCTACTAATTTTGGGGGTGGTTTGCTCCTGTTTTTCTAGTTCTTTAAGATGCATCATTAGGTTTTTTATTTGAAGTTTTTCTACTTTTTTGATGTAGGCACTTTTTATTGTAAACTTCCCTCTTAGTACTGCTTTTGCTGTATCCTATAGGTTTTGGTATGCTGTGTTCCCATTTTCATTTGTTTCAAAAAATTTTTCAGTTTCCTTCTTAATTTCTTCATTGACCCACTGGTCATTCAGGAGCATATTGGTTAATTTTCATGTATTCATCTAGTTTCCAAAATTCCTCATTATTATTATTATTATTGTTATTATTATTATTTTTTTGAGATGGAGTCTCGCTCTGTCACCCAGGCTGGATGGAGTGCAGTGGAGTGATCTCTGCTCACTGCAAGCTCCGCCTCCTGGATTCATGCCTTTCTCCTGCCTCAGCCTCCCAAGTAGCTGGGACTACAGGTGCCTGCCACCACACCCGGCTAATTTTTTGTATTTTTAGTAGAGACAGGGTTTCACTGTGTTAACCAGGACGGTCTTGATCTTCTGACTTTGTGATCCGCCCGCCTTGGCCTCCCAAAGTGCTGGGATTACAGGTGTGAGCCACCACACCCAGCCTCCTCATTACTGATTTCTAGTTTTATTCCATTGTGTTGAGAGAAGATATTTGATACATTTTCAATTTTTTGAAATGTTTTAAGACTTGTTTTGTGGTTTAACATGTGGTCTATGCTTGAAAATAATCCTTATGTTGAGGAGGAGAATGTGTATTCTGGAGCTATTGGATGAAATGTTCTGTAGGTATCTGTTAGGTTCATTTGTCTGTAGTGCAGATTAAGTACAATGTTTCTTTGTTGGCTTTCTGTCTGGATGATCTGTCTAATGCTAAAAGTGGGGTGTTGATGTCTCCAGCTGTTATTTTTGGGGAATCTACCTCTCTTTTTAGCTCTAATATTTGCTTTATATATCTGGGTGCTCCAGTGTGGGGCATATATATATTTACAAATTATTATATCCTCTTGTCAAATTTACCCCTGTATCATTATATGATGAACTTCTTTTTCTTTTTTAATAGTTTTTGTTTTGAAATCTATTTTGTCTGATATATAAATCTATTTTGTCTAATGTAATAGACAAAATAGTATAGCTACTCTTGTTTTTTTTTGGTTTCCATTGGCGTGGAATATCTTTTTCCCTATCTTAATTTTCAGTCTTCGTGTGTCTTTACAGGTGAAGACTATTTCCTGTAGGCAACAGATCAATGTATCTTGATTTTTTAATCCATTCAGCCACTCTATATCTTTTGATTGGAGAGTTTAGTACATTTACATTCAATGTTACTTTTTTCTACTTCTTTCCCAATATTTGTACAATGTTATGATTGATAAGTGATAAGTTACTGCTGCCATTTTGTCATTTGTTTTCTGGTTGTTTTATGATCTTTTCTTCCATCTTTCTCTCTTTCTTGTATTACTTTTAGTAGGTATCTTTGATCTTTGGGAGTTCGAATATTAAATGCCTTGAAGTAGTCTTCTTTGGGTTAAATCTACTTGGTGTTCTATAATCTTCTTGTACTTGATATTGTTATCTTTCTCTAGGTTTGGGAAGTTCTTTGTTATTATCCCTTTAATAAGCTCTCTACCCCTGTCCCTCTGTCTACCTCTTCTTTAAGGCCAATAACTCTTAAATTTGCTCTTTTGAGGCCATTTTCTGGATTCTGTAGGCGTCCTTTTTTTTTCTTTTCTCTCACTGACTGTATTTTCAAATAGCCTGTCTTCAAGCTCACTAATTCTTTCTTCTGCTTGATCAATTCTGCTATAAAAAGACATAAATTCTTTTGTATGCCAATTGCATTTTTTCAGCTCCAGAATTTATGCTTAATCTTTTTTAATTATTTCAATCTCTTTGTAACATTTATCTGATAGGATTCTGAATTCCTTCTCTGTTTTCTTGAATTTTTTTGAGTTTCCTCAACACAGCCATTTTGAATTCTCTGTCCAAAAGTTCACATATCCATTTTTCTCCAGGATAGGTCCCTGGTGCCTTATTTAGTTCTTTTGGTGAGTTCATATTTTCCTGGATGGTGTTGATGCTTGTAGATGTTCTTTAGTATCTGGGCATTGAAGAATTAGGTATTTCTTATAGTCTTTATAGTCTGGACTTGTTTGTACCCATCTTTTTTGGGAAGGCTTTCCAGATATTTGAAAGGACTTGGGTGTGTTGTGATCTTAAGCTTTATTTGCTTTAGGCGGCAACTCATGCACAGTAATCCTGTGGTTCTTGAAGACTTGTAGAGGTACTGCCTTGATGGACTTGGGCAAGATCCAGGAGATTTCTCTGGATTACCAGGCAGAGACTCTTATTCTCTTCCCTTACTTTTTCCCAAACAAATGAAGTCTCTCTCTCTGTTAACTGAGCCACCTGAAGCTGGAGGTAGAGTGACACAAACACTCTTGTGGCCACCACCACTGTGACTGCACTGGGTCAGACCTGAAGTCAGGACAGCACTGGGTCTCACCCAAGGCCTGCTATAACCACTGCCTGTCTACTTACCTATGTTCACGCAAGACCCTAGAGCTCTACAGTCAGCATGTAGCAAAGCCAGCCAGGCTTATGTCCTTCCCTTCAGAGCAATGAGTTCTCCCAGATTCTTGTGAGGGTGCTGTCAGGGAGATAGGGACTACAGTCAAAAATCTCAGAGTCTACTTGGTGTTCTATTGTACTGTGGCTGAGCTGCATCAAACCACAAGATGCAGTCCTTCCCACTCTTTCCTCCTCTTTCCAAAGGCAGATGAGCCTCACCCTGTGGCCACCACCACCACAGGCCCGTGGAGAGTATTGCCAGACTACCGCTGATGTTCCCTTAAGGCCCAAGGGCTCTTAAGTCAGCTTGTGGTGAATTTGCCTGGCCTGGGTCTCACCCTTCAGGGCAGTGGGTTCTCCTTTGACCCAGGGCAGGTGCAGAAATACCATCCAAGAGCCAAGTCTTGGAATTGGGGACCCCATGAGCCCGCTTTGGGTTCTACTCACCTCTGGCTGAGCTGGTACCTAAGGTGCAAGACAGAGTCCCTTTACTCTTCCCTCTGCTTTTCTCAAGCATGAAGACTCTTGCTCCATAGTAACCACATCTGCAATGTGCTGAGTCTCACCTCAGCCAATAATGAAGCCATATAAGTCTCAGAGTATCACCGAAGGCCCTCAATGTAGTACATGTGTATTACTGCTGGTTGTTTAGTGCCCAAGGGCTCTTCAGTTAGCAGGTGATGAATCCTGCCAGAACTAGGTCCTTCCCTTCAAGGCAGCAGGTTCCCTACTGGCCCACGTTGTGTGTAGAAACACCATCTGGGAACTAGGGCCTGAAATGGGGGGTGGCCTCATGACTCTGACCAGTGCCTTATCCTGCTGTGACTGAGCTAGTATACAGGGTGCAAGACAAAGTCCTCCCCATCCTTCCCTCTCCTCTCCTAAAGTGGAAGGAAGGAGTCTCTTTTGAAGCCACAAGCTGTGCAGCCTGGACTAGGTGAGAGTTGATGCCAGCACTCCCACAACTGCCCTGGCTGGTGTCTCAGTAGGCCATGTGCCCCCTGAGTCCACTGGCTCTGGGCCCATTTCAGCCCTAGGACTCACCTAGGAGTTGTGGTCCTTGTGGCCTAGACTGCCTTTCAAGTTTACTTACAGCCCCAAAGTACTTTAGATCATTGTCATGATACTTGAGGGAACTCAACTTCTGACTGCTGGGATTGGTGATTTCCTGTTGGCTAGGGCTGCTTTAAGTATTTTCTCCACGGGCAGGTGTCAGCTGAGTTTTGTCCAGTTTTCCTTTCTGCTATAACAGGGCAGCACTGAGTTCAGCGCCTTAAATTTGCTGCATTCCCCCTTCCCCAGTGCACAGAAATGCTCTTTACACCATGCAACCATTGCTGGGGAGTGTGGGAGGAGTGGTGTTGGCAATTCAAGACTTTTTTCTACTTCTTCTGTGCCTCTTTCAGCAATATTAAGTTAAAACCAGGTACTGGCTGGGTGTGGTGCTCACGCCTGTAATCTCAGCACTTTGGGAGGCCAAGGTGGGAGGATCACTTGAGTTCAGGAGTTTGAGACCAGCCTGGCCAACATGGTGAAACCTCGTCTCTACCAAAAATACAAAAAATTAGTGGGGCGTGGTGGCATGTGCCTGTAATTCCAGCTACTCAGGAGACTGAGGCAGGAGAGTCGCTTCAACCTGGGAGATGAATGTAGCAGTGAGCCTAGCTTGTGCCACTGCACTCCAGCCTGGGTGACAGAGTGAGACTCTGTCTCAAAAACAAAACAAAACAAAAACAAAACCAGGTACTGTGACTGTTCACCTGATTTTGCTTCTCGTGAAGGTGCTTTTTTCTGTGTAGGGAGTTTTAAATTGCTGTCCTTGTTGGGGGATGCTTGGTGCAGGCTTCTATTTTGCCATCTTGCTCCACCTCTCATCTGAGTTTATATAATTTACTATGTCATGATTAAAAATCTAAAATAAAAGCTATAAGAACTTTATTTCTACTTATGGAAACATGTTTAAATGTGTTTATGCATGTCTACATGTGTTATGTGGTGTGTTTACATAATAAAGTCTGTCATAGCCAAAAATCCATGAACATTTTATTAAGTGAGAAAAATGAGGGCTCATATAAAATATATAGCAAATAACCCTCCCTTTTTAGTTTATGTGACTTAACTAAATATTTCATTAATTAATTTGTTTTAAAATTGTCAACATACATTTTTGCCTAGGTTTACTGGTCAGATCTTTTTTTTGAGAAGGAGTCTCGCTCTTTCACCCAGGCTGGAGTGCAGTGGCGCAATCTCGGCTGACTGCAGGCTCTGCCCCCCAGGGTTCACGCCATTCTCCTGCCTCAGCCTCCCTTGTAGCTGGGACTACAGGCGCCCGCCACCTAGCCCGGCTAATTTTTTGTGTTTTTAGTAGAGAGGCGGTTTCACCGTGTTAGCCAGGATGGTCTCGATCTCCTGACCTTGTGATCCGCCCGCCTCGGCCTCCCAAAATGCTGGGATTACAGGCGTGAGCCACCGTGCCCGGCCTGGTCAGATCATTTTATATTTGTTTTTGCTAGACGTTTTAAGGTCATGATGCTATAAACCCAGTCTAAAACAGAATGACCTTGTTGTGAAATTCCTTAATATATAAGATTAATTTAATGTTGTTGATATACTTAAAACAGCTATATCTTCTGAGTTATCAACAGGATACCCATGTATTTAACTTTAAAGTTTTTACTTAGATAAATACTTGATATTAACAGATATGAAACTTGTTAATAAACACAACAATGACTAGCTTTGTCTTATATTTCAGTTTTAAGAAGTAATCTAGATGTAATTGATAAAAAATAAATTAGTTAATTGTAAATAGAATAAATATTTATAAATAAAATTTTTATGTAATTTAAAATCCTGAAGTTATATTATGTTAAATAGTAGATACGATGTCTGGATCACATCCAAATAAGATAAAAATGGAAACAAACCACTGAATAAATATAAGTTCATTTTTGGCTTTTTAAAGTTTATAAAATTATAAATATATTTATATCTATTAATCAAAAATGAATTTAGGAAAAAATACTTTTGTATGATAAATAATCTTGAATAGTAAATTTTAGTCCTATAAAATAATTGGCTTTTTTAAAAAATGAAAAATGGTAGGACAAAGACTTGGGGGTTAAAAAAATGAGAAAATGTCTAAGCAAGTCAAAGAGCATTTATGAATAATAGGCCTGTGAGAAAACTTTTATGAATGATCAGGTTGGCCAGAATTAAAAATAAATAGTTTATAAGTGGTTTTCTAAAATTTAAACATTAATGTTGGAGGTGCACTGATACAGGACCAGAGCCTGGTCCTCCATTTTTAAAACAACATTTTCTTGAAGTATTGATCTGCTCCTGATAAAATTGTAAGAAGCTTTCATTTTGAATTCTAAAATCTATTTCTTTAACTGCTATCCCCTAAACTGCAGGCAGTTTCTATTTCTGCCACCTTTTTTCACTGAGATTCATTTAATTTCCCTAGTTTCACATTAAAAATGCTGTCTTCTTCATTTAAAATAATAATTTCTTTGCTTTTTTTTTTGAGATAGGGTTTCACTCTGTCATGCAGGCTGGAGTGTAGTTGCACGATCATGGCTCACTGCAGTCTTGACCTACTGGGCTCAAGCAGTCCTCCAACTTCAGCCCCCTTAGTAGCTGAGATTAAAGGCACACGTAACCACGCCCGGCTAATTTTTGTATTTTTTGTAGAGACAGGATTTTGTCATGTTGCCCAGGCTGGTCTCGAACTCCTGGGCTCAAACGATCTGCCCACCTCGGCCTCCCAAAGTGCTTGGATTATGGACATTGCACCCGTCTGGTAATATCATTTCTTGAGGTAGAGTTTTGCTTTTGAAATTTCTCAGATTTCGTATCTCAGTGGTTCAAATTTGCCATGTCTTGCTATTTGATTTCCAGGTCATATATCATTGCATTCAGGTTTTCTCCTCTTTAGAAAGCCTGGGATGGTAACTCTCTCCTTCAATTTTTTCATCAGTTGCTATACAATTTTTTTTTTTTGGTTCTAATTGCTGGTATGGCCTGACACTAAAGGTTTATCCTGAAGGCCTAGAAATCAATGCTCTTTTTCAATATAACTTGATTCTGTACTCTTGGCTTTTCTTGATACATGTGAATTGTTATAATCATGACCTGGGACACATCTTCCTGTATCTGATTAAATTCAAGTACCCTTTTCATCAGATTCGACCTCCAGGTTATCTAAATGAGCTCCCCAAAAGGAGAAACAATCACATTGCAGAAAGTTTTTCTTTACTTTTTTGGTACCTGGCCTAAGGAAGATTATACATTTTATCAACATAATTTCCTGTGTTGCTTTTATTAGATTTGATTTTTTTTTAACCTGAAGTTTAAAATGGTTAAGATAGTTTTAATGTAATTATTTGTATGGCTTTTTAAGCCTTTTGATTATCACTCTGGTTATATAAATGACTTATTTCACAAGTAACTTGTGATTCTGTATTGATACAGTGTTTTGAGCCCTTTAAAAACTTCCTCAAAATCAAATTCCAATTTAAGTTTTTTAAATGTAGAATTAACTTTGGAATTTTCCAGTTGGACTCCTGGAAAGCATTAAAACATATCTTTCTCATCTTTTAGAGGTATTAAATGATTTGGGTTATTTGGTAAATTTTATAAGAAATATTGTCAAACGATAACTGATACTAGATTTTTCTTTTATTTGCATTTATGGGAATATTGTTTATATGAATGTTTGAAAAATTATATAAGTCCATACAAGTATGCTGGGAATGATGGCTCATGCCTATAATCCCAACACTTTGGGAGGCTGAGGTCAGAGGATTACTTATAGCCAGGAATTTGTGTCCAGCTTGGGCAACAAAACAAGACCCTGTCTCTATTAAAACAAAACAAAACAAAACAAAAACAAAAAAAACCAAAAAAAAACCAAGCATGGTGGTACAAACGTGTAGTCCCAGCTACTTGAGAGGCTGAGGCAGAAGGATTGCTTGAGTCCAGGAGTTTGAGATTGCAGTCAGCTATGAATGTGCCACTGCACTCTAGCCTGGGCAATAGAGCAAGACCCCATCTTTAAAAAAAATTCGTACAAATGTATTATATTACCAGTCATAATTCTGGTTATCTTAAAATACTGTATATAATAGCAATAAATAAATGTTCTTCTCAGTTGTTAACTTCATCAGATTTTTAACCATGGCTATTTTAAGTTTTTGTCATCCATATTATTGTTTTGAATTCTTTTTTAAAAAACAGACTCCTGGAAAATATTCTAACAAGTACTCTTTTATTTTTATTTATTTATTTTTGAGACAATCTTGCTCTGATGCCCAGGCTGGGGTGCAGTGGCACGATCCTGGTTCATTGCAACCTCTGCCTCCCTGGTTCCAGTGATTCTCATGCCTCAGCCTCCTGAGTAGCTGGGATTACAGGCATGCGCTACCACGCTGGGTTAATTTTTTGTATTTTTAGTAGAGATGGGGTTTCACTATATTGGCCAGGCTTTTCTCCAACTCCTGGCCTCAAATGATCCTCCCGCCTTGGCCTCCCAAATTGCTGGGATTACCGGCATGAACCATTGTGCCTGGCCCTAAAATATACTCTTAGATTTGGGTTTCTAACAACTTGAAGATCAATGGACAATATAACAATTTCCAGAACTGTAATAAAAAAGTGGGTTCATGAAACTATTAATCAAGATCAGGCAGAACAAGAATTAATTACGTGAGTTTAACTAATGAAGACAATGTTTTTATGATATTATTTCAAATGTTGTTGGTTCTTTACTCAAATAGTTTTTTCCAGATTTAAGAAAATCTTGTCTTTTAAGCTATTTATAATTTACAGCAATTTGATAGAGTATACTTGTGTAAAAAAAGATAAAAACTTTTTTTCTCTTTACTTGATTCCTCCATAATTAGAAAACCATTTGTGAGTCTTCTTATGGTAATATGGTCATTTCAATAAGTCTAATAAAAATCTGCTCTCTCTGTATAGCAGAATACAATTGGAAACTGGTTATATTACCAAGGCTTTGACTGAAAGGTCATTTTTAAAAATATTGAGGCCGGACGCGGTGGCTCACGCCAGCAATCCCAGCACTTTGGGGGACTGAGGTGGGTGGATCGTTTGAACCCAGGAGTTCGAGAGCAACCTGGACATGGCGAAACTCCATCTCTACAAAAAATACAAAAATTAGCCAGGTGTGGTGGTCTGTGCCTGTAGTCCCAGCTTACTAGGAAGGCTAAGGTGGGAGAATCGTTTGAGCCCGGGAGGCTGAGGCTTCAGTGCTTCAGTGAGCAGTGATCCTGTCACTGCACTCCAGTCTAGGCGACCCTGTCAGGGAGACCCAGTCTCAGTTAAAAAAAAAAAAAAAACCCAAAACCCAAAAAACTAAAACTAGAATGGTATTTTCTACTGGGAATGTGGATTTGTGGATTGATGGTGAAATACTGGAAATTTAAAGCCTACACTAGAATCCATTGAAAAAAGCAAACAAGAAAAACTTCAAGGTTGGCTACATTGAATTTGAATGTAAAGATTAAAAAAAAATAAGTAAAAAACAAAAGAAGACATAGATCCAATCCCATATACCAGGAAATGCACTCTAAGGTATATACGGAAAATATATTTAACACATGTGTATCAGGACGCAGGCACAAGTAACTTCAAAGCAGCGCTGTTTCAAATAGTAAAAAAAGGAAAAACTGGAAACTGTTCAAAAGCTTCATCATCTCGATGATCTTGGTCTTCCGCCTCGCCTTCTTCTCCAAGGTGAATATGTACTGGGCCAGCACCACCCCCGCCACCAGGGCGCACACGCTGGCGCTCGCTACCGCGACCACCCTCGCCACGGTCGCGCGGTGCATGGACGGGGCCCTCATGAGTGTCCCGGCAGGAAAAAAACACCGCGATTGGGACTCTCAGAAGCGCAGGATCCCAGAGCACCATGGACAAGCCAGTGACGCCCCGCCCCCACTAGGCCCCACCCACACGCACCGAGGGGAGAGGGCGGTCACGCGGCCGGGGGGGCGTGGCCTGCCCCCGGAGCCCAGGCAGGAGGAGGGTCTTCCTTAAGGAACTGCTGCCAGGACAGGGCAGAGGATTGCAGTAATTATCACTCTCTGCTAATGAGGACCAGGCCGTGGTTCACTCGAGCCCCGCCCCAGTAGCAATCTAATTCCAACCGCGGCCCTCTCAGAAGTCGGTCCCCGCCTTTGCGCCTCAGCCTCTCTGGACTCCAGCCCCCAGAAGTCGGCGCGGCACGGCGTGACCTGCGCAGTGGCGTCCGTTGTAAGTGCTATGACAACAGGGCGAAGATGGCTCAGAGTTAGGCTGGAGAGGGGAGGTGTCCCTTCCGCTGCGGCCGTCGGGTTTCTGCTACATCCCATTCACCGCCTCCTCCATCCTTTCCTCCTCGGTGTGAGCAGCAGGACTTGCATTTGTTCTCGCCTGCCTAGTGTCTTCCAAGGGATAGATGCCGTTTCCTCTGCTGGTCTCTGGGGGTGACGGGGGGCGCAGGGGAGCTTCTTGGGGGAATCACTCCAACTCTGTGGAGCTGGTGGTGCTGCCTGGTGGGGCTCTCTCTTTGCCCGGGACGTGGAACAACTTTCAGCTGGAGGACGAGAGGGAATAGTGAAGCTAAAGGTTGCTTTTCTCTGCACCGTCCGTTCTTGCTCCCTCTGCTCCATCACTGGGACCTTGTCAGGCGTTCATAAAGCAAAATTTGCCGAACGAGGGTTCGCAGAAAGGTGGGGCAGAGCTCATCTGACGTGGCATCAGGTAAGATGGTATGTCTGTTGTTAAACTTCGGGTACATGAATACCCTTTCCATGTTTTATTTTGTGAACAAGATTCTCTAATGCAGTATAATGGTTTGGAGTCTGTAAGGTGATTGATTTCTTAGATGTTTGCACTGAAATAAACAAACACTAGGAGCACAAAGTGTATGAGATTCTGTGAGTACTTTTGAGAAAAAAGGGATGAGAATTTTTAAGGATTCCATTGAGGAATGTCACTTGGAGCATGAGCATCCTCCTGAGACACTTCAACAGGTCTGTGAGTAAATGGGCAAAGCAGTTCCCAGCCTACGACTGAAGTAGGATGCATGTACTAATACCCCCAATCCTTCTAGTAATAGGATTATTGTTTCTCCTCTTGTTACTTGGAGACCACAACAGTTTAGATGAGCTGCGCTGATTTTATCAGCACCTCCTGCCAGTCAAATCCTGCCTTTGACTTCAATTTCCTGGAGAAATGTATTTTTTTGGGTATCTCACTTTTACTTTAAAAATGAAACCGTATCTTACAGGTATACACATCTTACATGTCCTCATTGATAAACAACTTGAAAGATGCTGCAGGATAAGCTATGGGTCTTAAGTTGGCCAGCATTCAGAGAAAGATTTTCTAACTTATTAGCATTTTATAAAGAAAACAATTACTGAGATTTTTTTCATGAATATACGGAAGAATTAAAAAAAAAACTAGAAAACCCAGAAGTTTTTAAAGAAGAATTTTAAAAAACTTTATTTTGAAAATAAGTTACAAGTTATTTGTCAGAGTTTAAGGGATTTTTCCTTGTGTGTAATTGTCGTGGTTAAATTACAACTATACACTTATATTTATGGTACAACTTCTTGATAGAAATGCTCACTGAAGGGAAAAAATCCAACAGCAATAGTATATATAGTAATTTTAAAACTTTTACACCTTTTGAGGGATGTAGTAAGTCTTACGCTTTAGAATACTTTGAAATATTTTTGAAAATTATTAAAATACATGAAATTATTATAAAACATCCCTGCTGGTTAATAACATTTCCATTAGTGATTACTATCAGTCTTTGTGAGTCCCATTTAAAATTTCGGTCCAGAGGGTGAGTTTGGCATTCGTAATTGTGTCTTGCACAGAACACACTACCACCGTCTCTTTCAACTACCACTACTACCACTGTCTCTCCTACTAGCACTGTTTCTACTGTTGGGTTATTACTGACATCTATTGAGTACTTGCTATGGGTTGAGCCATTTTATCCTCCTCCACCCTAGAACAATTGAGATACTAGAGGATAAGGGACTTGTTTAAGATCATGTAGTGTAACGTGGTCAGAAAGTGCACCCAGAGCTGTCCTACTCCAAATTTTGTGTTATTTTGCCCTTTGAGTCTTTTGTTGAAAATTCCAACAGTGAGCCCTTGTATTATTGCCTTCAAAAGCAGTATACTTCTTTTGAACACTACATGCATTTGTCATCTTTCTTTGACTGGAAGACCTGATTTCTACTTTCTTAAATTTGGTGTGACACTGGCATAACCTGGAGAAAGCAAAGCTCTGAAAATGAACAACAGCTGCAAGGTCTGTTTCCAGAACTGACCTTCAAACCTGTATGTTTTTTCCACAGCATTCTTTGGGGTTATTGTTTTCACAGCTGATCATATTGTAGGACTAGGTCAATGAGGTGTTCAAGACCAGCCTGGGCAACATAGTGAGACCTCGTCTTTGCCGAGCATGGCAGAAAAAATAAAAATTATTAAAACTTTTTAAAATATTAAAAAAAGAACAATAGCAAATTAAATTCAGAAGGTCAGCAAAAAAAGGTCAGCCACCTCTTAAATGAAACCTAAATCTGAGTAAACTTGTTGTAGAAAAAAAAGTATTCAAAACAAAAAAGTGTCAAGTGAAGAGTATAGAAGAGAATTTCTGGAGTTTAGGGGATAAGGAGATTATCTCCCATTTATTATTCTAATAAGGCATTAGAAACTAATCTGTTATGCCTGTTTATAGGACTGCACCTGTTACAACCTTCAAATTATTGTCTTCTAATCATCCTTTAACAATTTAATCAAATTTATGACATACTTGCCTGTAGTTTGAACTTGTAGTGTTTAGAATTAGTGTGAATAGAGCTATTGCTTTTATAGTCTACATGGAGGGGCGTGTGCATAGGCCGTTTGTTTAGGGTTCTGGAGTAGACAGTCTGGGTTTAGGTACCGCACATCACTTAACTAGTGAGACCACTGGCACGGATTTCTTA
Source organism: Homo sapiens (assembly GCF_000001405.40). Classification (NCBI taxonomy): domain Eukaryota; kingdom Metazoa; phylum Chordata; class Mammalia; order Primates; family Hominidae; genus Homo; species Homo sapiens. The sequence continues at coordinate 33,132,294 of NC_000007.14, forward strand.
ACTTCTCTGTATTCAAGGATACCTGAATAATAGTATCTACAATTTACTTTGTAGTTTTGTTATGAATATCAAAATAGAATGCTTGCAAAGCATTTAGAATCCTGACTGGCTTTAGTAAATGATTAGTAGATACTTTCCTTTAAGGCGAAGTCATTAAAAACCTGGTTTTTATTTTCCAATTACTTAAAGACAAATCAGTGAGCAACTGGAAATCAACACTGAATGAAAAGGGGATAAAATGCAAACCTCGGTTCCTTATTCAAGACAGTTAACTAAACTGAATTAAAAAAACATTGTATACATATTTTATTTTTTGTTATTTAAAACACTTTTTGTTTATTTTGTAACCCAAAAGCCAGGTTTCATGACCAAAAAATGTTTTATTACTATTGTTCCTTACCATCTTTCCTAACCTGTCAGTACCAGACCTCCCACACCTACCTGCTTATCTTAATATCTCAATGTCAAGGCCTATATCTTTCCTAGATTGGAATACAGATTAGCATTTTATTTGTGTCTCAATTTATGGCTAATTTTTCATTTTCTTGATGACTTGGGATGTCTTCCAGGAGAAAGGGCAGAATTTATTTTGCTGACCTTCTGAATTTAATTTGCTATTGTTCTTTTTTTAATATTTAAAAAAGTTGTAATAATTTTTATTTTTTCTGCCATGCTTGGCAAAGATGAGGTCTCACTATGTTGCGCAGGCTGGTCCTGAACTCCTTAGCTCAAGTGATCAATCCGCCTTGGCCTCCCAAAGTGCTGGGATTACAGGTGTGTGCCACCACACCTGGCCTAATGGTAAATGTGGCCAAAATACAGGAGTGTTCTGCTTTAAAAAAAAATGAAAGTTTATGGGGAATTTGAAGCATAACCAAAAGCATGAAGAATAACAAAATGAACCCCCATGTATCCATCATCATTTGTTATCTTTAAAAAAAAACAGCTTTGTTGAAATACAATTCAAATACCATACAATTCACCCATTTAACACATAAAATTCAGTTCCTTTTTTGTATATTCACAGATACATGTAACCATTACCACAGCCAAGTTTGGAATATTTTTATCAACTCAAAAAGAAACCTCGCATCCCTTAGCTATAACTCTCCTTCTCTCTTCCTTCTCCCCTACCCCCAGACCTAAGCAACTAAGAATCTACTTTCTGTCTTTATGAATTTGCCTATCCTGGATATTTTATATAAACAGAATCATATAATAGGTGGCCTTTTGTTACTGGCTTCTTTAACTTAGCATGTTTTTAAGAGCCAGATATGTCTGATTCTAAAACCTATATGCTTTTATTTATTTATGTTGTAACATATATCAGTATTTTGTTCTTTTCTTTTTTATGGCCAAATAATATTCCACTGTATGGATGCTTCCTTTTGTTTATATATTCATCAGCTGATGGACATTTGGGTTGTTTCCAAATTTTAGATATTATGAATAATGCTACTATAAACATTTATGTGTAAGTTTTTTTGTATGCACATATGTTTTCATTGCCCTTGGATAGATACTTCAGTGTCAGATTGCTGGGTCATATGGTAATTCTGTGTTTAAGTGTTAGAGGAACTTCTAGATTCCTTTCCAAAGTGGTTGCATCGTTTTGCATTCTCACTAGCAGTATATGAGGGCTCTGATTTCTTTACATCCTCACCAATGCTTATTACTATCTGACTTCGATTCTGTCATAGTAGGTGTGAAGTCATATCTCATAGTTTTGATTTGTGTTTCCCTAATGACTAATTATGCTGAGCATTTTTTTTTTGAAACGGAGTTTTGCTCTTGTTCCCTAGGCTGGAGTGCAATGGTGTGGTTTTGGCCCACTGCAACCCCTGCCTCCAGGTTCAAGCAATTCTCCTGCCTCAGCCTCCCAAGTAATTGGGCTTACAGGCACCTGCCATCACGCCTGGCTATTTTTTTTTTTTTTTTTTTTTGTATTTTTAGTGGAGATGGGGTTTCACCATGTTGGCCAGGCTGGTCTCGAACTTCTGGCCTCAGGTGATCCACCCACCTTGGCCTCCCAACGTGCTGGGATTACAGGCGTGAGCCACTGCGCCTGGCCTTGAGCATCTTTTTATGTTCTTATTGGCCATTTGTATATCTTACTTGGAAAAATACCTATTCAGACCCATTGTTCATTTTTAATTGACTTTTTTAAATTACTGAGTTGTATGAGTTCTTGTATATTATCAGATACATGATTTGCAAATATTTTCTCCCATCATTTCATCTTCTTGATGGTGACCTTTGAAACCTAAAAGTTTTTAGTTTTGATAAAGTCTACTTTATTCATTTATTTTGTTTTTTTGAGATAGAGTCTCACTCTGCTGCCCAAGCTGAGAGGTGTGGTGGCATGATTTTAGCTCACAGCAACCTCAAACTCTTGGGCTCAATCCTCAAACTCCTGCCTCAGCCTCTCAAGTAGCTGGGATTATAGGCACACACAACCATGCCCAGCTTATTTTTTCTTTTTTGTATAGATGCGGTCTCGCTTTGTTGCCCAGGCTCTTCTCAATCTCTCAGGCTTAAGCAGTTTCCTTGCCTCAGCCTCCCAAAGTGTTGGGATTACAGGCGTCAGCCACTGCACCTGGCTTTATTTATTTATTTTGAGACAGGGTCTTGCTCTGTCATCCAGGCTGGAGTGCAGTGGTGCAATCATGGCTCTCTGTAGCCTCAGCCTTCCAGTGTCAAGCAATTCTCCCACCTTAGCCTCCCCAGTAGCTGGGACTACAGGCACACACCACTGCACCTGGCTAATTTTTATATTTTTTGTAGTGATGGGGTCTCATCATGTTGCACAGGCTGGGCTCAGACTTCTGGCTCAAGCAGTCCTCCTGCCTTGGCCTCTCAAAGTATTGGAATTACAGGCATTAGCCACCATGCCTTGCCCTTATTTATTTTTTATTGCTCACGTTTCTGGTGTCAAATCTAAGAATCCATTGCCAAATCTGAGGTCATAAAGATTTATTTATATAGTCTTCTAAGAGTTTCAAGAGTTTATAGTTTTAGCTATACATTAGCTTATACTTAGATCTTTGACATATTTTGAGTTAATTTTAAAAATATTATTCGAGGTAAGTGTCCGATTTCATTCTTCTGCATGTCACTATTCGGTCATCTTAGACCCATTTGTTGCAATTACTCTTTGAATGATCGTGGCACCTTTGTTGAAAATCAGTTGATCATAGATGTATGGGTTTATTTCTGGACTCTCAGTATTTTCCATTTATGTTTATGTCTATCCTTATGCTAGTGCCATACTGGCTTAATTATTGTTGCTTTAGTAAGTTTTGATATGGGGAAGTGTGAGTTCTCTACCTTTGTTCTTTTTTAATTTTGAGATTGTTTTTGCTATTCTGGGTCCCTGGAAATTCCATACAAATTTTAGAATAACCTTGTTGATTTCTACAGAGAAGCCATCTGGGAATCTGATAGGGATTGCATTGAATCTGTAGATTGATTTGGGAAGTATTGCCGTCCTAACAATATTGAGTCTTCAGATCCATGAACATGAGATGTTTTCCATTTATTTAGATCTTCTTTAATTTCTATAACAATGTTTTCATAGTTTTCAGAGTATAAGTTTTACACTTCTTTTGTTAAATTTATTCCTAAGTATTCTTTTTTTTTTTGTTTTTTGAGATGGGGTCTTTCTCTGTTGCCCAGGCTGGAGTGTAGTGGTGTGATCACAGCTCACTGTAATCTTGAACTCCTGAGCTGAAGTGATCCTCTTGCCTCAGCCTCCTGTGTAGCTAGTATTACAGGTGCGCACCAGCATACCTGGCTAACTTATGTATTTTACTCTTTTGGGTGCTATTGTAAATGTAATTATTTTTAAAATTTCATTTTGGATTGTTCATTGCAAGAATATAGAAATATCATGGATATTTGTATATTTATTTTATATCCTGCAACCTTGCTTAACTCATTTATTAGTTCTAATAGTTTTTTCCCAAATTCCTTAGGATTTTCTATATACAAGATTATGTCATCTGTGAGTAAAGATAGTTTTACTTCTTTTTTTCCAATTTGGAAGCCTTTTATTTCCTTTTCTTACCTAATTGCTATAGTTGAGAGCATCCAGTATGATTTTGAATAGAAGTGGTGAATGCAGACATCCTTGTCTTGTGCCTGATCTTAGGAGGAAAGTGTTCGGTTTACACTATTAAGTATGATGTAAGCTGTGGATTTTGCATAGATGTCTTTTATCAGTGTGAGGAACCTTCTATTCCTAGTGTTTTGAGTGTTTTTTTATAATGGAAGAGTTGGATTTATGGAGGTGATCAAGTGGCTTTTGATTTAGATTGTATTGATTTTACATTAACTCATTTCTGGATGTTAAGGATGCCTACCTTGCATTCCTCAGGCAACACCATTTAGTCATGTTATATAATACTTTTTATATATTATTGGATTCAATTAGCTAGTAGTATTTTGTTGAGGATTTTTGCATCCATATGCATAAGGGATATTGGTCTATTGTTTTCTTGTGATGTGTTTGGTTTTGGCTCAGGGTAATTAGATTTATAAAATGAGGTGGGAAGTATCCTCTCCTCTTTTATTTTTTGGAGTGGTTTTTGAAGAATTGGGATAATTTTGCTTTAATTGTTTAGTAGAGTCCACCAGTGGATCTGTCTTGGCCTGGCCTTTTCTTTGTGGATAGTTTTTTGATTACTAATTCAATTTCTTTATTTATTATGGATCTATTTAGATTTTTTATTTCTTCTTGAGTCAGCAGAGGGTCTCCTCTGTTCTTGGGTGTATCAGTGGATTATACCCAAGCCCTCAGCTCCTCCTGGGTGTCCTTCCTGTGCTGTCGGTGCCCAGAGTCCGGAGGGGACCGAGGTGTTAGGGGACTGGTGTATCAGCACTGCCCTGAGCGCACACACACCTGGCCGGGTTGCGACAGCACCTGGGCTCGGCTTCAACTTTGGTTCGAAATTGGAGTGGGCACTGGGAGTTGGGAGAGGCCAGGGAGCGGGAGTGGGCACTTCCAAACTGCAGGGGCAGGGGTGCTTCCCGGGCCCCCGACAGTGCAGGGATGCTTGGGTCTGGAGCTGTGATTGGGTAGCTGCAGATGTGCCCAGGAGCGCAGGGCTCCTGGCCCTCCAACCTGGTAGGGGGCGGGGCTCCTGCCTGTTCCCAGCCCCCACTGGCTCCGCAGAGTGGGCAGCCCCTGCCATGCCTCCCCCGCTGCAGCCAGTGTCTTCGCAGTGGCTGCCATCACTGCTGCCTAAGTTGTCTTTTGAAATCCACCCATTTTTTTATCAAAGGAAATTAGTGGTATCCCAACTTTGTACTGATGAGAGTTTGTGGTTTCTTAATTTCTTGGGAGTGGGCAGTGCTCCTTCTCTGCTTCTACCTTTGAAACTGGAGAGACGCACTTGGGAAACAAATGATGACTATTGATTATCAGCCCAAATTGTTGTTTTTTTCTATTGTTCATTAATTCTTTAAAGATGTAAGTCCTTATTGTTCAATAAATTATCGTCTACAATGGTGCATGATAACACTTCGGACATTGGGGGAACAAACATACAAGATGTTTATGTAATGGAATTTATGAAATTCTGCTATGCATGACCTTATGTTTGCCCTGGCATGAAAGTCATTGTTGTTGCTCTGAAATATTGTTGTTCTGAAATAATTAAGGTAGCCATGGTCTTGTGAGGAAGAGCCATTTGTTGGACATAGGTTTAAAAATTAGCCCTTCCTCCACAGTCTTTAAAGATTAAAATAAAGCAAACAAACAACACAAAAATCATTCTATCCACATGCTTTTTCAGTTTTTTGATATTAAATTGCAGATTATTGGCAGCCTAATGAGGCAGGGGACTAGAGACGAGGGAGAGAGTATGCAGAAGCAAGGTCCTGCAATTAGCTGTGTGAGGTATGGGAATCATGTAACTTATCTGGGCCTCTCCTATAAAATGAGAGGACCAGCTGATTGATGGATACTTTCCAGCTGTTTTAGGTCTTTGATTTGAAAAATGATTTTTTTTAAGCCCTCAAAAGGTAACGGACGGCAGAGGTCCTCTGAAAAAGAAGGGGAAAACTGGAGCTCTGCTGTAAGAAAATATCCACTTAGGCAATCAGGTATCAGTTACATCAGTGCCTCTTCAACCTTAAGGTGCATGTGATTCACCTGGAGATACTGTTTGGGGAGGATGAGATTCAACATTTCTCATAAGCTTTTGAGTGATACAGATGCTGCTGATCCAGGGATTACACCTGGAGTAGCAAGGGACCAAACTCTGTGAAAAGGGGGATTTCAGGAGCTAACGAAGTGGTGGGTGAATAAGGAAAAATTGATAGAGCAGGAGAAACAATAATGATATATATATTTTTAAGAGACAGGGTCTGGCTTTGTTGTCCAGGCTGGAGTGCAGGGGTGCAATCATGGCTCACTGTAGCCTCAACTCCTGGGCTCTAGTGGAGACTGGCTAATATTTTTTTTTTGGTGGGGGGGAAAGATGGGGTCTTGCTATGTTGCCCAGGCTCGTCTCAAACTCCTGGCCTGAACTGATTCTCCTGCCTTGGCCTCTCAAAGTGCTGGCATTACAGACATGAACCACTGTGCCTTGCCAAGAAGGATGTAAATGATGCCTTTGTTATTTTGTCAGTACAAGTAGATTTCTAATTTTCGGTTAGAAGTTAATGAGAAATGAGGCCAGGTGTGGTGGCTCATGCCTGTAATCCCAGCACTTTGGGAGGCTGAGGTCGGCGGATCACCTAAGTTCAGGAGTTCAAGACCAGCCTGACCAACATGGAGAAACCCCGTCTCTACTAAAAATACAAAATTAGCTGGGCGTGGTGGCGCATGCCTGTAATACCAGCTATTCAGGAGGCTGAGGCAGGAGAATTGCTTGAACCCAGGAAGTGGAGGTTGCGGTGAGCTGAGATTGTGCCATTGCACTCCAGCCTGGGCAACAAGAGTGAAACTCTGTCTCAAAAACAAAAACAAAAAACAAAACAAAACAAAAAAACAAGTTAATGAGAAATGAATGTCTTCTATAGGCATTCCTATTTGTAGACATTGTTGGAAAGTTCTTTCATATTGGAGGATTCTTTTGATTCTTTTTTTGTCTTTTTTATTTTAACAGCCCACTAGATCATAATATTGGAGGATTTTTTGTATTCATTCTAGCAAGCTGAAAAAATTTATTGACTCACAGGTTTTTAAGGCCATTTTCATAGGATAGCTACTTTGACTTGATGCAGTATTTATATTCAAACTCCAGCTTTGTCTCTTGTGGTCACTTATCTGAGGATTTTGACTTTTTAAAAATGTATCATTCATTATCATTGACAGAAAAATCTCTTCTCTTTCTCCTTTACTTGGTTTAGTATGTTCTCTAGGCAGGCCCCATGAAGTTTTCTTTTCTGTCTGTGTTAGGCAAAGGTAAGACCCCCTTTGAGTGTTGTATAGTTCTTACTTTCTTATTTTCTCTCCTTGAGACTTTTGAACCGGCTGATGCAGGAGTGAGCAGAGGATCACTTACTCTTTGGTTGGTTACTACTAATTTCTGTCCTTAGCTATGTCTCCCAATAGAGCTTATGCCTCCAAGTCTTCATCCTTTATGGTGTATCAGGAGCACTTGATACAGTTGGTCACTCCCTTTTTCTAGATACATTTTTTTTTTCCACTTCCTTCGAGATAACTCACTTCTGGCTTTGTTTTGATCTCAGTGAATGCCCCTGTTAAGCTTCTGGTAGATTCCTCTTCTTTTTCTTTTTTTTGGAGATGGAGTCTCACTCTGTCACCCAGGCTGAAGTGCAGTGGCGTGATCTTGGCTCACTGCAAGCTCCACCTCCTGGTTCATGCCGTTCTCCTGCCTCAGCCTCCCGAGTAGCTGGGACTACAGGCACCCGCCACCACACCCGGCTAATTTTTTGTATTTTTAGTAGAGATGGGGTTTCACCGTGTTAGCCAGGATGGTCTCGATCTCCTGACCTCGTGATCTGCCTGCCTCGGCCTCCCAAAGTGCTGGGATTACAGGCATGAGCCACCGCACCCAGCCGGATTCCTCCTCTTCTTAACCTCTGTACCACTCCTTTGTCTTCTAAGCTTGTGTCTGGTTTTCTTCAGATATCCCATCATGCACCTTTTCCCTTTCCTGATTATGCTTTTCATCCTTTTATCGTAGCCATCCTTCATAGCCATGAAGATGACTATGCTGTGTCCTGTGAGTCCTCCTAGGGAATCATTGGCATTTCAAGTGTGAATTTGGGTAATATTTTGCTCTGAGCTGCAAGTGAATGATGTATCCTCATTCTCATAGTCCAGTAATATGGCATATTACAATTCTCCTAGGTACTTGGCATATATAGTGAGAATATATGGGATTTATTGAATACTGTTACTTTCCTCTCAAAAATCCAATAAAAGTGTAATACAGATATTATTATGTTTTTTGAATGCTTGCTACCAGATTTGAAATTTAGTAATCTGACAATTTGTATGGTTATATAATGTCATTAGTAATAACAAATGGTGCAAATATTTTTCAGAAAGTCTCCCACATATTTTGAAACTCATGATAAATTTGTTTACCTGTTAGATATTTGTTCACTTCCATCAACTCCCAGTGTTTATCTAACTTCTTTCTTAGCATAAGCAGAGTACTATGGATGGAATTTTCTTTCTTTTTTCTCCTGGTATTTGTTTTTTTAAACTAATCATTTTGAAATAATTTTAGACTCACTTAGAAGTTGCAAAAATAATGGTTTCCCAATGAAAACAGTACAGTGATCAAAACCATCAAATTTGTTTTTTTCGTAGAGACTGGGTCTCTGTTACATAGGCTGGAGTGCTGTGTCTTGATCAAAGCTCACTGCAGGCTGGCATGGTGGTTCACGCCTATAATTCCACCACTTTGGGAGGCCGAGATGGGTGGATTGCTTGAGGTCAGGAGTTGGAGACCAGCCTGGTCAACATGGGGAAACTCCATCTCTACTAAAATACAAAAATTAGCTGGGCGTGTTGGCAGGTGTCTGTAATCCCAGCTACTTGAGAGGCTGAGGCAGGAGATCGCCTGAACTTGGGAGGTAGAGGTTGCAGTGAGTTGGGATTGTGCCACTATACTCCAGCCTGGGTGACAGAGCAAGACTCCATTCCTCACTCCCCAAAAAAGCTCACTGCAGCCTCGAACTCCTGGGCTCAATTGATCCTCTCACCTCAGACTCCTGACAGTAGTTGGGACTACAGGCATGGACCACTATGCCCATCTAATTTTTTTATTCCTTGTAGAGATGGGGTCTCCCTATGTTGCCCAGGCTAATTATAGATGTTAGCCACCGTGCCCAGCCCACCATTAAATTGATGTTAGTATAATACTAAAGTTAAACTATAGATTTGATTTGGATTTTACCAGGTTTTATGTTAGATGCACTTTTTTTTTGTAGATAGTTCTAAGAAATTAATCCCAAAGAAATTGCCTTTTATTATTAGCTCCTCATAGTTACACCCTCCTGTAAACCTAGCAACCACCTATCTGTTCTACATTAGTATGATTTTGTCATTTTGAGAGTTAGAAATGTAATTATTTAATATTTTAGCTTTTTGGATTTTTTTTTCATTCAGCATAATGCTCTTGCAGTCTATCCAAGTTGCAAGTGTCAGTTATGTTTTAAATTCTTTTTTTTTTTCTCGAGATGGAGTCTCGCTCTTTTGCCCAGGCCGGACTGCAGTGGTGCTATCTCGGCTCACTGCAAGCTCTGCCTCCCGGGTTCATGCCATTCTCCTGCCTCAGCTTCCCGAGTAACTGGGACTACCCGCCCGGCTAATTTTTTGTATTCTTAGTAGAGACGGGGTTTCACCGTGTTAGCCAAGATGGTTTTGATCTCCTGACCTCGTGATCCGCCCGCCTCGGCCTCCCAAAGTGCTGGGATTACAGGTGTGAGCCACCGCGCCTGGCCTAAATTCTCAAGTTATATTGGTATGGTGTAGATGTACCATAGTGTGTTTAACCAGAACACTGAGTTTTTTTCTTTAATGTAAGTTTAAAACATCATAAAAGGGGATCAAAACCAGAGCAATGGCTAACACTTATTGAGTGCTTATTATGTGCCAGGTATTGTACTAAGTGGTCTACTGTATTCCTTTTTGTAAAAAACTAAAACTGTATATTTTTTATTTTTAATTGTGGTAAAATAATGTGACATAAAATTGAACATCTAACCATTTTTAACTATATAGTTCAGTAATGGTAAGTAAATTGACATTATTGTGCAACCAATCTCCAGAACTTCTCATCTTGCGAAGTCAACACTATATACCTATTAACAGTTCTCCTTTCTCCCTAGCCCCTGACAATCACCATTCTTAATGTTTCTGTGACTATTCTAGGTACCTCACATAAGTGGAATCATATGGTATTTGTCTTTTTGTGACTGGCTTATTTTACTTAACATGATGTCCTCAAGGTTCATCTACATAGCAGATGTCAGTTTCCTTCCTTTTTAAGGCTGCATAATATTCCATTGTATGGGTATACCACATTTTCTTTATCCATTTATCCATTGATGGATGTTTAGGTTGGTTCTGCCTCTTGGTTATTGTGAATTATGATACAGTAAATCCGTGTGTAAAAATATCTCTCTGAGATTGTCTTTAATTCTTTTGGATATCCACCAAGAAGTGGGATGGCTGGATCAAAATTTCTAGGTTTAACTTTTTTTTTTTTGAGATGGAGTCTCGCTCTGTCGCCCAGGCAGGAGTGCAGTGGCGCGATCTCGGCTCACTGCAACCTCTGCCTCCCAGGTTCATGGCATTCTCTTGCCTTAGCCTCCCGAGTAGCTGGGACTACAGGCGCCTGCCACCACACCTGGCTAAGTTTTTATATTTTTAGTAGAGACGGGGTATCACTGTGTTAGCCAGGATGGTCTCGATCTCCTGACCTCATGATCCACCCGCCTTGGCATCCCAAAGTGCTGGGATTACAGGCCTGAGCCACTGTGCCCGGCCCTATGTTTAATTTTTTGTGGGACCTACCCACTGTTTTCCATAGTAGCTACACCATTTTATATTCCCACCAACAGCGTACAGAGATTCCAATTTCTCCATGTCCTTGCCAACACTTGTTATTTTGTGTTTTTTTCTTCTTGCAATCATCATTCTTAGGTCGAATATATTTTTGTTTTTTTTGATAATGGATGTGAGGTGATATTGTTTTGATATGCAAATCAAAAATTTTGAACTGATTTTCAGTTCAAAATTAGTGATTTTGAGCATCTTTTCATATGCTCCTTGGCCATTTGTATATCTTTTTTGTTGTTGTTTGAGACAGAGCCTCACTCCGTAACCCAGGCTGGAGTACAGTGGCATGACCTTGGCTCACTGCAACCTCCGCCTCCTGGGTTCAAGCAGTTCTTTTGCCTTAGCCTCCTGAGTGGCTGGGATTACAGGTGCCCACTACCATGCCTGGCTAATTTTTGTATTTTAGTAGAGATGAGGTTTCACTATGTTGGCCAGGCTGGTCTTGAACTCTTGGCCCCAAGTGATCCTCCTGCCTCTGCCTCCCAAGATGCTGGGATTACAAGTATGAGCCACCGCACCCAGCTCATTTGTGTATCTTCTTTGGAGATGTGTCTGTTCAGGTTCTTTTGCCCATTTTTTAATGGGATGGTTTGTTTTTGTTGTTGTTGTTGAGTTGTAGGAGTTCTTTATGTATCCTGGATATTAATTCCTTATCATATATATGACTTGCACATATTTTTTCCAGTTCTGTAGGAAACTGCATTCTTATTTAATCATCACAACACCACTCTTACCTTTATTTTGTAAATGAGAAAGCGAAAGTACAGAGATGTTCAGTAACTTTTAGTAACCTTCCACTGGTTGCATGGTTAACATGTGGTGGCACAGGAATTCAAACTCACACAGGTTGCCTCTAGAGGCTATACTTTCCCACCACATTATTTACAGCCAATTTCTTGGCCAACTTTGTATAAAAACAAATGACCTTGGTTTCTATGATTAGCTCATGTGGAATGCTTACTTTAAGAGGCAGGTTGGTCTACATTTTAAAAAAGTAGAGCTGATCCTCATTATTGGCAGACTCTGTATCATTTGTGAATTTGCCTACTTGCTAAAATTTATTTGTAACCCCCAAATCAGTGCTTGCGATGCTTTTGTGGTCATTTGTGATCAAGTGCAAAGGAGTAAAAATTGAGTCACCTGATGCACATGTTCCCAGCTGATGTTAAACAATGGCTTTCTTGTTTCAGTTCTCATACCGTAAACAAGTGTCCTTTCATGGTCTACAGTATTTAGTGTCATGTTTTCTCCCACATTTTCGTAGGTTGTTTTTGGAGGGGGATGTGGTGTTTTCACTGTTTAAAATGGTCTGCAAATGTAATACTGAAGTGCTGTCTAATGTTCCTAAAAGCAAGAAGGCTGTGATGTATCTTGTGGAGAACAGACAGATGGTCCCTGACTTACCATGGTTTGACTTATGATTTTTCAACTTTAGGATGTTGTGAGAGTGATACACATTCAATAGAAACCATACTTCAAATTTTGAATTTTGATTTTTTCCCTGGTATATTAAATGTGTTTTTGACTTAAAATATTTTCAATTTATGATGGATCTATTGAGATGTAATCCCATCATAAATTGAAAAGCATCTGTACATGAAATTAGATAAGGTTAGTTCAGCCTGAGTTCTAGTGCTGGTGGGCATGATTCCCATAGTAATGAATCAGCAATACATATTAAATAAGGTATCTTTAAATAGAAACACACAAAAAACTACATTATGTATTGATTGGTTGAAGAAAATGTTGTTACTAGAAGCTTGCAGGAATCTGTCTAACCCTGTGTTTCTCCTAGGAGCAATGGTTCAGTATTTGCTAATTCATTGTTTATGGCGGCCTTATACAGAATAACTTTCGTGAATAAGGAGAATTGACTGCACTTCGTAGCTACCATTTAAATCGGTGTAACATGAAGGAAAACCTCATTTATGTTAAATAAATGAACTGTTGTAGAGTCCCAGGGCATGTGATGCTGTGTTGTAATTCAAAAGGTCCAAGTGCTTTCACATCTGCCATATCAGCAACTCAGTGGTAGGTAGGGCTGGTATATGCTCATTCTAGATAAGAAATCAAAGTAAGGAGAGGTTGTTTGGGTTGCCCAAGGACACACGGATAGTTAGTGGTATAAATGGTCCTGCAGCCCAATTTTCCTGCTTCTTTTTTGGTGTGAATTTCCCTCTTCTATCTTGCCTTTCTATAACTAACATAGCAAGAGGAAGTGAATGCTTTTTGAGTACCTATAGCATACCAGTTCCAGGGCTAGTCACTAATGCATTTGATCTCATTTGTCTCAGCAACTCTTTGTAATAGGAGATGGAGTTGGCCCTCCGTGTCCCCGGGTTTCACATCCATGGATTCAACCAACTGCAGATTGAAACCTGTGGATATGGAAGACTGACTGTACTAGGTATACTAGGTCATTATATATAATAAGGGACTTGAGCATCTGGGGATTTTTCATCTGTGGGGTCTTGGAACCAATCTTCCACAGGTACAAAGGGCCAACTCTAGTGCAGTCTCGCCAATGACTAGACTGAAAGGAAGTTAGGTATTTCACTGAAGACTTACATGTTAAATAGTGCTGATGGAATTTGAATCTTGATCCTCCAAAGAATCTGTTCTTTTGTTATTTTCTGCAGTTCTCTCCTAAATGTTTTAGAAGAGAGAATTAGCACAACATAAATGTATAATTTCTCAGCCCAATTTACTAACGGTGTTGCAAAATATCTGATTAATGCTTCCAGCCATTTGGATTTGTGGTTTCAAATATGTGTACAAAATATTAAAAAGTTAATATAGAAATGTCCTTCTCAGATCTGTCCAAGTTTAATTTGCTATGCCTTAAGACATAATTATTAGTTCATAGTGTGAAGTAGATTATTATAAATGTTTTCTTTTTAGTGTGAAAGAAAATGTCTTTATTTAAAGCCCGTGATTGGTGGTCTACTATTCTGGGAGATAAAGAAGAATTTGATCAAGGCTGTTTGTGTCTGGCTAATGTTGACAATAGTGGAAATGGACAAGGTAAGCAACTTACAACCATACATCTTGGATGAAAGTTTTAAAGAGATCAAATAAGACTGGGCACGGTGGCCGACTGCTGTAATCTCAGTTCTTTTGGGAGGCCGACGTGGGCAGATCACGAGGTCAGGAGTACGAGACCAGCCTGGCCAACATGGTGAAACACTGTCTCTACTAAAAATACAAAATTAGCTGGGCTTGGTGGTGGGCATCTGTAATCCCAGCTACCTGGGAGGCTGAGGCAGGAGAATCGCTTGAACCCAGAAGGCAGAGGTTGCGGTGAGCTGAGATAGTGCCACTACACTCCAACCTGGGCAACAGAGCAAGGCTCCATCTCAAAAAAAAAAAAAAAAAAAAGAGATAAAAATGACTTGCTTTTGAAAATGTGTACTTTTTAGAACTTAATTGAACTATCATAATTGTACCTAATTTTGAAGGTAGTTTTTTTTAATAATATTTAGGTATCAGACTGATAACTATAGTCTTTCTGTTTTGTTTATGTTCTGGTTTGTACTGATTCTGTCATATTGTTTGCTGGAATTTAGTAAAAATTATATGACATCACTTCATTTGTATCAAAATTTGGTCTTGTAGGGGACAGTTAGTAAAATATTTTGTATTTTGAAAAATTTCCTTTTGTAGAAATTCTTTACAAGAAAAATAAATTTATTGGACCTGGAAACCATTCATACCATAATGAAATTACACTAGCTCTATTTGGTGGTAGAAAACAATTGTTAAATCCTTGCTTTCATTATCATATTATAATACTAAAACCTACATTCTAGCTTATTCTTATGCATCTTCATGTTTTTTAAGTGACCTTTCAAACAGTTTAATTCTGTATTATTGTATCATTGCTATTTGAAATTTGTATTTGGTTTATAGTCATGGGCTTTTTTTTTGTGATCTAGTCATTACCCTCTTAAAAAGAAAACTTATTATAACTATTCTTTTGTTTACTGCATATAAATATTATCCCCTTACATTTTTTAAAAATTGTTTTTCTTGCCTATAATTAAAACAGTGGGATCTGCAGGAAAATGTGAAAGGAGAAAATTGTATTGGTAAAGCAGAAGAGTGGGAGTACTAAACTGCACAGAGCACCTACTAAGTTGTTTTGAAGGAAAATTTGGTCCCTGATTTTCCACTGATAGGAGATGGGAAGGCCTTCTATTCAGAGGATATTGGAAGGTTCCTCAACCCTGCCTCTGCCCCCGCTATTTGTTAAAGCATGTGATGCCCCAGTTATTTGGCCATGTAAGAGTCATGCCACAGAAATACCTGCCAGAGAGAACAATTTCAAACCCACTTCTGCCTAAACTATCTAAAGTTCAGCTTGGTTGGAAACTATACTTACTGATTATCTGAATAACATACTGTACACTCATTCATTTCTATTAGAGCTCACTACTGGGGTGCTACCAGTAGGTTACGAATATGCTGAGATACTGCTTCCCTCACAGTTTGTGGTGAGCTGTGAGCAGCTTCCTCTGTTTTCCGAAGCTTGCTATACAAAAATCATTACATATGTGTGTTCCACATAGACAACACTCATCATTGTGTTCCAAAGCCTGTGTCATAATATTGTGGGGTGATTATTATATATGGAGATTTTCTATCCCAGACACATGAGATGCTATAAGATTGTATTCTCCAGGGGTAGGTGGGGTGATGTGACTTAGGTTTCCTAATTTTTGATAAGTTCCAAAATTGAATGCTGGCATTCTCAAGTTTGAGAATTATTTTTGTTGATCTTATAGAATGGAAAGTTAACAAGAGCAGTTTTGGATATGCTCTGTTTAAGATAGGAATGTCTAGTTTACAGAATAGAGGTAGAGATTTGGGGATGAACAATATGGTGTTTATATTTGGAGCTCTGAGAACAGGTGAAAATGCACAGGGAGAGAAGTTGAAATAAGAGGGGAGGAGGTATAGGACTGTAACCTGGAGAATATGAGGATCAACAGGGGAAGTGTGGGAAGAGTAGTAGATTCTGAAAAGAGCAGGCAGAGAGGCAGGAAAACTAATTAGGCTGGTAACTGGGAAGCAGTGCAGTGGTGTGATCTTGGCTCACTGCAACCTCCACCTCCCGGGTTCAAGCAATTCTCCTGCCTTAGCCTCCCAAGTAGCTGGGATTACAGGTGCCTGCCACCACACCCAGCTAATTTTTGTATTTTTAGTAGAGACAGGGTTTTGCCATGTTGGCCAGGCTGGTCGCGAACTCCTGACCTTGGGTGATCCACCTGCCTCGGCCTCACAAAGTGCTGGGATTACAGGCATGAGCCACTGCACCTGGCCTTTTTTTTTTTTTTTTTAATGGAGACAGGTCTTGCTCTGCTGCCCAGGATGGAGTGCAGTGGCATGATCATGGCTCACTGCAGCCTCAACCTCCCAGGTGTGCCCCACCATGCCTGGCTAATTTTTATTTTTATTTTTTTTGTACAGACAGTGTCTCCTTGTGTTGCCCAGGCTGGTCTTGAACTTCCTGGGCTCAAGTGATCCTCCTGCCTTGGCCTCCCAAAGTGCTGGGATTATTGGCGTGAGCCACTGAGCCTGGCCTAAAAGTTTTCATGCTCTTTAGCAGCAAGTGGTTCATTAGTGTCCATGACAAGAGTGGATGTGTGGGCACAATGGTAATGAGATCTAGATTTGCAATGTATGAATGGGGAGTGAGTGGGAGGTGGGGAGACTATTTATGGCTCTTTAAAGAAACTTAGCTGTGAATTGAAGAAGGGAGGATGATGATTTGGAGACCATGGAGGGTCAAGGGAAGTGGGAAAAATTCAATGTGTAGAATAGAGGCTTTCATTGATGGAGCAGGGACCCAGAGAGGACAGTCAGAGATGGGATCAGGTGTGCAGATGGAAGGATTAACCTTGGACAGATGTGGAAGCTTTTTTCCACAGTGCCAGAGGAAAGAAGGTAAGAATGTATACCGATGTAGAGAAATTTGCAGGTCAAGTTGGGAGGTTGAAACAGTAATGTCAGTTGACCTCTACTTTTTTTTAGGTGATCAGACAGTGAGAGAAGAGTTACAGGGATCCTGAAATTCTTTAGAAGAAGCCGAGTAAAACACAGAAGGATTCCTTGTTAATCTTGATAGTACAATTGAAATTGAACACCCCATGCATTTAAATGGCACTTACTTTCCTAATTCTCTCAACTCAAGATTCAGACTCTTGAGAGAGATAGTGAGAATGAGGGAGAGAGAGAGGATCTGAATAATACAATTTAGATTACATGCCAACCTGTGGCCTGGAGGGAAAGTTTATTTCTAGAATTGGAGTAGAGAGCAAATAAGACTGACTAATGGCTTTTCATTTAATGCCTGCATGTTCATTAATTCCTGGGGAATCCCATATTTAATTGTAGCTTGAAATCTGTGAGAGTCAGACTTATCTGAGATCTGGTTACTATACTAGTCCTGCAAAGTATTTTAATAGTCGTACATATACATTTTGTTTCAGTGGGTTAGCTTGTTACCATGTGGACTTGGCCATCCTGACCTCCTCTTATCCCTGAAGATAGGGCTATATTGACCTATCCATGAATCTTGGTTATTTAGTGAGTAAAAGTGGGGATTTAGGGCATGACAGGATACATGGGAAGCTCAGCGGGGAATGTTTTAGGAAGGTTTAAAGGTTTAAGTCTTCTCCAACCCTTCTGGACTCCATTATAACAGTATAATTCCATTCTTCCTGATCAGTGCCTTTACTTTTACTTAAGAAGGCTGGAGAGATTTGTCAGGTCATTTGTTATTGTAATTTAAAACTTAAAGAATCAGTCTCTGAATGAGCTTCTCAGTGATTAAGCCCCACTATCTGAGTAGTAAGTGGTGAGAAATGTTTCTGCAGAGTACCAAAGACCCTGAGTTTTATTCTTTACCCTTAGATGACAATTTTGAGATTTAAACCTATCATTCTTTTATTTTAAATTATCCAATTTAATTTAAATAAAGCTATCTTCGATAAAGCTATCTTACATGTGGTTTGGTGTTCCTCCTTGTTCAGCTGGCTATGGCAGCAGCTGTCCAGTCTACTAGAGTTTCACCTGCAATGGGCACAGGGTCCCAGATGACTAGAGATGATAACTTGATTAATTGTTCTGTTACAATGTAAAGTGATACTTAACCCCACCTAGAACATGAATGGGAGTGTTCTGTGAAAGGGCATATACGCAAAGTGGCCCTCAAATACTGAAGGAGCTGAGAACCAAAGATTGAGGCAGACAAATCCAGTTTGTCAGTATACAGTGATTTATTAGGTGAACTTATGGGCAGAAATGTCCTGGGCAGTTGCAAGACAGGCAGCTCTCCACACCACAACCCCCAGACCCAGGGCTTGTATCTTGGGGAAAAAAAGTATACATGCTCTGAGAAGAATGTGTAGGTGGCTATGAGTGTCACAGCCTATGATGTATGCAGCAACATCAAGTGCTGTTTTGGAGGAAAGGCAAAACTTAAAATGAATAGATGTTTCTGCATAAAGAGTAATACATCAACTAGAGATCTTAGAGGAGTTCTTGGACTTGAGTTTAGTCAGGAGTCACATGGCAGATTAGCATTTAAAATAAAGTTACTCTTGTCCCCACAAGGAATCTTACTGTTTTGTACCGCATTTCAGGTCAAGAACCAATTCCCATACTTTGGAGGCCAAGGCAGGTAGATTGCTTGAGTCCAGAAGTTTGAGACCAGCCCAGACAACATGGCAAAACCACATCCCTACAAAAAATACAAAAATTAGCTGGGCATGAAGGCATATGCCTGTATTCCCAGCCACTCAGGAGGCTGAGGTGGGAGGATCAATTGAGCCTGGGAGGTTGAGGCTGCAACAAGCTGTGATTGCATCACTGTACTCAAGCCTGGGCAACAGAGTGAGACCCTGTCTCAAAGGAAAAAAAAAAAGAAGAACCAATTCCAAATATGCTTGCATGTTTGCATGCCTGCAGTTTATTTTCTAGTGCTCATTTCTATATCAGTTATCTTTTTTTTTGGCCACAAGTGACAGGAAACTGATAGATTTAAGTACAGAAGGTGCTGGAATGAATGTAAGATAGCTTTCCCAATGCAGGCAGAGTTGAACTGAACAAGCCTTTAGTGGGGACAGGAATGGGCATGGCTCCAGAGACCTTGTAAGCCTCCAGTATTGAAGTTCCCAGGATTATACCTCTCTCATAGGGTTATTATGAGGATTTTTTTTTTCTTGAGATGGAGTCTTGCTGTGTCACCCAGGCTGGAGTACAGTGGCACTGTCTCGGCTCAATGCAGCCTCCACTTCCCGGATTCCAGCGATTCTCCTGCCTCAGCCTCCTGGGTAGCTGGGATTACGGGCATGCGCCACCACACCTAGCTAATTTTTTCTATTTTTAGTAGAGATAGGGTTTCAACATGTTGGCCAGGCTGGTCTCGAACTCCTGATCTCAAGTGATCTGCCTGCCTCGGCTTCCCAAGGTGCTAGGATTACAGGCATGAGCCACTGCACCCAGCCTTTTTTTTTTTTTTTTTTTTTTTCAGTGACAAGGTCTTGTTCTTTCGCCCAGGCTAGAGTACAGTGGCACGATTAGAGCTCACTGCAGCCTTGAACTCCTTGGCTCAAGCAGTCCTTCCACCTCAGCCTCCCAAGTAGCTGGGACTACAGGGGCATGCCACTGCACTCAGCTTTGCATGCCATTCCCTCCATGTCTCTGTTCTGTCCTCTTAAAGGACACTAATTGAGTTTGATCACACATCTAATTAACTGGACCTCATTTTAACTTGATTACATGTGCAAAGACTCTGTTTCCAAATCAGGTCACATTCAGAGGTACCTGGGGTTATGACTTTAACGTATCTTTTTTTGGGGGGACACAATTTAACTTACAACACCCATTCTATCATTTCCCCTGCTTGTACTTAAGATGAAACATTGCTTATCAAGGCACTCTATCTAGTGACGACTCAGAATCCTTTTTAATACAGTGTTTTCGACAGCCACAAGCAGTTATAGAGTTGGCCTCTATGATGGAATCAGTTTACAACATTGTACTAGTCCTTTGATAAAGGGGCTTGCTTTGATTGAGTTAAATTATGACTTTGATACCAAATAAAGGTTTAGGAAAAAATGCAATATGTTAGTACATTTGACTATAGGGATGTAAAGCTATTTATGAAAGCTGTGTGTTATTAAAATAAGTACTCTTTAATTACACCTTTTTTGACAGAGTGGCCTTTGTGTATAAAGCAAGACTGAATTCTTTTAATTTTTAGATTTCTCTTTTACACATTAGAAAGCTTATTTCCTAAGAGATTTGCTAATGTTTGTTTCTCCCTCTATCTTTTTTTTTTTAAATTCTCTACAGATAAAATAATTGTGGGTAGCTTTATGGGATACCTAAGGATCTTTAGCCCCCATCCTGCAAAAACAGGAGATGGAGCTCAAGCCGAAGATTTGCTTCTAGAAGTGGATCTACGAGATCCAGTACTTCAAGTGGAAGTAGGAAAGTTTGTTTCGTAAGTAAGCCCACTAATTCTGGTATTTTACTTGGAGTATGTCAATCCTTTACAGTGTCACTTTTGTGTATTCTTCAAAGAAGACTATCCATGAATTAAATATATTTTCTGGATATTGTCACCTAGGGGTTTCTCACGTATGGAATGCTTTTTATGTGGAAACTGTACATTTAAGATATAATAATTTAGGGCCTTTTAATAGTAATAGACTTAAGATGCCTGACATTATCAGAAGCTTAAAAACAAAGAGATAAGCTTTTGAAAATAACCAAATAAAGAAATAAATAAGAAGTATCTACTTATTTAAAGTTATATAAGTGTCCATTTATAATTAGATGAAGTAGCAGATAACCATTACTTTTTGGTTCATAGCTTTGAGGTTTTAAAATGAATAGTTATTTGGGGTAGAGATGCCCTATCGTTTCTTGAAAGAAGTCAGTTCAACCCACAAAGTAAGTCTTCCCCCTACAAGAGCTTTGTTTCAAAGTACTTTATTCTTAAATCTAATTTATTTTAGAAAACTGTTTATTAGTTTGAACTTTGGGTAATATGTCTGCTTTTTATTTACTGATGATATTGCTGATCCTCTTATTTTCATACACAAACTTTCTTAAAATTAAGCTTGTATTTCTTCATCATTTAGAAGTACGATGAACACTTATCAAGTAGCCAGAGTCAGTTTGCCTCCTCTTTTTGAGCTCCCTTTTGCCTTTTTAAATCTGGGCAGTACCCTAAGCTCTGGATTTTGGCATTCTACATTTGTTTATCATAATTTATTGGCCCCAGGGGCCATTTAGTCAGGGCCCTAACTCCTGCTTGAAAACCAAACAACCACTCATGAGCATTCACATTCTTCTAGTGATATGTTTTATTCTGTTGGGAAGCTGTAGCTTAGATGCTTTAGGCTGGGATATGAGATGAGACTTTTATGCTTTGTGACAGGCTGGATTGCGGAGATTTTGTGACCGAAGTGGTTGGTAAATATCTACTCCATCTAAAAGCAGATGGTGATTAGGTTCCCATCATGTGCCTAGGACATATTAGGTGTGATGGATTTACAAAGTAAGGAGACAAAAGCATCCTTCCTGCTAAAAAGTGTTTTTACCTTACCATTAAAAAAGTGAAACACAGCCAATAATCATTCTGTATAGTAGTCCTTAAGTATAGCCCTCATCTATGTGCTCACATTGGAAGGGGAGGAAGTTAACGTTGTTAAGTAGATAGTATACTAGGCCTTTCTATGACATCATGCTCTTTTCCTGAGCATGGTGGAAAACTTGTTTTGAATGTCCAGGGTACATATACAAAATTTCCAAAGGTGATACTGATTATGTGATAGTCATGTATATTTGCATTTTCTACTAGTAGAGCAAATGATGAGTATATATTAATTGTAACAATGTTTTGCAGATGTTATCTAATAAGATTCTTATTTGTAAATAAGATACTAACACTCTGAAAGTTTAAATGATCATACATATAGTAAGGTGCAGAGTCAGAACCCCCACCTAGGTCTGCAGACTTCAATTATAGTCCTTGCAGTTTAGAACAGTCTGTTCTAAACAGGCGTTGTACACTGGAGGCCTGCTTGTACATGTGAGCCTGTTCAGTATTTTATTTTGTTTTATTTTGAGGCGGAGTTTCACTCTCGTCGCCCAGACTGGAGTGCAATGGCGTGATCTCAGCTTGCTGCAACCTCCGCCTCCCAGATTCAAGCAATTCTCCTGCCTCAGCCTCCCAAGTAGCTGGGACTACAGGCACGTGCCACCATGCCTGGCTAATTTTTGTATTTTTAGTAGAGACAGGGTTTCACCATGTTGGCCAGGCTGGTCTCGAACTTCTGATCTCAGGAGATCCACCGCCCCCTCCCACCTCAGCCTCCCAAAATGCTGGATTACAGGTGTGAGCCATTACACCTGGCCGCCTGCTCAGTATTTTAAATTTAAAAGAGCTGTCAACATTTAAGAACCAAGAGATTTCACATAAAACCCAATGCTTTCTGGCTTTTCTTGAAAAATGTGGGGCTCTGGCCCCAAGCCCAGAACCAAGTAATAGCCACCTCCTTTAGTCTGGTTCAGTCTCCAGTTAATCACAGCCATTTACACTCTTTACTCATTAACAACCCCTGGCTTGATCCTTGAAAACTGAATTTAGGATCTCTAGACTGTGCCATGCTAGTTTCTGGAAACCACTTGAGATAGGCTGGGAATTGTTGTGGTGATATTGGTAGTTTATTTCTATTTGAGATTTAGTCCAAACAGAAATATTTTCAATACTTGTAATAAAATTTCAGATATGGAAGTGATATATGCTACTTGTAATAATGATTGGTGTTTTGTGATGTTTTAACCTTTCCAAGATGGTTTCACATTATTTTATTTCATTTCATTGAACCTCTTATTTTTCATGAGAAATAGGCTCAGGGAGATTTTAGTGACTTGCCCAAAGTCACGGATGAATTAGTCAGAAAGCCAGGACTAGAACTTGGATTTCTTTATTGAAAGAAATAGCACTTAGGGAAGGACCTCAGATCTGACTTTTTCTTGGAAGCTCTGTTGGCTTCAATCTGAAGGCAGTGCCTTGAGGCAGAGTACTTGAGCCTCTGGGGTTGTCACATTGGCTGTTTATTGTTATATTTATTTTTCAGTTTAGAATGTTATCTAATGAATTGTTTTGTTTACTCACAGTGGCTGTGGTTATGAGATCTTTTTGAAATTATTTTACAACTTTTTGGTTACGTCTAAAGCTAATATTGGAAAACTTTAAAAACTTTCTCTGTTTTTCAGAGGTACCGAAATGCTACATTTGGCTGTGTTACATTCTAGAAAACTTTGTGTCTACTCTGTCTCAGGTAAGAAATATTTTTACCAATGTAGAATTTATATTACAAATTGGGCTTAATGTTATATGAGAATAGATATTCCCTAGTGCTGACTTGGTAGAGAACACAAAACATTTAGTTGAATGTTTTCTTGTCTTGGTTAACATTTTCCCATTTTTCATTTATTCTTTCAGATACTTAGGCTATTACATTTTCATGGTCTACTATTTCTGTGTATATGTATCTTTCTAGCAGAGGATTCCTCTTAATCACCTGCCTCTCCAGAATTGTTTCCGGGATTGCCTGTGACTAATAGAGGCCAATTCTGGGTACTTAAGACACTTGAGTCTTAAGAAATGTTCTACAATAACAAAATTGATTAGATGCTAAGTCATAGTGGTTTGAAGTACATTTTCTTTGGTGAACCTCAAGTATTTTCTCTTTACCGTTCCAATTTCTTGGTTTTTGGTTGTCTTCACTCAGTCAGGCTTCATCAGGTTTCATTCTCTGACATGGTTCTGTGGGTACAAGTATAGTGTGCGGTTTGGTTTTTATTAAAATTATAGTATGTGGTTTGGTTTTTATTATATTTTATTTTGGCCTTTATTAAATGTAAGATATAACTTAAAAATTTTTATTTCAATTATTAGATAAGTTTAGTTCAAGTTGAGAGTTATTTTAATGGATGTCAGTGTTGGGGGCATTTTTTTTATGGGTATGAGAAAACTAAGTGTCTGTGAGGCTGTTCCTTTTACCAGAGATCCTCTCCTTTGGAGCTTGCTGTAAATGTTACCTTCTAGGATTTGGATTTCTCAGACTTATTCTCTTCATTTGGGCTTTCTTTGTATTTTGCTTTCAATTTGAGTAATGATGCATATTTACTGACTGAGTTGGATATTCTTAGGCAGTCTCTTTTCAGGGTGAAGATCTTTTAGATTTCCAAGGCAGGCTTGGTAACCTGGCGTGGTATATGGTAGACATCCAGTAAATACTTGTTGAATGAATGAATGAACAAATTTCTGGGTAGTGCTGAGGCAATTGACAGTGGCTTTCTTTATTACTCTTCACCATGTTCTGTTTTCGTCCCCTTCTCTGTTACCACTATCATTTTATTTCCCACTCTGTTTATGTCAGAGGCCTGATAAAGTGTGCTCTCATTGATTTTATGGTAAAGGACATGGTTTCATGTTGCTCCTCCTAGTGTCAGGGCATTTATTTAGTATGCCAGAGTAAATGGAGAAGGTATTATCATACGATATAGGCTACTTTATTGCATGGATCTAGTTGTTCTTCTGTTTTTGACCGTAAGCCTGTTATTTTACTAAGTGGGTTACACAAGCCATGGAGGAGAATTTGCCTACAGTTATAGTTACCCAGAATACTTCTTTGGCAATTAGTTCCTTCTGAAGCTCCATGGGGGCTCTAAGCAGGGCAGAGAGGAGGGTATCTTAGAAGCTAGAAATTCGATTAGACACTAGGCCTTCCCTGGTCCTGCTCGAACTATGGGCCAAAAAGACAGATGCCTCTGGAGTTCCACTGGGGCTTAGAGCACAGACAAGGGATAAAAAGTGTACTTATCAGAAAAACGTACTGAAAGAAACTGGCATATTAGGTGACAATTTGTTTATGGCATATTGATATCCTTCAAGTAAGTGTTGAAAATGAAAGTTATTTGCTATGGGAATGGTGATTTTATAGCTCTTTTATTCTTTGTGTTCATTTAAAAGCTTTGTATTCTCTGGGGACTAGGAGTTGTCCAAACTACATTCTCTTAGGCCCCACCTCACTTCCCTTCTGTCTTTCATTTCTTCAGCCTCTTGTGATGTGGGCTGACAATTTGTATATTTTTCCTGGCTTGGGCTTAAATTGAGAAGCATGGGAATGTTTTTGTTCTCTTGAATATGTTTCTTGAAGTTCCAGATTGAACTTTTACCTAGCTTTTACTGTCACAGGGGAAGCACAAACATTTTCTAATTTAAGTGAAACCACTAGTGTCAGCAGACAAACGTGTGAGCTGAACTTGACATCCTTTTCTTCAACTGCTCCCTTCTCAAATATTTTCAAACTAGAGGAGCCTTTCTAAGGTCAGTCTCCTGGACATACCTAACAACCCTTAATAGTCAGAGGCTATTTTGCTAACTTCTTTTTGGTGGGTTATGTGTCATCAAATGTATGCTTAATATAGAGAAAAAAACAGGGTCTTGCTGACCTGAAGTTGGCCTATCTTATCATACTCTGGTAAAGAGAAAGCATCACATGGCATCTCAGATTTCTTTCTGATGGGCTTCAGTTTCTGAATAAATGGTTACAGATGTGTGAGTGTGAGCCGTACTGATTATGTTGTTTTAAATATTATTTTCCAAAAGATGTGTACTTCTCAAGAGGCATTTACTAAACATCTGACATATTTATAGAATTTTAATGGTTTCCATGAGGAGGGCAAAAAAGATGTGGTTCTTTACTTTTGACAGTCTTACGTAATCTGATTTACTTAATATGTAATGGCTTTGAGTTTAACATCCTTAGATTGCTCAGCAGTTACCTAAAATTGCACCGAAAACTGTTGTCAAAGTGACCTCTGATTTTCCAGAGAATTTTTTGGTTTAAATCAGATCTTGTTTAAGTAAGGCCTGTTGCATAAATGTTTGAATATTCATGTATTTTCTAATTGATGAAACTTTATAATGTATGTAGACTATAATCATATATGCTATATTCAGTCCATATATCCCAGGGCAAAACCTATGCAAATAATTTTAATATTATGTCACTGATGCTTTTTTAGGGAGAAAATGGTCAGAAATATTAGATTCCCAAATACTTCTTTTATTCCAAGGTAGTTATCTAAGGAAAATTGTCTTTTTCTCCATAGTTGCATTATTAAATTTTAAAGTGCTATTACCTGACATTTAAGATGTATCAGTGCATTTGGAGTTTTTACACAAAGCCTAGTGTCGTTTCATGCCAAGTTTAAATATTGGCTGCTGACACCTATGTTCATTGACATGAGTTCCTAATGTTCCTGCTTGCATTTTGGCTAGCAGGCATGTATAGGTGCTTTTCTTATTCAGAGGGATTGATCTGGTTGTAGATGTTGTTAAAAGAAAAACCTTAGTCAAATGAAATTTAACAGAGTTTAATTGAGCAAAGAATGATTTGTGAATTGGGCAGTCTCTTGAGCCAGAGTAGGCTGAGAGAGACTCCAGCACAGCCACATGGTAAAAGACGATTTATAGACAGAAAAAGGAAAGTGACAGACAGAAAAAGGAAAGAGATGTACAGAAAATAGAATGAGGTACAGAAACGGTCAGGTTGGTTACAGCTTGAGGTTTACCTTATTTGAACATAGTTTGAACAACTGGCCTCCTTTGATTGGCCAAAACTCAGTGATTGGCACAAGAGTAGGTTACAGTCTATTTCCACCTCCATTTAGGTTATAGTTCACTATGTACAGAGAAACCTTTAGGCTGAGCTTAAAAGATGTAAGGAGGCAGCTTTAGGCTAAACTTGATTTAACAATTTTCCTCTTTTGGTCATCCTCTCAATTTTGAGAGATTGACCACAACTAGTCATTGATGTCACTATCACCATTGTAAATGTGCTTATTTCATCTCAAAACCCACTGAGAAATAGCAGAACAGTGGATTTTGTAAGGTAGGAACAAGGAATTTAGTTTATTTTTTGTAAAGGTTAGAGTAGAGGGTACTTCCTTATGCTGGAATGTCCTGTTTAGAGGAGAAAAACAAAACCTGGTCTGTTCTAGGAGCTTTGTGTTTCCTTAAGATCTTAGTTTGATTATGTCACATTTAACATGAGTGACTTCATTTTGGCTTGGTCTTGTCTGTTGGGACCTAGTGCATGAGTTCAGTCCAAAACAATGGCCTTCCATAATTTTATTTTAAAACTTCCCCCTTTTAGTCAGGTTCTCACATAGGTGAGAGTGTGACCAAAACTTAGGGCCTTAGTTCCACTCTCTTTTAACATCAATTTTGGGTTTCTGGTCTCAGGATGTCATTCATAGGTTACAGTGCCCTCATGGTCACACATCTTTTTAAGCTCTTGTCCTTCTAGTTGAAGAGAGATCATGTGGCACTCTAGAGATGGCTGCATGCAAACATTTAAAACTTTTGAGAGAATATAGCACACTAGGGAGATTACTATTTTGACTATCAGGAGGATAATACCAAGAGTTTGGAGCATGCTTCTTAGCCAGGGTCCCCATGAACCAAACCAACTAAAATTAAATAGATCAAAGAATGAGCTAGATAAAGAGTCTGTTCGTTTTAAATAAGCAGTCTCTTTGTTAGTTCCCTGTAACTGAATCTCTATAATGCTCAATGTGATGCATTTCTCCATGGCCAACAAGAAGTGCCAGCAAGTGCACAGATACTGCTGTTTAGCCAGTAAGTAATCTAGAGCAGTTCTATTATTTAGCATAACTTTCATAAGAGAATACAAAGTCTGTTGTGTGACCATAGCCTTTAGGGTAGAATCTTCTATAAAGCCTATCATGAGGGATACATTTCTAATTATTGCCTCATTTACTTCAAACCATGGAAAAGGAGACCTAACAAATGATGTCTATTTAGAAGAATGAAGACTTCTTGGAAATGTTCTCTTTAACCTGTGACGTAGGTTAAGAGGAGTGGACCAATGTCCTGTTTCTAACTGATTATGAGGCAACAAATGTGTCATTAAAATTTCTCACCTGCATTGGGCCTTCGTCTTTTATCTATTGAGGCATAAGGTATTCCATGTATAAGGCTGGCTGCAAAATCCTTCACAAATTAAAGTATACTCTATGAATACACACAATAGACCCTCTTTTCACTTCTATTGTTCATGGAAGCATAAGCAAGAAAAAATAGGTAAGAGTCTCCTGATAGCAGAGAAGTCTTGATCTGTGATCTTGAGAAAAAGCTGTCTATATCATGGATACCATCTTCTTCTGGGGAGAAACTTTCCTGTTTAGCTTTACTTTAAGGTTGCCAATGGGTGTACAGTTCCAAGAGTGGAGGGGCCCTTTTGAGTTGTGAGATTATTAACTCAAAATTTCAAGGTCCCAAAGTGTTGCTGCAATGTAGATGGCAAGGGCAGTCTTTCTCTGGTATTCTCAGAAGATTCAATCTTTGTGTTCTAGATTTTGAAGGGGTTGATTGTCCTCAGTCAGCAGACTGTGAAAAGCTTTCTTCACCAGGTGGAAATATACTTTGACAAATAGAGCTAATGTTATAACATCAGCCCTCTTGCATGGGAAAGCTTTTATACAACCAGAAGACATGCATTGAAAATGACAATTGAATGAAATCTTTCTATAAATGTTTAAATGGCTCATCAGCTAGCAGAAATGTACCTGAAATTTTGGTTGTCTTTCCAGGAATATGGGTTTGAAAAGCAAACATTGGTTGTAAACTCTTTTAGCAACATGGAACAGTCACTACACTAATTAATACTTTTTTTTTTATTATACTTTAAGTTCTAGGGTACATGTACAACGTGCAGGTTTGTTACATAGGTATACTTGTGCTATGTCGGTTTGCTGCCACCATTAACTCGTCATTTACATTAGGTATTTCTTCTAATGCTATCCCTGCCCCTGCACCCCACCCCACGACAGGCCCTGTTATGTGATGTTCCCCACCCTGTGTCCAAGTGTTCTCATTGTTCAGTTCCCACCTATGAGTGAGAACATGCAGTGTTTGGTTTTCTGTCCTTGTGATCGTTTGCTCAGAATGATGGTTTCCAGCTTCATCCATGTCCCTGCAAAGGACATGAACTCATCCTTTTTTATGGCTGCATAGTATTCCATGGTGTATATGGGCTACATTTTCTTAATCCAGTCTATCATTGATGGACATTTGGGTTGGTTCCAAGTCTTTGCTATTGTGAATAGTGCCATAAAAAACATACGTATACATGTGTCTTTATAGTAGCATGATTTATAATCCTTTGGGTGTATACCCAGTAATGGGATTGCTGGGTTAAATGGTATTTCTGGTTACAGATCCTTGAGGAATTGCCACACTGCCTTCCACGATGGTTGAACTAGTTTACACTCCCACCAACAGTGTGAAAGCATTCCTATTTCTCCTCATCCTCTCCAGCATCTGTTGCTTCCTGACTTTTTAATGATTGCCATTCTAACTGATGTGAGATGGTATCTCATTGTGGTTTTGATTTGCATTTCTCTGATGACCAGTGATGATGAGCATTTTTTCATGTGTCTGTTGGGTGCATAGATGTCTTCTTTTGAGAAGTGTCTGTTCATATCCTTTGCCCACTTGTTGATGGAATTGTTTGTTTTTTTCTTGTAAATTTGTTTAAGTTCTTTGTAGATTCTGGATATTAGCCCTTTGTCAGATGGGTAGATTGCAAAAACTTTCTCCCATTCTGTAGGTTGCCTGTTCACGCTGCTGGTAGTTTTCTTTTTTTGCTCATGAAGTCCTTGCCCATGCCTGTGTCCTGAATGATATTGCCTAGGTTTTCTTCTAGGGTTTTTATGGTTTTAGGTCTAACATTTAAGTCTTTAATCTATCTTGAATTAATTTTGTATAAGGTGTAAGGAAGGGATCCAGTTTCAGCTTTCTACATATGGCTAGCCAGTTTTCCCAGCACCATTTATTAAATAGGGTATCTTTTCCCCATTTCTTGTTTTTGTCAGCTTTGTAAAGATCAGATGGTTGTAGACGTGTGGTGTTATTGGTTATATGCCATTGGTAATGGCATTGAATCTATAAATTACCTTGGGCAGTATGGCCATTTTCACTGTATGGATTCTTCCTATCCATGAGCATGGAATGTTCTTCCATTTGTTTGTGTCCTCTTTTATTTTGTTGAGCAGTGGTTTGTAGTTCTCCTTGAAGAGGTCCTTCACATCCCTTGTAAGTTGGATTCTTAGGTATTTTATTCTCTTTGTAACAGTTGTGAATGGGAGTTCACTCATGATTTGGCTCTGTTTGTCTGTTGTTGATGTATAGGAGTGCTTGTGATTTTTGCACATTGATTTTGTATACTGAGACTTTGCTAAACTTTCTTATCAGCTTAAGGAGATTTTGGGCTGAGACGATGGGGTTTTCTAGATTTACAATCATGTCATTTGCACACAGGGACAATTTGATTTCCCTTTTTCCTAATTGAATACCCTTTATTTCTTTCTCTTGCCTGATTGCCCTGGCCAGAACTTCCAACACTATGTTGAATAGGAGTCGTGAGAGAGGGCATCTCTGTCTTGTGCCTGTTTTCAAAGGGAATGCTTCCAGTTTTTGCCCATTCAGTATGATATTGGCTGTGGGTTTCTCATAAGTAGCTCTTATTATTTTGAGATACGTTCCATCAATACCTAGTTTATTGAGAGTTGTTAGCATGAAGGGTTCTTGAATTTTGTAGAGGCGTTTTCTGCATCTATTGAGATAATCATGTGGTTTTTGTCATTGGTTCTGTTTATATGATGGATTATGTTTATTGATTTGCATATGTTAAACCAGCCTTGCATCCCAGGGATGAAGCTGACTTGATCGTGGTGGATAAACTTTTTGATGTGCTGCTGGATTTGGTATGCCAGTATTCTATTGAGGATTTTCGTGTCAGTGTTCCTCAGGGATATTGGTCTAAAATTCTCTTTTTTTTGCTGTGTCTCTGCCAGCCTTTGGTATCAGGATGATGCTGGCCTCATAAAAACAGTTAGGGAAGATTCCCTCTTTTTCTATTGATTGGAATAGTTTCAGAAGGTATGGTACCACCTCCTCTTTGTACCTCTGGTAGAATTCGGCTGTGAGTCCATCTGGTCTTGGACTTTTTTTGGTTGGTATGCTATTAATTATTGCCTCAATTTCAGAACCTGTTATTTGTCTATTCAGAGATCCAACTTCTTCCTGGTTTAGTCTTGGGCGGGTGTATGTGTCCAGGAATTTATCCATTTCTTCTAGATTTTCTAGTTTTTTTGCATAGAGGTGTTTATAGTATTCTCTGATGGTAGTTTGTATTTCTGTGAGATCAGTGGTGATATCCCCTTTATCATTTTTTGTTGCGTCTATTTGATTCTTCTCTGTTTTCTTCTCTATTAGTCTTGCTAGAGGTCTATCAATTTTGTTGATCTTTTCAAAAAACCAGCTCCTGGATTCACTGATTTTTTGAAGGGTTTTTTGTGTCTCTATTTCCTTCAGTTCTTCTCTGATCTTAGTTATTTCTTGCCTTCTGCTAGCTTTTGAATATGTTTTCTCTTGCTTCTCTAGTTCTTTTAATTGTGATGTTAGGGTGTCTATTTTAGATCTTTCCTGCTTTCTCTTGTGGGCTTTTAGTGCTATAAGTTTCCCTCTACACACTGCTTTAAATGTGTCCCAGAGATTTTGGTACGTTGTGTCTTTGTTCCCATTGGTTTCAAAGAACATCTTTATTTCTGCCTTCATTTCGTTATGTACCCAGTAGTCATTCAGGAGCAGGTTGTTCAGTTTCCATGTAGTTGTGCAGTTTTGAATGAGTTTCTTAATCCTGAGTTCTAATTTGATTGCACTGTGGTCTGAGAGACAGTTTGTTATGATTTCTGTTCTTTTGCATTTGCTGAGGAGTGTTTTACTTCCAATCATGTGGTCAATTTTTGAATAAGTGCGATGTGGTGCTGAGAAGAATGTATACTCTGTTGATTTGGATGGAGAGTTCTGTAGATGTCTATTAGGTACGCTTGGTGCACAGCTGAGTTCAAGTCCTGGATATCCTTGTTAACTTTCTGTCTCGTTGATCTGTCTAATGTTGACAGTGGGGTGTTAAAGTCTCCCATTATTATTGTGTGGGAGTCTAAGTCTCTTTGTAAGTCTCTAAAAACTTGCTTTATGAATCTGGGTGCTCCAGTATTGGGTGCATATATATTTAGGACAGTTAGCTCTTCTTGTTGAATTGATCCCTTTACCATTATGTAATGGCCTTCTTTGTCTCTTTTGATCTTTGTTGGTTTAAAGTCTGTTTTATCAGAGACTAGGATTGCAACCCCTGCTTTTTTTTGTTTTCCATTTGCTTGGTAGATCTTCCTTTATCCTTTTATTTTGAGCCTATGTGTGTCTCTGCATGTGAGATGGGTCTCCTGAATACAGTACACTGATGGGTCTGGACTCTATCCAATTTGCCAGTCTGTGTCTTTTAACTGGGGCATTTAGGCCATTTACATTTAAGGTTAATATTGTTATGTGTGAATTTGATCCTGTCATTATGATGTTAGCTGGTTATTTTGCCCGTTGGTTGATGCAGTTTCTTCCTAGCATCGATGGTCTTTACAATTTGGCGTGTTTTTGCGGTGGCTGATACCGGTCTTTCCTTTCCATGTTTAGTGCTTCCTTGAGGAGCTCTTGTAAGGCAGGTCTGGTGGTGACGAAATCTCTCAGCATTTGCTTGTCTGTAAAGAATTTTATTTCTCCTTCACTTATTAAGCTTAGTTTGGCTGGATATGAGATTCTGGGTTGAAAATTGTTTTCTTTAAGAATGTTGAATATTGTCCCCCACTCTCTTCTGGCTTGTAGAGTTTCTGCCGAGAGATCCGCTGTTAGTCTGATGGGCTTCCCTTTGTGGGTAACCTGACCTTTCTTTCTGGCTGCCCTTAACATTTTTTCCTTCATTTCAACCTTGGTGAATCTGACAATTATGTGTCTTGGGTTTGCTCTTCTTGAGGAGTGTCTTTGTGGCATTATCTGTATTTCCTGAATTTGAATGTTGGCCTGCCTTGCTAGGTTGGGGAAGTTCTCCTGGATAATATCCAGCAGAGTGTTTTCCAACTTGGTTCCATTCTCCCCATCACTTTCAGGTACACCAGTCAAACGTAGATTTGGTCTTTTCACATAGTTCCATATTTCTTGGAGGCTTTGTTCGTTTTTTTTTTTACTCTTTTTTCTCTAAACTTCTCTTCTCGCTTTATGTCATTAATTTGATTTTCAATCAACGATAGCCTTTCTTCCACTTGATTGAATCAGCTATTGAAGCTTGTGCATGTGTCTTGTAGTTCTTGTGCCATGGTTTCAGCTCCATCAGGTCATTTAAGGTCTTCTTCTCTACACTGTTTATTCTAGTTAGCCATTCATCTAATCTTTTTTCAAGGTTTTTAGCTTCGTTGTGATGGGTTCGAACATCCTCCTTTAGCTTGGAGAAGTTTGTTATTACCGACCTTCTGAAGCCTACTTCTGTCAGCTCGTCAAACTCATTCTCCGTCAAGCTTTGTTCCGTTGCTGGCAAGGAGCTGCAATCCTTTGGAGGAGAAGAGGTGCTCTGGTTTTTAGAATTTTCAGCTTTTCTGCTCTGGTTTCTCCCCATCTTTGTGGTTTTATCTGCCTTTGGTCTTTGATGTTGGTGACCTACAGATGGGGTTTGGGTGTGGATGTCCTTTTTGTTGATGTTGATGCTATTCCTTTTTGTTTGTTAGTTTTCCTTCTAACAGTCAGGTCCCTCAGCTGCAGGTCTGTTCGAGTGTGCTGGAGGTCCACTCCAGACACTGTTTGTCTGGGTATCAGCAGCAGAGGCTGCAGAACAGCAAATATCGCAGAAGAGCAAATATTGCTGCCTGATCCTTCCTCTGGAAGCTTCTTCCCAGAAGGGCACCCTCCTGTATGAGGTGTCAGTCAACCCCTACTGGGAGGTATCTCCCAGTTAGGCTACTCAGGGTTCAGGGACCCACTTGAGGAGGCAGTCTGTCTGTTCTCAGAGCTAAAACACCATGCTGGGAGAACCATTGGTCTTTTCAGAGCTGTCAGATAGGGAGGTTTAAGTCTGCAGAAGTTTCTGCTGCCTTTTGTTCAGCTATGCCCTGCCTCCAGAGGTGGAGTCTACAGAGGCAGATGGCCTTGCTAAGCTGCGGTGGGCTCCGCCAAGTTTGAGCTTCCTCCAGCCGCTTTGTTTACCTACTCAAGCCTCAGCAATGGCGGATGCCCCTCCCCCTGCCAGGCTGCTGCCTCACAGGTTGATCTCAGACTGCTGCGCTAGTAGTGAGCAAGGCTCCATGGGCGTGGGACCCACCTAGCCAGGCGTGGGATCCACCTAGCCAGGCGTGGGATATAATCTCCTGGTGTGCCATTTGCTGAGACTGTTGGAAAAGGGCAGTATTTGGGCAGGAGTGTCCCGTTTTTCCACGTACAGTCTGTCACGGCTTCCCTTGGCTAGGAAAGGGATATCCCCCAACCCCTTGCACTTCCTGGGTGAGGTGATGCCCCACCCTGCTTTACCTCACCCTCCGTGGGCTGCACCCACTGTCCAACCAGTCCCAATGAGATGAACCAGGTAGCTCAGTTGGAAATGCAAAAATCACCCGTCTTCTGTGTCAGTCACGCTGGGAGCTGCAGATCAGAGCTGTTCCTATGTGACCACCTTCCAATTAATACATTTTTAATTTGGATAATTTTATCTCTTCCATGATGAGTCATAGAATGCAGAGCTTTTAATAACAAAAGCTTTAAGGACTCAGGAAGCACAAGGTGGCTGTCCAGGTTCTCCATGAGTCCATGCTTAATGTTGGACTTAATGTCCTCTTAAATAACAGTTGTTTCTCCAATTTAGGTTCACAGCACTGATAACTGAAAGTTATAGGTATTTTGACTTGGATCATGGAGTTCGTTCACATTGTATATATAAACAATTTCAGTACTGTCTGGTTTAGCATAAAAATCTGACAAAGTATTTTCTTGGTATTGAATATTTTTGTCCTGCTTGGGTTAGCAGTTTTATAAACTAGTCAGTCTGTTCATTAAAGTTCTGAGAATTCTTTTTTTTTTTTTTTTTGAAATGGAGTCTAGCTCTGTTGCCCAGGCTGGAGTGCAGTGGTACAATCTCAGCTCATTGCAACCTCTGCCTCCCGGGTTCAAGCGACTCTCCTGCCTCAGCCTCCTGGGTGGCTGGGATTGCAGGTGCCCACCACCATGTCCAGCTAATTTTTGTATTTTAGTAGAGATGGGGTTCACTGTGTTGGCCAGGCTGTTCTTGAACTCCTGACCTTGTGATCCACCCTCCTCAGCCTCCCAAAGTGCTGGGAGTACAAGCATGAGCCACCACGATCAGCCTTAAATTCTGGGAATTCTTACCCCATCCAAATTATATGATCCTAAAGTTACCAGAAACCTGTATTCAAGAGTGCTTGTCGGGGTCCTTTCTATCCTTTCATGAACCTCCTTAAAGATACCATACTCTAGGATTTTGGATGCTTGTAAAGTTTTCAGGAACTGCGTTAAAATTAAGCAATTAACTGTGGAAATAACTTTAAATGATTATAAAGACATAATTGACAAGGAAATGTTGTCATTTATATGGCCTATAATAACATAACAACCATAAATATGACTGATAGCATATGCCCAGACATACTAGAATTTTAGAAATCCCATACAATTTTGGTACATATATTAATAACATATTCATTAAAATGTAACTTGAAGATTAAAAATCATTTCATGTTTGACAGTGCTTCCCGTGTAATTTAACCTTTCAGATAATCCTGTTTATCTCCTTTTGGCTGCTTCAGGTGCCCTCTGTAGCATCCCAAAGTTAGAGGCTGAAAGAGACTTAATTTTGACCTGAAATTTGGTTTTGGGAAGCCCATCAAATTGTCAAGGTTTTATAACACTTGACCAAGATAGGATCACAGGTCACCATAAAATAATGGTCATTCGTTTAGCCAAAGTGATAATTACAAGAATTTTTTTTTGAAAAAGAAGAAACCTGTACTCTTTGATAGAGGAGACTCAGTCTTTCAGTTATAAGACCTAAGACAGCATGACAGATCCTATCTCTTTTTCCTCCTCCTTTTTTTCCTTTTTGCAGTTTACTCAACGCATAAATGAAAATATTTTACTGTGTCTTATTAATAAATGCTACACAAATTTTTGTTCAAAAGAGAAATTAAATTTTACTTTTGTATTAGTGTATTATAAATACTAAAGCTAATTTTAATAAAATCTCATAAATAAATTTATCTAATCTGTCTTCTCTTAACCACACAAGATTTCCATAAACCTTTCATTTTGCATTTTCCAGCTTTCTATATTCATCTTGTTTTTTCTATTTTTTTACTCCTTCAATTTGAAACCTATAAGAAACCTCAAACCAGATAATATTTTTAACACATATCTTTGTGCTTTTTTAACTTTCCTCATGAAAAGCATATCTTGCTTTTTTTTATTTATTTTTTATTGTACTTTAAGTTTTAGGGTACATGTGCACATTGTGCAGGTTAGTTACATATGTATACATGTGCCATGCTGGTGTGCTGCACCCACTAACTCATCATCTAGCATTAGGTATATCTCCCAATGCTATCCCTCCCCGCTCCCCCCACCCCACCACAGTCCCCAGAGTGTGATATTCCCCTTCCTGTGTCCATGTGATCTCATTGTTCAATTCCCACCTGTGAGTGAGAATATGCGGTGTTTGGTTTTTTGTCCTTGCGATAGTTTACTGAGAATGATGCTTTCCAATTTCATCCATGTCCCTACAAAGGACATGAACTCATCATTTTTTATGGCTGCATAGTATTCCATGGTGTATATGTGCCACATTTTCTTAATCCAGTCTATCATTGTTGGGCATTTGGGTTGGTTCCAAGTCTTTGCTATTGTGAATAATGCCGCAATAAACATACGTGTGCATGTGTCTTTATAGCAGCATGACTTAGAGTTCTTTGGGTATATACCCAGTAATGGGATGGCTGGGTCAAATGGTATTTCTAGTTCTAGATCCCTGAGGAATCGCCATACTGACTTCCACAATGGTTGAACTAGTTTACAGTCCCACCAACAGTGTAAAAGTGTTCCTATTTCTCCACATCCTCTCCAGCACCTGTCGTTTCCTGACTTTTTAATGATTGCCATTCTAACTGGTGTGAGATGGTATCTCATTGTGGTTTTGATTTGCATTTCTCTGATGGCCAGTGATGGTGAGCATTTTTTCATGTGTTTTTTGGCTGCATAAATGTCTTCTTTTGAGAAGTGTCTGTTCATGTCCTTCGCCCACTTTTTGATGGGGTTGTTTGTTTTTTTCTTGTAAATCTGTTTGAGTTCATTGTAGATTCTGGATATTAGCCCTTTGTCAGATGAGTAGGTTGCGAAAATTGTCTCCCATTTTGTAGGTTGCCTGTTCACTCTGATGGTAGTTTCTTTTGCTGTGCAGAAGCTCTTTAGTTTAATTAGATCCCATTTGTCAATTTTGTCTTTTGTTGCCATTGCTTTTGGTGTTTTAGATATGAAGTCCTTGCCCATGCCTATGTTCTGAATGGTAATGCCTAGGTTTTCTTCTAGGGTTTTTATGGTTTTAGGTCTAACGTTTAAGTCTTTAATCCATCTTGAATTGATTTTTGTATAAGGTGTAATCACAGCCGAATTCTACCAGAGGTACAAGGAGGAACTGGTACCATTCCTTCTGAAACTATTCCAATCAATAGAAAAAGAGGGAATCCTCCCTAACTCATTTTATGAGGCCAGCATCATTCTGATACCAAAGCCTGGAAGAGACACAACCAAAAAAGAGAATTTTAGACCAATATACTTGATGAACATTGATGCAAAAATCCTCAATAAAATACTGGCAAACCGAATCCAGCAGCACATCAAAAAGCTTATCCACCATGATCAAGTGGGCTTCATCCCTGGGATGCAAGGCTGGTTCAATATATGCAAATCAATAAATGTAATCCAGCATATAAACAGAGCCAAAGACAAAAACCACATGATTATCTCAATAGATGCAGAAAAGGCCTTTGACAAAATTCAACAACCCTTCATGCTAAAAACTCTCAATAAATTAGGTATTGATGGGATGTATTTCAAAATAATAAGAGCTATCTATGACAAACCCACAGCCAATATCATACTGAATGGGCAAAAACTGGAAGCATTCCCTTTGAAAACTGGCACAAGACAGGGATGCCCTCTCTCACCACTCCTATTCAGCATAGTGTTGGAAGTTCTGGCCAGGGCAATTAGGCAGGAGAAGGAAATAAAGGGTATTCAATTAGGAAAAAAGGAAGTCAAATTGTCCCTGTTTGCGGATGACATGATTGTATATCTAGAAAACCCCATTGTCTCAGCCCAAAATCTCCTTAAGCTGATAAGCAACTTCAGCAAAGTCTCAGGATACAAAATCAATGTACAAAAATCACAAGCATTCTTATACACCAACAACAGACAAACAGAGAGCCAAATCATGAGTGAACTGCCATTCACAATTGCTTCAAAGAGATTAAAATACCTAGGAATCCAACTTACAAGGGATGTGAAGGACCTCTTCAAGGAGAACTACAAACCACTGCTCAAGGAAATAAAAGAGGATACAAACAAATGGAAGAACATTCCATGCTCATGGGTAGGAAGAATCAATATCATGAAAATGGCCATACTGCCCAAGGTAATTTACAGATTCAATGCCATCCCCATCAAGCTACCAATGCCTTTCTTCACAGAACTGGAAAAAACTACTTTAAAGTTCATATGGAATGAAAAAAGAGCCCGCATCGCCAAGTCAATCCCAAGCCAGAAGAACAAAGCTGGAGGCATCACACTACCTGACTTCAAACTATACTACAAGGCTACAGTAACCAAAACAGCATGGTACTGGTACCAAAACAGAGATATAGATCAATGGAACAGAACAGAGCCCTCAGAAATAACGCCGCATATCTACAACTATCTGATCTTTGACAAACCTGAGAAAAACAAGCAGTGGGGAAAGGATTCCCTATTTAATAAATGGTGCTGGGAAAACTGGCTAGCCATATGTAGAAAGCTGAAACATATCTTGCTTTTGTTTATACACTATGTATACAAAATTGTTTCATCTCTAGTAGCTTTAATTACATATATCAACTAAAATTTTAACTCTTAGTAACCTTAATTTCTGATTAAAACCCTAGAAAATAATTTCGAACTAATTTTATATCAGTATTTGTGATAAAAACTATTTTTTTAAGTTTTTAGAAAGATTTTTCTTCAAATTATTGTTTTTTAACAGACCTAAATATATGTAGCTTTTCTGTATCATATAAAAATAACATCAACGTATACAGACAAACTCATGTTTAATAATTAATGTTTCAATATTTTAACTTATAAATGACTCAGACATTTTATGATTATTATTTAATTTAATATAACATGACCTGAAGATTTTAAATTACTGAAAATAATTTTGAAAATATGACACAGGTACCCTCCTTAATGTCTTCCCTTAGTCATTCTGGGTGCCAAGTAGCCTCATGGTACCCAGGAGGCTTATGAAGGTCAAGGCCTCTCTGAGTCCTGACATACCAGGTGCAATGGTCAGGATAGAAGACAGGGCTGTGAAGACTATATCTGGAGGATTCAACCCCTCCCCAAATAGCCAGTAGGCAAGCAGGAAAGCAGGGGAGAAGGGAGCATATTGGGCTTGGTTCTGGCTTGTAGCTGATGGTCTAGGCACTAAGAACATGCCTCTAGGCCGGGTGTGGTGGCTCACACCTGTAATCCCAGCACTTTGGGAGGCCGAGGTGGGCCGATCATGAAGTCAGGAGATTGAGATCATCCTGGCTAACACCGTGAAACCCCATCTCTACTAAAAAATACAAAAAATTAGCTGGACATGGTGGCGGGCGCCTGTAGTCCCAGCTACTCGGGAGGCTGAGGCAGGAGAATGGCATTAACCCAGGCGGTGGAGCTTGCAGTGAGCCAAGATCGTGCCACTGCACTCCAGCCTGGGTGACAGAGCGAGACTCTGTCTCAAAAAAAAAATAATAAAAAAAAAAAATGAAAAGAACACGACTCTAGACCTCGTCATGTCCACCTATGCAGACCCCCAAATCCAGAGGCTCTAAACCAAAAACAGCTCACAGTCAATCAAGCAAATATCTTGTTATATTTAACTGATAATTTTGAAGCTATTCCTATTTTAGCAACAATTTTAGAATTTGCTTTATTTACCAAATATTATCACAGACACATAACACACATGGACATGAAAGATTTTCATTTGCTAGCTTTTAAATAGTTTTCCTTTTCCCTATTTGGTCTATTAATCTTCCAGTTACTTGTTTCATTGCCCTAAGCAATTGTTAACCAGGCAACAAATTTGCATTTCTAAAATAACTCTTAGGTACAACAACAAAAAATTATATTCCATATGTACATAGCTAAGATTTTAGGCCTAAATATTGTATCATCATTTGTCTCAAACCAAGGAAAAAATGGTGCTCCCATAAAAGTTCAGTTAAGACAACATGGCCAGAAAGGCACCTTAATCAAAGGTGTGACTTATGCCAATTTAAAACAATGGGAAGAGTTTCTAATATACACAGGCAGACATCCTTAAAAATGGTGATTTCCTTAATAGATGTAAATTTCTTTTGCAGAAGGGTTTCAAGATAGCCAATGAAATTCCAGAAAGGCATATTTTAGTTCAATAGGTGTTCTTAATTTAGCTACTGTTTCTTAACTAAAATTACTGAGTTCAGAGTGGAGCCCATTAAGGAATAGGGGGAAGAAAGCATCCTCTATGCCTGGACTCAGCATGGTTGCATCTGAAAAAGAAGCAAGCCTATTTTGCCTGAGGGCCTGCCTTTTATAAACACTTTATCTTTAGTTGCTTAAGCTTTTTATTTGCCTTTTATAAAGAGTCTTTTAATAAAAATATTGAAAAATTTGGCCGAGTGCAGTGGCTCACGTCTGTAATCCCAGTATTTTGGGAGGCTGAGGCGGGTGGATCACGAGGTCAGGAGATCGAGACCATCCTGGCTAACACCGTGAAACCCCATCTCTATTAAAAAATACAAAAAATCAGCTGGGCGTGGTGGCAGGTCCCAGCTACTCGCGAGGATGAGGCAGGAGAATGGTGTGAACCTGGGAGGCGGAGCTTGCAGTGAGCTGAGATTGCGCCACTGCACTCCAGCCTTGGCAACAGAGCGAGACTCCATCCTAAAAAAAAAAAAAAAAAATTGAAAAATTTTAGAAGCTTCCACAGGTCAATAGCCATCCCTAGATGAGACTATTTGGGGAGCCATCATTTTCAAATTTACATCTTTGGTGCAGTGTTGTTCATTTGGAACATTCCACATTTGTAACTTATCTTTAGTAATATTTTGCCATTTCTGTTAGACTTTACTGCTTCTGGGGCCTAATACTTATGCACGTATAAGCTGGAAGTTACTCAGTTCTTCAGAAACTAAGGTTCCCATTTTTACCTCAAATATTGGCTTTGGCTCTCAGACCTCCTTGGTCAACCTAGCCAATGACTTTTCCCTATCTAAGTGTGCAAGAAAAATGAAACAAAGTGGGTAGAACACAGAAATTTCTGCTAATTTCCAAGAGCTAAACTTTATACCGCCTGCAATATTTCCATTTACTACCAGTTTTTTTCTGACCTAGTCAGATATAAGAAGCCCCCTTACTGGATACAAGACAGTTAATTATCAGATCCAGTCTGATCCTAGATCCAGTCTGATCCTAGACCCAGTCCAGTTTCTGTTGTGACTTCCAAACCCAGTTTGGATCAGAAATTTGCTCAAAGAAACTAGGAGAGCTCAAAACACAAATATGTGGAGCTTCTGAATCTGAGAGAGAACTTACCATGATCCCCAGTTGCTGTGAGAGAGCAATGGACACAATAGGCCTAGTGGGTACCTCGCTTGGTCGCTCAGCTCTCCTGGGGGTTGTTAGAACCTCTACTTTGGATCCCACTTCTGACACCAT
Organism: Homo sapiens; assembly: GCF_000001405.40. Lineage (NCBI taxonomy): Eukaryota > Metazoa > Chordata > Mammalia > Primates > Hominidae > Homo > Homo sapiens. The sequence goes on from NC_000007.14 coordinate 33,174,344, forward strand.
CTGTTAAAAGAAAAACTTTAGCCAAATTAAATTTAACAGCATTTAATTGAACAAAGAACAATTTGTGAGTTGGGCAGCCTCTTGAGCCAGAGTAGGCTCAGAGAGACTCCAGTGCAGCCACATAGTAGAAGATTTATAGACAGAAAAATGAAAGAGGTGTACAGAAAATGGAATGAGGTACAGAAACAGCTGGATTGTTTACAACTCAGCATTCACCCCATTTGAACATGGTTTGATCAGCTGACCGCCTTTGGCCAAAACTCGATGATTGGCACAAGGGAAGGTTACAGTCTGTTTACACTTCCATTTATGTTATAGTTCATTATGTACAGAAAAACCTTTAGGCTGAACTTAAAATATGTAAGGAGGCAGCTTTAGGCTAAACTTGATTTAACAGTTCAGAATGAAATTTGAAATTTCTTTAGGGATAAACCAGGTGACTCTTGGAGCTGCTCTTTCTGGTTTCTTGGAGGCTAGAACTCTCTTCAGGTTAATACCGTATGTGTTTCCCTCACCCATGTGGCTGGTTTGGTTGTGATTCCTCCTCAGCTTCCTGGCACCTCAATGATTTTACTACCATTTAGAATCCAGAAAGCCTTCATCCTCCATCAAGGTCAGCAGGCAAATTTAAGCCTTTATGTTTGTTTCTTATTCTATTGGTATATAAAATCTATTTTTGGCCAGGTGCGGTGACTCATGCCTGTAATCCCAGCACTTTGGGAGGCCGAGGCGAGTGGAACACCTGAGGTCAGGAGTTTGAGACCAGCCTGGCCAACATGGTGAAACCCTGTCTGTACTAAAAATACAAAAATTAGCTGGGTGTGGTGGCAGGTGCCTGTAATCCCAGCTACTCAGGAGGCTGAGGCAAGAGAATTGCTTGAATCCAGGAGTCAGAGCAGTGAGTGGAAATTGTGCCACTGAACTCCATCCTGTGCAACAGAGTGAGACTCTGTCTTTAAAAAATAAAAATAAAAAAAAAAACAACAAAACTAATGTTAATTAACCATTTGTGGGGACCATGGAACTGAGTAGAAATGATTCTCCTTCAAGAAATCCTCCCCTGATAGTTTTTCCTCTTTTAACTATTAAAAGACAAACTTAAGACAATTTAAATTTAATGGCCTTTAACTGAGCAAAGAATACCTCAGGTGTTGGGCAGCCCTCACAACCACCAGAGGAGGTTCAGAGCGCTCTGCTCTTCAACATGAGCAGGAAACATTTATGGACAGACAATGCAAGTGAGGTACAGAAACAGCTTCATTCCTGACAGCTTAGCATTTACCTTACTTGAACATGGTCTGGTCAGTTGGCTGCCTACGATTGGCTGAATGTCAGCTACCATGATTGGCCAGGCTGAGAAAGGCAAAAGGGAGGGAAAAAAAAATCTTTACTTATCTTAGGTTCTCCAGCTGGGGCTCTATAAATTAGACTGGCCAAAGACTAATTAACAATAGGAAAAACAAGCAGAAATTTATTAACATATGCATTGCTCATGTACACATAGGAATATTCCATAAGGAGTGACTCAAAAGGGTAGTTGGACCTTGGGCTAACATAGCATTTTAGGTGAAATAAAAGAAAATGGGTTTTGGGCTTCTGTACACAGAAGGCAAGTTATGGGAAGGTGACCAGAAAAAGTGTGGTAAACAAGGGTTGCTTAGTAAAGTTTGTTATGGTGATTTAAGTTGAGGCCTTCTCCATTGAAAAGAGCTAAGGGTACTCCTCTTCCTGGTACAAGGGAGGGAGACTTTTTTTTATAAATGGAGATTTCTTTTTTTAAATGACGACCTGTTTTTAGAGCTTTTCCGGCTAGTTCCCTGTGTCCTTTTGCTCAAAATAATCCATATGCCAAAGAGTCCTGTTTGAGGTGTCATATTCTGGTACCCTGCAGTGGAAAAGACATATTCTTGAAGCTGTTTTCTTTGGGGAAATTGTCGTTGACAGGATCCATGGACAGTAAAATCTTTACTGGGTGCGAGGACCACATTCCCTGAAAGTTGTTAAATGGTGGACAACTGGGCAGCAGGATACAATACATAGTACCTGGTTCTAAAGATTTGGTTTAGGTTCTAAAAGTCTGGTTTGAATACTCAGTTCTCTACCTTGAATACTGTATGATTTTGGGGAAATTTCTGTAAATTTGTTTTGAACTTAAGGTGCTTCAATTCTAAAACGGAAATAAAAATATATTCTTACAATCTCAGTGTATGTTGGTAAATTCTTCTGGACAAACAAACCCAAAACAAATAAATGCTCCTATATAAATTTATAAATAAATAAGTACACATACATATATTTTTAGATATTTTTAGTGATTGAGTACTACCCAGTTTGAGGACTATTGCATTTGCTTTATGATAATTTAAAATTTTCCTTAACTTTTACATTTTGGATTAATGAGTGATGCTTCTTTATGGAAAAAATTGCTTTCTGAATCCTTTTTCTTTCCAACACACTTTTTAATCATAATGTTCTTGCTCTATATGTATAAAATACAGATAAATACTCTTTTCTCATTTGGAAAGAACTAGAAAGTGAAGCACATGCAGTCTATTAAATGCAGAGTATTTTTCTGTGTTTGGAAGGAGATTCTTCTTGGCAGACTTCAAATAAAAAACATTTTCCTATTTACTTGTTGAGGGAAGCTTAGAAAATTTCTCAATTAAATTAGAATATAATTAGGGGCTTGAATATTTTGAGAGTTGGGGTAGGAACACTAATTGCTTGAAAGTGTTGGGGATTTTTTTTTCTTAGACACTTTGAGTCATTTCTTTGCTCTATTAATGTTTATAAATGCAGAGAACTTATTTATTTCAGATCTGAAATTAGAGGGTTTTGTTGTTATTTAAATAATTACACTTTACTCAGATATAATCTGTCTAATAAAAATAGAATATAAAGTGTCCCCAGGGTAATATTTTGTCTAATGGTGTAATTTAGCTGAGATGTAAATTGTTTTAACTGTACTGGCTTTGTGTGTCATCAGTATGCTAATTTTTCACAATACATAATATTTTAGTGCTTTGCCATTATAATTTCCCTAAAATTACTTAGAATCGGAGTAGTGGATGAGAACAAATTAATGTTTTTTAGTGTACACAAATACAAAGTAATCCTTTTTTTTTTTTCCTTAGGAACCTTGGGTAATGTGGAACATGGGAACCAATGTCAGATGAAATTGATGTATGAACATAATCTTCAGAGAACAGCCTGCAATATGACCTATGGATCATTTGGTGGTGTAAAAGGTAATTTGCTTTTAATCATGAGTATGCTATTTCAAGTGACAGATTTAGAATATTTGGTCATATAAAACAGAGGATTAAGTGGTTTGACTCTCAGAAAGAGTTAAAATAGACATTTTATTGAAACCTTTGTATCCAAATGCCCAAGCAAGTCTATGGCCATACCACCCTGAATGTGCCTGATATCGTCTGATCTTGGAAGCTAATCAGGGTCAGGCCTGGTTAGTACTTGGATAGGAGACCAAATACCCAATCAAAATAATAAAAAAAAACCTTTAAACATTGGAAGTCTTTGATTTTTATATAACCAGCATATTTTTATATGGTCTATAGAAACATTTCTAAAACTGCCTTTTCTACAGATTTTGTCTTTTATATATAAGCTGACTGAAACTGAGCTCTTTTTGTGTGTGATGGAACTGTGGTACCTGACTGTCTCTCTCAGTGGAAAAAATGGTTGACCTTATTGACAGGAAGTCACTGCTCTACCTGCTACAGGCAGGATAAAGCTGCAAACACCTCTCTCCACTCTACCCATATCTGGGGCTGCTGTACAGGGTTGTGTGGGTCGTTTCTGCACAGGGCAGCTGGAAGAGTGGGGGATGTGGGTCTGAAATACAGACTTGATCCTGCTCATCGAGCCATGCTTTCTGGCTTGGAGTAAATCTACCCAGAGGAAGGGGTGCTTTTTCTGTGTTTCACAAAGGCATCACCTTTATCTAGCACTGGCTCAGTGAGACTGGGTTCCTCCCACCTTGGCAGAGGGGTGTCTTTTTCTAATTAGCACAAAGGCCACCTTCATTGTGTCCACTCAGTCCCAGAGCTTCCAGATTCACCAAGGCTTGGTGCTTGCTTGTGTACACTCTTGCTGTTGGCATGGGAGGGCTCTTATTTCCAAACCAACTTCTCTCCCTGCACCGTGACAGGGTAGTAGAGGAGCTGGTGGTGCTGGATTGAGGATAGGAAGCCAGGTGGTGACACTTACCTGTGTGATTGTGTGACTCTGTGTGCATATGTATCTATGTTCCTGTGCCACCTGCAGAGCATGTAACTAGGGATTTTATAATATCTTAGCTCTTCCTGGACTCATGTTTTATGAGTTCATTGTTTAACTGTTGCATTGTATTTTTCCTTAGCAACATGAGAAAATGACTTCATTTTGGAAGTATTATTCATTTGTGTGAACTCAGTTTTTTTTTTTTATTAATACATACAGATAAAGACAAGGAATAATTGAATTTGGGTATACCAAGCAGCATCAGGGATATTTTTGGTGGTGATGTGCAAATAAATATTTTGCATAACTGAAGTGATGTGAAACAAAACACTTGGTTAGGTTGGAGGACTGCTTGAGTAACAGGAATGTTTGGATTACTTGAACGATAAGGAGATATCTAGAGTTAGATGAAGAGAGAAATTTAGATGAGGGGAGAGTCTGTCAGTGAAGTGCTTCCTCAGCTTTTAGAACTGATTTTTACTGTTCTTTGAAAAAATGTCTGACCTGATTAGGGAACCTAGGCCTCCCTTGTTTAATTAGCTATTTTCAATTCACTTTTCCCTACTGAATCTCCAAAAAGCAAATTACTAAATTCCATACATCATAAAAAAATTATAACATGAGAAAAAAGTGCTTTGGCCAAATAAAAGTGTTTTTTGATAGCATAACAGTGGTTCTTTAGGTCACATCAAATGTTATATAGCAGGGATCCCCGATCCCCAAGCTACAGATGTGTAGTGGTCCATGACCTGTTAGGAACCGGGTTTCACAGCAGGAGGTGAGCGGCAGGTGAGTGAGCAAAGCTTCATCTGTATTTACAGCCACTCCCCATCACTTGCATTAGCCTGAGCTGCGCCTTCTGTCAGATCTGGCTGCATGAGATTCTCATAGGAGCACAAACTCTATTGTGAACTGTGCATGCAAGGGATCTAGGTTGTGTGCTCTTATGCAAATCTAATGCCTGATCATCTGTCATTGCCTCCCATCATGCCAAGATGGGACCATCTAGTTGCAGGAAAACAAGCTCAGGGCTTCTACTGATCCTACACTGTGTCGAGTTGTGTAATTATTTCATTATATATTACAATGTAATAATAATAGAAATAAAGTGCACAATAAATGTAATGTGCTGAGTCATCCCGAAATCTTCCCCCTTCCTGGTCTGTGGAAAAATTGTCTTCCACAAAACTGGTCCTTGATGCCAAAAAGGTTGGGGACCACTATTATATAGATTGCAGTGTACTTTTTATTTTATTATCAGATCAAGTTAACCCTGTTGGATACACTGAGTTCTCAATTTCTCTTCAAAGAATCAGTATATCAGTATGTTCAGTTCTTTGTCCTTCATTTTAAAGCTTAACTTCCTTGTAGTTTCAGTAAATAGCCTTTTCCACCAGTTTTAATCAGTAGTTCACATCTGTTCCCCTGGTCACCTGCTCTGTCCTGACTTATCCTGGTTGCCTGCTTTGACCTCAGTCAGCCCTGGTCACCCGCTCTGACCTAAGTCACCTTTAGTTACCTGTTCCATAACCGTCTTTCCTGCCAAACTGCTCACCCCGCCACTCTGGCTCATACCCCTGTTCTCTTTAAAATAGCCAATCAGAATTAGCTTAGACTGTGTGGTCCAACCCTAGCCAATAGGGGAACAACACAGCAGTAGGGGGTACCTGTGTCAGGAATAAGAATCCCTTCCCCTCCCTTGTTCAGGTGTACTCTCACCATTGCTCCATCTGCAAGTTGCACCCTTCTATAGATGTAAAATTGCCTTGCTGAGAATTTTTTTTTTTTTTTTTTGAGATGGAGTCTCGCTCTGTCATCAGGCTGGAGTGCAGCGGTGTGATCTCGGCTCACTGCAACCTCCGACTCCCTGGTTCAACAATTCTACCTCAGCCTCCCGAGTAGCTGGGATTACAGGCACATGCCACCACGCCCAGCTAATTTTTGTATTTTCAGTAGAGATGGGGTTTCACCATGTTGGCCAGGATGGTCTCTATCTCCTGACCTCGTGACCCGCCTGCCTCAGCCTCTCAAAGTGCTAGGATTACAGGCGTGAGCCACTGCACCTGGCCGAGAAAATTCTTTGAGCACTAGTTCTTCTTTTCGGCACCGAGGACAAGCATTTGTTTGTAACAATCTGGTGGCCCGTATGGGAGCCCATTCTCTCCTGGAGAACAGGTCTCCAGTTGCCTCTTGTAGGGAGAAATGTCCCACTGCCTTGTTGCGGTAGCCTCAGGGTGAGAGACTGGGGATCCACCTGGTGTGACAAATAAACCCAGGCTAGCAACCTGGGGAAAAGGATCCTCACATACCGTGGCGACCAGGTAACTCTGTGCACAGAGCGAGGTAAGAAACATCATAAAGGCGACAAAGTATTTCCTTGGCGGTCGGGATATTCAGGGTGCTGAATGTGTATGTGAATGATCACAAGCACTCCTACTTGAGGTGCTGCTTGTGTGAATGGTACAAAGTACTACTGCTGTGCTGAGTGAGTGGGTCCTATCTGCGATTCCGTGGTCACCTCATATGGCTTAGGGAGGATCCTGTCATAGGATTTGTACCAGCATGCCGATGCCAAGAGGGACTTAGATCTCCCCCAGGGGAGCTGCCAGAGTGGACGAAGTGCAAGAAGGGTGCAAGGAGCCTTCTGCAGGTGGAACTAAAGGATAGGTGGGACACTTCTAATATGAGAAATTGAACCTAACAGCCCTAGCATACCTCTAGAGAATAATAGGTGAGACATTTCTATATACTTCTTTGTACCTGGAAATCCCAAAGTGCTGGGATTACAGATGTGAGGCACCATGCCCAGCCAAATCTTTTATTATTTTTAATATAACTTGGAAATGCTGTTCGAGACAGAAAGCCAATTTTCACCTTTGCATTAGTACACTATTGATGTCAACCAATTCTTAATAAAACCTTATAGACAAATCTATCCAATTTTAGTTTGATCATAAGATAAGATTCTTATAAACCTTGCATATAACCCTTTACACCTTTTTTTGTTGTAGTTGTTAAAAAGCAGATCAGTGCTCTAAGAAAAGCCTGTTGTGCTTTTATTCCAATGTTCAATTTATGGAAAAATGGAATAATACACCTTTAACTTTAGCCGATATGTTCACACACAGAATTTCTTTTACAAGATTAATTTTTCACCAACCTTCCACAACTTGTTCAAACCTTTGGCTTTTTCCCATCTAACTTAAAACAATCCTTGGCCGGGCGTGGTGGCTCACGCCTGTAATCCCAGCACTTTGGGAGGCCGAGGCAGGCGGATCACGAGGTCAGGAGATCGAGACCATCCTGGCTAACACGGTGAAACCCCGTCTCTACTAAAAATACAAAAACAAAATTAGCTGGGCATGGTGGTGGGTGCCTGTAATCTCAGCTACCCGGGAGGCTGAGGTGGCAGAATGGCGTGAACCCAGGAGGCGGAGCTTGCAGTGAGCCGAGATCGCACCACTGCACTCCAGCCTGGGTGACAGAGCGAGACTCCGTCTCAAACAAAACAAAACAAAACAAAACAAAAAACTATCCTTTAACCCTCTAAACTAGGCAAAAAGAAAAAAAAATCCACATTTCCATGCCTTCTTATAATCTTTTTTCAAAAGCACATTTCATTTTCCTGACACACCTTGCATATAAAACTCTTTCTCTAGTAGTCTCAATTATATGTTACACTGTTAACTCTTAGAAACTTACTTTTGGTGAAAAATCTGGTAAATACATGATTTTAATTATGTACTAGGTGTGGAGCCTAGGGCACCAGACAGAAGTGCAGATAAGGTGTGACTCTCATGTATAGTTAGGGGATGTGGCTAACTCCACATGTCCCCAGGCCTTACTTAAAATCTAACGGCTCCACAGCAGTTAAGTTGAACAATTTTCAAGAGTCAAAGAAGCAGTTTATGACCTTAAAGCATTTATCAAACCTAATATCTGACCTGCCTAATTTAGACCAAGTGTCTTTATTTTACTAATAATCTTTAAAGCTGTGTTTTTATTTCCCAAAGATTACTTAAGTCACGTGAACTAAAAGGCATTATAGTCTTAATTTTTTTATAATATTTAAGTGCCTATTATTTTTAAACCAATTAATCAGAACTTATATAGATATATATAAACATCACACACACAACACATATAAATACACAGACAAAAGAAGATCCAATAGTTGTAAGATTTTTCATTTGCCAGTTTCTAAGTTTCCCTTTAAAGCATTCAGTTTCTAGCCTTAATAAACAGGTATAGGTGGAAGGCGAAACAGATCCCCCAAAATTAAGGGTTCCATTTTTATACCAGATCCTGGATCCCAAAAAAGGGATGGGTAGCAGCCCATTTCCCATGGGAGTCTTATCTCTCAGTAGGGGATGGGGACATTTCCATACCTTCTAGGTGGCCAAGAGCATGCTTCTCTGATCCAAACATGGAAAGAGCTGAGTGTCCCCCCATAACTTCCATTAGCTGTCCCCAAAAGTGTATTTCCTACCTAGTTATTACGCATGAAATCTCTCGCATAATATGAAGTAATTTCTAATACCCCCAAAAGTAAAAAATGTGAGAGGGATCTATTTTCAATTCTTAGGGTTCCACGAGGGAAACAGATGTCTTTTTTTCCCCCCAAAATGGAGTCTGCAGCACCTCCTCTGTTTTTCCCAAGGTGTCCCAAGCTGTTAAATATTATCTTAGGTCCTCTCGTGTGCATCAAGAATGTCAAGAAGACAAAATGGAGAAAATTCAGTTGACTGAGAAGAAAAAACCCCTTTTCCAGAAAAACACAATCCACGAAGAGGAAAAAAAAACATAAAGGCCTTTAAAATGTACGTATAACTTGGATATCTGCTTTTAAGTAAGCTGACTTTTAACCATAGTGCTCCTTAAAAAAAATTCCTTATAAACCTCTTATTACCCTACTTTAACCAGGCCAAACAGACAATATTTCTGGCTTTTAAATGTTACCAAAAGTAACCTCACAGGTGAAACCAATAAGCCTTAGTTACTAAGCTACAGCACTGGACAGTTTCCATTGCCCTTCCCAGAAAGAGCCTAGAGCAGTCAATTTTGAGCTTGCAAAAGCTTTTAACTGCTTGAGATAATTTTTAGAGCTCTGACATAAACTCCAAAATTCCTGTCCTCCAGATGGCTGAGAACAAGAGAAAGTACTGCCACGTACTTAAAAGGTCAAGCTCCCAAGGACATAAAACAAGACAAGCGGGGAACCTCATTCAGTTTTTTTTTGTTTGTTTGCTTCAGGAACCTGCAGCAAAGTTTGTAGCTGACTAGTTTGCTGGGCTAGCTTGAACAGCAGGCTTGTTCTAAGCCCATGTGTCCTAAGCCCATGTTCAATCTTAAGGTACTCCTCTTTATGACAGAATATAGTAAAAAACATTTATAGCAGAAAGTTCCCCAGAGTTGCTATAGCTTAAGACCAGCCTCACAAATCCTTTTTCTCATTAATTAAAATATTGCAAGAGGTAGTGATTTTTACCACACCTATAAGCAGTTTGCACACAGAGAGAGAGAGAGAGAGAGAGAGTGAGAGAAGAAAGGCAAGGGAAGGGAGAAAAGCATTGCCTGCAGTGGGGTGGGAAGACGAGGAGCTTAGGGGAAGCTAGAGAAAGACCCACCATTGCAGTGACACTAAACAAAGTTCAGGTGGTTGCTTGTAATTTGCTAAGGGATCTTTTCCAGCAGTCCCATCAGCTTTCAAGTTTCCCCTTTTGGGGAGAAAAGAAGCTCCCCATGTCCGGTGATCCTGTACATGCCTAATCCCCCCACAGCCATCAGCAAAGAGCGCAAGGCAGATTAATCCAAAGAAAATAGTGGTTAACATCCCATAATGCCAAATTCATTTTTAACCAAGAGATTTTACTGAGAGGGGCCTCTAACCGCCTAAATCTTAAGAAGAACTCTAACCTTCCTAAGTTGGGTCTCGAACCCAAATTTGTCGAGAATCCTTACTTTTTATTAAGAGGGTCATTTAACCCATTCTGTCTTAGGAGAGACTTTAAATCTTCTAAGTTGGGCCTCTAATCCACCACTTAACCATAGTCGGCCAATGGGTTCTGCATTCTGTTTCCTTTGGGTCAGGAGTCTCCTTCGTATCGTTCTTTCATGGTTCACCAGGAGAATGTTACTGGAAAGGGGTCCTGATCTAGACCCCCAGACAGGGTTCTTGGATCTCAAACAAGAAAGAATTCAGGGCAAGTTCATAGAGTAAAGTGACAGCAAGTTTATTAACAAAGTAAAGGAATAAAAGAATGGCTACTCCATTGGCAGAGCAGCCCTGAGGGCTGCTGATTGGCTATTTTATGATTATTTATTGATTAAATGCTAAACAAGGGATGGATTATTTATGAGTTTTCCAGGAAAAGGGTGGGCAATTTCCCCAGAACTGAGGTTTCCTCCCCTCTTTAGACCATACAATGTAATTCCCTGATGTTGCCATGGCATTTGTAAATTGACATGGCACTAGTGGGAGTGTCTTTTAGCATGCTAATGCATTATAATTAGTGATAATGAGTAGTGAGGACAACCAGAGGTCACTTTGGTCGCCATCTTGGTTTTGGTGGGTTTTGGCTGGCTTCTTTACTACATACTGTTTTATCAGTAAGGTCTTTGTGACTGTACCTTGTGCCAACCTCCTGTCTTATCCTGTGACTTGGAATGTCTAACCTTCTGGGAATGCAGCCCAGTAGGTCTCAGCCTCATTTTACCCAGTCCCTATTCACGGTGGAGTCGCTTTGGTTCCGATGCTTCTGACAAAGCTATGAATGAACATCTTTTTACATAAATCTTTATCTACATTTCTGATTATTTCCTTAGGATAGAGTGGAGAGGTTGAGTTATTAAGTCAGACACTTGTAAAATATTTTTTTCCAATATGAAAGTAGCTTTAGTCCTTAAATACTGTATAAATTGCAAAAAGTTCAGAACTTAGGTAGAAGAAAGTAAGACTCCAAGACTTGTACATTTCATAAGAAAGCCCACTTTCTAAGCCTGATGTCTTTAATGTATATTTAGTGTGCACCTTTCCAGTAGTGAGTGGGTGATTCTTTTAATTGGAAAGCTTCCCTGGAGTTGATGTTATTTAAAAAAGAAACCTAAAAATCCTTGTTTTCTACTTTCCTCTATTTCATATGGCATCTTATGGAATTATTGTTTGGTATTCATGTCATGTCTCAATAAAGGAATTAAACAAAACTAAAGCCCAACACAGTTTTAAGCAAATGTGTTATTTAAATTATGGAAAGGCAGTGGGAGAAGAGGTGTGCAGTATTTTGTGTGTGCGTCAAAATGAACTAACACTAGATGGCAGTCCTCTATAACTTTTGGCCTTAGTTGCTGCTGCTTTAGAATAAGGTATGGCAAGAAATCACTAATGGAGGAATGTTGATCCCATAATAATGCTTTGTCTTTTATTAAAAATAAATGTAACTTCTTTGAGTTGCACAACAGGGTGGGTTTTTAAAAGACAGTTAATTATAACAGATAACAGAATATAATATAAAAGCGCTTTCTAGCTGTGCTTCTCAAACTTTTAACTTTTTTAAAACTTTTAAGTTGCATTTGAATTATAAGGGGATCGTGATTAAAATGCGGATTCTTGTAAGTCTGAAATTGGACCTTAAATGCTGAATTTCTGACAATATTCCAGGTAATGCTAAGCTGCAGTGATCTAGAGGTGTGCTATAGCCCTATGTCTGCAAAATGCTTATTTTGTATCAGGCAGTGTTCTAAGAGCTTTTACAGGTTGAAAAAGTAACTGTGAGTGGTGGAGGGAGGATTTCTACCCAGCCTGTCTGCATCTAGAGGCTTCTGGTATTAGTCACACTAAACTGCCTCCTTGATTGGGCTGTGAGTGAATTTACCTCCTCCCCCATTCAGAAAAAACTTTCCTATCAGAATGGAGTGTAGTTTGGTTTGGCTAAAGTTAAGTGCATATCTTTGATTCTTCATAGATTATGGGAAATATGTTAACTTCTGGGTCGTATGTTTGCTTTTTCAGTTTTATTTTTCTGGTTGGTGCTTTGGTTTGTAAGAAAAGTCCAAAAAAATTTAAAATTCCTCCAAAAATTATAATATTAATTGGTTGTATTGGGCTTTTATTTATTTATTTTTGCAGAGGGGAAGTGTGTTTGAAGTTAAAAATGTTCGTTGTTTTTTAAAATTTAAATCCAAGCTGCTTTTTTGAAGGAATATGTGATTTTGGGTTCTAAAAAAATATTAGTTTATCTTTGTTTTTTATGCTCTTGACAAATTAATGCTTGCAAAATTTAGTGAGTAGCATAAGCATAGACAAACAAGTTACAGTTTGGACATATACTAAATCAATTTTGAAAAGGTAGATTTTAATAGATTTAAGATATGTTAGTAATATTGGTGGAATTTATTTGTTTTGGTAATTTGAACTCTACTTGTTTTTGAAAAAAGAACAAAATGATATTTTTGCCAGATTTTCACTTGCTTTTGTTTCTTTGTGTTACTAAAATTTCCAATGGTTGTTAACATGGTATTTTACCTAGTTAAGACAAACTTGCCATTTCAAAATAATATTTGGAAAAAGACAGCATTAATATTGATTCACAGAAAGCCAGTGGTGAAGAAAATAATATTGTTTTAAGGTCAACAGCTGCATATACTTAACGTAGTAAAATAAGATACTTCTTGTAGTCTATGTAGTATCAAGATATTTGAGCTAGAATTTCTTTCACTGATAGTCTGATTTAGAGTCCCTGTAGTAACTGACCCAAAGTCCTCAGTTACCCGAAATTTACCTTGTTGGCTGTGAAAAGATGATGAACCTTATATAGGAATCTTTCAAGTGTGTAACAGGGACACTGGGAAGGAATTGTTGGTTTGTTGTAGGTGCTTGGGCACTTTCAGGGACTGAAGCAAGTCTGGTGTGTTGTTCCTCCCTTACATCATCTCTCTTTGTCCCTCCGTCTGTCCATCCCCTCATCCATTCGATGCATATTTACTAAGAATTCTGAGTGCCCAGGCACTGTGTTAGTTTTCTTGGAATAGACAGATAAGGAAAAGACAGTTTATGGGCTGGCCATGGTGGCTCATGCCTGTAATCCCAGCACTTTGGGAGGCTGAGGTGGGCGGAGACTTGAGGTCAGGAGTTCGAGACCAGCCTGGCCAACGTGGTAAAACCCCATCTCTACTTAAAATACAAAAAAATTAGCTGGGCACGGTGGTGGGTGCCTGTAATCCCAGCTACTTGGGAGGCTGAGACAGGAGAAATCGCTTGAACCCAGGAGGCGGAGGTTGCAGTGAGCCGAGATTGCATCATTGCACTCCAGCCTGGGCGACAGAGCGAGACTCCGTCTCGAAAAAAGAAAAAAGACAGTTTATGTTCTCAAGTAGCTCACAATCTAGGAGTAATAAAGATGAAGGGTTAACTATAAAATAATGAGGCAAATCATGATAGAGATGAATATGTGCAAAACGATGCCCTAGGATTAGAGCAGCTCCCTGTAGTTGAGTGAATGTGTGTGTGTGTGTGTGTGTGTGTGTGTGTGGCGGGTGGGGGTGGGGTAGGGTGGGGGGAGGGGCGGGGGCGAGGGGAGTAAATGAGAGTGGGGAGTGTGCTGTTACCTTTTTTATTCCAGCCCTTCATTTTTATCCTCTTTAATCCAGAGATTAGTAATTCCCAGTTTCAATTTTATGGTCTTCAGTATGGTCTTTAGCCTTTGTTGCCCAAAGGTTGAACCATTCAAATTCCTTCTGGTATAGTTTGTTCCTCTCAAGAAGATTACTTTTCAGACTTTATAGTGCTTTAAAAACCTTGCCATTTTTAGGCTACTAAATTGACTTTTTAACTTATAGCATAAAGCCCTCAGTAAGGGACAATTATTTTCTTTAGCTACCAGCTGATCTTTAATGGAGAAGGATATAGTGCTCTTCAAGAGTACTATGACTATGTTTGTTGAGAATGACAAATTTAAGGGTAGGGATAAGAAGAGGAACTAGCACAGAGATTAAGGAATATAAATTTAGAGACAGAAGAGCATGGTGTCATGGAAGGAGAGGGAAGGGAGAGATTCCAAGAGGCACTGAAGGACTTGAGAGTTCAGAGGTTAAGCAGCTGGAGTATTGGAAAGAAAATGTTGGATTTGGTCATTTGCAAGTCATTGGTGATTTTAGGGAGAATAATTTTAACAGAAGGGTAGGAACATTGGTCATGTTGCACTGGAATGAGGAATTCATAGAGAAGAAATGGAAATCCCAAAGGAAAGGTGCTTTGTAAAGGGGTTTGGGCATGAAGGTAGGTGCAATTAAAGCCATAGCCAGAGGGGAACATGTTTTATAAGGGGGGGAGAAGTCTTTGAGAACACATCATGAAATCTTAATCTGATAAACCAAATGCCTTTCATAGATAGTATTTTGCTGAAAAAATTTGACCTGAATACATTTTTACTTTTATTTTATTTTATTTTTTTGTTTTAGAGACAGGGTCTAGCATTGTCACCCAGGCTGAGTGCGGTGGTACGATCTCAGCTTACTGCAACCTCTGCCTCCCGAGTTCAAGCAGTCCTCCTGCCTCAGCCTCCTGAGTAGCTGGGACTACAGATGTGCGCTACCATGCCAGGCTATTTGTTTTTTTTTGTAGTGACGGGGTTTTGCCATATTGCCCAGGCTGGTCTCAAATTCCTGGGCTCAAGCGATCTGCCTGCCTCAGCCTCTCAGAGTGCTAGGATTATAGGCATGAGCCATTGTGCCTGGCCCCATTTTTATTTTTAAAATTATGTTGTTTTGATTATGATGTGCCTATAATTTAAAACATTGTTTCTCATCGTGTAATTTGTGCCTTATAGCCCTGTTGAATTATTGCCTTCTTTTCATAATAAATATGTGGTTTATGGGGAAAAAGCCTATTTAATACTTCATGAGATTAAAAGTCAGACCCTTTGGAAAAAAAAGAAAAGGAAAAGAAATACTTTATTAGAAATTATCACTATTACACCACCATCTGGTTCTTTCTTCAATGTTTTTTTAATTAAAAAAAAATAGTTGCTGGGTGTGGTGGCTCACGCCTGTAATCCCAGCACTTTGGGAGGCTGAGGGGGGCGGATCACGAGGTCAGGAGATCAAGACCATCCTGGCCAACATGGTGAAACCCCGCCTCTACTAAAAATACAAAAATTAGCTGGGCGTGGTGGCATGTGCCTGTAGTCCCAGCTACTCAGGAAGCTGAGGCAGGAGAATCGCTTGAACCCAGGAGGCAGAGGCTGCAGTGAGCCGAGATCGAGCCACTGCACTCCACTGCACTCCAGAGTGAGACTCTGTCTTAAAAAAAAAAAAAAAAAAAGTAGATACAAGGTCTGGCTATGTTGCCCAGGCTGGTCTTGAAGTCTTGGGCTCAGCCAGTATGCCTGCCTAGGCCTCCCAAAGTGCTGGGATTACAGGTGTGAGCCACCGTGACTGGCTCTTTCTTCAATTTTTATCTTTATCAACATCTTAAACTTATTTGCTTTCCTTTAAAAAATTTCTTTTCTTGATTATAGAGCTTTGTTTTACATGGGGATTTTTTTTTTTTTTTTTTTGAGACTGAGTCTCGCTCTGTCGCCCAGGCTGGAGTGCAGTGGCGCAATCTCGGCTCACTGCAAGCTCCGCCTCCCGGGTTCACGCCATTCTCCTGCCTCAGCCTCCTGAGCAGCTGGGTCCACAGGCACCCGCCACCACACTCGGCTAACTTTTTGTATTTTTGGTAGAGGATACATGGGGATATTTATATTTTGAGCTTACCTGTTAACACACAACTCAAGAGTTAAATGTTACCGTCAAAAATCCAAACCTCCCATTTCCTGCAGAGGCCATAATTCTGCTTTTTCATGTGGATTTAGATGTACTTTTGTTTTCTTTCCAACCTTGTCTTTGGTAAAACTGAAGACTCCCTTGGTTGCAACTAACAGTTGGCTTAAGCAAGAATAGGAAGTTGACTGGCTAACGTCACTTGAGCCTTCTCTGTGATCAGATCTGGTTTCTCTCTTTTCATCTCTTGCTTCCATTTCCTGGGATAGGCTATTTCCTTCTGGTTACATGATGGCTATAGCAGCTTTAAATCTTTACTTGTCACATTCTAGTCCATGTAAAAGAGGTTCTTCCTTTCTCGTAGAAGGCTCAACAAAAGTCTGTTTCCAACTCACAGGCTCTGGTTGGGCCATCTCTGAACCAATCATTGCCACCAAAGGAATGTGATTAACTTGAGCCTGAGCCACAGGTGTGGGAAGTCCTCTTACCACTAAGGGTAAGAGTGGAGAGGGAAGAGGGGTGGATTTCCAGAGGAATATCAGTGAATAATTAACTGTGGTGAATCTGAGGACTTTGGAGGTGATCAAGAAAAAAGACATGGCTATCAGATGGCAGTAGAACACAATAAGCTTTATTTGCGTGGTGCTTTGGCAGGATTGCATTCAAGAGGAGGTCCCTTACAGCAAGAGACCTTCCAGAGAGAGTGAGGTGGCCTCAACCCAGAAGGGGCAGAGGTCAGGGGAGCTTTCTGGGGAGAGAGGACCTAGAGTGGGGCTTAGGTGTCCAGGTTGCTGAGAAGCAGGACTGGGGAGGGCAGCAGCAACATACAGTCTTTTACATGCTCAGGGTTTGTTTTACCTGTAGCTAGTGGATGTTGGGTGCAGTTTTTCAGGGTATGCAAAACAGGCTGAAAATATCCTTATTTGGGCTATGTTTAAAGCAATTGATATAAAAATTTGAATTTGGTATCCGTGAGCTTTGAGTTAATGGTCAGTCTGAATGAAGAAGTAAACAACATGGGGTCAATATATAAAGGGGTCACCTTTAACCTGGTTCTGTAGCATTAATGAAAGAGAGTGAAATAGGTGCTGGGTGGCCAAAAAACTGTAAATATCCACCTTGCTTTTGGTTTCACTTTCTCTCCTAGGACCTCCCTGTGGTACTACCTTAGAACTGACAGGAGAGGCCAGCAGTGGTGATTTGAGAGTGTGCCCTCAGGTGTGTATATGAATTGGAGAAGGCAGGGCCTAAGCAGTTAAAGGATATGCTCTGTCCTGGGCTGAATGCAGCCTCATTCTGGTACAGTGTGTGGGGATAATTGCTTGAAATGTTTGTGTGTATTTTGAGGATTTGTTGTAATTGAATTTAATTGAGTGCTTTGCAAAATCATTTGTCATGATTTTAGGCTTGGTATGCATAGATATTTAAATTCGGGGGCATGTCTCAAATTATTTACAGAAGAGATTGAAACTTGAAATAATGTAAGTTATGATTTTTACTTTATCTTTTCCTCACTTTCAGTATTCTTCACATGAGGATGTATATACTTTTGTTATAAAAGTAGTCTTGTTCACAGAGGCATATTTAAAACATATGTACCGGTAAAAAAAAAAAAAGTAAATGATTAAGCACCACCTCCCAAACGCAACCACTGAAAACATATATGTGGACAGTAGAATATAATCCAGAATGTTTCAACTTGAGCTAACCCAGAGTAATTTTAGAGTAATTTTACAGTTTCTGGAATTTAGTCATCTTACCACCTAAAGGGCCCAACCAGTGAAAAGCATGTTTATCATGTCAAGTCTGGTGCTGTATAATGGAATGCAAGCAAGTTATGACAATAAATGTTAAATGGAAAAGCCTTTACTTTATATGCATATATCTTGAAGTCAGTTGAGTAATTTATTCAATATTGGTGTTTATTTTGTATTAAAATATATGAATTTACTAGAAGACAGAAAAAAATCTGCGTGATTTGGGTCAAGCTGCAAATAGGAAAAGTGGCATATTATAAGATATTCCTAAATATTTAGTGATGATACATTTCACCTGCAATTCGTGCACTTGAAATCAAAACTTGTCTTTCCTTTAAGATGGCAAAAATATATAGAATAATATAAAAACTGTGCACATTTTATATTTGGGGAAAGACCTCTTGAACTGCACATAAGCTTCTGCTTATTCTTTCTAACTTGCTTTTCAGGTTACTTTTTCAGTCTATATACTTGGAATAATGCTCTTAAATGACTTTCGTTACATTAAACCTGAGATTTCCTGACACGTAGTAGTGTCCTAGTCCATTTGTGTTGCTATACCAAAACACCTGAGACTGGGTAATTTATAAAGAACAGACATTTATTTCTCACAGGTCTGGAGGCTGGGAAGTCCAAAATCAAGGTGCCAGCAGGTTCAGTGTGCAGCTAGGGCCTGTTCCTCATAGATGGCACCACCTTGGTGTCCTCACATGGCAGAAGAACAGAGGAGCAGAAGAGCAAAGGGCCTAAGCTACTTCCCTCCATTCTTTCACAAGGCACTAATCCATTCGTGAGGGTGAAGCTCTCATTACTTAATCACTTCCCAAAAGGCCACACCTCTTAATACCACTACAATGGGAATTAATTTTCAACACAGGAATTTTGGATGACGTTCAGACCATAGCAAGTAGTCTCTTACAGTCATTTTAGATCTATCCCTTTTACATCCTATCCATATTATGTGGATTTGGGCTGCTGTGACCCAGTGGTCACATGACCCACTGGTTGTTGGAGATTTGGTAAATGATACCATAACCATTTTTCACTTGTTAACAAACTGCCCCTCAATTATAATGTGGTATCTCCTATATATATCTATATATCTGTCTGTTAGGGTTTTATTTGGGTTCTTTTTTTTGTTGTTTTAGTTATTTAGCCTCCCATATCACTTTGTCACTGTGTGTTTGTTTTGTTTAATTCATATTCTTATTAAATTGCTCAGTAGTGTGAAATGTTTTTAGAGACCTTTGTTCTGATTCTTGGTTCTGTTTTTCTTCATCTGTCTTTCGCATATTGTCTTCCCCTGTCCCTCTCTCTGCCTTTTTTTTTTTTTTTTTTTGTAGTATGTTTGTGGGTTTGCCAGGCCAGCCTCTTTACCTTGCTTGAGCAATCAAGCTTAGCTTGGCCCACTCTGTTTGGGCCTGTTTGCTTTTTTATGGTGCTGGTGAATTTTTCTTGCCTTCTTTCCTACCCAATCAGAGAGGAGTTTGTTTTCCTTCCTGACGTACTGTTTTGACGGTTGGATATCATGCAGTGTGTCTGCTTATCACCTATCTAGGGGCAGTGGAGAAGACATGGGGAGGAAGAAGGGTTGTCTGTAGCAGCCTTACTGTAGGATTTGGCTTCAACCCTCTCTTTTGTGATTTTGCTAAGCATCTTGAATTACTGTCACACTACCTGGTTGGTCTGTAACCTGTTATCTTGGAAGGCTGAGAGATATTCTTAGATTTTGGATCTTCTCTCTTACTATTCATCAGTTTTCCTTGAGTCAGTGCCATTTGTTGCTTCCCTTGTTTGTATTTCATTAGAAGCTGTTTCCATTCGCCACCCCCTACTTTTCTTCTGGTCCTCTGTGGGTGTGTGTGAGGCTTCACATGGCAATTCCTCCTCTCGCCTGTCTTCCACTTCTTCTACTCATCATAATTGCTGGAGATATTTATTTAGCTTGGCTGCTATTTTTTATGGTCTATGGCCTTTCCTGCTTTTTTCTTTTTGCAGAAAAAATACCAAAATGATAAAACCTGTATTTTTCTTTTCTGACCAGAAGGAATGTGGTAAAGGTAGAACTTATGGTATTATGGGCATTTCCATTTCTCTGGGCTGTCTACATCTCCCCTCCCCTTCCTGGATTTGTCTTCCTATAAGTTTGAGAGTTTTAATGAAATTTTCAGAATTTTGTTTATTCACAGCCTCACCCCTCCTTCTCCTTATGTGGAGTTTGGTCTTAGCAGCTTCACAAAATGCACCAAGTCCAGCCCTGAAGATTCTTGGAAACATCTGCTTTATGGTCACCATATTTTAAAGATTGTGGTATGAAATTGTGTTCTTTCTTTGGTTTCATTGCCATTGGTGTATGTTTGCTATTTTCTATAATTTACTTATTTATTTGTTTAATCCACGAAGTTACATTTTTTAAAGGGTCTTTAAAACTAATCCCAATGCTGGATTTGAAAAACGAATGTTCATCATAAAAATTCCTGTGGATTCAGCAGTTCAGTTGTTTGAATAATTCTGGTAGACTTATTTAGTACAGATTAATTTCATTGTATTTGATGTGAATATCTTTTTTCCAGATTGTTATTGGCTTTTAAACTGTGTAAGTGTTTTAATGTGGTCAGATCATTCTTTTCTTGTACACTTTATTTCTTCTAAGCTTAGAAACTTCTCTTCCATGCAGAATTTTGATGTTTCTGTTTCCTGGAGTTTGATTATCTAGCAGGAATTTTTATATTTATTTATAGAGAAGACTATGTGGAGAGAGAGCTAGTATTTATTCTCTTCTATATGTTGTGGTATTGCATTTAGCCCAGTGAGATAACATAATCACCATTTTTTCATACTGGGAGACTGGAGATCAGAGAGATAGAGGTGTTTCTCCAGACACATCCAGGCATAGCTATCTGATTTGAACCCAGAGCTATCTGATTCCAAAGCTCATGTTCTTCCTAATATAGTAACTGTTATTTAATTGCCTTGCTAGTTAGAGAGAAGGTCTATGTGTTCTGAGAAAGGAATGAGAGGGAGGTTTTTCTATAAGCTTCCTGAGGGCAGGGACTGTGTCTTTTGTTCATCACTGCATATCTAGTGTCTTTCACAGTCTTTGGCACATAGTGGGTGCTTAATTAGTATTTGTTGAATGATTGAACCAAAATAGACATTTGATTGGGCAGGGCTGATGTGTTATATACTTTAGACTTTGGGGTTATTTTTTTAGAACACGTTAGCTCAGTTCCATTATTCTAGCCAACTTCTAAGTTTTATTTTCCTCTTTAACAAACATGTTAAAGTATCTATTACAAGGCATGGGTTATTGTGGTCACTGTCTCCCATAGTGGTAAAGTGAGGGTGAGTAACTTGGGCCTCCTGGGTTCACCCTTAGTCACATTATTTCTCAATATGCTGGTGATGCAGCATATTGTATGTAAGTTATCTAGTAGAAATACACTGTCTTATCTAATTGCAACTGTGTTTCTATAGATTACTCTTCCTACTTTTTAGCTTGGAATGTGGTATTCAGAACTATCGAGTATTTGTGATAATGTCCACAAATCAAAATGTTTTTGTTTTAAAAAATTACTTAAATTCTCTAATATTTAGTGTAAAAGACACATCTTTTCATCTGTAACACTTTTCTCTCTGTGTCCTGTGAAAATTCATTTTCCTTTAATTCTTCCAATTTTTCTACTTTGATTGTTTTTTCAGCCAAATGGAAGTTCAGAAAAGTAGAATTTTTACCAAGGAAAATTTAATGTCAGAGTCTAGATATAATATCGGCATGGTATAGATTATAAGGTCTGACAGCACAGTAGTCTCACGTTTGTGACTGAGGTGGAAAAAAATACTGTATATAAAAGGTTCAGTATGTTTGGACTATAATTGTTAGTAAAGGAAGTGAATGGATTTTTATCAATAATATATATGAGCATAGTGGAATATTTTTTAAATCATAAAATGACTTCTATAAGCTTGTATGGGATTATATTGTCACATAAATAAAAATTCATGAATTCTTTGGAATAAAAGTCCTGCCAAAGAAAATAGTGAACTGAAGGATAAGTCAGTCACCTTTTGCCACATCTTTTTAATTTTTATTTTAAAAAATTAAAAAAAAAGCATCCTTCCCACTCTGAGGTTTTGCTACATCTTGAGACAATCCTAGATAATCAGATCCTCAGCCTTCAAATAACTTCTAATTGTCTGAACTGGAGCCTTTTTCTTATCTGCCAAGAAAATGTATTAGTGGCCACATGTGGTTGCTGAGAGGCTGTGCTTCCCAAAGCTGTCTGGTTTCTTTGATTGCCATCCAGAGAGTGAACTGATATGCTCAGCTGGGGTGAATGAACAGCCAGAACACAGCCTTGCTTTTTTTGTGTGGGGGTGTTAGTGCTAATAAAAGATTAACGCTGTTTTCCTCACAGGGAATCAATGGATAATGTTTTGATAGCCCTTGTCTCACCAGTGAACCATATGGCCCTTATTTTCTCATACATGTGGTTGAAATGTTAGAGCGTAATGTTAGAGAAGAATCTCTGTGGTGTACTGGCTCCCGTTCCTTGCCTAGGCATTAAAGTGTAGGTGTTTTATTATATTGGAGAACTTCCCTCATTTGTTTTTAAGATCCTTTATGGATCCACAGTGAGAAGTCGGAAGATCAAGGGGATAATAGGATTGACTCTCATCCTGTGCTGAGTTTTCTCATATACATGGCATTCATTTATAAAATCTCTGGTCCAAGACCTATAAAATAATGTTACTTTCAAATAGTGATTTCCTGTATGTTATGTTGCATAAAACCCTTAGTTCCTGGGGGAAGGTTATAAAGAGAGTTCCCAGTAGTCTGCAGATTGGTTTTTTACATGATCATTTAAAGTTGTTACTTTTTCTAAAAGGTGAGTTCTGATTCCCGTTATACATACACTATCAAAATTTGGTTAAATACCTCCTTGCCTGCTATTGCTAAGAGAGGGAAAGACTAAAAAAATTTGAGGTTTCTTAGTGTTGTTTGAAAAAAAAAATAATTTCTTTCATGGTAGCTAAATGCCAAGACTGGAAAAGCTTTAAGGTGATGCTTGTGGTCAGCACTGCCTTTGACAAGATGGTTAAATGTGGTGGTCTTGATAGGATTTGACAACCATTTTTGATCCATATATATAGTTCATCGTGGTCTCTTTTTAAACAGTGGAGTAATGAAGCTGTTAAATATCCTACTCAATTGAGAAGGAAAATGGCTACCATGAACTACTTTATTCAAGTGACACTGCAATATAAAGGCTTCCAGCAGTTTCAAAAATGCATCTACACAACACATTGCCATGAGAAATGAACAATCTGCCCTTCCCCCGGGTCTCTCTTAAATTAAGTTGATTCAGCCACCCTTTTCCAGTCTCTACATGGAAACTTGCTTTGAGGTTTAAATTCTGTAGCACAAAATAAAGATACATATTAATGCTTAATATGAAAAGCAACTGCTTGTGTTGACTACTAGCATGTCAAATATATTTTTAAAGTACACTGGTACTCTGATTATAGGATATACTAGATATATAAAATTTAAGGAGGTTTTTTTGATGGACTTTTGAGTAGTTTTCAGTTTTTGGCCAATATGAATAAAGCTATTAAGATCTTTATATAATTATTTATGTGGACAATACAAAAATATAAGTATCATACAAGTGTAAAATGATTTTTAAATTATACTGTTAAAAAATTCCCAATCTTTTTTACTGTTATAAAATTTTATGACACCCAAGAATATTGAGAATAGAGTTCTAATATTGGTAGGCATGCTTTTTGTAGAAGAATCATATTATATGTGTTTACCTCAACCTTCAAAGATACTAAATTTGTATCTTCAGTATTTCATATTGTACATAATTTCAGTCACTTCTGGCTAACTTAGAATATCAGAAATGGTAAAGCTTGGCATCAGAACAAGTTCACCTATATTATATTACTATTTCAATTATGTTTCTACCTAAGTTAAAAGTGAGCTGGATTTTAAAATCAAATTTTCTTTTATTGAAATTTGCGAACATGAACCTTTTAAATCAGCATTTCTAGATCTTTGCTAAAATAAGACAGTACTATTTAATATGGAAACAATAACTGAGATGTAATCCTAAATTTAATTTGGAAAGTTATATCATGATTTTAGGAGACTGTGAACATAAAATGTGTGAGTGGAAAATTAAGATTTCATATGGCTTTTTTCAGCTGGTTGATTAAGTCCTATATAGTTCATTGTCCTAAAGATGAAATTTATATAAGGTTTTGGAAGGCAGGATTTGTATATTAAAAGTGCATGTTTCCAAGGTGGTACAAACTGTTTTTAACAATCTATCATCTTTCATTTACCAAGGGAACTATGTAAAAAGAAAAGGAAAATGTTAAGTAGAAACAAAATGTTGAGATGATGATAAGCTACAAGGAAAGAAAAAAGACTTTAGAAAGAATACTAAAAAGAAACTAGCTTTTTTTCCTCAACAATCTGTCTGAATTCATTTTGCTTTCATTATATATCTAGCCCGGAGGCAAAGTATGTTGAGTATTACAACAAAGAGGGTGTTATAAGGAGGACTTTTTTTCAATAATAAAGTATAACATATGTGTAAACCATGCAACCTTGTAACAGGAAACTTTATAATAAGGGAGGACTGTGCTTAGCTTTTCCACAATTTTGGAAGAATGAATTTTATTAGGTGTTAGACAAAGAAATTATCAACTGACTTTTATGCTGTAAGGTTGAAAGATTTGTTATGACCATTTCTAGACTTCAGCAGTGGTTTTAATGTGGGTCCTGATATATTAGGAACAGTGCCTAGCACTATTAATATGTCTACTGTTGCTAGTTCTCTAAAGGAATATGATGTTTAACTTTTGCCTTTCAATGAAAGATTATTCAAAATTCTGTTATTCTGTGGTTTTCTCAGCAGTATTAGGCTATTCTTGAATTGATCAACACATAATATAATTTGGGAACCCAATCAATGGTTCTTTTCTTTTTGAAAGATGGCGACAAATTCTTTTTAAACTTGGGAAATTGGCTCCATCATTCATCCCTTATTCTTTCTTTGCTTCTCTTGCCCAACTTCCTGAAAACCATATTGTTTTGATGTCAATATTTAGAATAGATTATCTGTTGGGGAATCAGTTTGTATTAATTATACTGGAATAAATGTAAGTTTGACAAATGATGTAGGTTAGTAGGTATTGGGCCTAATGGGTTACTCAGTTAATGAAGACACTAAAATTAGGGACCTCTAATATGCCTGAAACATATTTCCTGTAAATTTCCCCCAGTTTCAAGATTAACTGGCAATAGCTATGTTTTTCTGGCTTTTAAAGGCTAATATATCATGGTAGAGTTTTAGGATTTATATAGGGCTTATTATGGAATAGTTGAGCTCTTTGTATTTATCGCACAGTTATTGAAGCAAGCTAGAAGTGTAGAAGTCAGTCCTCAACTTTTTGGCTTTTCAGCAATCTATTTTTTTTTTAATGTTATACTTACTCAGTCTCCTTTCCTCCTCCTCTCACTTCAAAACTTAAAAATGATTATACACCACACACATTTACTGGCAATTTTAAATGAAGGTGGGATAATTTAAAAAGACTCTTTAAATATGGTTCAATTCGCTGCAGGGCTGCTAGAAAAATAAGGATGAAGTTTTTAGGCAACGAGATCTTAGAAGGAGAGGGATGTTAGAAGTATGTTAGCAAGATACAGTATATTGTTATACATTTAAAAATAAACCATTTATTTTAAGCCTTGCAAGAGCCCAGAAACATTCAAAATAACTTTTAACCATGTGTAGTTAATTTGATAAAAATAAAAAGTCAAATAGTACAAAGCATATGAAGGCCTCACTCTCCCCATTATTCTCCCTACTCTCTAATATGAGTCACTGATGCCTTTATTTTTTCTGATGGTTCACTCCTTATCTCTAGATTGTGTGATCACACCCTATTTTTGGATTTATCCTATTTAGATTTTGATGTACCACAGTGGTAGAAGTTTTGATTATTGACACTTCCTTTTTCTTATCCTCCTTCCAATTATATCACTGTTTTCATTTCTGTTGCTGGTCACCTGTGCACGTTCAAACAGTATACTTAATTTCTATTTCTTGTTCTACCAACTTTCAGCTCCTTGATTCTACATTTTATAAAATGAAGACATTGGCTATCTTTATCATTACTGTTATTTCTCTCTGATTTAAGTCTCTCAACCTCTATCCGCTCTACCTTTATTCTTACATTGTCCAAGTTGATAATGTTTACATGCTGGTCTGTAACTATAACTTAAATCTTCCATGACTTCTCATGATTCTAAAAGTTAAACACATACTTTGTTTGAATTATGTAAATATTACTCATTGTAGAGTACTAAGATCACAGAAGTCCAGTGTCCTTTTATGAATCCAATGTCCTGTGCTACTCAAAGGAAAATGATCTTAGTGGATTTTTAAAACACACATATTTATTTATATTGCCTTACAATTCCTGAAGGTTTTCCTGGCTTTCACTCATATTATTGAATCTGTCAGTTTTTTTCTAGTTCCTGGAGACCTTCCTGTTATCTAGAGACAAGGAATCCCCCCCAACACCCAATTTTCTTCCTTTTAATGATCTCATTTTGTTCTGGAGTAATTTTGTTTTGCTCTTTTGTTTTTCTTGGGCTTTTCTTATAGCAGGTTTTCCTCACATTTCTGGTCATCAGTTTTTATTTGAGGATGAATCAGTAGAAAAATTGAGCACTGTGAAAGTGGGTTGGATTTTTGAACAGCTGGCTTAGCTTTATTGGCTATCAATTTCTATTTGACAGCCATACAATAAAGGCTGACTGTAAGCTGTATGTCCCTGGAGACAGGGGCCTGGGTTTGTCAACTGGTGGGCTTTACTTTTACTTTAGGACAGTTAGGGGATAACTGGCTGTTTTATTGGGGACTCAAATAGCAGTAGTTGTATGTCTTTTCTCCTGAGGTTGTTTTCTTACTCTAGAGGTTTTTTTCACTCCTATTTGGGGACCATGGGCATAATGTATTCTGGACCTGGGTGGGGAAGGAGGTTTTGGGTTGACTATCAGGATGAAGACTTTTTCTTCATGTATTTTCAGGTGTCTGCCCCATTCCCATGCTCTTCTATGCCTGGTGTCCCCCTAATCTGGAGTTCCTTGTTTAGTTCACCCTCTTCAGAATATGTGCTTTCTGTTTCCTATGGAGGAAGGATCCTGGGTATCTGTTTATTTCCATAGACTTTTTATTTTTATTGTTAATTTTTTTTTCTTTCCGTTATTATTCCAATTTTAGTATATGTGCTGCCAAAGCGAGCACAAATTCCATAGACTTTTAAACAGCTCCTCTGTTTTCAGATCCTACGTCATCCCACTTTCTGTGGTACCTAGTGCTTTTACTTCCCGAGACTTTTCAGAATTCTGTGGGGTGAATCAGTATATTTCTCTCTAAGCATTCAAAGTTGACCTCACTCTACTCTTCGGTATCATTTACCTCTTCTTGTTCACTTTCCATTTTCACAGATTGTGGGTAGGCTTACCACAGGTCTGATTTCTTTGAAGAAGCTCATGTTTGTTTCTTTTATCCTTGTTGTTTGGGGGCATTTTTTTTTTATTTGAGAGAAGGGGACATAGAGTCTTTAATTCACCACCTTAAAGCAGGAAGTCGTGTCTGCTCTTTTGATGTAATGTTTCTAGAAAATATTAGAGAAAAACTTGTCCCAGAGTCACTAGTCAGGTAAAAGAATATGTGATTGGCTTTCTCCAAAGGCTCTTATTTTCTGTCCTGTGTGAAAAAGGAAAGGGGGTCAGAATGGTTGCCAGGTCATGATTACAGAAGCTCGGCTGTAAGTGATGGATGAAAAGCTTGGTTGTCTGCCTCCATAGTTGAGTGAGTTATTTCACTTCTGGGACCCAGTGAATGTTCAGACAGTTGAGTAATCCCACATTTGGGTATGTGGTAGGCATCAGGGTGAGTAATATATGAGAACTTGGCATAATAATTGGGAATTATAAGGAGAGTGGCAATGTTCGATAGGGCTCTGTCTCAATTTCCTACAATTTCATTTTCATTGCTGTCAATAGTATTGGTTTTGCTCAGAGAATGGGGGCATTCTTAACTTTGGCAGATGCTAGGATTATTATCATTCTAGTATTATTTTTGGAAGAAGAGGAGATAAAAACTGTGCTTGCCCATGAACTTCTTCTATATGAGCATTTTAACCAGTGTTTGTTAGAGATGTTAATAATCTCAGGCTCCAATTTTCTATCTCCAGTTAGGAAGCCTGGTTTATCTTGTGACAGAATATGAGCCATTTACTATTATACATGTGTGTTAGTCCATTCTCACATTGCTATAAAGAACTACCCAAGATTGGGTAATTTATAAAGAAAAGAGGTTTAATTGGCTCAGGGTTCTGCAGGGTACAGGAAGCATGGCTGGGTAGGCCTCAGGAAACTTACAGTCATAGTTGAGGGTGAAGGGGAAGCAGGCACGTCTTACATGGTTGGATAAGGAGGATGAGAGAGAAGGGAGAGGTGCTGTACACACTTTTAAACAACCAGATCTCATGAGAACTCACTCATTTTCATGAAAGCAGCAAGGGGGAGGTCTGCCCCCATGATCCAGTTACCTCCCACCAGGCACCTCCTCCAACATTGGGGATTACAATTCAACATGAGATTTGTGGTGGGGGGGAACACAAGTCCAAACCATATCAACATGGCTCTCCTGTTATCATCCAAAACTTAACTTACCTGGAGAAAGAATCAGCATCTGAGATAATGTCTATAAAGTACTCAGTCCCATGCTTGGTTTCCCTTACCCATTGTCAACCTCCAGCTTAGTAACTCCAGTGGAAAACAAGGGGCTCCCCCAATAACTCTGACCAACAAGGATTTGCCAAGGGCTCCAAGTGGCCCAGCTTGGGTCATATGCTAATTCTGGAGCCCACCACTAGTGTCAGAGGATGGTATACTCTGTGGGCCCACATCTTGGTTAAGTCCTCAGCTGCTTGGTAGGTGGTAGGGGTTGGTAAGGTAGTTAGTCTTATTTGAATCACACAGAATTTGGGAATACATGCTGGCTGATAAAAACTACACGTTTGCTATAGAGAGAAGAGACAAAACTCTACAATAGTGGTTCTCAAACTTTAGTGTCTACCAGAATCACCTGGGAGGCTTATTGAAACACAGATTGCTGGGCCCCATTCTCAGAGTTTCTGATTCAGTAGGAGTGGCATGAGGCCCCAGAGTTAGCATTTCTAACAGGTTTCCAGGTGATGCCAATACTACTGGCGTGGGGAACCACACTTTGAGAACCCTGCTCTCTAGAACAGTGGTTCTTACATTTTAGTGTACAGAGACTTTTCTGGGCTTACTAAAAGTGTTGTTTCTGAGGCCTCACTTCCAGAAATTCAGATTTGAGAAGTTTGGGGTACAGCTCAGGAATGTGCATTTTTAATGTACCCTAGATAATTCTCATATAGGAGCCACAGGAGTTCAGCAGACTATGGTATGATAAATGCTGCTCTGTAGGTTGCATGTAACAAGTATTAGAAATTAACCATCCTTATTTATTTATTTTTACGATATTGGAACACTACTTTTCTTTTCTTTTTTTTTCTTGAGACAGAGTCTTGCTCTGTCACCCAGGCTGGAGTGCAGTGCCATGATCTTGGCTCACTGCAACCTCCGCCTCCCGGGCTCAAGCAATTCTCCTGCCTCAGCCTCCCGAATAGCTGGGATTACAGGCGTGTGACACCACGCCCGTCTAATTTTTGTATTTTTAGTAGAGACGGGGTTTCACCATATTGGCCAGGCTGGTCTCAAACTCCTGACCTCAGGTAATCCGCCCGCCTCGGCCTCCCAAAGTGCTGGGATTACAGTCGTGAGCCACCACGCCCGGCCAGAACGAACACTACTTTTCTAATTTCCACATGTACGTTTGTGTCAGTCAGCATCCTAGCAGGAAATACAACATATCTTGGATGATTAAAAGATATTTTAGGCCGGGCATGGTGGCTCACGCCTGTAATCCCAGCACTTTGGGAGGCCAAAGGCAGGTGGATCACCTGAGGTCAGGAGTTCGAGACCAGTGTGGCCAACATGTTGAAACCCCGTCTCTACAAAAATACAAAAATTAGCCGGTGGTGGTGGTGGCGAGTACCTGTAATCCCAGCTACTTGGGAGGTTGAGGTAGGAGAATCACTTGAACCTGGGAGGCAGAGGTTGCAGTGAGTCGAGATAACACCACTGCACTCCAGCCTGGGTGACGGAGCCAGACTCCATCTCAAAAAAAAAAAAAAAGTTATTTTAGTGAAGGGATCACTGATAGAAGTGTGGGCAGGGTTAAGGGAACAAATAATGAAGCACACAGATTATCAGCAGTGGAAGCTGTTATCACTTCTAAGGTGAAGGGACAGGAGGAGGAAATGATATTATTTTGAGGGCTTATTAAGAGAGAGGGCCATGGAGAAAGGTCCTTCCTCCTACTCTTCATTCAGATGAAAACCTCTCACCCCCAAACAGATGAGACACGAAGTCCAATCAGTTACCTTATTGTCATGGGGTAATATTTCAGCCATATTCCCATTTGAAACCAAAGTTGCATGTAGCCATCACTACTACCCTCATACAAGATAGCAGGAAAAGAGGTGTATTGGGAGAAATAATTGACTAGTATAAAATATACTTAGCTGTAACAGTCTCCACCATTGTAGCTAGTCAAGAGGCTGACATTGATAATCATAACTTCCTCTCTCCACTACTCATTTCATGTTCCTCTTAGTTTTTCCAGTACTTTGGTTGGTCACAATTCTTTACTTTTATACCCAAAAGGATTTAAGTCTTTAGTGGGCCTGTCTTTACTGGGTTACTGTAGTTTCCCATCGATTTTATCAGATAGGAACATTGTGCTAAGAGGCAGCCCAATGAATCCCTTGGATTTTAGACATAGCCTACCTGTTTTTATTGCAAAGCAGCCATCTAGTTTCCTCTTAGAAATAAGGATCAATCATTCTTTAGTACACTAACCTTCTTCTCTGCTTATCACCCCTATGTGGTGGAGTCTCGACCAGAGAATTCTCTGCTTCAAATTTAGTAGAACCATGGCTGTATTCCTTGGTGGAAGCTTTCTTTTCCTGGGAACCATATTCTCCAGTGTTTTCACAGTGCTTGTTCATTATGAGAAATCCTTCCATATACCTCCCTCTCTAGACCTCCTTTTTAACCAGTATTTCAGTTTTGTTCTTTCTAATTACTTAATCCCAACCCATTAGCTATTGCCCACCTATCAGTATAAATCTAAATCCCAGGTCATCTTCCATTCCCAGTAAACTGACCACCAGATATATTGTTCAAATTTACATCTACTGGAAAATTTCTTTTTGTAACTGTTTTTTAAGGATACCCCTAAGTGGGAAACCGATACTTTAGCTGACTTCAGGTACAAGGATATCATGCAAACCCATCTGTAAACCAGGTCTGTGTATTTTTTTCTTCTGTTCATTGGTTATGGGGAACTCCTCATGAGGCATGAAAGAGGCAGTGAAGCAGCAAGGGTAGATACTATAGGAGTTTGAGCCACTAGTGCTCATTAAATTTATGTCTTATTTTCCTGTTCATATATTTGATTTCTATTTAATCAAATAGATTAAATTGATCTTCACATACCCAATTTCATGACTCAGTAGATCAAGTAGCCCATTTTTTGATGGACATCTCTGGTCATGTAGTCACTGTCTTGATTTGACAGTTGGAAGTCTCAATCTTTTTTATTTTGTAAGTATTTAATTAAAGCAGATAGCCCACTCAGCCATCTTTATAATGATTATTGTTATCAAAAATTAAGTCCAGTAGTCACCTATCTCAAAGCTTTGTCCTTCACTGGCACTCCATCCCACATTGCAGCAGTGATCATTTTAATAATTGTGATTTCATTGCATGTCCTATATTTTGTTGTTTCATTTTTTTCCCCTGGCAGGGAGGTCATCTGCGCATTCATCAAATATGTGTGAGCAAACCAGTCCCCAAATCTCTGCAAATCCCCAAGTACTGTATCAGTTAATGACCCAGCAGGAAATAGATTCATGGCAGATGATTCAAATGAAGGGATTTTAAAGCAAGGGGTTACTTATAGAAGTGTGGGAATGGTTAAGAGAAGAAACTGTCTTTATAGTTAGTAAAGTAAGTATAAACTATCTAATTTAAGCCATTGTATTTTGGGATATCTTTGTTATAGCAGCTTGGCCTTTTCTGTAATAGACATAAAAATTTACATTATTATGACACTAGTTGTTACTGATAGCTAAGACATTATTATATTTCCTTTCTTTTTCTCTGAGGTTAAAAATAAGACGTAACTTTATCCCTTTACCCAGGTTTGCCTATTGTTAATATTTTTACCTTATTTGCTTTATGTTTTTTCCTGTCCCTTGCTCTCACTTGCTCTGTCTCCTTCTCTCCCTCTCTCTCTCATGTGTGTACATTTTTCCCTGAACAGTGTGAAAGAAAGTATGTATTTCTCAAGAATAGAAATATTCTTATATAACCACAGTACAGTTATCAGTTTCCCAAAATTACATTGATATATAACATTTTTATCTACTGTATCATCCAAATTCTAATTTTGTCAATTGGTCTAATAATATAATATAATAATGTGCCCTGTAGCACATTATTTCCCATCTCAATGATTACATTTCCATCCTAACTATTACAGAATCTAGGCTAGGGATAGGCATTGCATTAAATTATCATGTCTTTTAGCCTCTTTTAATTTGGAAAATTTCCTCCAATTTTCTTTGTCTTTTATGACATTGACATTTTTGAAGAATATAGTCTCCCATACCATTAAATTTTTTTTCTCATTTTGTCTCTTACTTCCCTGTGATTAAATCAAGATTATACATTGTTGTCCAAAATCCTGTCAAGAATAGGTGATATTGCATTCTTCCTATATTATCACATAGAAGCATCCTCATTAATGATTAATTTTGATCTTCTGGTTAAGCTTGTTACCTGAATTCTCCACTGTGTAATTACTAATTACTGGTGTTTTATGCCTTGCAACTAATAAGGAAATGTAAATATTTTGCTTTTCATCAACATTCCCCCTTGAATTGATAACCCATTAGCAATTCTTGCCTGCAATAATCTTTACTGTGGTAGTTGCAAAATGATGATTTCCAAATTGGCACTTCCTTCACATTTGTCAGTTGGTTCTCAATCTTCTACTGTAAGCAGTAGATCTTTCTTCTCCCCTATTTATTTGTCTGCTTATTATGTGGATTCATGAATTTCAATTTTTTTCTGTTAGTTTTAATTCAATACTGAACCTAATAATTTTGATGCTTAAATTGTCCCAGATTTGGCCAGTGGGAGCCTCTTTAAGCTGGCTCCTGTGTCCTTGTGACATGTCTTCTTTTTTTTTTTTTTGTTAGCATTTCTTTACTTTCTAGCATAGTAAGATGTTCCAGGCTAATCTGATACCTATCCTGCTGCAGCCATCTATATAGTATTAGAGACCAAGATATAGATGCTAGGTGTGATCCTGTTACTATGGTATCTTTACTTTTAGCCCCTTTCAGGGACAGTGCTAGAAAATATGTGCATGTATATACATATATACATATCTGTACATAAACATATACATATATGCACATGTGCACATAAATGTGTACACTTACATATAGATATAACTTTTTTTTTTTGAGATAGAGTCTTGTGCTGTCACCCAGGCTGGAGTGCAATGGCGTGATCTCTGCTCACTGAAACCTCTACCTCCTGGGTTCAAGCGATTCTCCTGCCTCAGCCTCCTGGGTAGCTGGGATTATAGGTGTGCGCCACCATGCCTGGCTTATTTTTTGTATTTTTAGTAGAGATGGGGTTTCACCATGTTGGCCAGGCTGGTCTTGAACTCCTGACCTCAGGTGATCCACCCGCCTTGGCCTCCCAAAGTGCTGGGATTACAGTTGTGAGCCACCATGCCCAGCCCATAGAAATAACTTAAAAGTCATGCATTCCTACCATTATATCCAACTTCAGTTCATTCCTACATAATTCTTTTTTGCCATCCCCTATTCAGTATTTATATGTTTCTTCTAAGTGAATATCTGGCTCTCAACATCAAGCCACATATTCATTTGCTCATGTCTATAATACATCTAAAGTAGCTGCAGAATTGATTTTGACCATTTCCCTATGATAAACAAACCTCTGTCTCTGTTTTCTTTTTCTAGCAAATTCCTCTAAGTATTCGTGTTCCCAGAGGCTGCTACTTCCAGTGCTGCACCCTTTCAAATTCCTTCTCTGTAGCCAGAGCTTTGAACTTGTAGATCCAACCCATGTTGAGAATTTTTGCATTTATTGTTTCACCTTTTCCTTCTGGGGTGGTTGGGTCTGTGCCTTCCATAAGTCCTTTGCTTTCTTCTGTTCTTTTTCACAGAATCTTATAAGCCTTTCTTTCCTCACTTTCAATACCCTGAAGTTTGTGGTAGTAGCAGTGGGCTGATGGTAGAAGTGCCATGGAATTTGTTTCTTTTTTCTTCTACATATGGTGAAGGCAGCAAATGTTCTTTCTCCTAGTAATGCAGAAAGTATGGATTCAGTGTGGTTTTATGTTTTTTCTAGGAGGGTAGGGGGAAGTGGGTGACCACTATTATTTTCTGAATTCAGGAAAATTCTGTTTTTTTTTTTAATTTTTAATTTTTGTGGGCACATAGTAGGATATATATTTATGGGGTACATGAGATATTTTGATATATGCATACAATGCATAATCACATCAGGGTAAATGGAGTATCCTCACCTCAAGCATTTATCCTTTGTATTACAAACGATCCAATTAGACTCTTTTAGTTATTTAAAAATGTACAATTAAATTATTACTGACTATAGTCATCCTATTATGCTATCAAATATTAGATCTTATTTATTCTTTCTATTTTTTTGTACATTTAGCCATTTCTACCTCCCCATCCCCCAACTACCCTTCTCAGACTTTGGTAATCATCTTTCTTTATCTCCGTGAGTTTAATTGTTTTAATTTTTAGCCTCCACAAATAAGTGAGAACATGTGAAGTTTGTCTTTCTGTGACTGGCTTATTTCACCTAACATAATGACCTTCAGTTACATTCATGTTGTTGCAAATGACAGGATCTCATTCTTTTTATGGCTGAATAGTATTCCATTGTATATATGTAACCACATTTTCTTTATCCATTTGTCTGTTGATGGAAGCTTAGGTTGCTTCTAAATCTTGGCTATTGTGAACAGTGCTGCAAGAAACATAGGAGTGCAGATATCTCTTTGATATACTGATTTTCGTTCTTTTGGGTGTGTAACTGGGAGTGGGATTGCTGGGTCATATGGTAGCTCTATTTTTGATTTTTTGTGGAACTTCCTCACTGTTCTTCACAGTGATTGTACTAATTATTCCCATCAATAGTGTTAGAAGGTTCCCTTTTCTCCACTTTCTCAGCAGCATTTGTCACAGTTCAATGTTGGTAGGTTGTATGTGTCTAGGAATTTATCCATTTCTTCTAGGTTTTCCAATTTATTGGCATATAGTTGCTCATAGTACCTCCTAAGGATCCTTTTAATTTATGCATTGTCTGTTGTAAAGTCTCCTTTTTCCTCTCTGATTTTATTTATTTAGGTCTTTTCTCTTTTTTTATTACTTAGTCTGGCTAAAGGTTTGTCAATTTTATCTTTTTAAAAAACCAACTTTTTGTGTCATTGATCCTTTCTACTGTTTTGTTAATTTCAAATTCATTTATATCTGCTCTAATCTTTATTATTTCTTTTCTTCTACTGATTTTTGGTTTGGTTTGCTCTTGCTTTTCTCGCACTTTAAGATGCATGATTAGGTTGTTTGTTTGCAGTTTTTATTCTTTTTTGATGTAGGCACTTATAGCTATAAAATTTCCTTTTAGTACTGCTTTCACTGTATTTCATAGGTTTCGGTACATTATGTTTCCATTTTCATTTGTTTCAAGAACTTTTTCAATTTCCTTCTTAATTTCTTCAGTGACACACTGATCATTCAGGAGCATATTGTTTAATTTCCATGTATTTGTATAGTTTCCAAAATTCATCTTGTTGTTAATTTGTTATTTTATTCCATTATGGTTAGAGGAGATGCTTGATATTATTTCAAGTTTTTTGAATGTTTAAAGAATCATTTTGTGACCTAACATATGGTCTGTCCTTGAGAATGATCCATATGCTGAGGAGAAGAATGTATATTCTGCAGCCTTTGGATGAGATGTTTTGTAAATGTCTCCATTTGGTCTATAGTGCAGATTAAATCCAATATTTCTTGTTGAGTTCCTGTCTAGGAGATCTGTCCAATGCTGAAAGTGGGGTGTTGACATTTCTAGCTACTATTGTGTTGAGTTCTGTCTTTTTAGCTCTAGTGATATGTATTTTTTTCTTTTTTGAGACAGAGTCTCGCACTGTCACCCAGGCTGGAGTTCAGTGGCACAGTCTTGGCTCACTGCAACCTCGCCTCCCGGGTTCAAGCGAATTCTCCTGCCTCAGCATCCTGAGTGGCTGGGATTACAGGTGTGCGCCACCATGCCTGGCTTATTTTTTGTATTTTTAGTAGAGACGTGGTTTCACCATGTTGATCAGGCTGGTCTTGAACTCCTCTGCCTCGGTCTCCCAAAGTGCTGGGATTACAGGCATGAGCCACCGAGCCCAGCCAGCTCTAGTGATATTTGTTTTATATATCTGGGTGCTCCAGTGTTGAGTGTATAGATCATTATACCCTGTTGCTGGATTGACTCCTGTATCATTGTATGATGACCTTCTTTGTCTCTTATTACAGTTTTTGTCTTGAATTATCTTTTGTTTTATATAAGTGTAGCTACTCTGGCTCTTCTTTTGATTTCCATTTGCATGGAATCTCTTTTTCTATCCCTTTGATTTCATTCTATGTGTATCTTTTTAGGTGAAGTGTGTTTCTTGTAGGCAACAGATCATCGTGTCTTGTTTTTTCATGCATTCAGCCACTCTGTGTTTTAATTGGAGAGTTTAGTCCATTTACATTTAATGTTATTATTGATATGTAAGGACTTACTCCTGCCATTTTGTTATTTTTTTCTGGTTGTTGTGTGGTCTTCTCTTCCTTCCTGTCTTCCTTTTAATGAAGGTGACTTTCTGTGGTGGTATGTTTTAATTTCTTGCTTTTTTGTGTGTGTGTATCTCTTGTATGTTTTTGATTTGAAGTTCCTGTGAGGCTTGCAAAGACTGTCTTATTACCCATTATTTTAAATTGATGACAGTATAACCCTGATTGCATGAACAAAAAACAAACATGCAAAAGAAAACTCTACACTTTAACTTCATTCCCCTGCTTTTTTTTGTTTATTTTTGATTGTTATTATCCCCCTGCTTTTTAACTTTTGTTGTTTCTCTTTATGTCTTATTGTACTATGTCTTGAAAATTTTTTGTAATTATTATTTTTGATTGGTTCATCATTTAGTCTTTCTACTTAATGTAAGAGTAGTTTACCCATCATGACTATGGTTTTGTAATATTTCTGTGTCCTTACTATTGCCAATGTGTTTTGTACCTTCAGGTGATTTATTCTTTCTCATTAACATCCTTTTCTTCCAGATTGAAGAACTTCTTTAGCATTTCTTGTAGGACAGTTCTGGTGTTGAGGAAATCTCTCATCTTTTGTTTCTCCTTCATGCTTAAAGGATATTTTTGCCAGACACACTATTGAAGGGTAAGGGTTTTTCTTTCCTTCAACACTTTAAATATTTTATGCTACTCTCTCCTGGCCTGTAAGTTTCCACTGAAAAGTCTGTTGCCACATGTATTAGAGCTCCACTGTATATTATTTGTTTCTTTTCTTTTGCTGCTTTTACGATTTTTTCTGTATCGTTGACCTTCAGGAGTTTGATTATTAGATGCCTTGAGAAAGTCTTAATTAGGTTAAATCAGCTTAGTGTTCTGTAACCTTCTTGTACTTGAATGTTGATATATTTCTCTAGGTTTGGGAAGTTCTCTGTTATTATCTCTTTGCATAACGTTTCTACCACCCCTCTCTACCTCCTCATCAAGGCAAATACCTCTTAGATTTGCCCCTTTGAGGCTATTTTTTAGATCTTGTAGACATGCTTCATTTTATTATTTTGTTTCCTTTGACCATGTATTTTCAAATAGGCTATCTTCAAGCTCACTAATTCTTTCTTCTGTTTGATCAATTCTACTATTAAGAGACTCTGATGCACTCTTTAGTATTTCAGTTGTATTTTTCAACTCCAGAATTTCTGCTTGATTCTTTTTAATTATGTCAATCTCTTTGTTACATTTATCTGATCGGATTCTGAATTCCTTCTCTGTGTTATGTTGAATTTCTTTGAATTTCCTCAACACATCTGTTTTGAATTCTCTGTCTCTGTTTCTCTGGGATTGGTCCTGGTGCCTTATTTAGTTTGTTTGGTGAGATCTTGTTTTCCTGGATGGTCTTAATGCTTGTAGATGTTTGTCAGTGTCTGGGCATTGAAGAGTTAGGTATTTATTGTAGTCTTTGCAGTCTGGGCTTGTTTGTGCCTGTCCTTGAGAAGGCTTTCAGGTATTCAGAGGGACTTCAGCTCCAAGCACAATATCGCTGTGGTTTCTGCAGGCTGGTAGAGGTACGGCCTTGGTAGCCTTCGATAATATCTGGAGGAATTCTCTGGAATACGAGGCAGAGACTCATATTCTTTTCCCTTACTTTCTCTCAATTGAACGTAGTCTCTCTCTCTCTGTGCTGAGCCACCTGGAACTAGGCATTTGGTGATGCAAGCAGTCTTGTGGCCACCAACACTGGGGACTGTGTTGGGTCAGCCCTGAAGCCAGTGTAGTACTGGGTGTCACCCAAGGCCTGCTGTAACCACTACCTGGCTACCTCCTATGTTCACTCAAGGCCCTAGAGTTCTCCGATCAGCAGGTGCTGATGCCAGCCAGGTTTGTGCCCTTCCCTTCAGGATGGCAAGAGCCCCCAGGTCCCAGGCAGGGACAGAGATTTTAGAAATTTGCCTGATGTTCAATTCTACTGCGGCTAAGCTGGCACTCAAACCACAAGACAAAGTCCTTCCTGCTCTTCCCCCATCTTTCCACAGGTAGAGGAGCCTCTTCCTGTGGGCACCACTACCACTGGCCCACAGAAGTGTTCTGGCAGGCCACTGACCATGTTCACTTAAAGTCCAAGGTCTCTTCAGACAGCTGTGGTAAATGCTGCCAGGCCTGGGACTCACCCTTCAGGGCAGTGGGCTCCCATCTGGCCCAGGGCAGGTCCAGAAATAGTGTCCAAGAGCCTAAGCCTGGACTTGGAGACCCCAGGAGCCTGCTTGTTGCTCTACCTCAGTGTGGCCAAGCTGGTACCTAAGGTGCAAGGCAAAGTCTCTTTTACTTTTCCCTCTGCATTTCTCAAACAGAAAGAGTGTTTCAGCATAGCCACCACAGCTGGGAATGTGCTGGGTCACATGTGTCATTAGCATGTCTCAGAGCCCAGGGCACACTGTGTACTACCTGGGTATTGCTGCCGGTTATTCAGGGCTCAGGGGCTCTTTTATCAGCATGTAATGAATCCTGCTAAGACTGGATCTTTCCTTTCAAGGCAGTAGGTTGCCTTTTGGTCCAGGGTGTGTCTAGAAATGTCATTTGGGAGCTAGGTCCTGGAATGGGGGCCTCATGACACTGCCTGGTGCCCTATCCTGCAGTGGCTAAGGTGGTATCCAGGATGCAAGACAAAGTTCTCTTTACTCCTCGTTCTCTTCTCCTTAAGCAGAGGATGGAGTCACTTTCATTGCTGTAAGCTGCACTGTCTAGGGTTGGGGTAGGGGTGACACAGCCACTCCCCTAGCCACCCCGGATTGTGTCTCCCTAGCTCAAGTGCCACTCTAGTCCTCTGGCTCTGAACCCAGCTTAGCACTAGGAGTTGCCTAGGAATTGCATACCTGTGTCCTAAACTGCTTTTCATGTGTACCTAGGATCCGAGAGCACTTTGGTTCATGATGGCGAGGCCTGTTGAGAAATTCAAGTTCCTACCATTGGGATGGGCGATTCCCCTCTGGCTACGTCTGGTCCAGGTGCTCCCTCCTTGCATGAGTGCTGGCTTAGCCCACCATGGCTTTACTCTCTGTTATATCAGGGCAGCACTGAGTTCAATGTAAAGTCCTCAAGTCACTGTGCTGTCCCTCCATGAAGTGCACAGACTCTACACTGGGGTATGAGGGAGGGGAGGCATCTGTGATTCAAGACTGTGTCTCCGACCCTCTTCAGTGACATGAAGTTACTGTAGTTGGTCATCTGATTTTTGGTTATACTGTGATATGAAGTTAAAACTAGTTAAACTTCAGTGATATGGAGTTAAAACTACTACTTTGCTTGCTCATCTGATTTTGTGTCAGTCCTTTTTCATGGGCAGATAGGTGTTAAAATTTGGTGTTCCTGCCAGGAGGATGAAGCCTGCCTGTAGGCTTCTAATCTGCCATCTTGCTCTGCCCTCCTAAGACTTAATTTAACCAAATAAATGAAAGATCTTTACAATGAAAACTATAAAACACTGATGAGAAAAATTAAAGAGGCCACACACACAAAACAGAAAGATATTCCATGCTTATAGATGGGGATAACATTGCTAAAA
The DNA here is from genome assembly GCF_000001405.40 of Homo sapiens. Taxonomy (NCBI): domain Eukaryota; kingdom Metazoa; phylum Chordata; class Mammalia; order Primates; family Hominidae; genus Homo; species Homo sapiens. The sequence continues at coordinate 33,214,760 of NC_000007.14, forward strand.
TATCAATACCACTCAAAGCAGTCTATAAACTTAGTTCAATCCCTGTCAAAATACTGATATTATTCTTCGTGGAGATAGAAAAAACAAAATTTATATGGAACTACAAAAGACTCCAAATAGCCAAAGCATCCCTAATAAAAAGAACACAGCTGGGCCTGGCGCAGTGGCTCACGCCTGTAATCCCAGCACTTTGGGAGGCCAAGGCGGGCGATCACGAGGTCAGGAGATCGAGGCCATCCTGGCTAACATGGTGAAACCCTGTCTCTACTAAAAATACAAAAAATTAGCTGGGCATGGTGGCGGGTACCTGTAGTCCCAGCTACTCGGGAGGCTGAGGCAGGAGAATGGTGTGAACCCGAGAGGCAGAGCTTGCAGTGAGCTGAGTGCAGTGCCACTGCACTCCAGCCTGGGCAACAGAGCGAGACTCCGTCTCAGAAAAGAAAAGAACACAGCTGGAGGCATCGCACTACTTGACTTCAAAATATATGACAAAGCTATAGTATACAAATCAGCATAGTACTGGCATAAAAAACAGACACATAGACCAGTGGAACAGAGTATAGAAACCCAGATATAAATCTGTATGTTTACTGTCAACTCATTTTTGACAAAGATGCCAAGAATATACAATGAGGAAACAGTCTCTTCAATAAATGCTGCTGGGAAAATTGAGTAACAATATGCAGAAGAATGAAACTAGACTCCTGTCTCTTGCAATATATGATATTCAAATCAAAATGGATTAAGAACTTAATTAAGACCTGAAAATAGATTAAGACCTGAAACTATGAAACTACTAAAAGAAAACACTGGAGAAACATTTTGGGAGATTGGTCTGGGCAGAAATGCACACACACACATAGACACACACAGACACACAGAGACACACACACACACAGGAATATTATTCAGCCATAAAAATGAAATCCCGGCATTTGCAGCTATTTGAATGGAACTGGGAGTCCTTGTTTTAAGTGAAATAAGCCAAGCACTGAAGGACAAATATTACATATTCTCCCTTACATGCGGGAGCTAAAAAAGTAGATCTCATGATGACAGAGAAGCTGAAAGAGGAGAAGCTCTAGAATAATTTTATGATTAGATTAAACATGTAAAAATATGTCTAAGATTTTTTGTACTTAGATTTTTACTCTGCCACTTTTCTTGAATTTTCTTTTGTCTTACAAATATCATGTTTAGGAAACTAACCTAAAAGAGAAGTCTGAATGCTGATTCCATTCAGCAGGGGAAGGGTTGTTATTGCCATCTGTAGTTCATTGTTACTAGTTTCCTTATGCTTGGCCATTTGAGGATCAAAGGCTTTGTTTAATGACCTTGAACTCTGATCCCTTACAAGGCAATGCATATTTCTGACACTAGGCCACTGGGCTTTCTGTGTTCTTGTTAAATATACAATGTCATAATGTACATACTATTCTTTTGGCTAGTGTAATGACATTTCTACTTCTGCTTTTAATAAGGCTAACTCCCTTCTAAACACTGTCTTTAAAAATAGAATGGTTCTTCCATTAGTAGCAGAAATTCTTTACTCTTGGTTGACACACAATTTTTTTTGTTCCCAAACCTAGGCCTCAGTCCTATCCTTCAAAAAAACAAGCCGAACTTTGTTTTCTGTTTGCCAAGGAAAGGGATTAGTGTGTCTGCACAAAGAAAAGTAATTCTTTTCCATACAAAAAAGGATAGGTACTATATTCCAATCAAGGTAACAAACCAGTGGGCTAAAAAAGAATTGCCTTTTAATTGTGAAAACATTTCCTGATCTTTTAAAAAAAGAAATCTACGGGAAGTATAAAGGCAATCAGGTAATAAACTCATTGAAAATCAGTTATAGTATTAGCAAAAGTTTACAGTGGTTGGCTTTGTCACATAGTCATAGTTTGTGGGAGAATCTTGACCTTATTTGATGCTGTAAATACTTGTGTTTTCTTAGCCTATTGATATGGTATGAAGGAGTCTCTTGGATGGGCCAAATTGCCTTTCAAAAAATTCATTGTTTTGTAAAATTGGGATTACCTTAAAAGAAAAAGTTAACCAGCCGGGCGTGGTGGCTCATGCTTGTAATCCCAATACTTTGGGAGGCCGAGGCGGGTGGATCACGAGGTCAGGAGTTTGAGACCAGCCTGGCCAACATGGTGAAACCCATCTCTACTAAAAATACAAAAAAAATGAGCCGGGGTGGTGGCGCACACCTGTAATCCCAGCTACTCAGGAGGCTGAGGCAGGAGAATGGTTTGAACCCGGGAGGTGGAGGTTGCAGTGAGCTGAGATTGCACCATTGCACTCCAGCCTGGGTGACAGAGCGAGACTCCGTCTCCAAAAACAAAAAAAATTAACCAACTAAAAATACAACCTATAGAAGAGCAAGGAATATATTTGGTGAAATTTGACACTTTCTTTTTATTGAAATTTATATTTTAAAATATATTTAAATGTATTTAAATAAATATATATATTGAAATTTGATATAAGAAAATTAGATGAAATTTTCTCATATGTTGATGTATTTATGGTATTTTTTGGTTTTGCTAAACAGGTTGTGTATTATTAATCATTTGCTATAGCATAATTTAAGATTATTTGCAGTTTCTAATTTTTATTAACACTAAAGTTTTTTTGACATTCAGCATTTCTGCTCACATGAGCCATAATTATATCTACGAAGTGTTTTGAGCTTAAAGCAACTTTGAAAATGGAAGAAATGACTAACATTAAACATGTTTAGCTCCTCAAACACTACCTGCTGATTACTTAAATTTTATGTGGACTCCATATAATGTTCATAATACAAATACATTTCAATATTTTGATACAGAATAATGTTTATAATTCTCAGCATGCACATATATTCTAACCATGCTGAGATAACACTAGCGTTCAAACAACAGTAGCCAGTCTGATGTTTAAAAGAAACACTTGCTAGCCGAAGGACATTCCTCTTGAGGCATGGACTGGAAACCATGTTGAGTATGCTAAGTAATTCCATCTGACCTGCAGAAAATCACTATGGGTTACATTTTCACTTTGCACATATGTCATCGACCAAGCCAACTGGCTGGAGTAAGCTTTTTGAAATGGACATTTCTGGCTGAGCTTTTGGAAGATTGCATTTTTAAAAATAAAGCATTAAAAAAACCATTATTCATTGGTTGTACATTAAAAGCAAATGGCGAAAGGAAATAAACAGAAGTATAAAAAGGTCATAGGATGAAAACATTAAATTGTGTATACAATTTTAATTCTATTTGTAGTAGGTTTAAAAATAATTGTACTTAATATAGAGCCAACCTCCCTAAAAAAGCAAAATATTTAGAATTAGACATTACAGAGAAGGATATATTGGTACAGATTAATAAAGAAAAGATTTGACATTTTTCCTTTTACAAGTGTTTAATTACAACTGTATATAGATTACATACTTACTGAGTGAATATTTGGAAAATTGATGTAAATCATTGTACTTTTGTCCTTTGAGGAAATACATTCTGGGCTGGAAAAAAATTTCAAATTCAGGGAAAACTTTCTGAGTTTGAGTCCTTGCTTTACCATTTACTGACTTTGTTGGTATAAGGTCCATAGTCTTAGCCTTGGATTTCCCTGAAAATATGGTTGTATATTTGCCTGACCCTGTCATTGTCAGTAATGAACTGTTGTTTAAAAGTGGCTTAAGCTCCTGGTAAGAAAGCCATTTTTGTAAATTTAGGGTATTATTTTTATAGTGTGTGGTAACTGAACTGGCCAAGCCAGAACTTATTAACCACATGTGGCATTGGGAGATAGGCGAGTATTCAGAAGTAGTTACAGAAGCCTTTTAGTTAGTTAGGATTTACCACGGGCTTCTTCTGTGAAACTCTTTGCTAGGTGAGTTACAAGATAATACATGCTAGTGTGCTAGCCCAAAGGAAGGAAAGAAACCAATATAAGAAACCAACATCAGTTAAATGTCAATTTCTGTCACACATTGTGTTGGTGATTGACACATCTTATGTAATCAACTGTTATCAGTTGAAGGTTTTGAGAGGTGACAGCGTGCTGGCAGCCCTTGCAGCCCTCGCTCGCTCTCGGCACCTCCTCTGCCTGGGCTCCCACTTTGGCGGCACTTGAGGAGCCCTTCAGCCCACCACTGCACTGTGGGAGCCCCTTTCTGGGCTGGCCAAGGCCAGAGCTGGCTCCCTCAGCTTGCAGGGAGGTGTGGAGGGAGAGGCGCGAGCGGGAACCCGGGCTGCGGGCGGCGCTTGCGGGCCAGCTGGAGTTCCGGGTGGGTGTGGGCTTGGCGGGCCCCGCACTCGGAGCAGCCGGCCAGCCCTGCTGGCCCTGGGCAATGAGGGGCTTAGCACCCAGGCCAGCAGCTGCGGAGGGTATACTGGGTCCCCCAGCAGTGCCAGACCACTGGCGCTGCGCTCAATTTCTCACCGGGCCTTAGCTGCCTTCCCGTGGGGCAGGGCTCGCGACCTGCAGCCCGCCATGCCTGAGCCTCCCACCCCCTCCGTGGGCTCCTGTGCGGCCGAGCTTCCCCGGTGAGCGCCGCCCCGTGCTCCACCGCGGCCGGTCCCATCGACCACCCAAGGGCTGGGGAGTGCGGGCACAGGGCGCGGGACTGGCAGGCAGCTCCACCTGCAGCCCCAGTGCAGGGTCCACTGGGTGAAGCCAGCTGGGCTCCTAAGTCTGGTGGGGATGTGGAGAACCTTTATGTCTAGCTCGGGGATTGTAAATACACCAATCGGCACTCTGTATCTAGCTCAAGGTTTGTAAGCACACCAGTCAGCACCCTGTGTCTAGCTCAGGGTTTGTGAATGCACCAATTGACACTCTGTGTCTAGCTACTCTGGTGGGGCCTTGGAGAACCTTTGTGTGGACACTCCGTATCTAGCTAATCTGGTGGGGACATGGAGAACCTTTGTGTCTAGCTCAGGGATTATAAACGCACCAATCAGCGCCCTGTCAAAACAGACCACTTGGCTCTACCAATCAATAGGATGTGGGTGGGGCCAGATAAGAGAATAAAAAGCAGGCTGCCTGAGTCAGCAGTGGCAACCCGCTGGGGTCCCCTTCCACACTGTGGAAATTTTGTTCTTTCGCTCTTTGCAATAAATCTTGCTACTGCTCACTCTTTGGGTCCACACTGCCTTTATGAGCTGTAACACTCACCGCGAAGTTCTGCAGCTTCACTCCTGAGCTAGCGAGACCATGAACCCACCAGAAGGAAGAAACTCCGAACACATCTGAACATCAGAAGGAACAAACTCCGGACACGCCGCCTTTAAGAACTGTAACACTCACCGCGAGGGTCCGTGGCTTCATTCTTGAAGTCAGTGAGACCAAGAACCCACCAATTCCGGACACAGTTTCACCCATTTCATGAGTGTTTACCATGTGCCAGGCATTTTTCTTAGAGTCTTATAATTGCAGTTTATTTTGCAGATGAGGAAACTATTCACACTTATATTGCCTCACAGTTGGGAACAACTCTTCAGGGGAAATGATGAGAAGAGTTTGAAGGTTAAATATCATGGCATAGTTAAAAAAAGGGAGGGGCATATTTCCATGTTGAGGGATGGTCAGGGCAGATGCTGCTGATTCTTTTTGACTTTGACCCCTTGTTGCTAAATGTGAGAAGCTCTCTGAGATTGCGATGTTGAGGTTATTTCCAGTCGACCCGCACCTGAGATTTGCTTTGATGTTTGCTGTGTCCTATTGTGGTCAGACTGTCTTCACCATTGTGGTGATTGCTATGTATATAAAACTACTTTGTACCTAATGTGTGCATAAACATAAAGGCTACATTTAAGCAGTTTTGAGCACGCTTATGTTTATGAAATGTGAAGATAATTCATTTTCTGGCATACATGCTGTGATTTTATTAGTAAAGAAATGAGTTCTATGTGATACATTCCTTTATACATATATTATTTGCCTATTGTACATTGTCCAATTCATGTGTTTACTTATTTACGTTTATTCTTATACAGACTAGTACCAAACAAATACTAGTGCCCTTTTTAATTCTCACATTTACATGGAGTAATAATAACAAAAATGAAACACTCTGAGCCCACCTTTTAAATACAAGTTTAAAATTTCACTTGGCTAAGGATAAGGAGAAAGAAATCATGTTATATGGTTTTAATTTATACTAAGAAATTTGTTTTACAACTACAAAATTAAAGCCATGTACCTTCTCTAAAGTGTAAGAGAAAAATCTAAAGCGTTTGTTAGAGGTTTAGCCGTGCTTTTTTGCACATGCAGTTTCTCCTGCCTAGATTGTCTTTACAGACTGATGTCTTATCAACTGCGGCCAAAGCCTATTCTGAGGCCCAGCTCTGCTGGTGTCACTTTCTCTGTGAAGCTCTGCTGTGTTGGTTGTTTCTGCTTGTTTATACCTAGATAATTTGTTCATACCTTACCTTTAATTATTGCATGTGTTATGTAATGCTTTATTTTAGTATTTCTTGACTTCAACATTTCTTTCTTGAGATCAGAGATCATATTTTATTCATGTTTTTAATCTCCAGTACATAGTCCACTCTGTTCCAGTCTGTTCCAGACATAGAGCAAGTAGTCAATATCTGGAATAAATGAACGTGCTAATTATATTTTGATTTAAAAAAATTGCGTATGAGACTGAAATCATCAAGTACTGTGAACTCCATGGAAAAAGTATTTAAAGATATTTCAGTTCAGTATTAAAATATCTATCTTTGGTTATTTTATTCTAACAAGAAAAAAAAATTAGGGAAAACTGCTTTCTACTATGGGAGGTTATGTCCTTGATTAGAACAATTCCCTTGCTTTTAAGTTACTCATTTTGTTGCTAGGCAGAAATGATAAAGTGTTGTAATTCTGGAATAAATCTAGAGTACTTCAGGCAATTCATGTAACTAAAGATAAAGGTTTTATATTGTTCCTATACTAGAGTGAATTTTTAATTGTTTGTAAACTGTTTAAAAAATTTTCACAATCCTACAAGCCCTGCCAGAGTTGCTATTCTTCATTGAGGTATGTGGCAAGTTTGAATTTGGAAGTGTGTTTGTGTTTACATTTTTAAAAAGTATTTCATGTCAAAAATATGATATGAAATACTTAAAAAATCATATATGTGATATGAAATGCTTAAAAATCATATATATATATACACACACACACACATATATGATATGAAATACTTTTGGCTAAAGACCAAATACAGTATAAGAACTTTAATCCTAAAAGGAAAATACTGTTATATATACACACAGTGAAATAAGGGGGTCTTTGTAAATTAAAGGAAGCCAGTGTATAATTAGCAATAGCAGATACAATGATGTGTTTGAATATTTTTTGGCTTCTTGTTTATTAGCATGAACTCTATGAAACTTTTAAATTTCATGTAGTGTGTGTGTGTGTCTGCCTAAGAAGTCAAAGTCTCAAGCATGTGACTGTTGATAGAAATGATAGATGTTATATGCGGTTATACCTTTTTAGATTTTTTCATCTCTTATAACTAAGATATCAAATTGATTTTTTGGTTGGTTTAAGAGAAAAGTTTGAAGAATAGTCCCTAAGCTAGCAGAATGCATGGAATGGGTGACATTTTATTTATCCTGTGAGCAAAAGGGTAAGGATCGTTGGCCCTGATTTCCTGTGGCTTTCAACAGGGAATTCTAATAACATAGGAAATGAAGGAAGAAGATGCTTCATCACCATTCCTACCATTATTGCCTGAATTTGAGCCTTCTCTGTTTCTCATGTGCATTACTGAAAGAGCATTCCTACTGGTCTGTATGCCTCATATCTTGTTCCAGGTCTCCCCCGGTTTCTTCTCCTTCTATTCTCCATTTTTCTGCTTTAGAGTAATATTTTCAAATCACAAATCTGATCTTGTCTTTGTCCTGCTTGAAATTTTTTGTGGCGCCAGGTGCGGTGGCTCTTGCTTGTAACTCCAGCACTTTGGGAGGCTGAGGTGGGTGGATCACTTTAGGCCAGGAGTTTGAGACCAGCCTGCCAAAATTGGTTAAACCCCCGTGTCTACTAAAAATAAAAAAAAATATTAGCAGGGCGTAGTGGTGCATGCCTGTGGTCCCAGCTACTCGGGAGGCTGAGATGAAAGAATCACTTGAGTCTGTGAGGCAGAGGTTGCAGTGAGCTGAGATCACGCCACTGTACTCCAGCCTGGGCAACAGAGCAAGACCCTGTCTCAAAAAAAAAAAAAAGAAATTAAAAATTCCTAGTGGCTCCCATCACTTGTAAGAAGAATAACAGGGTTTATATAAGGTTCTGGCCCTGCTAAGCCCCCTGATCTGATCTTACTTCAGGTCCCAACTTAACACAATACATTAAAAAATTAATTTTTTAATTATATATACATTTATTTTATATTTTTTATGGCAGTCAATATTTCTACCCCAAATTAATTTTTTAATTGACAAATAAAACTTTTATATATTTATTGTGTATAACAGGATGTATTGATATATGTATACATTGTGGTATGATTAATTCAAGCTAATTAACATATCTATCATCTTATATCCTTATCACTCTTTAGTGATGAGTACATTTAAAATAGACTCTGTTTGCAATTTTCAAGTATATGGTACACTACTATTAACTCTTGTCACCATGCTGTACAGTATATCTTCAGAACTTATTCCTTCTAACTGGAACCTGAAAACAGTAGTTGTCTAACAACAACTTTCTCACCCTTCTGCCTATGCACAACACACTTTTCCTCATGTTTTTCATTTAGCCAACTCCTGCTCATTCAGGATTGAATTCATGCTTCACTTTTTGGGGAGAGGGCCTTGAAACCAATTACACCTACCTTCCTCTCACCCCCAAGACTTAGGAATGTCTTTTATGTGAAACTATAATACTCTGTATGTTCTTCTAAGCACTTACTGTGCTCTCTTACACTTTTAAAATTTGTCTTTTTTTTTTTCACTAGATTATGAGTTACTTGAGATCAAAGAAGACTTCCTTTATTTCTTCATCTGTGCCTGATAGAACTTGTGTTTGTTGAATGAATGGAATCCTAAAAGCTCAAGGGGCTATTTAATATTTATTATATTTGGGTCTATTTTACAGATAGCTTCCGCTCCAAGGCTAGTGCCACTTTGTAGTAATAATTGCTAATTTGATTTTCTAATCTCTTACTTTATAGTTGGTAAATGTTTGCTCTTATCAGTTAACATAGATTGAAAGTTGACTGAGTATATTTAAAATTACTTTTTTCCATCTTCTGTGGTATTTCCTTAAATGGGTCTCAGTGTGTTTAAATGTGGTAAATATAATATTTACTTTTTGAGTGGGAATTTTGTGATTAGTCAGATTTGTATTTTTAAAATTCTGATATGAAATATTTATTATTTATAATACTACTAATAACTACATTCATTGGACATATTTGATGAATGACTATGCTAAATTATTTGTGTGTGCTATCTTATTTAATCGCCAAAACAATGTTGTCAGGTCAGTGCAATTAGCCTCATTTTGCAGATAAGGATACTGATGGTTATAGAAGTTAAATTAGTTACTTGGGTTTACACAGCTACTAAGTCAGAGCTGAGATTTGGACCTGGTGGATCTGACCCTGTAGACTGAATTCTTAACTGTTCTATATCTGTCTGTTGTGTTTATATGACAGTAATTGCAAATAATAATTTGAAAGCAGTAACTTCATTTCAGGCTTTTAAAAGCATTCTTACAGCAAACATTTCAGTTAGGCTTAACTTGAGAGTACAGTGGCAAAATAATGTGTTAGTAACACCAAATTTTTCTGGCTTAAAAAATATGTTAATAGATTAACAATAGGTTCTCCCTCTTTTTTCCTTCTGTCTTCTCCCTCACCTCCCCACCGATCTTCTCCCTAACTTACTTGTCGAATAGGTTGGATTGTTTGTCCTGTTAACGTCCCACAGTCTGGATTTTGCTCATTGCATCCCCACAGTGTCTTGTAAATGTGTTCCTCTGTCCACATTTACTGTAAATTTGTAGTTAGATGTAGAGGACTGGTCAGGTTCAGGTTTGATTTTTTTGGCAGTACAACTTTACAGCTAGTGTTTCATTCTTATGTGAGGAGGCACATGCTCCCTGGTTGTCTCTCTTTTTGAGGCAACAGTAGCCATTGATGATCTAGGCAGTGCTAGAGAGCTACTGATTTATTAGGGATTAAAATGGTTATATTATAATTTTTATTATGTAACGGAAATACATTTAAAGGAAGAAATCTCCCTTTATCAGCTAGTAGGTTACCCAGAGATATATTCTTAGGAGAAAGGCAGAATAAATGCTTTGTTGTTTCCCTGTTTTCAAAATTCAGGGTTGGTTCTCTAGCATCCTTTGAAGATGACAAATTAGTAGTTGTTGTTTTCATATTATAATAAACTAATGGATTTAAATATGTGATGCCTTTCAATTTATTGATATTATTGTTATTATTTGTTTATATTTATTTTTTGAGACAAGGTCACACTCTTTTGCGCAGGCTTGAATACCGTGGCATAATCACAGCTCACTGTGGCCTTGACCTCCTGGGCTGAAGTGATCCTCCCGCCTCAGCCTCCCAAGTAGTTGGGACCACTGGTACCTGCTACCATGCCTAACTTTTTGAAATATTTTTTCATAGAGATGGGGTCTTGCTATGTTGCCCAGGCTGGTCTTGAACTCCTGGCCTCAAGCAGTCCTTCTACCTTGGCCTCCCAAAGTGCTGGGATTATGGACATGTGCCACTGCACTCATCTGAAGTTATTATTTTTGTTAATGTCAATATTGTACAATCTTTAGCCAAGGGAGCTTTTCCCAGTTGGTTCATCAACCCTTTTGACATAGCTTCAGTAGTCTTTGTTAGCTTTCTTGCTTCGTATTATGAGATGTTCCTGCCTCATCTTTTATATTTCCTCTCCCAGAACTGGAATCAGCCACTTCTTTAAGGAGCTTGGTTCTTTTTTTTTTTTTTTTTGTGGGAAATGGCATTTGAAGATCACAGTGTGGGTGCTGGTGGTGTTCAGTACTCCTGCTGGTTATTGCTTCTGCACTGTTGTGGTGGATAGAGTTAGGAAATATACATACTTAGTATTTAAAGGTAAACTATATTATGGGTTCATATTGATACTCCCAATTATGATGCAGACCTACAGACATTTTACTTATCCTCATTGATTTTACATACATATATGTACACATGTGTGTGCATATGCACACATTTGTATATATATTTGCTGGAAGATGTTTTTAGATAAGCACCTTCAGTGGTTTTGTCTTCCAACATAGCCAAAGGTACAGCACACTCCCTTTAGTAATAATGCCTTGGTGGCAATGATTCTCATTCTTAAGGGAAAAAAGATATAGAGGGGGAACCTATAGATTCTCACTGGTGAGTGATTGTCAGTGCAGTTTGAAAAGTGATCCTTACTCTTTCCCCTTGATAATTTGTGACCCAGAAGAGGAAAATTTCTCATCTCTATAGTGGAGATTTTTTTTTTCCAGGAGAATTTTGTCTATTAACATTGGAGATGATTTTTAATGGCTTTTTGATCATTAGATGATAATCTGCTTTAGAGTTTAAACAAATACACAGGTCTACTTTTGTTACACATTCTTGTGATTTTATATCTGATAGGTCTTTTATTGATAAGTGTTAGATAAGTGCTGCTGGATTATAGAAAACTCTTCTACTTTCAATGTTATATAGAACAAACAAAAGGATACAAAATATGGCTAGAATGGCTAGAATTAATACTCAAAACAATTAAAAAATTATGATCCAGCAACTCCACTCTGTGTATATGTCCAAAAGAAGTAAAAGCAGGGATTAGGAAAGATATTTATACATCCTTGTTCATTGCAGCATTATTCACAATAGCCAAAAGGTGGAAGCAACTCAAGTGTTCAATGGATAAGTGGATAAACAAAATATGGTGTATATGTACAATGGAATATTATTTGACCACAAAAAGAATGGAGTACTGATATATGCCATAACATGGATGAACCTTGGAGATATTATGTTAAGTGAAATAAGCCAGTCACAAAAAAGACAAATATTGTATGATTCTTTTTACATAAGGTTCTTAGAGTAGAGTAGTCAGATTTGTAGACCCAAAATTGAATGGTGGTTTCCAGGGGCTTGGGAAAGGATAATGGGGAGTAGTATTTGATAGATACAAACTTTTGCTTAGGAAAGATGAAAAAGTTATGGAGATGAATGGTGGTGGATTGCACAATGCACTTATGAATGTACCTAATGCCACAGAACTGTACATTCTAAAATGGTTAAAATGGTATATTTTACCACAATTTTTAAAAACCACATAGCACCAAAAAAGAGTGAATGAGTAAATTTCAAAAAGCTGTGTCAAGAATGATAATATATTATGTAATTTGTTTAGGGACCTTACAGCCATCAATTTTTTTTTTTTTTGAGACACAGTTTCACTCTGTTGCCCAGGCTGGAGTTCTCAGCTCACTGCAACCTCCGCCTTCCAGGTTCAAGTGATTCTCGTGCTTCAGTCTCCTGAGTAGCTGGGATTACAGGCACACGCCACCATGCCTGGCTAATTTTTGTATTTTTAGTAGAGATGGGGTTTCACCATGTTGGCCAGGCTAGTCTCAAACTCTTGACCTCAAGTGATCCCCTGCCTTGATCCTCCAAAGTGCTGAGATTACAGGTGTGAGCCACTGCACCCGGCCTAATCTTTTTTAAAAAATTAAAAAAAAGTTAATAGTTCTTTGGGAATGGGTGGTTTTTGGTTACATAGATAAGTTCTTTAGTGGCAATTTCTGGGATTTTGGTGCACCTGTCAGCTGAGCAGTATACAGTGTACTCAATATGTGGTCTTTCATCCTTCACCCCATTCCCAACCTTCCCCCTACCCCCAAAGTCCTCTATATCATTCCTATGCTTTTGCATCCTCATAACTTAGCTCCCACTTATGAGTGACAACATACGATATTTGGTTTTCTATTTCTGAATTACTTCACTTAGAATAATGGCCTCCAGCTCCATCCAAGTTGCTGCAAAAGACATTATTTTGTTCCTTTTTATGGCTCAGTAGTACTCCATGGTGTATATATACCATATTTTCTTTATCTACTTGTTGGTTAATGGGCACTTAGGCTGATTCTATATCTTTGCAATTGTGAATTGCATTGCTGATATAAACACACATGTTTATGACCATGTGTGCACATGTGTCTTTTTCATATAATGACTTCTTTTCCTTTGGGTAGATATCCAGTAGTGGCATTACTGGATTGAATGGTAGTTCTACTTTTAGTTCTTTAAAGAATTTCCATACTGTTTTCCATAGTGGTTGTACTAATTTACATTCTCACCAGCAGTGTAAAAGTGTTTCTTTTTCACCACATCCATGCCAATATCTATTATTTTTTGGCTTTTTAATTGTGGTCATTCTTGTAGAAATAAGGTGCTATATCTCATTGTGGTTTTAATTTGCATTTCCCTGATAATCAGTGATGTTGAGCATTTTTTCATGTTTGTTGACTGTTTGTATATCCTTTTTTGAGAATTGTCTATTCATGTCGTTTGCCCTTAAATCCTTCAATATTTATTTAGTTGAAGCAATTAAAAATAAAATAAATATTAATTTGAAATAAAAATCCTTAACAGCTAGATTATATTTTCTTTTATTCAAATTCAGAAACCTTTTCATTTTCTTTCTTCCAGAAGATTTAGTCACAAAAGGAAGAGGAATAACTTTCTCTATACAGTTGACCATTGAACAGTGTGGGGGTTAGGGATGCTGACCCCTCCTTTAAGTCAAATATCCACGTATAACTTTTGACTCCCCCGAAAATTAACTATTATTAGCCTACTGTTGCCTTACTGATAACATAAACAGTTGATTAACACATATTTTCTATGTTATTTGTGTTTTATATGGTATTCTTACAGTAAAGTCAGCTATAGTAAAAAAGTTATTAAGAAAATCATAAGGAAGGGAAAATATATTTACAGTTCATTGAGTCTAAGTGGGTTATTATACAGGTCTTCATCTTTGTCATCTTCACGTTGAATAGGCTGGGGAGGAGGAGAAAGAGGAGGTGACCCCTCTTCAGGTAACCCCAATTTTGCTGTCTCAGGGGTGGCAGAGGTGGAAGAAACTCCACGTATAAGGGGACCCACACAGTTCAAACAGTTGTTGTTCAAGGGTCAGCTGTATTTTTATATCTCCTGACATGAAGTTATAATTTGTTTTTGAGATGTACAGAGGGAAATGAAAACAGAGAATTAAAATTGAGGATGAAGACTTAGGCTTTATTTATTTTAACTTTCAAAAGTAAATTTTATTATGTATATTTAAGGTATACAACATGATTTATGAGTTACATATAGGTATTAAAAAGATTACTATAGTGAAACAAATTAACATATCCATCATCTCACTTAGTTACCCATTTTTCTTTCATTTCTGTGGCAAGAGCAGCTAAAATCTACTCATTTAGCATAAATCCCAAATACAATATAATTTTATTATCTATAGTCTTCATGTTTTACATTAGTTCTCTAGACCTGTTTATTGTACATATCTGCTACTTTTTATACTCTGACTTCATATCCTTGTATACTTCTAATTTCTAATTGTGTATTCTGTCTCCCCATTTTCTCCCCCTGCCATCTGCCCCTGGAAACCACTGTTTTGTTCTATGTATTGGAGTTTTGTTTTGTTTTGCTTTTTTTACATTCTGCATATAAGTGAGAACATGCAATGTATTTTTTTCTGTGTCTGGCTTATTTCCTTTTGCATAATATCCTCCATGTTGATCCATGTTGTGGCAAATGGCAAGATCCCATTCTTTCTTAGATAACAAATATTTATAGTAATACAATAATAATATTCCATTATAACTATATACCACAGTTTCTTTATCCATTTGTCCACTGATGCACACTTATGTTGTTTCCATATCATGGCTATTGTGAATAATGCCGCAATAAACATGGAAGTGCAAATGTCTTTGCAAGATGGTGATTTCATTTCATTTGGGTATATGCCCCGAAAAGGGATTTCTGGGTCATGTGATCATTCTATTTTTAATTTTTTTGGAAACCTCCATCCTATTTTCCATAATGGCTATATCAATTTACATTTCCACCAACGGTATACAAGAGTTCCCCTTTCTCTACACCACTGCCAACATTTGTTGTTTTTTGCCTTTTTGATAATAGCCATCTAACGGGTGTGAGGAACTATCTCATAGTGGTTTTGATTTGCAGTTCCCTGATGATTAATGATGTTGAGCACCTTATCATATACGTCTTGGCCATTTGTATGTCTTCTTTGGAGAAATGTCTATTTATGTCTTTTGCCCATTTAAAAATCAGATTGTTTTGATACTATTGAATTGTATAAGTTCTTTATAAATTTTGGATATTCACTCCTTGTGAGATATATGGTTTGTAAATATTTTTCCCAGCCTGTAGGCTACCATTTCGTTGATTGTTTCCTTTGCTGTATAGAAGCTTTTTAGTTTGACTGTAGTCTGATTTATTTATTTTTGCTTTTGTGGCCTTCTCTTTTGGTGTGATTTCCAAGAAATCATTGCCAAGGCCAATGTCCAGGAGCTTTCCCACTGTGTTCTCTTAGAGAAGTTTTATAGTTCCTGGTCTTATATTTAGGTCTTTTATCCATTACATTTTTTAAAAAAAATTTTCAATAACTTTAGAGGTATAAGTGTTTTTGCTTACATGGATGAATTGTATAGCGAGTAGTGAAGTTTAGGATTTTAGTGTACCCTTTACCCAAATAGTGCACATTGCACCCAACAGGTAGTTTTTCATCCTTCACCTCCCTTCCGCCCTGCCTGCTTCTGAGTCTGCAATGTCTAGTGTACCACTCTGTACACCTTTGTGTTCCCGTGGGTTAACTCCCACTTATAAGTGAGAACTTGTGGTATTTGGTTTTCTGTTCCTGAGTTACTTCACTAAGGATAATGGCCTCCATTTCCAATGAAGTTGCTGCAAAAGACATTATTTTGTTCTTTATGACTGAGTAGTATTCTATGATGTATATATAGCACATTTTCTTTATCCACTCATTAATTGATAGGGACTTAGGTTGATTCCATATCTTTACAACTGTGAATTGTGCTGCAATAAACATATGCATGCAGGTGTGTTTTTTATGTAATGACTTATTTTCCTTCGGGTAGATACCCAGGATAGTGGGATTGCTGGGTCTTATGGTATATCTGCTTTTAGTTCTTTGAGAGATCTTCATATTGTTTTCCATAGAAGTCGTACTAATTTATATTCCCACCAGCAGAGTACAAGTGTTCCCTTTTCACCACATCTGTGCCGATATCTATTCTTTTATCCATTTTGGATTGATTTTTGTGTATAGTGTAAGATGAACCCAATTTCCTTCTTTAGCTTGTGGGAATTCTGTTTTTCTGTCACCCTTTTTTTTTGAGATGGGGTCTCACTATGTTGCCCAGGTTGGCCATGAACTCCTGAGGTCATGTGATCCTCCTTCCTCAGCCTCCTGAGTAGCTAGGACTACAGGCATGTGCCACTGTGCCTGGCTCCAGCAACAGTTGTTGAAGAGACTGTTCTTTATTTACTTATTGTATCCTCTTGGTGCTGTTGGTAGACTGTATTAATTTGGGTTTATTTCTTAGCTCTTTATTCTGTTCCTCTGGCCTATGTGTCTTTTTTTTTTTTTTTTTGCCAGGACCATATTGTTTTGATTGCTATGGCTTTGTAATATAATTTTAAGTCAGAGAGTGTGGTGCCTCCAACTTTGTTTTTCATTCTCAGAATTTTTTTTAGCTATTTGGTTCCATATAAACTTTTATGGTTCCATATAAACTTTGGGATTTTTTTCCTATTTCTGTGAAGAGTGTCATTTGGATTTTGGACCCTTTATTTTTAAAACTATTTTAAAGAAGTAGGTAATTTAGATGCTTGGGAAATCCGAATTAGAGTATCCTTCAAAAGAAATAGACAGGAATGACTTTTTGAATTAGAATTCTTTGTTTTCAGGGTTTGATTTATAATTGAAACATAAGAGTTTCTTTCTCTACATCAGGGTTTTACTACCCTTGACGCTGTTGACATTTTGGTCTAGGTAATTCTTTGTTGTGGAGGATGTCCTATATGCCATTATGGGATAAATAGAAGCATCACTGGCCTCTACCCACTAGATGCCAGTAGTACCCCTCTGCTCCCCCATCCAGTGTGACAACCACTGGGGGACAAAATCACCCCTACTGCTCAACATTATAGGATGAATATTAACAAAAATTAAGGACTGCATTGCAAGTATAACTTATACTCCTCTTTTCTTCTCTTGTTACAACTGTTAGATCTGAATTAGAATTTAATATATGTCCCTTTTGAACAAACCATGAGAAGTCATAAATTAATGGATTAGTTCTTTGGTACTATTATACATTTTATTTTGAGGAAGTGACTATTATAGCAATACCAATCTTTCTGATTTAGTTATCATAGTCAGATGTTTTAATTCTTGCTCTAAAGTTATATCATTTTAAAAATTATACAGGTAATCTATTAATAATTTTAAGAAAATTTGGAAAAATGCAGAAACTTATTAAGAAGAAAATTAAAATCACCTTTAATACTAAAGTTTAGATATAAATAGAAATACATGTACTTTTAAGTCAAGTACTGTTGAAAAATGTAGTGTGGTTTTGGTGAACACTTAGAGACTTTGTAGATTGTAATTAAATCCTCCCTTCCTGGGTTAAAATGGTAAACTGTGATTTTAAACAGTTCTTCATTTTTTTTAAGAAAATAAAGATGCTAGAGCTCATCATTATTTTTACTTCCTTAGGTTTGTCTGAATTGTATAAATAATTGTGATAACATGTACAAGGATATCTCTGAGATAAAAAGGGTTGTTTATGAATGAATTATCCATTTGTGAGATTAATACTAACTTCCTCATATGTGTGTAAAGTAACTTCTTACATAACACATTAAACCTTTCAACTGTTCATGTATAATATATGGCCTAGGTGTATGTGCTTGTATATGTGTGTGTATATATCTATATGTATGTGTATCTGTTTCTAATTTTATAAACAATAAAATCTAGGTTTGAACAGAAGCCATAGTCTTTGCTATATAATTGAAACAACATGTGTTTTGGTGTAGGCAAATTTAAGGAAAGTCGTAACTCTCAAACAATTCATCTGTTTAGAAAATGGTTTCAGGACTTTATATGTTAAACCCATAATTCTATTACAATTGTTGAGTTTTGTAACAAGAAGCATTTGTTCTTTGACTTAAGCCTTTAGCAGAGTTTAACAATTAGAAATTTCTCAGAATGATGCATGCTATCTATTGAAGAAATAGGGGGGGTTGAGAAATGAGCCATTCCTGGAAAGCTGAAGTAATCTTCAAGGTTAGATCTGAATCTTGGCACCCATTGTTTGGGTGGCTATTGGTGATGCGAAAGTGTTAATTTATTTTTGTTTTTATTCTCTCTTTTTGTTTTGTTTTTGTTTTTTCTCTTTTTGTTTGGTTTTTATTTTCTCTTAGAATGTACCATTGCAATTTTGAATGATTTCAAGGAGTTAATAAAATGTCACAAGGTCACAAAAAGTTTTTTTATAAACTACAAATAATCTGTCTAGTATCATTTTACCTAGAAGAGGGAAGCTTTTCATTATTAACTTTTTGCTGAGTTTATTTTTGGAATCATTAGAGGTTTATTGACAAATAGCTGATTTTATTTTGTGTGATACTTATTAAAGGATATGAACTTTCTATAAGGAGGAAGGACATTGTATTTCATACACTATGTTTTCTGTCATATCAAGCATTTTTTTTCTTATAAAAGCTACTGGTATCGTATAACTGGCATCCCAAAATAAGAAGACAGTAATCAGCTGTTCAGCTATCATAGATGAAGAGTGTATTTGATTTAAGAAGGAAAAATCAAACAACTGCTGATGCTATATCTTTTTGTTGTGTTAAAGATGTCTTTTGATAAAGGCTTTTAACTTTGAAATTTCTATTTCTTTCCAAAAGCTAAGAAAAACAAACCTTTTTTTGACTATAGGTTATATGACTGGGACTGTGCCAGGTGCCAGCACGTGCTTCTATTTACAGTAGTCCCCTCATATCCACAGTTTCACTTTCCGTGGTTTGAGTTACCTGAGGTCAGCTGTAGCCCAGAAATATTAAATTGAAAAATCCAGAAATAAACAATTCGTAAGTTTTAAATTGCTCTTCATTCTGGCTGATGTCTGTCCCACCCAGGATGCAAACCATCTTTTTGTCCCACATATCCACCCTGTAGACACTAATCTCCTGTTTGTCACTTAGTAGCCTTCTCAATGATCACATCGACTGTGGTGGTGATCACAGTGTTTGTGTTCAATTAACCCTAATTTTACTGAATAATGGCCCCAAAGTGCAAGATTACTATGTCTAATTTATAAATTAATCTTTATCATATGTATGTATGTATAGGAAAAAACAGTGTGTGTATAGGGTTTGGTACTAAGGTTTCAGGCATCCACTGGGGGTCTTGGAATGTATTCTCTGTGGATAGGGGAGACTGCTATAATTTTTTCCCCCAGCTATTGAGGTATAGTTGACAATTAAAAATTGTATATTTTTAAGGTTTACAACTTGATGATTTGATATATGCATGCATTATAAAATATTCACCACAATCAAGCAATTAACGTTCCATTACCTCATATAGTTAGCATTTTTTCCTTCCCTTCCTATTTTTGTGAGAGTATTTAAGATTTACCCTCTTAGCAACTATGTACAATACAATATTTTTAAATATATTCACATTGTTTTACATTAGATCTTCAGAAGCTATTCATCTTGCATAGCTGAAACTTTGTCCCCCTTGAAATCTATTTATCATCTATCATATATAGATATCTATCTATATATCTATATCTTTTTATCTATCTCCATCCCTCCATCTATCCACACACACACACACACATACATTTATATACATGCACATATATGTATATGTGTGTATATATGAATATTTGAATATATACAGACACGGGTAAAAACATCTGAACATTTTAAGGTTTGAATGGCATAATGGCAGTCTCAAGGGAATGGAGAAAAAGTTCTTGGGAAATACTGATTTTTTTCAACATTCATTGTTTCATCATAGAAATTTGTTTGAATGGAAGGTAGTAAAAGTAGTGGTTTTATAATATAATCATTTTTTCTCCTTTAATTTGGCATTGATGATATATTTTGGTTTTGAATTTAATATGTGACAAGTATATTTTAGCATTTTATTGGAGGAAGTGCTTACTGACTTTTAAATGTGAAAATGCCATTAAGTAAGGGATTCTATTGGTTATCTGAGGACATGGACCCAAAGAAAGAATATGTTTAATGATTTTTAGGAGTGAGAATTTTGCATTTGGTAGCATTGAATAGTTTAAGTGGCATCATTTATGTTTACACATGAAAATATATATTCTTCTATTCCCCTTCCTCTTTCTTTTTTTATGACAGGATTCAGATCTGAGGTCTTTTGAAAGTCCACCTGACATAGGTCATGAAGGACTTGCCTTTTTCTTGAGCAGGAGGTGGCAATCTTAGCATATTTACTTCTAATTAAAACCAGAATCCAATGTTTTACTAGGGAATTTATTACTACTTTTAAGCAATGAGAATTTTGAACTTGGGAGTAGAGTTTTCTTTTATAAACCTTATAGTACATTTGGGCCTCAGAATTAAAAAAAGCTGTTGACTGCCCATTGTGCACTAAAAAGGCTAAAAGTCATCATGTTAGTAGTTTTGTGGCATTCTTTTTCATTATAGTGCTTGTTTTATGGGTTTTATAAAGATGCATTAAAATGTAGCAGCTTCTGTTGGAATAACATCAAATTAAGTTTGTGCCTTTACTGGCCACTTTTTTGTCCTTGACAAAATCAACTGGACTTTTAAAGTGATCCACATGACTGAAGATGGAAATATGTATGCACTAAAGATTCAAAGTCACTGAGGTAGTGGATACATATACCAGAAGTGAAGGGGAAAAGTAGAGTTGATTCCAGACTCTTAATCACCTTTACCAGAAATGCTTGTTTATTTTCTCCCAAATTTTATATATTTTTAAAATTATGTAAACAATCTTTTTACTTTTCACTTTGTCTGACAAGAAACTGGCTTAGCATTTATTTATTCTTGACTTTAGATATATAGCTCTTTTTGAGTAACGAAAATGAAAGTAATGAAACTACTTTAAGAAGTATTTTTCCTTATTACACCACTACTGTATTGTTTATAAATTAGAGAATACAAGGTCGGGCATGGTGGTTCATGCCTGTAATCCCAGCACTTTGGGGGGCTGAGGCAGGTGATCACCTGAGGTTGGGAGTTCAAGACCATCCTGACCAACATGGAGAAACCCCATCTCTACTAAAAATACAAAATTAGCTGGGTGTGATGGCACATACCTGCAATCCCAGCTACTCAGGAGGCTGAGGCAGGAGAATTGCTTGAACCCAGGAGGCAGAGGCTGCAGTGAGCCGAGATTGTACCATTTTACTCCAGCCTGGGTGACAGAGTGATACTCCATCTCAAAAAAAAAAAAAAAGAAAAAAAAATTAGAGAATACAGTTAAATGAATACAAAACAATTACGACTGTGGATGTTGTTAAATTTTATGACTAATTGTGATTGCTAATTCAGAATTTTATATATTTATTTATATACACATACATACTTTAAACAAAATGGGTTATACTGTCCATTATAAGCTTTTCCCCTTACAATATACTATGCCTGTCTTTCTATGGCAATATATATAAATCTACCTCATCATTTAAAAAATACATAATTTATAAATATTTATACAACACATTATAATATGTGCTAGTAGGATTGTTATTGTTTTTAATGTATTTTAATTGACAATTTTATATATTAATGGGGTACAATGTAATATTTTGATCTATGTATACATTGTAGAAAGATTAAATGAAGCTAATTAACATATCCTTCACCTTATCAACTTATTTTTTTTGTGTGGTGAGAACATTAAAAATCTGTTCTTTTAGCAATTTTGAAATATACATTACATTATTATTAACTGTGGTCACTGCGCAGTACAATAGATCATTAAAACTTACTCCTCCAGTCTAATTGAAACTTTGTACCCTTTTACCTCATCATTTTTAATGACGTACAATTTGTGTTTTACACATGCATACACATTATAATTAATTTAATCAGTCATCTGTTGATGTATATCTAATGCTTTCAATAGTTTTTATATTTATAAATCATTGAACTTATTTGTAATTCTTTATATATTAAAAATATAAAATGAATACATTTTTATTAAACCAAAACTGAAAAGTTCCTTTTCATTTCCCTTCTGCAGATGAAATCTCACTCTTGTGCCAAGGTAAATAAAATAGTGAGCAACCTTGCAGTTGGATACAATGTTCAATGCGTTTATAAACATATTTGGTTCTGTTTTATGTTGTTTTACATAAATGAGGTCACTCTGTATATTAGCTTGTAACTTCCTCATTTCAGTTACACGGACATCTTTTCATGTCCAAACACACAGACTTTTGTTCTTCTTTGAGCTATGTACAATTCTATATTTGGATATTTCATTATTTAGTCATTGAGATTGCTTCTAAAATTTCAATTATGGACAGTGTGTTTTTGCAGTGGCTCACTCTGCCTTAGTATATGCCTTTACAGTAAAGCCCATGGGTGTGTATCCTCTTGATCTGTCTGTGACATACATTTTAGCATTTACATTTAATTTCACTTAAGAGTAGTGGTATGTGTTGATCTTGTGGTGGAAAATAGAGGCAGTTGGCTAAATATTCTAGAAAGTTTGCAGAGAGCTTGATCAAATAAGCTCAGAGGAAGAGGTTCCTCACTTCAGGATTACCACATTCATCTAGTACCTTCTTCAACAACCATTTAAATTAACCTTCTCACTGAAAGCCCATTTGGCTAATGGAAGATTTTCACTGACTTTTCACTCTATGAAAATAAATTGATAAAGATTCAGGAGTTATCAGCTCTAGGTATGCTTCTCAGTAATGGATGCTTATTCAAACTTTTACTCTTGTGACAATCAAGATCAGTAGAAGTCTGGTTTTTTGATGGTTCAGATGACAAATTTCAGTGGATAGAAATTGTGTCAACTGCTTTCTGATGAGGTGAAAGCCTGCTCTTTCTGTCCTCTCTTCTCTTCCTCTCCTCCCTCATCCTCAAGAATAGAGAGCCATTTCATATACAGTGGACATTGTTTGCTCCATTAAATAACAATAGTCTTTTCAGACTGACTGCTTATTATCTAAGTGCTTTTGGAAAGAGGGATATAAATCCGCCAATATTTAGGTCACCATTTTTGCTAAAAGTCTTCTAACACATTTGCCTTCTTGCCAAGGTTCAATATACATGTTTGAACATGTGATTTTAAAAAATGTGTGCCCAAACTTTGATCATCATGTCCCATGGCAGAGTCAGTCATTGGTGGGGCCTGAACTTCAGGAATAGTGGGGAGTGTGATTCCTCAAAGGTCTTTTTTTTTTTGAGACGGAGTTTCGCTCTTGCTGTCCAGGCTGGAGTGCAATGGCGCGATCTTAGCTCACTGCAACCTCCACCTCCTAGTTTCAAGCAATTCTCCTGCCTCAGCCTCCTGAGTAGCTGGGATTATAGGCATGGGCCACCACGCCTGGCTAATTTTTGTATTTTTTTTAGTAGAGACAGGGTTTCTCCATGTTGGTCAGGCTGGTCTCGAACTCCCAACCTCAGGTTATCTGCCCGCTTCAGCCTCCAAAAGTGCTGAGATTACAGGTGTGAGACAACATGACCGACCCTTGTTTTTATTTTAACTTAAGTAACATGCTCATTGTAGAAAACTTCATATGAAGTTTGCATTAAGAGGGAAAAAGTATTTTCTATTTTTGCCACTGAGAGCTTTAACCAAATGAGTATTTTAGGATTTTTTTTAGCCTTTTTACTGTGAATTTATATGCAGTAAAAGTGGATTCATATTGTATTTATTAATTTAAAGTCCTTTTCTCACTTAAAAATATTGTGAGCATTTCCCCAAGTCAATAATTATTCTATTGCAATATAAATCTAAATGGTCGTAAAGAATTCTGTGGTATACCCCTATTAGTGGAATTGTTTCTAATATTTTGCTTAAAAAATACTGTGGTTATAAATTACCAGTATTTGAATCTCCATGAGTGTTCATTTCTGATATTTCTTTAGAATCAAATCCCAGGACTGGATAATTGGGACAAAAAGCTTTTGACGCATACTTTAAATTGTCTTATGTCACAGAGATGGGCTTAATTTATGTTTTCATTAGCTGTGTGTAATATCTGTGCCAATACCAGGTAGTATCATTTTTTGAAAGTTTTTAAAAGTTCCTAATCTTCATCAGGCAAAAGTGACATCTTCTTATATTTGCATAATTTATAATAATAATAAAAAATATATTGGGGACTTACTTGGTGCTACTACCTACGACTACGCTAAGGATTTAAACTAAACTTTCTCATTTAATCCTTAAAACAACCCTGTAAAATAGGTGATCATTCTCCTTTTAGGCATGAGAAAATTTAAGATTTGCAAGATTAAGCAATCTGCCCATGAACACACAGCCTATGAGTGGTGGGTTATCTTTTTAACTTTTTTTTTTTGAGACAGAGTCTTGCTCTGTCACCAGGCTGGAGTGCAGTGGTGCAATCTCGGCTCACTGCAACCTCTGATTCCCTGGTTCAAGCGATTCTCCTGCCTCAGTCTCCCAAGTAGCTGGGATTACAGGCACGTGCCACCATGCCCCAACTTTGCCTAATCATACAGATGTTTTAATTTTTTATGATATCAAATATTTTAATCTTTTGTTATGGCTTCTGATCTTTGTATTCTCATTAAGACCTTTCCTATACTAACATTCTAAAATATTTAATGTCTTTTCTTAAATTTATTTTTAGATATGGACTAGGCATGGTGGCCCACATCTATAATCCCAGTGCTTTGGTTGTCTGAGGCAGGTGGATTGCTTGAGGCCAGGAATTCAAGACCAGCCTGAGCAATGTAGACCCCATCTCTAAAAAAATATAAAAAATTAGCCAGGCATGGTGGTGCTGCACACCTGTAGTCTCAGCTGCTTCAGAGGCTGAGGTAGGAGGATCCCATGAGTCCAGGAGTTTGAGGCTGCAGTGATTGTGCCACCGTACTCCAGTCTGGGTGACAGAGCAAGACCCTGTCTTAAAAAAGTATTTTTTAAAGATTTGGTTTACAGTAGGGCTCCAGTTTTCCCCCCAAACATTTATCCAGTTGTCCAGGCACCTTTTATGAATATTCTTTTCTCATATGCTAAATTCCCATAGTCATTAATTTGTTTTTAGACTATTTATTTCCTTTGACTTATTTGTCTGTAGTTTATCTATAATGAATGCCATACCATATAAAAATATTAATGTACAGTATGTTTTGCTGTGTAGGAGGGCTAATCATTCTTCATTGTTCTTTTTTTTTTTTTTTGAGACAGGATCTTGCTATGTCACCCATAGTGGAGTGCAGTGCCATGATCATGGCTCACTGTAGTTTTGACGTCCTGGGCTCAACTGATCCTCGCACCTTAGCTTCCTGAGTAGCTGGGACAACAGGCAGGCGCCACCATGCCTGGCTAATTTTTTTATTTTGTAGAGATGAGGTCTTGCTGTGTTTCCCAGGATGGCCTTGAACTTGGCTCAAGCAATTCTCCCACCTTGACCTCCTAAAGTTCTGGGATTACAGGCGTGTGCCACTGGGCCCACCCATTGTTCTTCAAAAAATTTCTATGTTATTTTTGCTCCTTTTCACTTCCCCCTTGAACTTTAAAAGATAGTTTATTGAGTTCCATGAAAAAAATTGTTTTAGAATATTATTTGGCATTGCATTAAATCTATAAATTATTGTAATGCATAACTGGCATGTTTGTGATACAATTTTTCCCATCCAGGAACACAGTATATCTTATTTATTTAGATATTCTTTTATGTCTTTCAGTAAAAAAATTTTACGTTTTACCTGTATTAGTTTTTTGGTTGGTTAGATCTTCTCTGTCTCTTTCCTTCCCACCCCACTTGCTCACTTCCTTCTTTTCTTCCATTTATGTGCCAGCACCCTGGTAGGCACTATGGATACAAAATCGAGGTCTGTGGCTTCTTTAAGTTTGGGGAGGGAGATAAACATTAAGTAGATAATGATTAAGTAGATAGCAATAGGTGTCAAATCACAACCATTACGAGGGAAAAGATACCATGTTAATAAGGGTGTATCTTAGGGGTATATTACTTAATTTGACCTTACTTAATGTAGCCTTCCTGAGCAAGTCAAGATCTCGAAGTTGACCTAGCGTTAGTGTGTTAGGAACCTAATTGCTTGGTGGCTATTGTGAATGAAATCTTTGTTTTATTACTTTAAAACATTTTTTGGAGGGGAGGGCAAGGAGAAGACTAGGTAGGCAAAGCTATGTTGATAGTTATTTTTCCTACACAATATATAACATTCCACTCTACTCTGGCTTCCATTGATAGAAAGAAGTTAGGTTTCAGTCTTTTTCTATTTGCTTTTGAGACATTCTCTGTGCTTCTGCAGTTTCTTATCAGGTATCTAAGGGATGATTTATTTTTATTTATCCCACTTGGGATTTATTGGACTTAAAACTGGATTAGCATTGGTGACTTTCAACAGTTCTGGATAATTCTCAGCCATTATTTCTTTGAATGTTGCTTTTTCCATATTTTCTCTATTATGTACCTGTGAAAATCCAGTTAGATATAAGTTAGACAATCTTATGCTATTCTTTATGTCTCTTAACTTCACATGTATTTTCCATTCATCTCTAGTATTTTGATGCATCTTGGATTTTTTTAGATTTATTTGTTTTGCTTTCTAAATCACTGCTATTTAGTTACAAATTCTTATTAAAACTGCTCTTAGAGTTTTGTTAACTTTGTTCACTCTTAATTATTATATTTTTTATTTCTCAAATTTCTGTTCTTTTAAAAATTTCGCTTGGTCATTGATAAGGTCTCTTAATCATTTTTAATACCTGCTTTTATTTCCTTAAACAGAAAGTGTAATATTTTTATATTTTCTGTCAATTTCAGTACACGAAGTCTTTGCAGTTTTCATCTCATTCTCTATTATTTTTGCTGTTTCTTGGTCATGTTACCTTCAATTTTTTGTGTATTGTAACTTTGACTTTGAGGTCATATTCTTTTGAACATTATCAATGGGAATGATTGGTGTCTTTCTTCAAAGATTTGAGTAATCTTTTGTCAGATGTTTGGTGGTACTTCCAACCCAGTATCACTTTATACTAAAATCACAGACTGAGGTTTCTTGGGTCGTCCAATAGAATGAATTTAGTCTGCAAACCCACATTAAAATCAGTTTGGGGTTTATGAATTCCTAGGATAGATTTTTTTTTCCTTCATCTGGTTCCAGGTTTTGAGATGTGTACTTTATTTTGCTTTCTCCTGGGCTTGAGGGGGAATGCTATTTACAAGTTCTCCTTACAGTAGAGGTAGAGCTCTTTGTGGTCTTTGCTTTGTACTGGGGAGATAAAGTCAATATGAGGATCTACTAGATTCTCCACAAAAGGTGGTCCACAAGTTTTTTCTCCTTTACTGTATCTCATTTGAGAGCAGGAAAACTGAAGCTTATGGTTGTCTGATTTAGGAAAATGCCCAACAGCTCTTTTTACCTTTATGGGGTTCACACTTTTACTTAGTTTTTAGCTTCTAAATTTTATTTACTTTTTTTTTGCAGCATATTGATGTACTTAAAAGTACTGCTTTGAACAAACATTTTATACAGTAATTTTAGTCTGAGAATCAGGGTCTTATATGCTATTCTCCTCCTCTACTTGTCCCCTACTTATTGTTTGATTTTATTTACATTTGCAAGCAATTAACAAAGAATTCAGCATCAAGTTTTGTCTGCTAAAGTGAAATATTTAACATTTTATATTTAAATTAGATGTTACTTATAAGCATATAAAATGCTATGGTAATGATAGACCATGTTAAATTTGGAATCAGAAAGGAATTTAGAAATTATGTCATTAGGTACCTACACTATGCATAACATTCAGTTGGAGAAACAGTAGGAAGGTTAGAAGACGTAGTGTTGAGTTCTGGCCCTGCTACTTACCAGCTGTGTGTCCTTTAATAAATCATTTGAACTTTCTTGAGCCTTAGGTCTCTCCACAGTAAATGAGGACAATAATTCTTGACGTTCCCAAGTTATAGAATAGTTGGATGTGCTAATAATGTATGGACCACGTTGTAAATGGCTATTACTGTTAATTCGGAAGTCTTTCATTTGGTTCTGTTAATTTCATTGGACTTCTGTTAGAAAAGGTCATCAATGTATTCATAGATTGCTACCGTTGTTCCTCAAACCCTCTTAAAACCTGTCTCAATTCTTTAGCCTTCCTTGTTTAATTTCCTCCTTGTATGACATTGGAGCTCAGTTAACTTTTAGAGCATAGAGCAGAAACCAAGAATTTTGAAAGCTGATTTAGAAATATCTATTGGAATACACAAGGAGTGTTACATAGTTACACATGTCCTTCACATTCATATCTGATGCAGCTGAATTCCTGTTTTAAGGCATAAAATAAAGCCAGTCTTTGATAGAGAATAGTAAAAGCCTATGCAGTATCCAATTAATATTGGGAAGATTTTTAATGGGATCGTACTGCCTACTTGTCAGCAGAGGGAGCCTTTGTCTCACTTTTTGATTCCAGAACTCTTAGAGTAGTGAGATTTTAACAAGTCAGAATATTTATGGAAAATGTCTGTTTCCTCACCTAGGCCTGAATAGGAACCAGTTTTTCTTTTGTTCCTGGAAGAGAAAAACTTTTTGTGTTTGTTTTCTGAGTTCTTTATAATAGTTGTTCCCAAGTTCCTTAAAAATGGTTAATGCTGAGTTGTAACAGAGGTTCTCAATTACTATCCTATGTTAAAGTTTTGGATGGTCTTAAGATAATGGACGAAAAAGAGCTAATGTAAGTAAGTTAAAGCTAAAATTTATTCAGTTAGAGGACTACACTTAGTGATGACATTTTTTACTTCCTACTTATTTGTATTAGTATTGTCTTTTAAGAGAATATTGGTGATTATAATCTATTTCTTTAAAAAATTTCCTGACTGGGGCCAGGCGGAGTGGCTCACACCTGTAATCTCAGCACTTTGGGAAGCTGAGGCGGGCAGATCACCTGAGGTCAGGAGGTTCAAGACCAACCTGGCCAACCAACATGATGAAACCCTGTCTCTAATAAAAAATACAAAAATTAGCCAGAAGTGGTGCCACATGGCTGCAGTCCCAGCTACTCAGGAGGCTGAGGCAGGAGAATTGCCTGAACCCGGGAGGTAGAGGTTGCAGTGAGCCGAGATTGTGCCACTGCACTCCAGCCTGGGTGACAGAGTGAGACTCCATCTCAAAAAACAAACAAACAAATAAACAAACAAACATCCTGATGGGCTTTTCACAAGGCTGACAACCCTACGATGTTCTCCAGTAGTTTCTGAAATGTTACAGGTGAATGAAATTCATGAGCCTGGGAATCACTGTTTTACTGAGTACTTTAGCAAATAAAAATTGACATTTCTGAATTGAACCATTTCCAACTTCCTGGCACATTTTTTCCTAACCTTCCTCTGGGATCTTTTCTATCCTTTGGTATGTAAAGAGTGAGACTTAATAACTAAATTATCTGATATCCAAGGTATAAATAAGTATGGGTGCTGGGGGAAGTTGGCTTGATACTTTTTTTAAAGCATGCTAAATTTTGGTTTAAGATTGCCATACATTCCTACCATGTTCTATGTACTGTACCAGGTAGTTAATACAGGTTCCCTCCTCCCCTCCTTTAGTCTTTCTAGCAACCCATTGCGGTATAGAGGTTATAATAAGGCTTATTTTGCATTTGAAGATACCAACTGGATGAAATTAAACAAAGTACCCAAGTCACATATTTAGGATGTGTCTGTGAAAGCCAGAATTCAAAACCTTATCATCTTGTGTTTCTGAATCAAAAATCACTGCCCTTTCCACTACTTATTGGTACTATATCTACATTTGATACTCTTTCCATATTTGTTCAATTTGTTGTTTTATGATATACCATCCTGCTTTGGAAACAGGGAACAGTCAGGGAGTATCCTAATTAGTGCCCCTTTTTGGTACTTTGCCTGCTGATAATAATCTCTTGTTTTGTATTGAAAAGAAAAAGACTTTGTACCCAGGCTCTAATAATTACTAGAGCTTTAAGTTTAATCTGAGTATGCTTTTGAAGTCAGAGTTTTATGAAATACTAAGGGATCTAAGGATCATTCTGCTCCTTTGGTGTCCACTTTGGGCTTCCACAATTTATTCTTTGTGGTTGAATGATTTTTCTCCTAATTTGTATATTTTCCTTGTAGAGTTCTCAGCCATGCTTCCTTTATTTCCTATATTTTTTATATTGTCTTTCCAGTAGGCTTTATCTCTTTATTTTATTTTTTTAAGAGCAGATTTAACCTTAACCTTTCCCCTCTCTTCTTAACAGATCTTAGTGTTTCTAGTGTTAGGCATACAATGAGTACTTAGTCTTTTGACTTAGTTCTAACTCTGTAATACCAAGATGGATACTAAACTCTGTAATAATTTTGAATCACAGTCTCTTAAGTGTCACATACCAAAACTAATTATTTCAGGACTTTCACCTTATATTATTTTTACTTTGATGCTATTCATTCATTCAGTAAATACTTTTGGTTCTAGTGGATGCGAGGGACTATCAGGGATGGAGAGGCATGGTGAATAAAACATAATGGCAGTTCTTATGGAATTGTCATGTGAATATGGTGATACTTTCAAACATTTTGGTCCTCTTGATGGTAATTGACATATTGCTAATCTAGAACTACAGTTTAACATAGTTTCTTGCTTTTATGATGGTTCAGTTTAGTTAAACAGATATTTTTGGAGCACTAACATATAAGAGACTGTGCTCAATGCTATGAGCTAGATAATGAAAAGAAAATAAACATCTTTAAGGACTTAAGATATAAGGACATTTAGGGCAGGGTTATTTTACTTGGAGTATTTGGCTGATGGGGCTGGGTGAGAGGGAGTACTATGTTCATTTAGCAGACATACACTGAGGAGTTCTTTTGGATATCTTGTTTATGAATTTATACTTAATTCTGGAGGTACTGGAGTATCTTGGAAGTTTTTGAGTGGGTTGATAACATGATTGCATTTGTATATTAAGATGAATATTTTGGTATATTTGTATGTATGACTTTTACTAAACGTGGTATTTTAACTACTTCCCTTAGAAGAAACCAAGGACATTTAAGAGATCAAACAATGGCTAAATGGCACATTGAAGTCTGTGATAGGAATGGACAGTTCAGGAAATTTAGTGTTGTAACTATCCCTAATTCATTTTGATTTGCCTTTTAAAACCATGTAAGTTTAAATCATGTTGAAACTCAGCTGATAATTTCCTGGCTTTAGTTGTTTTTTTTTTTTTCCACAACATTAATTAATTGGTCACAGTGAGTTCAGTGTAAACTAAGGTTTTTTTCTTGTTTCTTCTTTTGAGATGCTAATGATTTAAGATTAAGAGAGTTGATAATATGTAAAAAGCAAATATTTAGCTTTTGAAGTTAACGCTTTATGGGACTGATATTATTGCAAGTGAGGAATATTTATACAAAATAAAGTATTTAATTTTTTTTGTTTTTAAATATTTTTGGGAGTATTCTCTGGGGTCTTATCATGATTGGCTATTACCTTGAGTAGTTTACCTTAGTTTGAAACTGGTTATATTTTTAAAATTTATGCCTCAACGTTATACTCATTCTTTAATAATTTTTCTTTTGGATACAGGAGAAGAAAGGAATGCTAAAGTACACGGGTTCTTCTGTATGATGTTGTCTGTCTTGTCTTTCTTAGGGAGTCATCCTGTAAGAAAATATCAATATTGGGGTGGGGGAAGGGAGAGAGAGAATACGAATGTGAATATGTGTGTGTGTTGGGGTGAGGGTGTGCAGACAGAGACAGCTCATTCCCCATTCCCAGATTCTGACACACTCACAATATTCTTCTTTAGAGAGTTCAATAGTTAGCATGTTAAGGAAATTGCTATTTTGAGGAAAGTTAACTTAAAATAGTCAGAAAATCATTTGAACAGCCAACAGTTCCCACAGACCTAAGTTCCGAGAGACTTCTCATATTTTTTAAAGTCTTAAAACCCCCCCATTTTTGGCAAAAAAGATGAATTTCTGAGTGTATATGTATGTGTGTGTGTGTGCATGCAGTCTTTCTCATGTTAAATTTTATCCATTTTTCTCTGAAAGAATTTTTTCCCTTGATTTTTAAGTTTTTCAATTTTAAGTTTGGTCTATAAGGAATAGAATAACCCAGTAATATCAATTACTTAACATTTAGTGAATGCTTGCTAGGTACTAGGCAGTATGTATTTTAATTATATTTAATCCTTATTGCAGTATCATGTAATATTCTCTTCTTACCATTACTTTACAGTTGAGGAAACTGATAGAGCTCCCAGGGGTCTGGGATAAGGATGCAGCAAACTTGTCCTCAAGTTGTGGCTCTGCCATCAGTTCTGATGAACATGTCATCTTCATCACCAGTGTCTCTCTGCACCCAGTCCCTCCCCTCCCAACACCTTCCACCCACCTCTTTTTAAATCCATGTCTCGATGCATGGTGTTCCATCTGCTTTTGCTTCTCTAATTGCTTGGGAAACTCTTTCTCAACCTGCAAGACCCAGTGTTCTGAAGCTTTTAATCATCCTTCCATAGCCTTTTAAATTACTTTAATATATCTCTGTTCTTACATTGTTGTACTATTTAATTAACTCCCATGTTCACCCAACTTTCTGAGAGTAGCGACTGTGTCTCTCCTAGCACATACTAGGTGTACAATGAATGTGCATGGAATTTGTTGAATGAATATGAGTTATGGAAAATGTTATCAAAACTTTCATGATCGTTCCATCTGACAAAATAATTCACCCAATATTTTGTGGATGCAAGCAATAATATAATGTTTAGGGCCTTCTTTTAAACTCTAAAATTGCATTCATATTGAACCTATCACATATAATGCTAATTTAATCAATGGTTGTAATTTTCTTATATTATGTTATTAACCTTGTTCACAGTTTAGGGGAAAAGATTGTGATAAATAGCTTGACAGAACACCTAGTAATGGTCTTTGTGAGGCAATTAAAATTTGCTATTAAAATTAGACACATTAAAATGTCAAAAGACAAGTTCATAGGAGAAGTTAATATGTAGACTTAAATTTTATTTTCTTGTATCTTAAAGCAATTAGTCTCATGAGGCTATTTATTGGAGTAACACTTGAATTATAGTTGAGAATTTGTGTAACTTTCCCTGGTACATCATTTAAAATATTAGCTATTCAGCTCAACATATGCATTCTATTTATTCATTTCTTCTGTTTACTTCAGGTTTTAAAATGTATTTATTTATGCCTAAGGTTTTAAACTTAGAATCTAATTGGATATTGCATTATTATTAGGCACTAATTATCTTTAGAATGTTCAAACAATAACAGAATATGAGGGAGAGAGTAATAAGAAAGAAGCTAGCTATTCTTTCATCTAATTACCAATTATTAGTTACTAAGCATAGCCAAATAGTAGCATGATCTCAAAACTATGATAGTAGTTTTATTTGCATGATGATATGAGTGAAAAGTACAAAAATGATATTTAATGGCAAATTTACAATCCAGCAACCTCTAGATATCCATCTGCTATTTGTTTTTAAGGCAGTATCTGTTGGAATCCTACTCTGAATATTTTTATGTCTTTGTTCATAGCAAACATGTTGTATCATTTTTGAGGTAGGTTTGCAATAAAGATTAATGTGTTAGTGTTTCAGTCTTTCTGTAACAATAACAAATTTTTTTTCCGTGCATGCGTAAAATGAACAAAATGAGCGGAAGTTCCACAGACTTTTGGACTCTTCTGTTCTTATGCATCAGTCTCTTGATGTTTCCTGTCTGCCTTTTTGACTACCTATACAGCTGTTTTTTGTGTGTTTTTCAGACTTGGAGAAAGACCAAATATTTTTGACAGCTGCATGCTGAACTGCATATATGCTTGGCCATAGGTCACGTTTGCATTTCTTCACTTGTATTTTTACTCAATGTGTAAAAGAAATATGAGCATAGAGAGATTCAAAAAACATGTAGCATGCTGAGTAATGGTAGTTTTCTTTCATGTTTGCTACACCACTTACTCTGCTGTATATATTCCACAGGAAGAGAAAGACAGAGAAATGGAGGACATGGCATTCAGGACTGCCCTCCATGAGGCCCTTGTTGCCATAATAATGAAGGATGGAACATGCTCTGGGTCATGCATGGTAGAAAGAACTTCTGGGCATGGGGACACACACACACACACACACACACACGCGTACACTCCTACACTTCATGAATAGATTGTAATTTTCATGAATAGATTATAATTTAATAGAGAAGACTGTTAAATTTAGCAGTATGATTAACATTTAGTTGATTACCAGTTTATGCATCATGTTAAAGCTTTGACTATATGATATTTTAATGCCAGAAAATGAGACATACTATTGAATAAATGTTCATGACATGAAGCTGCCATAATGGAACTTTTCTGCCTCTACCCCCCATCCCCACAGGCATGAATTTTTTTTTTTGCCTTTGAAAATGAAAAATAATTGATTTTTAAAATCCTCTCAAATTGATCTTGGTCAGTTCTTTCTCAATTTGTTTCCAGATCTTACAAGTAATATTTCAAATCACAACAGTTGTTTTTCTCTTATTGTGCTCAAAATGACTAGAATAAAATCCAGATTTTAAATTCTGTTGAAATCTCCTAGTTTTTTTCCGATTTAAAAATTATTTTTTCCTGTATGGTTTAAGCATAATTTTTGAGGAGTCATTGTTAAGATATTGTCATCTTTTCAATTTGTGCTTTTATGTTTCATGCTCTGTTGGTGAAACATGATCCATTGCACTGTGGATCAAGTATAATTGCCTCTGCATCTTTTTCTGTGTTCCTTTTCTGTCCAATAATTTCCCTCTACTTTTACCTTTGACTGCTATTCACTCTGCCAATCTTTTGCAGTCCAGGGTGCATCGTATCTGTCATGAAATCTTTCCTGGAAATTTTATTGTAATGCAGTTCTTTGATTTTCTGCAGTGTTTAGTCTGTTTTACACCACTTAGATTTTGTATGTTAATGCATATTATTTTAATAAATGGATATAAATTTTCCTTCCCAGGGTTTCAGTGTGTTATAATGGAGCCAGATGGATTCCTATTTGAATATTTGTTGTCACTTTCTAATTCTTTGACATTAGACAAATTGTTTAAGTTCTGCAGGTTTCAGTCTTCTCGTGTATAAAATGGGACTATTGTCTCTTTTTTAGAGTTACTAAAAATTATAACTAATAATGCTGTTTAAATGTTTAACAGAAGGCCAGAAATGTAACAGGTGCTCAGTAAATGGCTGTAGTAGTTAATATTGCTGTTGTTCCATATTTCTTACAGCTCCTGATATAATACTGAGCATGTGGTAAAGACTCTTTGAGTATGGTTCATGGCAAGGTCATTTAAATAGCTTCTGAAATCCCATTGCTTTTGTGAAGGCTTCCTGTTGGCTCTGTTCTGTCAGAATGACAAAACTTTCATGGCTTTTTCTGGACTGTTCTTTCTATTCCCATTATCTGTAAGGGGAGCCTTTGGTATGTATTCTGAAGTGGTTTCCAAAACAGTGATTTGAAGGATTTATTTATTTATTTTTGAGTAATGTTTTGGATCAATCTCTACATATTTCTAAACATCAGTAGCCAAGATTGTAATAAATAAAGCATTTTTCACATACTTTGTATGCAGAGTGAAACACATGGAATAAAATCTCAGCCAATCTGAGGTACAGATGAATAAATTATTTTGCCTAGCTTACTTCAGCTCAACAGACATTTATTAATGTATCTCCTATGTGCCAGGCATTTTATAGTTGCTGGATTTACAAAGATGAGTAAGATATGGTTTCTGCCTTTGAGTTAGTCCAGGGCAAATGAGAGACACAAAAACAGATCATTTCAATAGATGACGTGTTCTAAGATGGAGGTGGGACAGGGGCTCTGTGGGATCTCAGATGGTGGGTGATTGAAGCGGAATGAGAAGACTTATGGAAAGATGTGAGTCTTAGCTTGTGATGTCTCTCAGAGGAAAAATGCGCTGATCTACTTGATTCAGGGACAGAGACCTGACTCAAAGTGACTTCAGTATCTACAGGAATGAATTGCCTGCAGAGTTCAGAGGAAGATTTGGCTCCAGGTGAGGCTTGATGCACTGGCTCAAACAGTGTCTACCATGGCTCTCTCTTAACTGCTTTTGGAAAAGCCAAATGGCCTCTGTGATTCCATACCGTATGCTCCTCACGCATTACTCACCAGGGAAGAGTAACTTTTCCTCTAGTTCCAGCTCAAATTAGGGAGTTCATTTTTCTCTCATTGGCTGTAAATTATCCCTGAACCAATCACTGTGACTACTGGGGTACTAATTGGTTTACATAAGTCAGGGCCTTGCCTCAAGCTTAGAGTGAGGTCAGTCTCACCCAAACCTTATGGCTGAGCATGAGGAGAGGGGAATGGATAACTAGGGGGAAGCTAGCAAATGTTTGCTAGATGAGGGGGAGAAAAGTTAAAGGATCTTTGGAGGAAAGAAAATTGTGTAAACAAAAGCAAGGAAGCATGCATCATCATGATGTGTGTGGGAAATAGCAAGCAGTTAAACATTAATACAACATGTAGTATAAGAGTTAGAAAATAATTATAGAAATAATAATGTGTTTGGGTATTTTCCACTGCTAGGTCTAGTTTCCATACATTATTTTATTTAATTCTCACAAGTTACTGAAGTAGTTACTCCATCTTGCAGATAAGGAAACTTGAGTCTAAGCTCACAGCTAATAATTGGTGGAGCTGGACTCAAACCTAGATTATTTGGCTTTAGAGGCAGCCACTTGGACTTGAATATATTAAGTGTTCTCCTCTATGTTGCTAGAGTTTCAGGAAATAGGACCTGTTCTACTATGCTATATTAGGCTGTTCTCGCATTGCTATAAAGAAATACCCATGACTGGTAATTTATAATTGGCTCACAGTTCTGCAGGCTGTACAGGAAGCATGATGCTGGCATCTGCTTGGCTTCTGGGGAGGCCTCAGGAAACTTACAATCACGGTGGAAGGCAAAGGAGGAGCACACATGTCACATAGTGAGAGCAGGAGCAAGAGAGGGAGGGGGGAGGTGCTACACACTTTTAAACAACAAGATGTCGTGATAAATCACTCACTATCATAAGAACAGTACCAAGGGGATGGTGCTAAGCCATTCATGAAGGACCACCCTCGTGATCCAATTACCTCCCTCCCTCCAGGCTCCACCTCCAACATTGGAGATTACAATTTGACATGAGATTTGGACAGGGACACAGATCCAAACCATATCATATGCTAACAGGCCAGGTTTTCTCTGGGGCTCAAGCTTTCTTCAGGCCTTACTTTTTCATCCTATCATGCTAAGGTAGTGGTTCTGAAACTTTAGCATGCACCGTAGTAGTCTCTAGGCTTGTTAAAACCTAGCATTTCTGGGCTCTGTGACCAGAGTTTCTCATATGGTAGGCCTAGATTGGTATCTTAGAATTGGCATTTCTGAGAAGTTCCTAGGTGATGCAAATGGTGCTGGTCTGGGGGCCACATTTTGAAGACCACTTCTTTGAGGTCTTTGGGAGACTGAAGATTTGTGGTTCGATGATACCACATATTGAAATGAACACAAATTTTATTGGTACTTCTGCTTGCAAGTACACATGTTCTGAGCTTACAGTCTTCAATAACACAGATATCAAGAGTATTATTTTGGTTACCATAATATCTTCCACCGCAGGTCAAGGTCATTGCATAAATATTTCATATCTTAATAGAAAATATATCGACATTTGTATTTACATACAAAATGTATATATTTAGACTTAATTTTTTTATATTTTTGTTGTGAAAAAGTATATAGAAAAAGTAAAATGAAAACCCATATTTCTACCACATCAAGTTGTAAATATATATGTATTTATACACTTTTTTTGATGAACCATTTGAAAGTGAGTTACACATCTTGCACCACTTTACCATAAATACGTCAGCACACATCTCCCAATGAGAATATTCTCTTACATTTCACAACGCCATGATCACTTAAGAAAATTAGCAATAATTCCTTAATGTTATCTAACATGCAGTCATATTCAAATTCCCCCAATTGTCCCAATATCTTTCCTATACCTGTTATTTTTGGTACCAGGGTTCAGTTAAGTGAAACTAAATTTTAAGAGACAGCAATGCTGGATGGATCTTTAGGCTCAGATTAGGTTCTGTGTTATTTAAGATCTGGGTTTGGTTGCTTTAACAAAGACTAGACTTAATGATGGCTTAAATAAGAAAGATGTTTGGCCGGGCGCAGTGGCTTAATCCCTGTAATTCCAGGACTTTGGGAGGCTGAGGTGAGCGGATCACCTGAGGTCAGAAGTTCATGACCAGCCTGGCCAACATGGTGAAACCTCATCTTTACTAAAAATACAAAAATCAGCCAGGGGTGGTGGCGAGCTTGTAATCTCAATTACTCGGGAGGCTGAGGCAGGAGAATTGCTTGAACCCGGGAGGAGGAGGTTGCAGTGAGCCAAGATCGTGCCACTGCACTCCAGCCTGGGCGAGGGAGCGAGACTCCATCTCAGAACAAAACAAAAAGATGTTTATTTCTGTCGTGTTTAACCATCTGGAGATAAAGGAGTCTAGGGCTGATAGAGAGGCTCTGCTGTCCACAATACGTGACTTTCATCTCTGAGGCCAAGACAACTGCTCCAGCCTTACCATGATGCTACAAAGAGGGGAGGGAAGTGTATAGTTGGTCCATGTAAGGGCATGTCTGCAAGTTGTATGTATAACCTCTGCTCCTATCTTGTTGAGAAGAACATAATAATATGATGCGTCTGTAAATAGAGGACTGTAAGTGGAAGCTTTATTTTGGATGGCCATGTGTCTAGTGATAATTCATGATTCTACTACTAAAGAAAGAATGGCTGTTGGGGGCAGCAGTTAGCATCTCTGCCAAAAGTTCTTTTTTGCAAAAAAAGAGCTATACCAAACTATATTAAATCCACTTAACAATGATATTTCTCTTTTTGAGATATATAGGGCTCATAATTGCTCCTATGCTAACTGAGCCCAGACAGATGTTCTTTTTTGGATTATTTGATATGTGTTTTATAGATGTTCTCTTTTATTTTTGTTAGGGCATTAGCTGTCATTTCTCACAGCTGACAGTGTCTTCACCCCCTTTCTAATTTACCACTTTCTTTTTTTCTGGGCTAGGGAAGCAGGTAATAATAACCCTCTTAATAATGCTATAATTTATTCTGTGTCTTATGTGTGCTATACCATGTTAGGGACTTTGACATCTTTCCTCTAACTTTGGAACTCTTTTTCAGCATTATTGAGATATGATTGATAAATAAAAATTATATATCTTCAAGGTGTGTACAATGTGATGTTCTGATATACATATACATTGTGTAATGATTACCAGAATCAAGCTAATTAATATTAGTATGGATCACTTCTCATAATTATCTTCTTTTTTGTGATGAGAACAAAGATCTATTCTCTTAGCAAATTTCAAGTGTCCATTATTATTCACTGTAATCACTGTGCTGTGCATTAGGTCTCCAGAACTTACTCATATTATAACTGCAAGTGTATATCATTTGACCAATATTTCCTTGCTTTCCCCATCCCTGACCCCTGGTAAGCACCCTGCTACTCTCTGTTTCTATGAATTTGACTTTTAAAAAATATTACACGTATGAGTGAGATCATGTAGTGTTTGTCTTTTGTTGTCTGGCTTATTTCATTTAGCATGATGTTCTCTAGGTTCATCCATGTTGTTGTAAATGGTAGGATTTCTTTCTTTTTTTCTAACATGTGAGGTGATATCTCATTGTGGTTTTGATTTACATTTCCCTGATAATTAGCAATGTTGAGCACCTTTTCATATACCTGTTGGCGATTTGTATGTCTTATTTGGAAAAATGTCTATTTTAGTCCTTTGCCCATTTTTGAATTGGTTTATTTGTTTTTTGTTATTGAGTTGTGTGAGCTTCTTATATCTTTTAGAGACTAATTGCTTATCAGATATATGATTTGCAAATATTTTCTCCCATTATGTGTTTTTTTGTTGATTGTTTTCTTTGCTGTGCAGAAAATTTTTAGTTTGATGTAGTCCTCCCCTCTATTTTTTGTTTTGTTGCTTGTGCTTTTTGTGTCCTATCCAAAAAATCATTGCCAATACCAATGCCATGAAGCTTTTTACCATATGTTTACCTTCTGGAAGTTTTACAGCTTCAGATCTTTGGTTTAAATCTTTAATCTACTTTGAGTGGATTTTGGTTGTATAGTGTAAGATAAGGATCTTTTTTTTTTTTTTTTGCATGTGGATATCCAGTTTTCCCAGCACCACTTATTGAAGAGACTGTTCTTTCACCATTGTGTATTCTTGGCGCCTTTGCTGAAGATTAGCTGATAACCTTGGAGCTCTTATACAAATATACTCATTTTACAAATGAGAAGGCTGAAGCTACAGGAATATCAGTAACTTGTTTATAAAAACGACAATTCTTAGAACCATAATTAAAATAAGAATTGATGCCCTTAGTGGGACCTGGGAATCCTACCTTTGAAAATTTGCATGATTTTTATTACAAAGACCTTGCAGCATTTATTTTAACTACTTAGAGGCATTTTTATACTTACTCATTTTTGCTGATTGCAGACAGGTAGGTTTGCCAGATAGCTAGATGAGATTCTTTTTGTCTGATTGTGTCTCTGTGAATACATGTGTACAGCATGCATATACATACAACATGCATATAAACTCACATCTTTTTTGGAAACTTTTAATAGCATAGTGGATAAGGATAACATTAAAAAAACAAAGCTTAGGCTGGGCGTGGTGGCTCACGCCTGTAGTCCCAGCACTTTGGAAGGCCAAGGTGGGCGGATCATGAGGTCAAGAGATCGAGACCATCCTGGCCAACATGGTTGAAACCCTGTCTCTACTAAAAGTACAAAAATTAGCTGGGCGTGGTGGTGCCTGTAGTCCCAGCTACTTGGGAGGCTGAGGTGGGAGAATCACTTGAACCCAGGAGGTGGAGGTTGCAGTGAGCTGAGATCGTGCCACTGCACTCCAGCGTGGCAACAGAGTGAGACTCTGTCTCAAATAAAAACAAACAAAAAAAACAAACAAAAAAAACCAAAACAACAAAAACAAAGCTTAAAACAGTAACTGTAAAGCCTACCATACGTTATAAAAGAATCTGAGTATTGAGAGAATACTTTTCAAACAGCATTAATATAAACAATTTTTATCTCTCTAAAAGAGATTCCTGAATGGTTCAGATGTATGTTTAGTGAACATTCATTCACAGACAATACTTATCCTAGAACATCTTTCAGGCTATTTAAGGTTGATAAATCTATTGTATCAGTTGAGGTGGGTTAGAGTATAATGCAGTAATAAGCACTCCAAAACTCAGTTTGTTCTCTCTCTTTTTTTCTTTTTTTTTAGCCTCTTTTGGTGATATGTTTTCTTTTTAAAAGTTGCTTAGCTGTATGATTGTCCTTAGTCAGATACAAGAAGAGTATCATCTATTTCTATGCAATTTGATTTCTTTTTGAGCACTCTT
Source organism: Homo sapiens (assembly GCF_000001405.40). Lineage (NCBI taxonomy): Eukaryota > Metazoa > Chordata > Mammalia > Primates > Hominidae > Homo > Homo sapiens. The sequence continues at coordinate 33,256,620 of NC_000007.14, forward strand.
TAAAATCTAAGTATGCTATTTAAGATTGTCACTGATATTCAAGGTAATAAAGAATAGTTACTATAGTACTTACTGTATATGGTGTATGAGCTAGAGATGACAAGGTACAAGATTGGCCTTTTATTTATTCCCTTAATGAGTAGCTTAATTTTCCTCTAACATAATTTTTCCCTATGTAATACATTATAGGATACACTAATCACACTAGCAGGACATGAAAGGTTATAGCCACTAGATCTTTCTCAGATTAGGGATACTAATGTATCTATGTTTTCTATGTATCAGTTTTCTATGATAAACTGTATCAGTTTTCTATGATAAACTGTATCATAGAAATCATCATCATTACCATCATCTCAGTAAATTTTAAGAACTGTGAATATTGTGCTTAATACTGGTAGACTAATAGTAGAAGACACCTCAGAATTAGTTTATAGTTGAGGGCAATTAGGGATTGGTATTTTTCACTATTAGTAATTTTCACACCGAATGCTGCTTAATGCTATGATTTATGTAAAATTGGTGCCTAAGACATACATGTTGTAGATAGTGATTAATAAAAATATTATATTTATAAAAAGAATAGATTATCTAATTTTCTCTAATTCTTCTTTAGGTCGAGATTTAATTTGCATCCAGTCTATGGATGGGATGCTGATGGTATTTGAGCAGGAGAGCTATGCTTTTGGAAGATTTCTCCCTGGCTTTCTTCTGCCTGGTCCTCTTGCCTACAGTTCCCGTACAGATTCCTTCCTTACTGTCTCTTCCTGCCAACAAGTGGAAAGTTATAAGTAAGTTTGGATGTTAAGTCTTCAGAATCATGATTTTTTGGTGCGTTTGTTGCTGACTAATTTTTGTCCACAAAGAGCTTCAATATCACAAATGAAAAAGAGATCGGTTTCTTTGAAAATATGTGATTGTGGTGACTTAGACTATATCATTTACTATTGTAAAATATTTGAAAGGCAATATAGTGCAGTGGTTTGGGAGGCAGACCTGGATTGGAATCCTGATTTTACCACTCCAGATGTTTGATGGTCCTTATCCTGGCTCTAAAGGAGGTAATATAGCTCATTTTGACAAGTTTATTATAAGGATTAAATGTATGTCCAGTTACTACCCTGTAGAAAATGCTCAATAATTATTGTGATTGTTCCTTGATATAATAAATAATTAAATACGATGTTGAGTGAAAAAAGCCAAATTGAAGATTTAGCTGTGGAATTCTTTTATAAGAAAAAAGAATATGTGTGATATAGGAAAAATACTGGCATGAACTGTTAATATGAATGTCAATACTTTTTTAGAAGAACAATTCATAGTATAAGTGAAGTATGAAAATGACCCTAGGCAAATAGTTTATACTTATTCGCTAGAAATTCTTATTGGTCTTGGTAAATTGTGTATGAGAGAGACTGTTTTCTTCTCCACCAGCTAGATTTAAATAAAAGTCAAGGTTTTGAGTTTTTGGAGAGTATGTTTTTTATTGGCAGAGAGAATGGGGAAAAGAGTAGAAATTCATGCTGGGAAAAGAAATAGCCTTGGAGGTTTTCAGTGCCTTTAGTAACTTTATTGTGTTGTCTTACTGGTGGCAACATTTGGAAGTTTAAACATCTAAGCAACACATCATCATGGCTTTTCAACATTATTTTTGGCCACATCATTATTCCCAAGATGGGAAGAAGATATAAATTCATCAGGCAACAGATGTAAATTTTTGTCTTCATGTTTCAATGTTGTGTATATAACAAGTTAATGCAGCTTTCTCATCATAAGTAGCCATTTGCTTTTTGTAAATCATTGTCAAGGCATCTAGGGTTAAAACTCTGAAAATAAGTGAATGTTTGTGAGTAAGCAGAATTTAACCGATTTAGGAAGTGTATCATCATGTAATATTCCTTCTGTAATTCTTATGGCTCTTATCCAAAGGAGATGATTGAATGGTGGCATTGCTATTGGTAATAAATAAAATATTATATTTATTTGGAGAGGTTGGGAAAAATATCTGTATAGTTTACTCAAGCCTGCCAAACTTGAGCAATATTAGGACATCTGCTTTTTAGCTTTCCACCCAGCTCTGTGCCTCACCTCCTGCCAAGTAGTGCTATGCTAGAGCCACAGTACAAATATTTAAACACCCAGTTACTTACTCTTTGAAATATGTGCATAGGAATTAATTTGATAATAACTCTGGGAGTGATTGGATAGAGAAGTAATGTGTAGATTTCCTTAATGTGTGAGTTTAATCTAACAGAAGCTCACATTGTTTTAACTGTGGTAAGTCTCCAACATACCAATCTATTAAATTCATCTTTGTCTTAGACTAAAAAATGTACACGTTATGCATTATGTGGCTCATTTATAATGGTAAAAATGCATGAGATACGAGATTATTGTGAAATGATGACAATCAAGAAGGTTTACAACATTAAGTCGTATGTTGTACTTATATATGCTTTCAACTTTAATAGATTATATTAAATGATAATCACTGCTGCATTTTTGGATTTTGGAGAAAGCATGAAAACTATGTTTGTTCTTTTGAGGCTTTATTAAATCTGTCTATATTCAGTTAATATAATATAATCAATTAATAGAATAGGCTTTTAACACATAACTCATTTTCATTTTTGATATTGATACCTTTAGTTTCTTTAAACCCTGCTTAATTATGTTTAAATAAAAACCAGTGAAGGCTAGGGATCTCAAACTTCAGTGTACGTAGGAGTCACCTGGACAGCCTGTTATAAAATGCACTTTTACAGATGCTAGTCCCCAGTCCCCTAGATTTCTTTTAATAGGTTAGGGGATAAGACCCAGAAATCATCATTGTAAATTTTTACTCCAGATCAATCTAATTCAGGGGCACACTTTGAGCACCATTTTTCTTTTTGAAGTAAGAGAATTGTTTGCCCTGAGACATTTTTTTTTTTTTAATAGAGACGGGGTCTCACTATGTTGCCCAGACTTGTCTTGAGCTCTTGGGCTTAAGTGAACCTTCTGCCTTGGCTTCCCAAAGTGCTGGGATTACTGGCATTAGCCACCACTCCTGGTCTGTTTGCCCTTTACTGAGGGTAAGGGTAAGGGCTTTGGTACCACTGTTCTCTGGGCCATGTATGTCCAAACTTTGATCATCTTTTATTCTCTTTTCTTATCCTTTGCCTTGCAGAATTATTTAGTCAGTAATCCCTGCCCTTAATACTTTCTCTTATTCAGCCTCTCCTTCCCATTCCCATTGGTTCAGGCCTATATTTTTTCACTTGGATTTCCGTTTTTTTTTTTTTCTCTCTAAACTTTGAAGGTTTCTTCTCATATCTTTTCTTTTAAAACACCTCCTTAAGCCAGAATAATTTTTATTTCTGACTAAAAGACCTAGACTTTTTTCTTTTTTTTTTTTTGAGACTGAGTCTTGCTCTGTCGCCCAGGCTGGAGTGCAGTGGCGCGATTTTGGCTCACTGCAACCTCTGCCTCCCGCGTTCAAGCAATTGTCCTGCCTCAGCCTCCCAAGTAGCTGGGACTACAGGCGCATGCTGCCACGCCCAGCTAATTACTTTTGTATTTTAGTAGAGACAGGGTTTCATTGTGTTGCCCGGGCTGGTTGCGAACTCCTGAGCTCAGGCAGTCTGCCCGCCTCAGCCTCCCAAAGTGCTAGGATTACATGCATGAGCCACCACGCCCGGCCTAGATATTTTATTATTGACATTCAGTGCTTTTTATAATCCAGTCCCATTTTACCTCTATGATGTGGACTTTTGGACTTGGAAGTGACTTTTGAAGTTAACTGGTTCAACTGTCTTCCTTTTTTCACCTCCTAGATATATTACTGCCTAAAACACTGATTTTTGGCTAATGTCATGTATTGCCTTCTTGTACTGACATTTTCCAGAGTATCTTGCATTATCAGGTTCTTGAGAGAAGAATCTGTGTTAAACATCTCTTCACTGACTGAATAATTCAGTTTGTTTATTCAGTCATTCATTCAGCAAATATTTTTCAACAGGCTTGTGTGCCATACACTGTGCAAGGTACTGGAAATGTAGTCAAATAGACGTGCCTCTTATCCTCAAATAGTATTCAAGGAGGCAGGAAGTCAGTCAGCTACTTCAGTCCATTTGTCATACAGGCTATAGCAGAGCTTTGCATAGGATGCTGAGGAGGCCTCGAGGTGGGACCTCTAAGAGTTGAATGTAGGGAGGCTCCCTAAAAGAGTATACCTGCCATGGGTGTTATTTCTCTCCTTCTGTCTGCTATACCCCTTCCCCAGCAACCCCTCAATAGCTCCTAATACATCACTAAGTAAATAATCAGCCTTAAATAAATATTTAAAAGTGTTTCTGTTGAATTTAATTGACTGTTTTAAAAAGAAGTATTCTTCTCCAATCTTTGGCTCTGACCAAATGGAAATATTTGTAGTCTCCATATATGTTAAGGGTTTTTCTCTCTCTCCTTTTTTTTTTTTCCCACATACTGTCTATCTCCTATGTCTGAAGTGCTTTTCCTTCTTTCTCTGCACGTGGAAATTATGTCTAGAAGCCTCCCTGCTCCCCTTCAGTTCTTCCCTGACCTAGATGTAACCAACATCTCCTTTTTCTCAATTTACATAGTAGTTTTTCAGTGCTTCCCTTAGGTATTACTTATGCTTTCACTGATAGTAAACATTTGTTTTTCTCCTTGACTAAGCTCAGTGCTCCTCGATGGCAGGAATTCTGTATCCCCTGAAGTGCCCAGCACTGTACCTTGGTGAAAGTGGGTGTTCAATGAGAACTGATAAAAGAGTGAAAAGTGTATAAAGAAAGCTTCTGTTTTGTTACTGGCATCTTTCAATGAAAAGGATTCTCCCCGGCATAGTCAAGAATGTTTTAGCTATAGTTGAAATCAACATAATAATGCTCTGTGTCTCGAGCTTCCATTTCTAGTAAAGTTCTCTGGGTTACATATCAAGGTTCCAAAACTTCCTGCCACTCACTGAGGTGACAGTTCTGTTTATTTTGAAAATAAATGATTTTGGAGGGTTTACTTTTGTGCTCTGTGATGCCTCAATCTATATTTTAGTTACCTGCTACTGTTTTTACAAAGCAATTTGGAAGAGTATTAAATTATGTGGTTGAGTTTGTTATTGGTGCACTACAGGACCTGTGAAGCATTTGTGGTTAGTGAGTCAAAAAGCACCACCGTTTAGCTGCACTTGGTGTAGTTGCGATTAGTGCCTTTCTGTTCTGAGAGACATGTATGGCACTCTTTCATAAGATCTTGTTACATTGGCCCTGATTATTCTTTCAGCAATCTCGACAAGGGAACTTTTTTGTGTAGCTTATGTTACTGAACACTTGAGTGGTAAGAAAAAAGATCCAAATATTTTATTTCAGAATTTCCAAATCTGCTTGGAATTGTTTGGTTTTAGAAATAGATTTTTACATACTTTATTGGTCACAGTTAAGAGGAATTAAGGAAGAACCATAAAATAGATGCTCTTGTAAGTTTGTCATCATCTAATTTTACTGTCAAGTTTAAGTAATAAAATACTCTTCTGAGTTGTCTTTTAGGAAGAGAAATGGTTTGGATTTGGAAATCAGTAGTCAATTTTGGCTGTGCCTCTGCCTGCTGTTTTAATGTTAATAAGGCCGCTTTAGGGGCTCACTTATTTCTTAGATAAAATAATGACCATAGTTATATATATAAGCTTCAAACAGCTCAAAGAGTTTTGGACCTTTGTAACAATCTCATGAATATCTATATTATCCCTTGGCAGGTTGGTTTCTGTAGGAAATGAACCACCTATGTAACTAATTGCCTAGGGTTAGATCCATAGCAGGACAAGCTTTGGGATGATGTTCTAGTCACCAGCGCATACTATTTCTGTTGCTATGAATTGGGAATAGGAAAACAATCCTATTTGGAGTTCAGAATGTGAGGTCTAATTATTTTGCACTTTTAGAGACTTTGGGATTTTGAAGGTCAATCTCAGATGGTATAGAGAGATTGGCTGCAGCTGACCGTGGGATTTTGTAGCATGGTCTTACAAGGCTGAGATCTTCTCCCTCTTACTTCATGCGCCCCATGACTCATTCCTCCCTGTCATGCATCTCTCCTAAACTCCTGTCATGGCCTTTCATGTCTCTTTTACTGCTGCATGCCTTTGCATTTGTTATTTGATTTGCCATAATGCCTTCTCCTTCTTTACCAGCGTGATAGAATTTTCACTCATCCTTTAAAACCTAGCTTTCTCTTCCTGAACCTATACCAAGAGCATATCTTTTCTCCCCCAATTACTTGTTACTATTGGTACTACGTGCATACCTTCTGTTAATTAGCACAGGATACTCTGAGTTATACTTAGCTGTCTGTATATGAGTCTCTACAACTAGTGTGGGAGCACCTTATGAGTATAGATTATGTAGTAGTTTTTCCATTGTTAATGTTTGTATTGGATCCCTACTATATGTTTATAAAATGAATGAAATTTATATATATTACGTTTTCATATTAATAAGATCTATTTTTTATAAGCTATTGTTAAGTTTGTCATCACCTTCTATGTCTTGGAAAATTTAAATCATAGTCATTCTGCATTCAACTGAAGTTACAGGTTTTTTATAAGTGAATTATTCTTGATTGAGATAGGATGTTTTCAGAGTTGGTATATGACATTTGAAGACCATTGTACATTTCAGTGCTTGTTTAGATATGCCACATTGCCTTCATTCAGGTCCCTGATTTTTACACTCTCAGATATCTGTGTCTTAGAAAATGTGAGTTTTGATTCAATAGGAGGGAAAGGCATCTGTGAGTCTGTAGTTGCTTTATGTACAGTAGGATTATTCTTCTAAAAATATGCCATTAATTAATGAGAAATATAGAAATTTCAACTTTATTAGATAAATTAATCATTTCTAGATTGAATAATATTTATAAATTGTTTTTAAGAATAATTTGAGCTAAATGCCACTATTGAAATAGAAGCTGTAAAATACTTATAGATCATAATGTCGATTACTGAGAACTCACTACCTACCAGCTACAAACTACTATGTGATTGATCTCTATCTCTATATAAATCTGTCTCTTTGTCAACCCATCAATCAATAATTGTATACCTACTATATACCAAATAGTAGGCACTTTATAATTTATTGTTTAATCCTTTTAACAATGATTGTGTTAGAGATTATTATCTCTGTTTTATGGATGGGGAAGCCAGACACAGAGTGATTATTCACCAAAAATGTACTTACCTAGTTAAGTGGTTAAACTGGGGTTAAACTGAGTTCTTTTTGGTTCCATAGATTATGTATTGATAATTTCTACTCCATCTGACTGCTTTGCATATTTACATTTTTTTCTGTCTATTTGGTGTTTAGGTGCTAGATCTTTCTTGAGCATTGTTACTTGTCACATAAAATTCTAATGGAAGTGCTTTAATAGTTGGTAGAGCTGTTTTCCCAACACTGAATAATGGACATATGGTTATAATTTCTTTATCATGACATTTTACACAGTTTTATGTCACAATATCACTCAATAAGAATTCAATCTTAAATTTTAGAGTTTTTAAAAACTAGGAAAAAGTGCTTTATAAAGTTTATAGATTATTGTGTACTTTTAAAGTTTAAAATAATTTATAATTTTTAATTATAAACTCATTTATAATTTTTTAAATTTCTTTCATACAGGTACCAGGTACTTGCTTTTGCAACAGATGCAGATAAAAGGCAGGAGACTGAACAGCAAAAACTTGGTTCTGGAAAAAGACTAGTTGTAAGGCCTTTTTTTAATATATAAAAATTTCAATAATGCTATATCTAATCACATATGTTTGTCAATAATAATTCATGGGAAGAAAATGTAAAAAAATATGTCAGCCATTCTCTTTCCTATATTATGGTTATATTAATGACCTAAGAATTGAGTTGGTTGTTGTTGAGCAATGGAAACACATGCCTGGTCATGGTCTTAATATAACAGATTGTAGAGTTGTACCACTAGAACTGTGGATATCCAGATGGAGTCACTTTTAACAAATAAAAATAGAAACATTAAAAAAATCTCTCCTTAATAGGCAAAATTTTGTAGATTATATTCTATTGTTTGAAGTGTCTTTTTTCTCTAGCTGCTTTCCAGATTTTCTCTTATCACTTGTTTGGAGCAATGGGATTATAATGTGTACTTTTCTTTCTCTTTTTTTGAGCTTAAGATTTGTTAAGCTTCTTGCATCTATGAATATTTAGTTTGCATAAAATTTAGAAATGTTTTGGCCATTAATTCTTTAAATATTTTGTAACTAGTAGGCATGCGACCGAATATATAAGTAAAAGATAAAAATTCACAGCTCACAAAGATAGAATTAGCTCAAAGACAAAGGTGAAGTTTGATAATTTGAAAAGTAGTTTGAAGAAAAATTGTAAATGATGAATTCTCCATTTATTGTAAATTGGGGAATAGATGGTGATTATGAACTCTTCCTTATCTTGAGAACTTCCATAGACAGCAAGGCAAAAAATAGAAGGAACTAAAATTATGGTGGAAACAGTGAAATAAATCTGAGGATACACAAGAAGGAAGCTAAATGGAGAAATAATGTAGAATTTAGAATACTAACATAACAGTATTGGAGAAGACTATGCAGAATTTTCTGTATTAGGATACAGAAGTTCAGGAGATGGTAGAACAGAAGGGTAACTTGGAAAGAGTCAAGAATCAGATGAAGATATATTTTTTTTCATTGGTAGTAAAAAGTAAAAGAGCACAATGAATAAAAATATGATATAGTTTTGCACAGAATTTAGAAGCACCATAGTAATAATAGTTAAAGCACAGATTGAAGTCAAACAGGTCTTGAGAGCTTTACTTTTTTTTTGAGCAAGTTACAGCAAGTTTGTTAGCCTTACTAAATCTCAGTTTCCTCATTTGCAAAGTGATAATATCTATTTTAAAATGTTGTTATTAGGCTGGGCGCGGTGGCTCATGCCTGTAATCCCAGCACTTTGGCAGGCTGAGGCAGGTGGATCACCCGAGTTCAGGAGTTCGAGAGCAGCCTGGCCAACATGGAGAAACCCCATCTCCACTAAAATACAAAATTAGCTGGGCATGGTGGCCCATGCCTGTAGTTCTAGCTCCTTGGGAGGCTGAGGCAGGAGAATCGCTTGAACCTGGGGGGCAGAGATTGCAGTAAGCTGAGATCGTGCCACTGTACTCTAGCCTGGGTGACAGAGCAAGACTCCGTCTCAAAATAAAAAAAGTTGTTATAAGATAAATTAGGTATTTATATATAAATATATGTATTGTATATAATAAATATATAAAGCACATAGCAAAATGTCTGGATGAACTTACTGATAATGGTAATTAAATTGTCCTTTGACCTCCTCAATAGTGGTGTTCTTCCATTTGTTTCTTATAGTCTGCACTTCAGCCATATAGGGCCTCTCATTGTTCCAAATATTCCATGGCTCTTCTTCATTCTAGGCATATGGTTTTTCTTCTGTCTGGAATAGCCTTTCCTTATCATTTGCAGTTTTTATTGATTACTCCATGTCTCACACTGAGGATGTATTCTGAAGGCAATTGCAGTTGAGTGGTTTTTCCATTCGATTAGTGAATAGAGTAAGAAATAGCAGTAAAACTTCATTTTGTTACACGATAGTCACTTTGCAGGAATGTGATACCATGGAGCAATATCAAATCTATTGCAGAAGAAACAGAACTTACCCAATGGAGTGATTTTAATAAGATAGTTGTGGGAAGTCATTTAATAGCTTCCTGTGTTACTCACAGCTACCTTTTTATTGATTGATTTCTATTTAAGTCTTTTGTGTTCAGAAAAATAATTTGTATGATTTAAATTCTCTTAGATTCATTGAGATTTGTCTTATGGCCTAGAATATGATCTATCTTGGTAAACGTTCAGTGTGCACCTGAAAAGAATGTGTATTTTTTTTGTTGTTAGAGTGTTTCATACATGTCAATTAGATTATGTTGGATGATAGTGTTGTTCAACTCTTCTATATCCTTATTAGTTTTTTTACTAGTTATTATTAGTTATTGAGAGAGGGGTATTGAAATCTTTGACTGTAATTGTGGATTTTTTTGTATCTCCTTGGAAATATGTCTATCTATATCTATATTTATTTATTTATTTATTTTTGAGACAGAGCCTTGCTGTGTTGCCCAGGCTGGAGTGTAGTGGCACAATCTTGGCTCACTGCAACCTCCGCCTCCCGGGTTCAAGTGATTCTCCTGCCTCAGCCTCCTGAGTAGCTGGGACTATAGGCATGTATCACTATGTCCAGCTAATTTTTTTGTATTTTTAGTACAGATGGGGTTTTGCCGTGTTGACCAGACTGGTCTCGATCTCTTGACCTCGTGATCCGCCTGCCTTGGCCTCCCAAAGTGCTAGGATTACAGGCATGAGCCACCACGCCTGGCATATATCTATATTTATTTATTTATTTTTTGCTTCAGATATTTTGGAATTCTGTTATTAGGTACATAAACATTTAAGACTGTTCTGTCTCATGATGAACCCCTCCCCTTTACATTATGAAATGACCTTTATCCTTTTGTTTGATAATCTTCTTTTTTCTGAGACCTACTTAATCTGTTGGTAAAATACTCAGTTTTCTTTTGATTAGTGTTATTCTGATACCTTTTTCTATCTTTCCACTTTGAATCTGTTTGTCCCTTTATACTTCAAGTGCATAATTTATAAGAAGCATGTAGTTGGTTGGGATTTGCTTTTTAAAATCAGTGTGATATATACTCTGCCATTTAATTTTGTTTTATTTATCTATATGTCTGTCTAGTTTTTTTGGTTTCCTTTTCCTCTTTTTCTGCTTTTCTTTGGATTTATCCAGTTTTTTTTTTAAATTCTATTTTATCTTTGTTGGTTTATTAGCTATAACTCTTTGTTTTGTTATTTTAGTGTTTGCTTTAGGGTTTCCAGTTTTTCTCTTTGACTTAACACAGTCTACCTTCAGGTGATATATTACCTTATATATAATATAAGAAGTATGCTTCTGTTTCCTACCTTCCAGTCTTTGTGCTATTGTCCTGTATTTTATTTTTACATAGGCTGTGAACCCCATATTACATTGTAATTATTTTTGCATAAATAATCAATTATATTTTAATGAGATTTAAATGACAAGAAAAATATGTATTTACCCATGTAGGTATCATTTCTGCTGTTCTTCTTTAATTTGTATAATTCCATCTTTCCATCTGGTTTCATTTTCCTTCAAACTAAAGGAATTCCTTTCACATTTCTTTTAGTGTGGGCCTGCTGGTGACGAATTTTTCATTTTTTATGTATATACTGTTCTTGAGGTTATCCCTGGGACACAGTTAAGTTACTTGGAAACAGTTTGATTTTTGGGGGCCTTGTTCTCAAGACTTGTTAAGTGGGACCAGGGTAGTGCTCATTTTAGGGCTACTTATTCCCTATTCCTCAGGCAAGATCCTTCTTAGTACTGTACCAATTCACTCAGAATTATGAGGTTTTGCAGCCTGGCTGGTGGGCACAGGAAATATCTTATACCCTGTGTGAATGTTGGGCACTGTTATCTCTAATCTTTTTTGGGTGGTTCTTTCCCTGGCCTTGTGTGGTTTCCTTACAATAATTTGCCAGTAAGTACTCAGCTGAATATTTGAGGGCACTCTCTGCAGATCTCCAGAGTTCTGTCTGTATGCAGCATTTATATGTAGCTATTTGGTGTGCTGTCTTGTTAACTCCAACTGCTGTGGTTTCTCCAGACTCTGAGTATCCATCTCCACAATTCACAGAGTCTGCTGGGCTCTGCCTAGGTTCTTCTTCCCTGCACTATGGCCTAGAAACTCTTTCAAGGCTGGAGCAATCATGCCACTCACCTCGTTTGTTTTCTGTCTTTAAGGGATTGCTGTGCTTTGTTGTCTGGTGTCCAGTGCCTTGCAAACTATTGTTTCATTTATTTTGTCCACTTTGTCGTTGTTTTAGGTGGGATGCTAAATCATTTCCTTATTACTCCATCTTGGCTGGAAGTGGAAGAATTTTTTTTTTATTATTGTTCTTAGCAAATTTCTGTGTTTTATGAGACTCATTAATTCAGAATGTAGTGTATTTCCCTAAGTGGAGGTCACAGAGTGGCATTCAGTACCTGGTAAATTGAAAGTATTTAGTGGCTGGATCTCAGACTGTGGCCTCAGAAACATGATTTGCCTGTTCACTTTGGATAAATCACCTCTCAGAGTGAGGCACACATCAGCCCGAGGTACAGACACTGACGTACAAAGCCAAATGCTAGCCTGTTACAATATAATGAGAAATATAACTGTCATGGGACTGATATTCATGTCCTGTCCAGTGGAGTCATTTTATATAGGTAAGCAATACTTGAGCCAAATAGTAATCAAATAATTTCTTAGTGTTGAATTCTAGTTCAGCTTAAGATAGTCTGATGCACCTACCTATGTTCACTAGGCTGTCTCCCTTCTACAGATTGATCTTATACATATACTGGCAATATTTGCCTTTCTGGCCAGCCCCATTTGGATTTTATACCTTCTTCAAATATTTTAATATCTAAAGTAGATGAATACCTAAGATCATGTCTTGATGGCCAAAAATTCATCTTGTCTTTAATGTGACTTTTCATGATCTTTTCTTGGATCCATTGTTTGTTGATCATAGCCTAACTTTCACAGCAGCCCTATTTCCTGTTTATGCAGATTTTTCTCTGTGAAACCATCTCATTATTACTTTCATATACAATATATGCCTGTCAGGGACCCTGGCTTGGGTCCACAGCTCTCCCATTTTGGGCCGATTAATGGATTGATTGCAGCTCTGCATCTCTCTTGGGTGAAGCCCCAGGAGACAAGACCCTTGGCTCCAACCACTGCTAAGGTCCATTCCTCTGCTGCCTCTAAGCTGGGGAGGGAATATAAAGCTTGAGATCTCCCCAGAGAGGCAGAGTGCAGCCTGGGAGTGCCAAGCTGTGATTTACAGCCAGCACAGAAGTGGGAGAAGAGCTGCACTTTCAGAGCATTGATACGGAACATGATGGCAACCATTGCAGTGAGCCAAGATTGCACCACCACATTGCAGCCTGGGCAACAGAGTGAGACTCCAAATGGAAAAAAAAAAAAAAAAGGCCAGGCGCAGTGGCTCATACCTGTAATCCCAGCACTTTGGGAGGCCGAGGCAGGCGGATCACGAGGTCAGGAAATCGAGACCATCCTGGCCAACATGGTGAAACCCTGTCTCTACTAAAAATACAAAAGTTAGCTGGGTGTGGTGGCGTGTGCCTGTAGTCCCAGCTACTCAGGAGTCTGAGGCAGGAGAATCGCTTGAACCTGGGAGGCGGAGGTTGCAGTGAGCTGAGATAGCTTCACTGCACTCCAGCCTGGCGACAGAGCAAGACTCTGTCTCAAAAAAAAAAAAAAAGGAGAGAAAGAGAAAATATAGAGGTGCCACATAAGTGAGAAAGAGCCTACTTACTGACCAATGCACTTGCTAACATACCCCACTTTGAAACCAAAGGCAAGAATTTAGCTATAAATAAAAACCTTGCAGAAAGCTTCAGCCCTCTGAAAACATCCAGAAAAGAAGTCTACTGACTATACTCAATTTACACCTCACGAAAAGGAATACTCATGCACACAGATGAAAAAAAACCAGTGCAAGAACTCTGGCAACTCAAAAGGCCACAGTGTTTCCCTTCCTCTAAATGATCGCACTAATTCTACAGCAAGGATTGTTAACTGGGCTGAGATGGCTAAAATGACAGAAATAGAATTCAGAATATGGACAGGAAATAAAGACCATTGAGATTCAGGAGAATGTCAAAATCCAATCCAAGAAATCTAAGAATCACAATACAATGATACAAGAGCTGACAGACGAAATAGCCAGTATAGAAAGAACTTAACTGGACCTGATAAAGCTGTAAAACACACTACAAGAATTCGTAATGTAATCACAAGTATTAATGGCAGAAGAGACCAAGCTGTGGAAAGAATCTGAGAGCTTGAAGACTGGCTTTCTGAAATAAGACAGTCAGACAAAAATAAAGAAAAAAGATAAGAAATGAACAAAACCTCCAAGACATTTGGCATTATGTAAAGAGACCAACTTTATGACTCATTGGCATCCCTGAAAGAGATGGGGAGAAAGCAAGCAAGTTGGAAAACCTCTCTCAGGATATCATTCATGAAAAATTCCCCAACCTCACTAGAGAGGCTGATATTCAAATTCGGGAAATGCAGAGAACCCCTGCAAGATACTATACAAAAAGATCATCCCCAAGACACATAATCATCAGATTCTATAAGGTCAAAATGAAAGAAAAAATGTTAAAGGCAGCTAGAGAGAAAGGTCAGGTTACCTCCAAAGGGAGCTCCATCAGGCTAATAGCGGACCTTTCGGCAGAAACCCTACAAGCCAGAAGAGATTGGAGGCCTGTATTCAATATTCATAAAGAAAAAATATTCAACCAAGAATGTCATATCCAGCCAAACTAAGCTTCATATGTGAAGGAGAAATAAGGATCTTTTCAGACAAGCAAATGAGAAGGGAAATTGTTACTACCAGACCTGCCTTACTAGAGCTCCTGAAAGAAGCACTAAATATGGAAAAGAAAGACTGTTACTAACCAATACAAAAAACACTTAAATACTTAAATACATGGAGTAATGACACTATAAAGCAGCCATACAAACAAGTCTGCGTAATAACCAGCTAACAACAATGACAGGATCAAATCCACACGTATCAATACTAACCTTGAATGTAAACAGGCTAAATGACCCATTTAAAACACACAGAGTGGCAAACTGGATCAAAAAGCAAGACACAATTGTATGCTGCCTTCAAGAGACCCATCTCACATGCTGTACACCTGTAGGCTCAAAATAAAGAGATGAAGAAAACTCTGTGAAGCAAATGGAAAAAAGCAGGAGCTGCAATCCTAATTTCAGGCAAAACAGACTTTAAACCAACAAAGACTAAAAAAGACAAATAAGGGCATTACATAATAGTAAAGGGTTCAATTCAACATGAAGATCTAACTATCCTAAATATATATGCACCCAACACAAAAGCACCCATATTCATAAAACAATTTCATAGAGACCTACTAAGAGATTTAGACTGCCACACAATAATAGTGGGAGACTTCAACACCCCACTGACCCTATGAGACAGATCACTGAGGCAGAAAATTAACAAAGATATTCAAGGTCTGAACTTAATACTTGACCAAATGGACCTAATAGACATCTACAAAACTCTCCATCCCAAAACAACAGAATATTCATTCTTCTCGTCACCACATAGCACATACTCTAAAATAAACTACACAATCGGATATAAACCAATCCTCAGCAATTCAAAAATGTCAAAATATCCATCAAAGGTAGACTGGATAAAGAAAATGTGGTACATATACACCATGGAATACTATGCAGCCATAAAAAAGAATGAGATTATGTCATTTGCAGAAACATGGATGGAGCTGGAGGCCATTATCTTTAGCAAACTAATGCAGGAACAGAAAACCAAATATCACATGTTCTCACTTAAATATCACATGTTCTTACTTTCACTTGAGGTTGAAAGGTGGGAGGAGGGAGAGGATCAGAAAAAATAACTATCACATACTACGCTTAATACCTGGGTGATAAAATAATCTATACGCCAAACCTCTGTGAAATGAATTTACCTGTATAACAAACCTTCCTATGTATCCCTGAACCTAAAGTAAAAGTTAGAAAAACTGAAAACAGTATATGCCTTTCTGCCAATGTTTTTCAAAATGGTGTGTCTTTGCTCTTTTGCATTTTCCTGACTTAGAAATATTGTATGGAAGATGAATCCTGAAAAGCTCTCATTTTACATTCATTCTTTCATTACTTTAAGAAGCATTTATTGAACATTAACTGTATCCCAGCAATATGGAGATATCCTGGAGTAGCTCTTATGTATAGAATATTCTGCTATACTCTCTAGTGGCTTGGTGACTACTCTGTATATGCATATTGATATATTTTTAGTTGCCCTATAAAAACACATGTACAATCATAATGATAGTTTTTATGGATTATTAAATTTGATTTGCAAATTAAGCACAATATCATTTTCATGGAAGTTTTTTAGGGAAGCAGATAAGTGTTTTAGTGTTCTTGAATTGCAGAATAGTTAATATCATTTGGTAAGACATGGAACAAAACTTTGATTAGAGTCTTGTAAAATACCAGAAAAATGGTCATAGTGATAAAAAAAAGAATAAAGAAATGAAAGAGATTAGCCCATCTTTATATTTCTGCTTTGTTGTAAAGCAATTTCTTAATTTATATTGATATGAAAATAACTGAAATTTTCTGAGGTTAGCAACTAAATTGATATTGAGTTTTGCTTTGTAGGTGGATTGGACTCTAAATATTGGAGAGCAAGCCCTTGACATATGTATTGTCTCTTTCAATCAGTCGGCATCCTCTGTTTTTGTTCTTGGTGAGAGAAACTTTTTTTGCCTTAAGGATAATGGACAAATTCGATTCATGAAGAAGCTTGATTGGAGCCCAAGTTGTTTTCTGCCATATTGCTCAGGTGTGTAGAAAGATTTTCTTTTATCTCTTCCATATGTCAAGGCTATGTGATATACACCAGAAAAAGCCACACTCATACACATATTGTAAACATATATGAAAACAGTTTAATATTGAATATGTAATGGAAATTTTAACTTTCAAAGTTTGAATGGAAGTTTGATATAAAGCACACATTTGGTTTTGTCAGTCATTTTACTTTGTACAAAATGACTTGTAAAATTGGCCTCCGGCATACATTAATACTTTCCATAATGTGGCTATTCAAGATGCTTTCAAGAGAACATCAGACTCTTTTATAAGCACAATAGTAATGTCTAATAGAATGAATTATCTGTAGTGAATGCGTAGTAAATCATTAGCTTAAATGTGTTACATATTAATGAAATTCATGCTTTCTAGATGAAATGCAAAAATGTTGGTGATTATCTAGTTATAGCTTCCAAGACTGTAAAATGATTCCTTTCTTTTTTATACTGGTAAAGTTACAAAATAATGTTTTATTATGTAAAATCTTTATGTATTAAAATCCAGGTGTTAGAATTAGTTTGTGCTATCAATTTCCTAAAAGAGATATACTTTTCCAAATGACTGTTTTCTTAGTGTCTCTTTTCTGTATTTTCAACTTACAGTTTCTGAAGGAACAATAAATACTTTGATTGGAAATCATAATAACATGCTGCATATTTATCAAGATGTGACACTGAAGTGGGCCACCCAACTTCCCCACATTCCTGTAGCAGTAAGAGTGGGCTGTTTGCAGTAAGTGATTTAATTTAACACAGTTTTTAAAGAGGATGTTAGTCAAGAAATTTTCTAGAAGTTCTATGAAATAATGACAAGTGATTTTATTAAAAAATTACAGGTGACATTGTAGTATGAATGTCAATAATAAAAGTAATTTAAAATATAACTTTTATTGGAAAGGAAGGATAATTAGTGCTATTAATCATTTTCATTTAATATTTCTAGCAAGATATCCTTAGTAAATTAAAGGTAAAAACTGGTGAAGACATCAAGAAAATGGTTTACTTGATAGATTATTCTTCAGAATACAAAAATATTTCTTTTAGCATTTGATGAGTCCCTTTTAGAGAACATTTATTGATAGACTGTGACGATATTACACTGTTCATTATAATAAGTTCTCACCTTGTTTCAGACGTTTCATTAAGTCAAGTGATGCAGAATTGTTAATGATCATGTGTTTACACAGTTTAGATTTTAAGTGGGGCTACTTTGTATTTAAATTGAAAAACAGAATTCATACTTTAACATTAAGTTTACAAAATTTATCAAAAATGACAGAAATGAGCCATCTAAGTGAGTAATTTTTCTAGGTCATCAGTATAAAAACTGAGATGCCGATGAACTTTTTAGCATCTTAGATTATGTTTAGGAATTGAAAATATCAGCAAACGTATAGAAATACAACTTTCCATAAAGCTTCATAGATTCTCAGATGTATTCAGTTCTACTTATTTATAATATTTTATTGAGCATTTAAAGGCCATACGGGGCGGGGCACAGTGGCTCACGCCTGTAATCCCAGCTCTTTGGGAGGCCGAGGTGGTTGGATCATCTGAGGTCAGGAGTTCAAGACCAGCCTGGCCAACATGGTGAAACCCTGTCTCTACTAAAATACAAAAAATTAGCCAGGTGTGGCGGCGTGTGCATGTAGTCCCAGCTGCTTGGGAGGCTGAGGCAGGAGAATTGCTTGAACCCAGGAGGTGGAGGTTGCAGTGAGCCGAGATCACACCACTGCACTCCAGCCTGGGTGACAGAGTGAGACTGTGTCTCAAAAAAAAAAAAAAAAAAAAAAGCCATCTGTAGAATTCTTCAGTGACACCTATAGTTTCTCATCAGGATGGAGTTGTTTTCTCCTATTAAGGGCTTGAGTGTAATATTATTGTTGAAGCTCAACGAAGGGTATTCATATTTGCATCAGTGTTTTATCTAAAGCCTGAATTTTAGAAAAATGGAAACGGTGTTTTGAAAACATTGAATATTTTAAAAAGAAGTTGCTTTCTTATGTTTTATGAGAAAAAACATATAATTCTAATTGCTATGCACTTAACACAAGTTATAGTTATTTTGTGTCTGAAAAATAATTTAAAAGTTTTGAGATTGGCTTTTGCAATGTCCATCACATGGTCTTTTTAAATTTAACAGAATATTCATACTCACCAGACATTTTGTATCAGATTTACTTAGAAGGATTTAGAACAGGAAAAACATCTTGCCAGCAGGGCAACATCAAGTATTTCACTTCTGGAAGAGTAATTCTTGCAGGAGTCTATATATCCATCCAAAGCTGTTCTCTTTGGTCTCTTAAGTGACAGTTCATTTGCAAAAAGACAGATCCACACTGGTGAGTATGGGTCTCATTTTGACTTATAATCTTCATGTCCTTCAGGAGCCAATATCTTGAAATACTTAAAAATTATTGGGGTTTTGGTGTGTATTTTGAGCACAGGAGAATGATGGGTAGAAAGACCTTATTGAGAACATTTAGTTGAAATATATATATTTTTACACATACATTATATACAAGGGATGTACCCATTTCAGGAGTCACCATACTGAGAAAAGTGCAAAGGTATGGCTTCTCAGCAGATATTTATTGTTAATTTATAGTTTTTGGTCTAGGTGCAACTTATGAGTTAACAGTCAATAATAACTGAAATATTATGAGTAAAACACCAAATTTTCATATAGTGTGCATCATGATGCTTATGTTCAAAAGTAGCCTGTCATTTTATTTTCGGTACCTGTGAGTGAACCTTCCTATTTCTCATAGCTTTTGCAAGATGACAGTTATAAACAATTAAATCCAAATATTGCCATTAGTATTTTCCACAATTAATATATAAAAATAAATTCTAATTGTTGAACTGAAGATTTTTCTTTTCTTACATATAATTTAACACAAAGTATAGGATTAGACTGTGTTTGAAAGAATTCCATTGTAATTTCTATTAGAGTTTTTTTCTTCTTCAGTAAACTATAATTAATGCATGAAAAAGAAAATAAAGATTGTAAAACACTAGACTCAATTAACATAAAGTTTAGGAAGGTTTTCTGCCCTCACCACAATTGTAAGCTGTATGCTACAGTTATTTAAATACCTTTTATCATAGTCACATCTTAAATCTTATTACTTATCTAAACTGAGGCAGTAAATGGACAATTTCAAAAATGATCATAAGTACAGAACACCACAACTATATTTTAATCACTTGCAAAAAAGGCCGTGGACCATGGGGAGAGCACTCAGCTCTTAGCTCATGCTGCGGTTTAGGTTATTAACCACAAAAGGTAAGGGAGCTTCCAGTTTTGCTCTTTGGCTGTCAGATCATTTACAGGGGGGAAGTTGGAATAGTAGCTGGTGTTACAGATACCCTACACAATGCAAAGCTAGTGAACACCAATATCTAGTCATCCGGCAAAAAAAGAAAAAAGAAAAAAACAGCATAAACTAGCAAGAGCATCTGCAGCCAACTGCAGGCTAATGCCACATCTTTTCTCAAGGCTCTATCCTGGGTATGTGAATGAAAAGCCCTGCTTTTGTCCTGATCAACAACAGCCTTCCTGTGAGGAAGATACTTCCTTGCCACGTGAGCGCTGGTGGGCTTCTCACCTTTGCAAGCAGTCCATAGGTGTGGTGGTTCCCAAAATGTGGCTTTTGCCATTCACCATGCTGCCCTCACTCCCTCACCTCATGGGCCACAAGAGGGTGGAAGAGCCAGGCAGATCTAAGCTGATGTCCCAGAAGGGGTCTGTGGTGGTGGAGACTCCATGGCAGACTTGGCAGGTGATGTCCAACTGCAGCCCACCTGTGAAGATCTGTTCTATGATGTAGTTGTGGTAGTTGGCCTTCTTCCCATTGTCATCACCTGGGGACAGACTGTGGCTCTGGGATTAGTGTCTGTAAACCACAAAGACAGCGAATGTCTAAGGGAAGAGTATGTTTACCCTGCAGAGGCCTGAGGAAGCCAGCGCTGACACTTTACAAGGCCATGTGAGGATGCTCATCATTTCATTAGAGGGTCTTGCTGTTATTTAATGTGACGAGAAATCACAGCACTTGGATTTTCAATGCTCCTGTTTTTGTCATTCCCTAAGAAGAGCCCCATATTTTTTATCTTGCCAACAAAGCACATCTAATGCCCAATAGCTGAGTAGGTAGTTGGTTCCCTTTTTATATGAGGGACAATTGAATAAATATTTTCCTGCAGACAGCTGAAAATATTGTGGGCCAGATACTGTAACCCCAGACAGGTTCTTTCTGCCTGTTGCACAAACAAAATCAATTCACTGTATTTCAGTAGAGAAAGAGTTTAATTGATGCAAGGCCAGCCACACCACACTGAAGAGGGACTTATTACTGAAATCAATCTCATTGAAGGCTCATAGGTTAGGGGTTTTTCAAAAGTTCTTTGGGGGAAGAGTTTGGGGTGGCTAGGCAATGGGTGCTTGCTGCTAATTGTTTGGAAGGTGCAATCATAGGGGTGTGGGAAATGATCCTGTTGCATGCTGAATCACTTCTGGGAGCAGTTGGTGGGTCCAGGTGGAACCATCATGGGTTTCAGAAATGCAAAAAACCTGTAAAGATCTCTTACAAGACCACTGTTAGGTTCTACAATAGTGATGTTATCTGAAGGAGTATTGGGGAAGTTGCATATCTTGTGACCTCTGGAATAATGGCTGGCAATTGTTTTTGTCTACACCTTAGCAAAATTCAGGCTACTCTATCCTCCTAGCCTGGTGTTCTCTCATTAGCTTTACAAAGACAGTTGAGTTTTGGGGAAGGGCTATTTTTACTTAAACTATAGACTAAATGTCTCCCAAAGCTAGCCTAGCCTAAGCCTAGGAATAATTAAGGGAGCTTGAAGGTTAGAGGCTAGAGGGATGTAGGTTAGATCATGTCTCCCCCACTGCCATAATTTTCTCACTGTGACAATTTTTGCAAAGCCTGTTTCACTTTCGCCCTTTGAGTTTCAGCATGCCTCATTCCCGAGGTGTAAGCTATGATATGGGAAAAGGGTGAGGACTGCTCTAACTTCTTCCTACTGACAGGGGGCATAGTTGTGGTATGGGTTGCCCCTAGGGTAAGAGGAGTGGAACTGCTTTGCATGTATTCATAGGTGCCTGATTGGGCTTCCAAGGCTTATATGACAAAGACGTTAATATTCTCACCCACAGTTTTAGCATAGCACTTAAGTGAACCACAGACTATAGGATAATGAGTAGATTGTTAGAAATACAGATTCACTAAATAGGAAATAGCAAATTTAAATATATCATCCCATATTTTTTTAATTTCCTAGTCCTGAGACTAGATGAGTTCAGCTGAACAGCTGTTTCCCATATCAGGAGGTGGCATTGCAGATGGGCTAGGCCTTTGTATTTGATGAAGGCAAACAGATTTTTTAATAAGAGGCATTTCAGACAGGTTCCAGGACTATTTCTTCACTGTAATTAGATCTCTGCCCTATGGGTCGACAGTGCCTCACCAGCAGGTACAGTGCCAAAGATGACCCTCAGTAGAAATAAGCAGTTGTAAGAGCTCACCTCTAGGTCTGTTATACTGGAGGAGGCTGATGAACCATGGGCAGATATTTGCAAGGGTGGATCCTGGATAAGCCCCCAAATTTGTAACTGTCTGACGAGTTCTTCCTGCTCACTGTACAAACAAAATTAATTCATGACATTGCAGTCGAGAGAGCATTTAATTGACGCACATCTAGCCATACCATGTGGGAGAGAGAGTTATTACTCAAATCAATATCATAATCTGTTAGAATTTTAAAGGTAATTATTACTAACTTAGCTATAGCTTATCTGTTTATTTATTTTTAGAGACAGGGTCTTGCTCTATTGCTCAGGCTGGAATGCATTGGCATGATCATAGCTTACTTCAGCCTTGAACTTCTGCCTCCTGTCTCAGGAGCCTCCTGAGTAGCTACAACTATAGGCATATGCCTCCTCCTGTCTCAGCCTCCTGAGTAGCTACAACTATAGGCATATGCCACCATTCCTGGCTAATTTTTTCATATTTTTTAGAGATGAGGACTCACCATGTTGCCCAGGCTGGTCTTGAACTTATGGCCTCAAGTGATCCTCCCACCTTGGCCTCCCCAAGTGCTGGGATTATGGGTATGAGCCACAGTGCTCAGCCCACATATTTATATTAGGAAGTTATTTGAAATTGACAGTACTGAAATAATTTTTCTCTTGCTTTTTATTACCTTTAGGGTTAAAGCTTTTTGATAGAAGCTTCCTTGGCTGAATGTGTTGATTTATGAAGGAAGTTGCTGCTTTTTAAATACGTTTCTTTTCAGTGAATAAGAAATGTTGGATTTAGATCAAGTTGATGCAATTATACTTAATAACAGCATTTTGCTCAGAGTCTAAGATGTTTTTTTTCTTTCCACTCCCACCTACTTGGCAGCTTTAGTCCTCTCTACCTTGTTTATTACATACCAGTTCCAATTCTGTCTGTGTTTTCTTCTTCCTTTTCAGATTAAATCTCATTCTCAATTAAATTGTTTTTTATTTAATTATTTTCAATTTTTGTAGGTCAGACTATGGGAAAATGAAATCAATACACAGGTTACAGAATCAGAAGAGCCCAGCATCTTACTTCTGCTGTGGTCAGTTTCTCAAGTGGCAAATAAAGATCATCATTTATCAGTAATGTTACTTTCTCTGGAGATATCAAATAAATATATCTACAAGTGTGGAAGTCCATTTGAATGAAACTTCACAAAGATGAGAACCATTCTAAACTTTGCTGGCAGCTCACAGCAAGCTTTAAAATCTTATTGCAGTACTTATTGCAGCTCATTTTTTAGTTTGAGCAATTTGGTCTAGTACTTCAATGTTTTTCTTCCTAGGCTAGGTCCACAATAGTCACTTATTTTAAATTTGTTACTTAACAGTTTCTTCTTTTTAAAAAATTTCCTAGCTTATTTAAATTTTTTTAAACATTTATTTTAGATACAGCAGGTACAAGTGCAAGTTTGTTACATGGGTATATTGTGTGATGCTGAGGTTTGGGGTACAGATTCTGTCACCCGGGTAGTCAGCATAGTACCCAATAAGTAGGTGTTCCACCCACAGCCACTCCCTCCCTCCCCACTCTTGTAGTCGACAGTGTCTGTTGTTCCCATGTTTATGTCCATGTGTGCTCAATAATACTTTGTTCTTTAGCTTTCATTGATCTAATATTGTTGACCAGAATGTTTCCCCCATATCTTTTCTGGATTTTCATGTTTCTATTTCGAGACATAGCTCAAGTCACATAAATAAGCCTTTCCTGCTTATCATGGTCTCCCTCTTCTCTGAATTTCTATCACATTCATAATTATGTTGATGAACTACTATTTGACTTTCCTAACTCTCCGACTAGATAATACATTCCATTTTACTTTTGCATATCACACTGAATAATCAGTGAGAAAGATGAACATATGATATATGCTTCCTAAATACTTAAAAGTCATTGTGGTTTTTATGTGTCAGGGGAAGAGCTGTGGCTCTAAAGACCTTATAAGATCTCTTAGTTGAAAAACCTTTTTAAAATATGAAAAAACAGACTCATAGAGGGAAGAAGGATTTTTTCTTGAAACCGAATTTATTAGCAAAATATTTTTAGTTCCAAAGTGACATTTTCTTTTTTGGTTTAAGTTTTGCTGTTAATTTGTCGTTTTTGTTTTTTTTTTTTTTTTTTTGCATTATAGAAAGAGAATGTGAGCCTATATACTTTTTGCTATCCTGTATTTTAAGGATTTTCTTTTTGAATTCTTACATTCCACAGAAAATTCATAAATATTTCTGGAATTTATGTAAGGTATAAATTCTGATATTTAGCACCTCTGCATTTTTATTGATATTTTCTTGTATTTGTTATAATGCAAGAGTAGAATATTAGTTTTTCATTACTATATTTTTCTGTCAGTTTTCTGTTGAATAAGCTTTTTGGTTTAGATATTCTATGTTAGTCAGCTTATATTCCTGATAGCTGTTTTTTTTGGTGAGTTAAAAAAATTTGTCACTATAAAATGACCTCTTTTGGGTTCCATTTAATTTTTTTTGTTTGCTTATTTTTTCATTTGTTTGCTTTGAGTTCACTTAGATATTAGTTATTGGTATGCTGTGGTCTATGCCTTTTTTTTTTTTTTTTTTTTTTTTTGAGGCAGGGTCTCACTCTGTTTCCCAGGCTGGAGTGCAGTGGTGTAATCATAGCTTATTGCAGCCTTGAATGCCTCAGTTCAAGCAATCCTCTCACTTCAGCCCCACAGGTGGCTGGGACTGCAGGCATGTGTCACCACACTCAGTTAATTAAAAATTCTTTTTTTTATAGATAGGATCTTGTTATATTGTCCAGGCTGGTCTTGAACTCCTAGCCTCAAGCCATTCTCCTGCCTCAACCTCTCAAAGTGCTGGGATTACAGGTGTGAGCCATTGTGTCTGGCCAATGCTTCATCTTTCAATAGGTTCATTTAATTTTCCCAGGAATGATATAGGGTGTTATTATATTCCATGGTAAAAATGTATTGTTATATTTCACCTTCAGACTTTATTGATGTTGCTTCCTTATTTTTTTAATTTTAAAATTATTATTATTATTTTTGTGACAGGGTCTTGCTTTGTTGACCAGGCTGGAGGGCAGTGGTGTGAACATGGCTCACTGCTGCCTTGATCTCTTGGGCGCAAGCAATCCTCCCACCTCAGCCTCACAAGTAGCTGGGACTATAGGTACATGCCATCACATCTGGCAGATTAAAAAAAAATTTGTAGAGATAGGATCTCCCTATGTTGCCAGATTGGTCTTGAACTCCTAGCCCCAAGAGATCCTCTTTCCTTGGCCTCCCAAAATGCTGGGATTACAGATGTGAGCTACCATGCCTGGCCCCTTATTTGTTTTTAAAATAGCTTTTAGAGAAAATAATAACCTTTGTGGTTTTTGCAAAAAGTATAGAACTGCATTTTTAAAAACTATTATTTAAAAGTACAAAGAAAAATAAAATACCTTTTTATTAAAGTTACATGAGTCTTATCAAATAGAATGAACATTTGTTGGCACTTTTAAATATCAACCCTGATATTTTTCTCTACACACGTGCAAATTTAGGCATAGAATAAAATTTACAAAACAGGACCACATGAATTTTATTTTTAATTTTTTTTTAAGATGGAGTCTCACTCTGTTGCCCAGACTGGAGTGCAGTGGCGTGATCTCAGCTCACTGCAACCTCTGCCTCCTGGGTTCAAGCAATTCTCTGCCTCAGCCTCCTGAGTATGTGGGATTACAGGTGCCCGCCACCATGACTGGCTAATTTTTTTGTATTTTTAGTAGAGACAGGGTTTCAATATCTTGGCCAGGCTGGTCTTGAACTCCTGACCTCGTGAGTCACCCGCCTCGCCTCCCAAAGTGCTGGGATTATAGGCGTGAGCCACCGTGTGTGGCCATGAATTTAAAATATAAATTTATTTCATTATATCCTAGTGGAAAAAAGAAATAGCTGAAGTGGAAGGAATATATGAATTTTTTATAAATGTTTATTCACAACATTATATTTTAGTTTCTAAAAGACTTCTCTAAACAAGAATAGAAAAAAATGCCTTTTTGGTTGATACCATTAGTCTTTTAAAGCTGCATTTCAAATTTTGGTAGTGTCTATTGACTTCCTATTGTGAAACATAAGGAAAATAGCATACTTATATTTTCTTCCTCTCTTCTTGCCAAATTCTGGTATTATTGGTATATTATTATTTATTTTGTCAAAATTTAAAACACTTCCATACATTTTTTGTAATCACAATTTCTATAGTGCTTTCATCCTGTTGATATATCTAAATGGAGTCAAAGCTTACCACTAGTTCTTTTACTATTCCTGAATTATCTTGATTCATTTCTTGGTGAGTTGAGTTTAATCATCCTGTAGTTTTGTGGAAAGCCGTGTAAGTGTTCTTACCTTAATAATTGTATATTGCTTTTATACCTGAAGATAACATCCGCTTCCCTCTGAAATTTGGACATTCCATTTGGTTTTGAAAGTTGCTGTGGAAAAGCCTGAAGGTAGCTTAATTTTTTTTAAAAAGACATCTTATTGGATGAATTACTTTTTCTGTCTGGATGCTCGTCTGACTTATTTCTCAGTCCTTAAGAATTAAAACATTACTCCTCATCAATTAATTATTTGTATATATTTGTTCTTTCTATTTTGATTTTTGTGATTTTTTTCATGTCGCTTATCCATGTTCTTGAGTTGGTTTTTAGTGTATTTATTCTCATTTAAAAAATTTATTTATTCTAGTTATTGCTTCTAGTGTGGCTTTCAACCCCGTATCTTTTGAGTTCTCCAAACAATGAAAAAAAGGGTTTCTTTTATTTCACTGATACAAGGGGTAACTATTTCTCTGAATTCTTCTTTTGTTTCTTTAGGAAGTTTTTGCTATGGAGATTTTCTGTCTTTTATGTTCTCATCTCCCTCATGTCTACCCCTTTCCTTTTTTTGCAATTTCCACACATACATCTCTTCTTATTTTACAGTTACTCATTTTTTAAATGGTGACAGCAGTTTGCTGAAGGATTGTGTGGGGAGTTTTGAGGGAGAGTGATGATTAGCTCAGATCACCTGAATATTTTCACCTTCTCACTCTGTTTATTTTCTCTTTTGCCCTGGGGGTCCATTTTCCTTGGTTTTCAGGGTTCAAGAGGCTAGTGAGTGTCACAGAAGCCCCTAACGGCCCCTGTCACAGGTCCTTGGTGCTAAGAATCAGTGGCTGCCGCTTGTCTTTCTGTCTTCATTGGTTAGGAAGCTGATAAAAGCACAGGTATAGGGCCATATCTTTTGCTTCCATTCTGGTTCTTCTGATGTCACTCCTTCTGTATCCCATGCATGTCCTTAAATCTCATTCCGTTAGTCTAGGACCTGACTCTCTCTTCCGCTTGAAGTCTGCAGAGTTGGTGCCAGCTCTTGGCATCCTATCATACTGTGGTCCAGAATTTAAGATATTTGGTAGGCTTCAAAGTTTGTTGATTGTGACTGTAGTCATTTCCTCATTCAATTTCCTTTTTTTGGGAGGTGGTAGTTATTGTAGTACTTTCTGCTGTTTTTGGTAAGTTTTGCTGTATTATCTTTGATTAGAATTCAAGTCTTTGTCAGTCTTTATTGTTGCTGAGGAGAAATCCATGGACAACCTGATTTTTGTTTTGTTGTAGGTAATCAGTTCTTTATGTTTGATTGCTTGTAGAATGTTTTTCATTTTTTCTGTAAATGCCACACTTGCCACCATATATCTGTATGATGATATTTTCCTTGATATTATTGGGAATGTAGTGAATTTAATCTGTTTAAACCATTTGTTTTGCTGCTGAAGAAAGGTTTCCTATGTTATATCTTTGATTATTTCTTCAGTTTTGTTTGATTTAATCTGTCCTTCAGGAAAACTAATATCTTTTGGTTGGCTACTTATTTTCTGTTCCCAATATCTGCTCTCTTTTTCCTCATAATTTTCATTTCTTTGTCATTTGTTTTCTCTGTTTTCTGTGGAAGTGTGTAAAATTTGTGTTCCATATCAGTTTTGAGAAACCACGGCACTGGTTTTGGTCTTTTCTATGTCTACAGTGGAAGATTTTTTTAGTCTGCTGAGGTACTGTCTTTCTCCCAGCCACTTCCCTCCTACCTCCTGTATCTTTGCTACTCTTAACCAGTGTAGTATATGCCAAGTTACAATTCCCATGAGGCACTAGTACCAAGTACATCTTACTTTGAAACATGTTTATAGTGTTTATTTTGGGGCTTTATCTCTGAGTATATAATATGCCATTATTAATCTCTGTTCTTTACTTGGACAATTTTATAGAATTTGCTACCTTTGTTTAGAAGTCAATAGATAGTGTAGAGGGGCCACGGGCAGTGGTAGAGGTTGGAAAGATTCAAGAGGGTAGTTATAAAATATGTTGCTTCAATCATAGGTCACTAACAGATGTCTGTACAGTTTTCTGGTTCATATAGAACTTGGAATTCTGAATCAGATGGGGCAGTGAGTTTATAATCAGAAATGTTAGGTAGAGTGACAGAACTCTTGGCTTTCATGGGTTCCTATCAAAAGAGGAGAGCTTTGGTTTAGGGCCTAATGAATCTGCTATTGCATTGTGGTATACTGTAACTTAACATGAGTTATGGGGGATGAAGGAACAGAATTATGTCATAGTTCGTATATTTTTTCTTCCTCTTACTATTGGTACCTCAGTAAACATAATTTGGACAAATTATGTCAATCTCATTGAAGGATTTTGGGGGTAAAATTAGTTGCATGATTTTTGATGGTCATCGTTACATGCATGCATATATTTCCATTGTGTCAGATAAAAGGTCTTTATGAGATGACCCCTAGATATTATATTGATGGGGCTTAAAATGGAGAAGCACAAGAATTGTGCTTATAATGTCCTTATAGCCATGTGGCTAAACCATTATTGAGGTATGGCCTGTCATTTGGTACACTACTTTCATAAACTGTAGTATGGCTATTTTGATAAGTGTTTTATTCACATGGAAAAGACCTTGTAGGAATCATTAAATAAATTAAAAAGCCATATCTTTATTTTTATTTGTCAGTCAAGGTTATAATTCTCAGAAAAATTCTCCTTAGGAAAAGTTAGATATCTTCTGCTTGGCTCATGTTTTCATGATCATTTTATTTTTAATGTAATAATGTAAAACACAGCATCCTCCATTCTTATAAACAATATCATAGTAATTACAGTTCCAGATTGTTTGATTTTGTTACATTCCATAGTAAGTCTATTTAATTTGCCTGGCAGAGATTTTAGAAACACTGTATAGCCAAGGATAAGTAGTTGCAGTTAGAATGCCAGTTGGGTTTATGATTTTCTGTTTTATAAATTAAATGTTTCAATGGTAGAATTCTACTTATTACCACATGTTTCCACTGAAAAACTTCTTTAGAAGTACTGTCATCAAGACTGTGAACATCTCTTAAAAATGAAACTCTCAATCTCCAAGAAAATAATTTATACCGGTAGGAAAAATCCTTTTGTGTTTTGGGTTCCTCATTCTGTATCCCATAATTGATATATGGGGGATTCAGTTGCAGTAGGGTTGTAGCCAAAAGGAAAGTGTTTGCTTTTCACTAGTTATGAAGGGTTTGCCTTTCACTAAGCACATACCTTCTTGGCCCTTTGGTCCCGGAGATCATTTCTATCAGGTTAGTGACTTTGCCGTTCATTTTTCTTAGAAAACACATGTGATTTAACATTTTTTTCTCCTTACTTCAGATAGTGGGTCCTCCTGATAACTGAAATTTGACTCTCTGGTTTCAAAGATAGAATGAGTTTATTTTTATGGGTTCCTGAGAATTCTGGGAAATAGCTCTATTTCCCAGAGGAAAAAGTTTGTGTTTTCTTAGTTACTTACTGTAGAATATAAAAGAGAAAAAGTGATTTATTTGTGTGTGGGGGGCAGTAACATAAAGTTTATATGCGGCTAAGCTCTTTGCAGAAGTACTTTGAACTTTAGAACTTTGGATGGACTTAGTCCTTTATTCTGTTAACTGGTGTATGGCCTGTTTTTTAGAACTAGCTTTGGAGTGCAAAAATCTGAGTTATCACCAGAATAAAAAAAGAGAAATATCTCTGTATCTCTGTTTCCCAGAGGAAAAAGTTTATATTTTCTTAGTTGCTTACTGTAATATAAAAGGGAAATGGGAAAAAGTGATTTTTTTTGATAACATAAGATTTATGTGCTACTAAGCTCTTTGTAGAAGAACTTAGAACTTTGGGCTTCAGAACTTTGGGTGGACTTAGTCCTTTATTCTATTAAGTAGTATATGACCTGTATTTCAGAACTAGCTTTGGAGCACAAATCAGAGTTATCATCAGAATAAAAAAAGAGTGTAAATATATAACTCTTATGGTATAGGATGTTGGGTGACTTAAAATTAGAATCAAAAGGAAATGCAAGAATTAGCAATTTTTATTGCTTGCTATGCACTAGCATCATTTCATCATTAGACTCTTAATTTCTACAAAGAGCTACATTGGTAGCTTATTCAAAACTTTCTAAGTCTTTAACACATCAGGTTTAACATTTTAAAAACCTTAGTAAATCCCCTACATCTTAAGAAAAAAGATTTAGGAGAGTGATGGTGCATGTTTACATTTCAAGATAACGGTATTAATTGAAATTACTAAAAGTTGGGTTGAAAAGTAAAATAGATGAATAGTCATATCATTTAAGTCATTTTTGGAATTCTAACTTGAAACTTGTAAGCAAATTAAGTCTCACCTGATAAAATAGGTCTTTAACTCTAGGTTATCTGATCAACAGAACCTGCCAGTTAACAGATTGTGGGGGTTCCCAGATATTCTAAAATGTGGAACTGTATTCAATGGTTTTCCTGCCTTTAAATAGAGAAAATCCACTGACTTTTGTTCCCTAAAGTGCAGTTTACTATTTAAAATAAGTGTAAAATAAAAGAATTGCTACCTGCTTTATTAATGTGCTAAAAAAAGGATAGATACCCATATAATGTTTTGTGTGTGTAATATTTAAGACTATACAAGAAAACTGAATTAATTTAAGGTTAAAATGTTATTGTTTTGAGAGAGGAGAAAGGAAGAAACCAGTCAGGCAGGCAGTTAGGGTGGGTCCTCACTTAAATTGTTTCATACTAAAGAACAGCCTGAAAAATCAAGCTTTGGGCACAGATGAGGGAACTTGCACAGCGGGGCTTGCCTAAGACATGCCCACAGCTGCACAGGTAAGAAAGGATAAACGGGTGACTTGTCCAGACATGCCTGCAATGGAAAATTCTGTCTCCTGAAACATGTGCAGTAAGGGGAACAAAGCAATATGGATTAACTCAAGCTAAGGACCCACATGCGCACTAGGAGGATGGGGTGGAGCTACCAGAAATTCGTGCCTTATGCCGTTATGCAACCCAGCCCTCCTTTGGTTTCTTATAAAAGGCTTTACATTCAGCTGTAAAAATGGCAACTCTTTTCCAGGCTCCCTGTTCATGGTGGAGAGCTTTCTTCTTTTGCTTATTAAACTTTTGCTCTAACCTCAACCTTTTTGTGTCCACACTACTTAATTCTCTTGGTTGTGAGACAAAAAACTCTGGGTGGTACCTCAAAATGAGAGACTGCTACATTGTGGTGCATTGGCAAGACTGTAACAGTTTCAATCAAGTAGAAGATGACAAAATGTTATTCTGGGAATTCGTTAACGTTGAATAATGTAACATGATGAACTATGTTCTATTAATAATTAGCACGTATGTTCTAGTCTTGAAACAACTTGGCTAGATAAAAGCTTTGCTTAGTGAAGAAAGACTTATTACCCTTTTTCCTCTTGTATTTCATCAAAAAATTACCTTTTATGTTCAAATGTTTTTGAGCAAGAGTATTTTTATATTTGTTGATAGTTAGCATGAAGTATATATTATGAAGATGTTTTATGAGCATACATTTATTGGCTAATGAGTAACATGTTATTTCCCAATAACACTGTTCTAAGAATTTATATGATGATAATAGCAATTTGTATCATTATGTGCCAGGCAATATTCTGAATTCTTTGGACATATTAACATATTTAATTCTAAAACAGTTACTACTATTATTACTATTATTGTTATCCTCATTTTATAGATGATGTAACTGAGGCATAGAGAGATCAAATAACATGCACGAGCTCATAAGAAAACATGTAAACAGCTAATTACAGCCTAAGTGAGTTGGTGTTACAATATAGAAAAGCAGAATACGGTAGGTCCATTCAGAGTATTTATCCACCATATTGCTAGAAGTCCCAACAATTTTTGCTTTTACTGAAAAACTCTGATACATTTCCCTTCTCTAAGATAATTGCTTCCCTTTCAGATTAGTGCGATTCAATATTCTATCTAACAAGACGTATGTTATTTAGAGTTGTTAGGGTAAACACCTGGAAAAACCAGAAAGTGGAAGCCTAAAACAAAAGTTATTACTTTTGGAGTGTGGAACTGAGGGGTGGAAGGGCCTGGATGAGTTCCTTAAATATCTTTTAGAAAGTCTCAGACATTCTGAAAATCAACTTGAGTCTTTGGAAAACTAATGATGCAGCCAAGCCTCTTTCATTTAAATCTAAAATAGTTTAGATGCATTAGATTCAAACATAAATTATTTGGAATGAATAAAAAATGAAAGATAAATTATTAAGTATTTTAAGGACAGTGTTATGTAAAAGTGTTTTTTCTTTTTATTTGAGAGAAAAGTTATGGCTTGTGAATTAGAAATTACTAGTATTTCAGTAGTCAAAATACAATGAAAAAAATGGTAGTGTTTGCATTTCAGATGCAACATTTTGTATACTACTTTTTATCTTTAACTTGTATTTATTTCCATTTCTCTCATCTTCTTATTCCATCTTGTTACCTCCAAATTTTAAATGGGTAGTTACAATTCATATTAATTGAATATTTAAAAATTTTCTTGTAAATGGGTAGTTACAATTCATATTAATTGAATATTTAAAAATTTTCTTGGGGCCAGGTGTGGTGGCTCACGCCTGTAATCCCAGCACTTTGGGAGGCCAAGGTGGGCAGATCACTAGGTCAAGAGATCAGGACCATCCTGGCCAACATGATGAAACCCTGTCTCTACTAAAAATACAAAAATTAGCTAGGCGTAGTGCTACAGGTGTGCCTGTAGTCCCAGCTACTCAGGAGGCTGAGGCAGGAGAATCACTTGAACCTGGGAGGCAGAGGTCGCAGTGAGCCGAGAGTGCACCACTGCACTCCAGCCTGGTGACAGAGAGAGACTCTATCTCAAAAAAAAAAAAAAATTTTTTTAGAAGGAAATTACTTTGAATTGTAATATCTACAGTTCGCATTTAGGATTGAATGTCGCAATAACTTAAAGCATTTAGGAATGTAAAAATTCTGCTTTTTGCCTTTTATAAAACTTTACTAATGATGGAGCAAGCAAATATATCTGTTAAGGTCCTATAGTTAGATAAAGACCTCCACTTTCCAAAACCTTAGCAACGTGCATGCCATGTGAATGCAGCATGGGGCTGGTGTGTGAGTGATCAAGCAGCTGCAACACAGTTTATATGGAGACAATATCCAGAGTACTTAAAATTTAAGTCAAATATATGAAAAATTAAAACACAATCACATGGGGAATAATGGAGGGATGCAGTTAAAAAGTTATCTCACTGCTTTTTCAATATCTGCAGGCTTCCAGATAGTAGGAAATTCTTTGTTCTTCCCTTCAACCCATCTGTTGTTCCTTAGTGTAACGACATCACTGCAACTACTGCAGCCACTAAAGCATCGACATTAAAAAAGGCAAAATTTAGAACTTTTTACAGAGTTTTATTAAACTACAAGTTTGCAGAACGATTTGGTCTTTAAATTTTTAAAAAATTTTTTAGTGTGTGTAGCATAGTGATATGATAGAAGTAATGCCCAGGCAGACATACTCTAAGATTAGAACAGAATTCTCAGTATTTGTGTTGGTATAGAAATTTTTTTATGACTTAGAATTAAACATAGAGATTTCTTTATGTATCATTGAAATGAATTACTTTTTAAGTAAGGAGTATGGTTATAAATAGGTGGTCCATTAAACCTGTGTATTTGCTTTATTCCTTTTTGTCCAGACTGTTACATCTTTGCCAGAAATGGAAATGTGTATTGCTGTTTCCTACTCAAAAATTACTTTAAAGAAAAAAGTATTAGTTATTTATGCTAATTTCAGTTCAGTAAATATACCATTTTTGTAGTTAAAAATTTAAAATAGGGTACAAAGCAAAATAAAGTTCTCCTTAAATAATATGAAATATCATAAAATAATTTTTATTTATTTGTGCCTGCCTCACAGCAGACCTTATAAATACTATTTGTTTCTGTTTTGATATTTTTATCAGATAGAATTTGTGTTTACTAGCATAGAATTTAGATAGTAAATTCTTTACTTTTAATCAATGAAATCACAGTTCTCATAGTAATTTTGGATCAGTTATTTATCTTAACTCTTTTTTATTTCTTTATTCCTTAGTTAGTGTCTAAAATCTGTTCTCTTAAGAAAAGTTAAAGTTTTGTTAAAATCACAATAATTTTTGTCCAGGTTACCTTTGCCTATTTTTAAATGCTAAAATACTTAAGCAATAGTTAGATGTTGCCTTTAGGAAGATTATTGTTACCTTCCTTATGTTATTTCTCCCAAATACATATCTTTCTTTCAGCTTGTATATATTTCATGAAAATTCATGCCTATTTTGAATAATTTTTTCAAGATTATGTCACATTTGAGTTCAGGAAATCCAATTGTGAGTAGAAGTATATGTTACTTTACGTTTAGAATATTAAAATGGATTAATGAACCTTGAGTTTTGGGAAATCTCATTCTTAAACCATTTGAACCTCCAAGTGATGCTCAGATATCACTAGCCCATAGAAGACCACAGAAAATTTCATTAACCCATAGAAACCCAGTGAATTCTACAAAGTTTGGTGTTCTAAAGATAAGCTAACTGAATAGCAGTGTTAAATGGAGTTTATTCAGGAAGCCATGTAGCATGGAAACAAGGCCTTTGTCTTGCAATATGAATTTTAATAGGTCTTAATTCCTTAAGTAGGTTTTTTCTATAGCTGGGACTGGAGTCCTGTGGTGTGTAGTCTTTAGGGCCGCTCCACTTTCAAGTCTTTGGGGAGAACTACCTTCTCCAGCTGAAGTTTTCTCCAGGGAATTGGCTTATAGAAAGATGTTTCCTCTTTCATATAGGGACCACCCTTATTCAGTTTCTTCATGCTTGGCAATGAGTTGATTTTCAGTGAATGTTGGTTGAGTGAATGAATGAATGAATGCATGATGAAGAGATTAATGAAAGAATGATCTGAAAACAAGTGACTCACTTAGAAGAGGGTTCAAAGTCATGTTACTTCACAGCCTGAATACCTTGCCTGTGGAAAATTAAAAGAACATTTAGTTTGGCTACTTAAAAATGTTTTTTTTTTTCCCCCTGAGACAAGGCCTCCCTCTGTTGCTCAGGCTGGAGTGCAGTGGTGTGCCCATAGCTCACTGCAACCTCTGCCTCCCAGGCTCAAGTGATCCTCCCACCTCAGCCCCCCAGGTAGCTGGGACCATAGGTGTGTGCCACCACACCTGGCTACTTTTGAATTTTTGGTGGAGATGGGGTTTCACCATGTTGGCCAGGCTGGTCTTGAACTCCTGAGCTCAAGCAATCTGCCCACCTTGGCCTCCCAAAGTGCTGGGATTACAGGCATGACCCACCGCACACCATCTATTTGTGGAACATTTATTTCTTTGTTTAGGTCAAACTTTTTACTGTTTTTATTATGTCAGGTGAATATCCCATGAAGAGTCTTAGATCCATATATAATTAAGGTGATAATTGCAATTTGAACTTATTGTATGCATAAATAATATTTGCTATGCTGATAAGTATGCCTATACTGTTACTTTAAATTATAGAAAAAAGTTGGCCGGGCACAGGGGCTCATACTTGCTCTCCCAGCACTTTGGGAAGCCAAGGCAGGTGGATCACGAGATCAGGACTTCGAGACCAGCCTGACCAAGATGGTGAAACCCTGTCTCTACTAAAAATACAAAAATTAGCCAGGCGCGGTGGCAGGTGCCTGTAATCCCAGGTGCTCGGGAGTCTGAGGCAGGAGAATCGCTTGAACCTGGGCGGCAGAGGTTGCAGTCAGCTGAGATCATGCCACTGCACTCCAGCCTGGGCAACAGAGTGAGACTCCGTCTCAAAAAAAAAAAAAAAATTGTAGAAAAAGTTTCAAAAGAAATTATTAGCGTTGACCTCATTTTATACCAACAGTCATGAGTTCAAGTGTTTTTATGTACAAAATTTCTCATACCACTTTCAAAAAAGCAGATTTGGTTATCTTCTAATGGACCATGTCAACATTTCATTTATATATTTTACCATGAAAATATTTTATATTTTTATTAAACTTGAATACATGCATATTATCATTTTCCACATAAAATATGTAATTATGTGAAAGTGAAAATAGAAGGGGTTATAGCAAAGAAAAATTGGTATCAGAATTATACAGTATCCTGATGCTCTTTGGGAAGAACTTCAGAATTTTAATGATGATATAGACAAGCAGATGACTCACAGACACGGAAAAAAGGATCTGTAATTGTTATATGAGAGGAGATAAATCAACACAGGTCAAAGTATGTATGGATTTCTACCTAGGAGGCCCTGAACACATTCATACTGTATAATGCAGACTTGTATTGTTTCTATTGAAATATTGTTTCTGGAGGTCCCATGATGTCATCTAGGAAAAAGTATCAGTACAGAAAATTTATAATAAAATGAAGTGTCTTTCGGGAAATATAAGACCAAGTGCAGTATGCTATTATTTCTTTCCATTTTCCCTTTTCTGTATGTCTAAATAGGATTGTGTCTCATTTAGTCAATATATAGAACCTATCTCTATAGACTATTTATTAGACTCAGTACTCTAGTTAAATCATAGAGATTCCTATACTGTTAATTACTACAATTATTAATGAGTAATATGCTGTATTTCTCCCAAATATCTTTTTTTGTTCTTCATTATATACCTCTTTATTTCATCACTTTCTTCTGAGAGACTTAGTTCTTTTTCTTCGTGAAGAGATCTACATAAAGTGTAGGTTTTAGTGTGACTCCTAGAAATATTTTTATGTTACTTCATTTCTCAGTGGAGCACAAGTTATATTGTTCTAATGTGGGGCATCTTAAAGACTTTTTCTCCATTTCTCTCAGAAGAGCCTAGGAAGAACCTCTAAATTGAAGGCACAGAAACACAGCATTGTGAATCTTAGTCTAACATATACTTTGAAGCCAGTACAAATAATTTATTTTACATTATATGATGCTGTTTAACTTTGATCTAGTCAATTAAAACAATAAGACTACTTATAAATATTTTTCCATTTATAAATGTTTACTTCTGTTAGCAGCAGCAACCCTCCCCCCCATATGCCAAACACACACACACTCACGCACACAA
The DNA here is from genome assembly GCF_000001405.40 of Homo sapiens. NCBI lineage: Eukaryota > Metazoa > Chordata > Mammalia > Primates > Hominidae > Homo > Homo sapiens. The sequence continues at coordinate 33,294,273 of NC_000007.14, forward strand.
TACTTCCATCTATCTATCATCTATCTATCTATCTATCTATCTATCTATCTATCTATCTATCTATCTATCTATCTATCTATCTCTTTGTCCATCCATCCATCCATCCATCCATCCATCCATCCATCCATCCACCCATCCATCCGAGTATGTATGTACATATCTTTCTTCCCTGGAGTGTGAGTGGCTTGCCAGAGAGGGCAGGCAGAGGCATCTTGGCTGGAGGCTCCAGTTAATTTAAGACAGTGGGCATTATTAATAGGCAGCATCTGCCCTCTCCCTTTTGGTAATGTAGTGACCCTTTTAGCTGCTGGATACCCAAGCTTTAAGAGGCAATCTTTAATGTGATATCTTAGAGTAATGTTCTTACTAAATAAATCACATTTAGAAGCTTTTATGCAATCATAGTCATGCTTGTATATTAAAAAGTCTAAACATGATACACATTAAAAGTGAATTTATATTCATGAAGCCAAATTTGATTTTCTGGTTAATGATGAATTCATCTAGAAATTCAAATGGTTGCTTTTAGTGTTCATCTATGTAAACTGACACAATAAAAATGTAAGTTATGCTATGATATTCTGTGCTTCATTGCAAGTGGTTTTCTTGATAATAAATTTATTTTGCCAAATGCTTTTTCAAATAGTCTCTTCTTTCCTAAGTAAACTTGCTCTAGTTGGAAGTAACTTAATAGGTTTACTGTTACAATGAGACCAGTACAATCTTTTATTTAGGCATTTTATTTAGGAGCTTTTTCTTCAGTTAGTACCCATTCAGTTAGAATGGGCATATTGAACATTTAAAATATGGTTCTAGACTAAAGGATATACAGAGACATTACATAATTTTACACATTTATACTGCTAAGGCAAGCATACGTATTCTACCTATTCATAATATTAGAGAAAAAGAGATACTAATTGCCATTGATGTTTAAGAGTAAAATTCTTAAACCATAGTGGATAATTTCCTGATATTTTTCTCCTGTGTCATTTTCTTAATGGTATTTATACACAATTTTTGGTACTTAATTTTAAATTTGAAATGAGAAATTACTGAACAGCACTTTAAAAATTAAACTTCAAAGACTACAGATTATGTAAAGTTTCAATTATTTGAAAAACAATAAAGTAAGCAAAATTAAGAAATAATTTTTTAAGAAACCAGATTTTTTTGTGATGCTTAAATTTTGAACTTCTTTTTCACTCCTAATTCATCCCATTTCCCCCCATCTTTTAAAATTTCTGCAGAATTTTTTCTACCTTGCATGTAAGTTAAAAAAAATAGTCTATTATTATTTTAGTTTGTGGAATTCAAAAAAACACAGTTCCAGATAATATTGGAATAAAGCAACTTTCCAATTTAGAAAACACTGACATTGAAGTAAGATATGAGAACTTAAGATACGGTTAAGAGAGAACTTAAGATATGGTTTCTTGATAAATCAAGAAAAATTTATATATTGCAATGTGATTTAATTACTATACTGACATCTGTTTGATCCAGACTGTTAACAAAATAGTCTAGAAAATATTGTAATTGGAATTTTTGGTCAACAGTGAATTTTTTTAAGTTACAAATTGACACCACTCTTTATTTGCAAAGAAAAGATAATAAAATTTTTTATACCAAAAAGAGAAATTTTTCACATAAAAATAAAAGGTGGAATATATAAAATGGGTGAGGATATCCAGAACCTTCCATGTAACATGAGTAAGAAAAATCCCAACAATTAACAAACTCATTTTTCAATGGCCTATTAATCACAGAATTAAACAACCATGTAAAAATTAAACCTACTTATACGTTGAAATACATTTTAATTCATCCATAAATTCAACACACTTTAAAATGGGTAGAAAAAGATTTTAACTAGCTTAAAAAACCCAAAATAGATTACTTAAACTGATGTACTATTGCTTAAGAAGTATCTCTGGAATTCTCCGTTAGAGACTCCTGATAGTTATTTTCTGAACATATCTTGGAATCAGTTAGTACTTTTAAGTTATAAATCTGTGGAAAATATCACATACCGTATGTGTAAAACAATTAGAATTTAATTTATGACATTTGATCGTATTTTGATAAAATTTTATGGACAGTGTAAACAATCTTGATACCCAATTGCTTTAACACCATTATTTTCTATTCACAAGTTGCATTATTTGGCAATGATAACTTCATTTTGAGTTTGTAGTTTGGAAGTTCTTTTAAGTCAAGGAATAATCACCTGCTTTATTGAGATTGTTGTAACCTAAAAGAGCAATATGGAACTCCTAGTTAAATGAGACCTCTGACCCAAACTTGGCAATTCTCTCAGCTAGCCAGGGAAAACACTTGCAGGGTTCATTACTTTCTTCTGTCATCTTGAGAGATTCTACCCCATTTTTCTCTTCTACTGACCAACCTTTGACTTCCCAGACTTGTGTTTCTTTCCAACAGAGGCGAATAAACACTCTTGGTATGTGAAGATTAAAGGCCCATGGCCCCTGTAGGTGCCCTGAAGCAAATTTGTTCAGAATTAATTTGGCACTTCCACTTGTGGTTTGTTTAGGATAGGAAACCAGATAGAATTCAATATTGTATCTTGAATCTTAGGACCCAGTACTTTTGTTACAAACAACAGAAAAAGAAAAGGTTTAGGTGCCAGTAACATTTACTCTTCAAAGGAAAGTTTTTGTCTTTCTGTGCCTGGTTATCTTCAAAAGTTGCAGAGTACAAAAGAAAATTTCAGTGGAAATATATTTCTTTCTGATATAGAAAAGACCTTTAAAAGAGTCATTGTTGACATGAAAGGGAAAACATTCTGATTTTCTGGGATGCAAGCCTTAGAAAACAAGCCGGAGTAAAAGAACATGTAGAAATGAATAACATATGACTCCAGGAGATGACCTGTTGTGAATTATTTCAGAATTTAGTGGATATCTCAGATGGTTGATTTTTCTCTACATGTTTGCTCCTATGAACTTACCTTCCTGAGTGGGCATCAGATTTGTTTTAGAGGTGAAAATCTATTCAATGAATACCACTGTTCTAAATACATAAAACTGTAAACCATTGCTATGGAACATACCATGTGATATGTACTTTAAAGAACAAAATAAGTTTCTGTATGACTAAAGAATATAAGGAAGCATTTCTCTAAGAAATTGTAATCATTGATCAGTCTTTAGCGGTGGGTGACTTGGTTTATAGATTTTAGAATCTAAAACTGGTAGATGTGTTTTGCCTATTATAGTTTGGTAATTCTGGCATCATATACCTTAATCTGGAAACAGTAGAAGAATCAAGAAACAGAGAAGCAAGAAGGAATAAACTCTTTTTTTAGGCACCTACTTGCCACCTTTTTTGTGGAGTGGGCAACAAAAGATGTATCTCACAATATTACCAATGCAGTGGACTCCTGGAAGTTTGTTGATTATATTTTATGTAGGAACAGAAAAAGCCAAAAGCAGGCATTTGATAATACTTCTGAGATAGGTTGGTCAATAATACATTCAGAATCATGAAAGGATGCTTCTCTTTAAAAATTGAGCATAGGACAGATTTAACTTTGTTAAACACAAATACCATCATCTTATTGAAAACTTCTTGGACAATTATAGTACCTTATAAATAGTTATCAAAGACAGTTTTTCAGTCCTCTATGGTTTTACCGTAGTGAACCTTTCAAAATTTCATTGGGTAGAAATTTTATTACAGCCTTTTCTTTTTTTTAGGAGAGATATGCTCAGTTCTCTTATTTGTTGGTAAATCTAGACTTTGAATTGTTAATTTGAGGATAAATAGAAGAGAAAGGAGAGATGGGAGCTATAGAAGCATCTTAATTCAGTAATGTCATGGTTCAGGAATATTTTCATTTTTTTTCATTTTAATTTTTTTTTATTTGCCAGGTTCAACATTGACACATAGGAATATTTTTTAAAGCTGTATTTTTAGTGTTGGGGTATTATAAAGGTTAAAGCAGAAGACTCCGACCATGGCTGATTAACTTACTCATTAGCTCTGAGACCTTGGGCAAGCTATTTAAGTTCTCTGTGCCTCAGTGCCTCCCCGCTTTTCTGTAAAATGGGTTTAATAATAATATCTGCTTTGTGGGGTTATTTTGGGGATTGGATAAGTTAACTTTTTATTAGACTGCCTGGCACATGACATTATGTATGTTGTAGCCAACATTACTGTTAGTTTTGGCACATTTACCAATATGCCCACTTTTAACAATTATTTTACTTAGAGAAGCTATAAATACAGTTATTGAATTAAATCCCTTTAAGAATGATAGTTGTTTCTGAATGATATCTCTCTTGAAAGACTGGGCCCAAGATAGCAAAGCTAGGCAAAGAGTTAGGTATTTCCTGGTGAATGTTATGTAATGGGCCACTTAGAAACATCATTTAGTGCCCATGTGTGCAGAGTTCTGTTTTAGCTTCCTTTGCTTGCTGGATTGCAACAAGTTCAAACAGTTCAAATCAGAGGGAGCTGGGAAATGGTGTTTCTTAGAGGCATTTGATTCAGGAAGGCAGCTAGTTATGGCCTGGAAGATCAAGGACTTGAACTGTAGTCCACATAGAGGCGAGGCTGAACTACTGGTACCTTGATGCAGTATAAAGGAACAAGTCACGCTTTTCTTTTTCCATCTATTGAATCAGTACCATGGCCAACCTGGGAGAAAATATTTTAGTTCATGGTTAAAACAGCAGTCAGAAGTCTTTTATTGTTGTTGATAACTGTTTTTCACTTAGAGAAATTTTGGAAGATGGTTATCTGTTTAGTGCTGCCAAATATATTGTTATTATGCAGACCCTGTGGGCAGCAGCTGCAGTTGTTTTCCAAAGGACATGCAACCAATCTAGCTATCATGCTTCAGCATTGCTGGCTGTATTTGGTCTTTTTATTCACAATTGCATGCATACTAAGACTTTCAGTCATAATATTAAAACCGAAGGATGGGTACTGTATTTTGATGATCTGTCTTCTCTTTCATCTGTTCTTATTTTTAGTCTTCAAATTACCCTTATTTTTGAACATTTCTGATCACAATTATATATTCAATTTCTATGTAATATATTCTTTTTTAGGGAGTTCAGGGAAGTTGTATATGATGTGCTGAAATGATTTGCTTTGACTTGACCCAATTATAATTTTCTTTAGCCCTGAGCCAGCTGAAATAAGATTGAGCTAATTTATGCCACTGTTTTTCCAGTAATGTTGAAGTAGGGCAGAACTACTTATTATGATAATGTTCTCTTCCAAAATAATAGTAATATTATTATAATTTAATAATAATCAATATTATTATAATTTAGTAATATTCACAATTTAGTAATTTAATATTTACTAAATATTAAATTTATAATACTAGTTTAATATTTACTAAATATTAAATTTATAATACTAGTTTAATATTTATTAAGCCTGTGCTTTGCATCAATCAGGCACTGGGCTAAGCCCTTATTAATTCACACCAAACAATAATTTTTGAAGCAGGTACTACTAGTATTTTTTTATTTTACAGATGAGATAAGAGACGCTTAGAAACGTTAGCAAACTCTTACAAAGCCAGTTTTGGAGCAGGGATCCAATTTTAGTTGTTTTTGACTTTAGTGTTGGGGTTCTTATTCCCTATTCTGTTTTTACCACCTTCCATGCTATAAATTGGCAAGCAGTCTTGGCAGCAAATAGATGTTCACTCAAATGGGGTAATTGAGAGAGTAGAAATGAACAAAGAGACACTAGCAAGGAATGGTGAAGCATCTTGGCACTAACAACAATGGGAACTATTACCGTTCCTGTATCTGAAAGGGCCAGAGAAGGGATTTGTTATTGGATCCTGCAGAGAGTAGTGTAGCTATAAGAGAGGGCCATCTGATAGGAGCTGTTGCCTTAGATTGATGGACACAATCAATCCTGGAGACTCAGCAGGGAGGGAGGTGAGGAAGTTAATACTCTGACCCCACCTTCCTCCCTCTCTCCAGTCTCTTGCCAATGATTTTCATTGGCCAAACTCAACTGGAAGCCAGAGGGAAAGGGATCCTTGGATGCAGTGGTCAGCTTCTGGCATGGAGCAGATTGGAAACAGATGGGAAGTTTGCAGGGCAAACAGAAAATATCCAGTTCACAGATGCTGTACTGAGAAAATACTTTCTCAATGTCAAAGCATCGGTGAGCCAGGATTTTCTATTTTTGTCTCTAATTATTTGAACCATTTCTTTTTAATTTTAATTTTAATTTTGTCTTCTTAATTATGGTAGGGGAAATGTAGACCAAGGCTCTTTCCTTGCAGTTGCCAGGGTTATAATTTGGATTTTGGAAAAATTAACTTTGGATATGACTTTCCTTGTTTTTTTTTTTTTTCTTCTGTAAAATGGGAATAGCAATATCAATACTATCCCTGTTCTGTGTGGATATAAGAAGGATTCATGAAATAGTAATGAACTCTGGACACTTAATAACATTTAGATATATTCATATTTTAACCTTCCTCCTTAATGTTCTTCCTTCTAAATCTTCAAGCTGCTATCTGAGATTATTTTTCCTTCTGCCTAAAAAATGCTCTTTACTGTTTCTTTTTGTATGGGTCTACTGTTAAGTAAATCTGTCAGTTTTTCTTTGCCTGAAGGCATTTAAAAAAATCTGTTTATTTTTTGAAGGATATTTTTGCTGGGTATAGAATTTTAGATTAGCAGTTATTTTCTTTCAGCACTTTGAAGATATCAGTCCATTGGTCCATCTGGCTTCTGTAGGTATTATTGAGAAGTTAGCTATATTATTATAATTATTACTTCTTTGAAGGTACCTGTCCCTTTCTGGCTACTATATTTGCTTTTATTTTTGTGGGTTTACAATATATATGTGTGTATATATATACACACACATAAATGGGTTACATGAGATATTTTAATACAGGCATGGAATGCATGTTAAAATCAGGATAAATGGGATATCTACATTAGGGTAAATGGGGTATCCATCACCTCAAGCATTTATCCATTGTGTTACAAATAATATAAGCATATTCTTAATTATTTTTAAATATATAATTAAATTATTTTTGAGTATCATCTTCCTTGTATGCCAGAAAATATAAGTCTTAGTCATTCTTTCTATTTTTTTAAATATGGTTAACCATCCCCATTTCCTCCCAACCTCTGAATAGCATTCCCAGCCTCTGGTAACCATCCTTGTGCTCTCCATGCGTTCAATTATTTTAATTTTTAGCTCCCACAAATAAGTGAGAACATGCAAACTTTGTCTTTCTGTGCCTGGCTTATTTCACTTAACATAATAACCTGAAGTTCCATTCATGTTGTTGCAAATGGCAGGATCTCCATTTCTTTTTTATGGCTGAATAATAATAATATTCTATTGTGTATAGGTACCACATTTTCTTTATCCGTTTTTCTGTTGATGGACACTTAGTTTGCTTCCAAACTTTGGCTATTGTGAATAGTGCTGCAGTAAACATGAGAGTGGAGAGATCTCTTCAATCTACTGATTTGCTTTCTTTTGTGTATATAAGAGGGAGTGGGATTGCTGGATCTTATGGTAGCTCTATTTTTAGTTTTTTGAGGAACCTCCAAACTGCTCTCCATAGTGGTTGTACTAATTTACATTTCCACCAACAATGTATGAGGGTTCCCTTTTCTCCACAGTCTCATCAACATTTGTTAGTTCCTGACTTTTAGATAAAAGTCGTTTTATCTGAGGTCAGATTATATCTTATTGTAGTTTTAATTTGCATTTCTCTGATGATCAGTGATGTTGAGCACCTTCTCATATGCTTGTTTGCCATTTGTATGTCTTCTTTTGAGAAATTCCTATTCAGATCTTTTGCCCGTTTTTAGTTGTATTATTAGATTTTTTTCCTATGGAGTTGTTAGAGCTCCTTATATATTCTGGTTTTAATCCCTTGTCAGAAGGATAGTTTGAACATATTTTCTCCCATTCTGTGGGTTGTCTCTTCACTTGGTTGATTGTTTCCTTCACTGTACAGAAGCTTTTTAACTTGATGTGATCCCATTTGTCTATTTCTGTTTTCGTTGCCTGTGTTTGTGGGGTATTACTCAAGAAATCTTTGAGCAGTCTAATATCCTGGAGAGTTTCCCCAGTGTTTTCTTGTAGTGGTTTCATAGTTTGATATATAAGATTTCAGTCTTTAATCCCTTTTTATTTGATTTTTGTATATGGTGAGAGATAGGGGTCTAGTTTCATTTTTTGCATACGGATATCTAGGTTTCTCAGCATTATTTATTGAAGAAACTGTCCTTTCCTCAATTTATGTTCTTGACACCTTTGTCAAAAATTAGTTCACTGTAGATGTTTTGATTTGTTTCTGGGTTCTCTCTTCTGTTCCATTGGTCTTTGTGTCTGTTTTTATGCCAGTACCATTGCTGTATTAGTTATGGTACCTCTGTAGTATAATTTGAAGTCAGGTAATGTGATTCTTTCAGTTTTGTTCTTCTTGCTTAGGATAGCTTTGGCTATTCTGGGTCTTTCGTGGTTCCATATAAATTGTACGATTATTTTTTTCCATTTCTGTGAAGAATGTCATTGGTATTTTGGTAGTGATATCATTGAATGTCTAGATTGCTTTGGGTAGTATGGACATTTTAACAATATTGATTCTTCCAATCCATGAACATGGAACATTTTTCCATTTTCTCTTAAATTTCTTGCATCAATGTTTTATAGTTTTCATTGTAGAGATCTTTCACTTCTTTGATTATTTCCTAGGTATTTAATTTTCTTCATAGCTATTGTAAATGGGATATCTTTCTTGATTCATTTTTCAGATTGTTCATTGTTGGCATATATAAATGCTACTGATTTTTGTATGTTGATTTTGTATTCTGCACCTTTACTGGATTTGGTAATCAGTTCTAAGTTTTTGCTGGAGTCTTCAGGTTTTTCTGAATATAAGATCTTATTGTCTGCCAATAAGGATAATTTCACTTTGTCCTTTCCAATTTGAATGCCCTTTATTTTTTTCTGTAGTCCAATTGATCTAGATAGGACTTTCAGTACTATTTTGAATAACAGTGGTGAAAGTGGCATCCTTGCCATGTTCCAGATCTTAGAGAAAAGTCAATTTTTCCCTATTCAGTATGAAACTAGCTATGGGTCTGTCATATATGGCTTTTATTGTGTTGAAGTATGTTCTTTCTGTACCCAGTTTTTTGAGGATTTTTGTCATGAGAGGATGTTGAATTTTCTCAAATGCTTTTTTTAGTATCAACTGAAATGATCCCCTCCCCCCGCCCCTTCTTTCTTTGGTCTCCCTCTGTTGCCGAGGCTGGACTGTACTGCCGTGATCTCGGCTCGCTGCAACCTCCCTGCCTCGGGCTCCCATGATTCACCTGCCGAGTGTCTGGGATTGCAGGCATGTGCCGCCACGCCTGACTGGTTTTTGTATTTTTGGTGGAGACGGGGTTTCGCCGTGTTGACCGGGCTGGTCTCCAGCTCCTGACCTCGAGTGATCTGCCTGCCTCGGACTCCCGAGGTGCTGGGATTGCAGATGGAGTCTCGCTCACTCAGTGCTCAATGTGGCCCAGGCTGGAGTGCAGTGGCGTGATCTCGGCTCGCTACAAGGTCCACCTCCCAGCCGCCTGCCTTGGCCTCCCAAAGTGCTAAGATTACAGCCTCTGCCTGGCCGCCACCCTGTCTAGGAAGTGAGGAGTGTCTCTGCCTGGCCGCCCATCCTCTGGGATGTGAGGAGCCCCTCTGCCCGGCCGCCCCGTCTGGGAAGTGAGGAGCGCCTCTGCCCGGCCGCCACCCCATCTAGGAAGTGAGGAGCGTCTCTGCCTGGCTGCCCATCATCTGGGATGTGAGGAGTGCCTCTGCCTGGCCACCCCGTCTGGGAAGTGAGGAGCACCTCTGCCCGGCCGCCACCCCGTCTAGGAAGTGAGGAGCGTTTCTGCCTGGCTGCCCATCATCTGGGATGTGAGGAGCGCCTCTGCCCGGCCACCCCATCTGGGATGTGAGGAGCGCCTATGCCCGGCCGCCCCTTCTGGGAAGTGAGGAGCGCCTCTGCCCGGCCGCCCCGTCTGGGAAGTGAGGAGCACCTCTGCCCGGCCACCCCGTCTGGGAGGTGAGGAGCACCTCTGCCCGGCCGCCACCCCATCTGGGAGGTGAGGAGTGTCTGCCCAGCCGCCACCCCGCCTAGGAATTGAGGAGTGCCTCTGCCCGGCCGCAACCCCATCTGGGAAATGAGGAGCGCCTCTGCCTGGCCACCACCCCGTCTGGGATCTGAGGAGCGTCTCTCCTCGGCTGCCCTGTCTGGGAAGTGAGGAGCGCCTCTGCCTGGCTGCTGTGCAATCTTCCAAGTGTGAAGTGACAGCCTTTCTGCAGGTGTACCCAACAGCTTGGAAGAGACAGCGACCATCGAGAATGGGCCATGATGACGATGGCGGTTTTGTCGAAAAGAAAAGGGGGAAATGTGGGGAAAACAGAGATCAGATTGTTACTGTGTCTGTGTAGAAAGAAGTAGACATAGGAGACTCCATTTTGTTCTATACTAAGGAAAATTCTTCTGCCTTGGGATGCTGTTAATCTATAACCTTACCCCCAACCCCGTGCTCTCTGAAACATGTGCTGTGTCAGCTCAGGGTTAAATGGATTAAGGGCGGTGCAAGATGTGCTTTGTTAAACAGATGCTTGAAGGCAGCATGCTCGTTAAGAGTCATCACCACTCCCTAATCTCAAGTACCCAGGGACACAAACACTGTGGAAGGCCGCAGGGAACTCTGCCTAGGAAAACCAGAGACCTTTGTTCATGTGTTTATCTGCTGACCTTCTTTCCACTATTATCCTATGACCCTGCCACATCCCCCTCTCCGAGAAACACCCAAGAATGATCAATAAATATTAAAAAAAAAAAAAAAAGAAATGATCATATGGGTTTTGTCCTTCATTCTGTTGATTAGATGTATCATATTGATCATTTTGCTTATGTTGAACCATGCTTGCATCCCTAGGATAAATCCCACTTGGTCCTAATGAATCATCTTTTTAATGTGTTTTTGAATTCAGTTTGCTAGTATTTTGTTGAGAATATTTGTGTCAATATTCATCAGGGATACTAGCCTTTAGTTTTATTTATTTATTTTTTTGATGTACCTTTGTTGGTTTGGGTATCAGATTAATACTGGACTTGTAGAAAGAGTTAGGAAGTATTCCTTCCTCCTCTATTTTTCAGAATAGTTTGAGTGGGATTGTTATTACTTCCTTAAATATTTGGTAGAATCAGCAGTAAAGTCATCGTGTCCCAGGCATTTCTTTACTAGAAAACTTTTTATTACAGCTTTCATCTCGTTACTCGATATTGATATGTTTAGGTTTTGGATTTCCTCATGGTTCAATCTTGATAGGTTGTATGCGTCTAGGAATTCATTCATTTCTTCTAGATTTTCTATTTATTGGCATATGTTGCTCATAGTACCTCTAATTATCCTTTTAATTTATGTATCATTGGTTGTAATGTCTCCCTTTTTATATCTTATTTTATTTATTTGGGTCTTCTGTCTTTTTTTCTTACGCTGGCTGAGGGTTTGCCAATTTTGTTTACCTTTTCAAAAAAACCAGCTTTTCATTTGGCTAATCTTTTGTATTGTGTTCTTCATTTTAGTGTTATTTATTTTTGCTGTGATGTTTATTATTTCCTTTCTTGTAATGATTTTGGGTTTGGTTTGCTCTTGCTTTTGTAGTTCTTTAAAATGCGTTGTGAGGTTTGAGGTTTTTCTACTTTTTTGATGTAGGCACTTATATTTTTGTTTTTGCTTTGTATTTGTTTTTGCTATATCTCATAGATTTTGGTATGTTGTGTTTTCATTATCATTTGTTTCAAGAACTTTTCAGTTTCCTTCTTAATTTCTTCATTGACCCACTCTTCATTCAGGAGCATATTGTTTAGTTTCCATGTGTTTGTATACTTTACAAAATTTCTCTTTTTGTTGATTTCTAGTTTTATTCCATGTGGTCAGAGAAGATGCTTGATATTATTTCAATTTTTTGAATGTTTTAAGACTTGTTTTGTGACTTAACATATAGATGTTAAGTCACAAATCTATAATGAAGGCCATCATGCTACTGAAGGTTTTTTCCTTCCATGTGCGAAATTCATTTTATGTGAAGTCTCTCATAGTCAGTCCTGTTACTCAGGACAAGAACATGTAGAAAACGGAAAATATGAAACTTTATGATTTAAAATATGAGTCTTTTACAATCAATAAATTGTTTTGGAATAAAAATGATGAATGGCTTTTCTTTTGATAATAATCTGAAAAAGTGTTTGTATTAAATCCGGTAAGCCAGATATTTGAGTTAGTGAATTGATATTGTATGATGGAAAGTATCTGAAGCATTTTGGTTTCTTGAAAGGTTATGTTGTGAAAAATTTGTTTTGTAAGAGTAGACGTACAAAAAGCATATGCTATTGTTATTACCTAGAATCCAATAAAAGATAGCTTTTTGAAAATTATTACCACATGTGTGTAGGAGTTGCTTTTGCAGTTAGGTTATTTTAGATACCAGAATAATTTGTTTCATATTTTAAGCATAGAAATGCCCCTTCAAATTTAGTATCCCTGTGACTCTAGCATGATATATGTTAGAAATAGCACAGAATAAAATATCTTGGCAAATAATTGAAGTAACACATTCTATAAGCAATCTCTTGAATGAAATAAGGATATTTGCAGGAACATTGTATGTACGCGGTATCTGTGAGGAATCTTCTCAGCTATTAAATGCAAGACTTTTGTCTTAAACCTCAAAATTTTAAAAAGCAAGAACACAAAGCAATTTGAATCACAATTCACTGGTAAATGCAATATAGCATTCTTTTCAATTTTCAATTTGTAACCTATATTTGCCTTTAAAGTATCACTTAGTTGTGTATATACAGTAACAAAAATAAGATTTTCTTTCCTACTTGTGGTCTGAGTTTATTGGATATTAAATGTTGGCAACATTCTGAAGTCATTTGAACCCAAAGGGACTTTTCAGCCTGTTGTAATAGTGGTAGCAGAAGTAATTAGTAATCATAAAGAAGGCCAATTCTTGTTTCTCATTTTGAAGAGCATGTGTTTGTTGTGGTCTGTTATTATTGATGGTTTATCATAAACCATCTAGAATTTCAAAAAAGTTTCTTATTAGCAGTGACATGTGTTTACAAAATTGGCTTGTCCAGTTTAGAAGTATAATCTTTGCCTTAACTATTGCATTTTTTTTTTTTGTAAACACTCATCCCTTAGTATGTGTGGGAGATTGGTTACAGGAATTCCTGCAGATCCAAAACCTATGAATACTAAAGTCTCTTATATAAAGTGGCATAGTGTTTGCTTATAACCTATGTACATCTTCCTGTATTATTTAATGTCATCTCTAGATTATTTATAAAATTGAATACAATGTGAATGCTATGTAAATAGTTGTTATACTGTATTTTTTAGGGCATAATGACAAGAAAAAAGTCTTTGCGTGTTCAGTGCAGATGCAGCCATCTTTTTTTTTTTTTTAGTATTTTTGATCCATGGTTGGTTGAATTCATGGATGCAGAACCTATGAATATAGAGGGCTGATGGTATTTGTTACTAATTAATTCCTCGGCTGTAGGACCTGGTAGTCATTTATTGAAATGTTGTCACTTTATACTCTCCAAAAGTGCAGTTCTAACACAAACCAATTGCTAGGTATTGTTAGCACATCTCCAAAGTGGCCTAAGTCGAAAACCAGGTGGGAGTGAAGTGACACGTGCTCATTGGTGTGTATGTGTATAGTGGGGCTGGGATTGGGATTTCATTGTGCAAATGAATAGATGTCATCTTCTGACTGGTAAAAGGCAGGTAAGCAGCATGTTGTTAGTTTGATATTCTCAGAGGCTCAGGCAGCTAGCTGAATGTATGCCTCATGAAGACATCATTAGTAGGAAGCATAGCAATAAAGGGTCTGCAGCATCTGCTGAGAAATGTGGAATCATGTTAGGAAGGACTGGATTTGGAGGACACAGCTCATTCCAGACCCCGCTTCTCTCTTTAGAGAACAAAATAAGGCCAGAATTAAGGGATAGACTGCCCAAAGGGTGTGAAAGCAAATTTAGAAAAAAGTTGATTTATCAAGATTAGCCTAACTTTTCATGTAGGAGTGAAGTAGATGAGAAATTAGAAATTACAGAGTTTCTGAAATTCATTGCTTTTACTGGAGTGTACTAACATGTTATCATTGCTAAGGTGTCTGTTCAGAAGATCTGGTTATTCACTAACGGTCTGATGTTTGGCAGCTTGTGTTTGTAGAGGTATAGGAGAGCACTATCCATCACAGTTCTGTACCTAGGATTTGTATTTCCCTACTGAACTTTGTACCATAATGATTCTCCATCTCAGTCAGTTGACAGCTTACTTAAATGATTGTGGCAGTTTTCAAGAGATGAATAGATCTCTCCTTGGAATTTTGAAAATGCAAACCCACATCAGTACTTTATGAACAGTGTTTTAAAAATAGACTTTGTACTTATTGTTCCTCAATCCTGACGTAGCTTCTATGGGGCAAATGAGAAGACTCCACCTCTCACTTATGGCCTCTTAGGAGCCACCAACTATACACATATGAAAGAAAATGAAGCATTTTTAAAGCAACGTAAAAACAAATATTATATCAATTGGTATAGATTGTATTTTTAAGTACCAGTTGCTTTTTGGCACAAGGAAAGAATATGGACTTTGGAATCAGAGTGAGCTTGGTTCATTTATTAGTTATGAAATTTTGAGCCAATCTGTCACTTCTCTGAGCCTGAGTTTTCTCATCTGCAAAATGTAGGTGACAGTAATGAGGGCTTAGATCTATGGTTCTCAGTCTTGATGACATTAGAATCACTGGAGTAGGGGGTCTTTAAATAAAACTGATGCCTGGATTGCAGGAGGATTACATAGAAGTAGTTAAAAGAAGATTCTTAGGTGATTCTAATATGCAATAGGATTGAGAATCACTAGCCTAGACTAAGGTAGTGGTGAATGAACCCAAGGTTTCCAACACTTCAAATTATAACACGTTTGAGTGAAGGATGGACCCAAGATTTCCAAGACTTCAAATTATAACACGTTTGACTGGTGAATGAACCCAAGATTTCCAAGACTTTGAATTATAACACATTTGAGCTAGAAGTAGTTTAACTGCTTCATTTTAGAAATGAGGAAACTCAAGAAGCAAGTACATAAATTGATTTGGTGACTTTTTATATAGGGGCATGAAGCAGAAAAAGAATTATTGTTATTCTTTGGAACAGAGGTGATGGGTTAATTATAGTGATATTATAAGAAATAAGAAGGTAGGAAAAGGGACCAGGTTTTTGAGAAAGAAAAGCTTGGTTTCCAGCCTGTTGAATGTATGGTGACCGAGGTACATAGATGGAAATAAATGTATATGAAAGTCCCTTTTAAACTGAAAATACTCATACTCATGTAAGTTAATATAATTCAAGTGGAAATACTTAGAAGGATCCGGCCATGTGGTATTGGAGGTTACAGACTAGGGGTTAGGCTGGCACCTGTCAGTGCAGAATTAGTAGCTAATATAGCATTGAATTCTCAGGGAGTTAGTGGAGCATGGGAAGAAGAAAGGTCTGAGTAGAATATTTAGGGATTCTCATAATTAGGAGGCAGGATGAAGAGATCTTAAAAGAAACTAGAGAAGGTAGAGAAGCAAGAGAGTTAAGTCCAGTGGCATCGGAGCCAAAAAAGGGGCACATATCACAACAAATATCTGTGTGTCTGCAAGACCTGTACTTTCCAGTGTCTGCTGGGTATCACCTTAGTGTTGAGTAGCTGTCTCAAAATCCAAGCTTGCTTGCCTTGCCTCCTCAATCACCCCACAAAATTCAGCCCTCCTCCTACAGTGTGTTTAATCTTGATAGATGGCTTCATACCCAGCTTTCCCAGGCTAACACTTAGGAATCATCTTTGATTTCTTTCTGTCATTGTTTTTCTACATTTAATCGTCATGTAGTATTATTTTTTCTATCTTTGTCTTGTT
This sequence comes from Homo sapiens, assembly GCF_000001405.40. Lineage (NCBI taxonomy): Eukaryota > Metazoa > Chordata > Mammalia > Primates > Hominidae > Homo > Homo sapiens. The sequence continues at coordinate 33,310,296 of NC_000007.14, forward strand.
TTTTCTGTTCATTGTCATTACACTATTTCTACTAATTCCAAAGCCTACTATATAGATTTTTAAAAAAAACACACTTGTTGGAAATGTTATAATTTCTTCTATGTTGGAAGTGAAACCATGGTCATTATGTGTATAACAATTCACTCATTCTGGGCAAGAGCCAAAACACATCCAGATGGGCCATGGATAGGATGACAATATAATATTCATCCAAATTGGGATATTTCTGAGAGTAAAAGGGGATTCTGTTAATAATTTTACCAGGATAACAGGCATTAAAAGGGACTGCCTTGTGCAACCAGGATATATGGCTATACTAGCTCCCTGGTTCCCAACTGGGAGCAGTTCCCTACCCCAGGGGACATTTGGCAATGCCTGGGGACATTTTTGAATGTCATAACCGGAGCAGGAAGTGTTGTTTGTTTTTTGTATTTACTGGTAGAGGCCTGGAATGCTGCTAAACATCCTGTGATACATGAGACAGTCCCCACAAGAAAGACTTATTTGGCTTTTTGCATTTAATTAATTCAGCAAGTGCTTATTTAACCCCCTTCTCTATGCCAGCCACTGTGCTAGATTCTGGGGATATATTCATGAGCAAAGCAGTCATGGTCACTGAATTCATGGAACTTGTAGTGGGAGAGACCAAGATTAAATATATAATTGCTCAAATAAACATATCATTCCAACAGTGAGAAGTACTGTGAAGGAATAGTAGCTGGCACTTTGGGAGCATATAACAGGGGACCTGGCCTAGAATGTGAAGTGAGGGAAAGTTTTTCTGACATATTGAAATCCAATGGCTAAGCAGACCTGAACCAGACAAAGATCCTTTCTAAGAAGAGGTGAGGAAGAGTGTACCAGGTGCCAAAGGGGCATGGAAGATGACCACTTCAGATAAGTGGAAGAGGGCCAGAGTGGTAGAGGGACTTAGGGTAGGGGATGGGAGGTAGGTGATGAGAGGAGGCTGCTGAGGTGATCCAGGGGTCTGTTCAAAGGGTTTTGATTTCTAAACAGGAAACCATTGGAGGTTTCTGATCAAGGGAATGATCAGATTTGCATTTTATAGAAGGCTGCATTTCTGAAATATTATCTAATTGTGTCACTACCTTTTTTACTATCTTGCTTTAAAGAGACTGAGTGCTCACAGCATTTGAGATCTGTCCTAGCTAGACCCATTTGCATTTGTGACTTATCTCTCACTCTGTATATTCTTCTCATATACCCACCTTGCTTACTGTTAGAAAGCTGCCTTGCTTTTTCTCCTCAAAAATGTCTACATATTCCGAGGCAGGCAGATCACTTGAGGTCAGGAGTTCGAGACCAGCCTGGCCAACATGAGAAAACCCCGTCTCTACTGAAAATACAAAGATTAGCCGGGTGTGGTGGCATGTGCCTGTAATCCCAGCTACTTGGGAGGTTGAGACAGGATAATCGCTTGAACCTGAGAGGCGGAGGTTGCAGTGAGCCAAGATCGCACCACTGCACTCCAGCCTGGGCAACAGAGTGAGACTCCATCTCAAAAAAAAAAAAGTGTCTATATATTAACCTTCCAGTGGCATAAAAGCAATGGCTATTTTTTTTCTGACTGACATTCCTCTGTGCAATAGAATGTTAATCTAAATTGTAAGAAACCTGCTTTCCCCCATATGGCATATTAAAAGCAATTTTAATTTTGAAAGAAAAATAGTTCATCCAAGAAACATTTGCATTTTGTAATACAAGGTTTCTTGCCAATGCTTTAGCCACACTGCACTTGCAATGACATACAATTGTGTACCCTTAAACCTCTGTTCCTGCTGCTCCTCCACCAGAAATACCTTTTTTCTGTCCACCATTTTTTTGATTACATTCTACTTGTTTTTCAAATCCTCCATGAAACCTTTCTTGGTTTCACAAGATTAACATTTTATAATGTTCTTTTCTGTGTTATGACTGAATTTTGTGCATCCATGATATTATTTAGCACATAGCGTCTTGTGTTAGCTAGAGCGGGATATAGGCATCTGTCTTCCTTAGTGACTGGAAATGAATATACTTCTGTAACCTTTATGACATGATGACATGTAATAGTGTTGCATTAAAAATATTGTTTTTAACACAGCATCGTGTAGCTGCGCAGTGAATGCTTATTGAATGAGGGAATGGGAGGGGTGTGATTAATATTTTCAAATGCCGCATAGATATTGAGGAGGACTGAGAAAATATATTGATTTCCTCCACTGGAGTCTTTCCATAGCTTCTCATTGGTAGTGGGGTAAGGCCTACAACATCTTGCCAGACATTCAAAGGCCTTATGCACCTTTCATTTTTATCATAATTTTTCCATTTCAAGCCTCTTGGGGAGAAATAGACTTCTCTGGCTGGTAGGAACACATGTATTTTAATATTATGCTTGTGCTGTTCCACTTTTTCAGAATGACCTCCCTAGCCTTAACACCTTTACAAATTATACTTGTTCTTCTGGGTTCAATTTGACTCTTAATTTATCTGCTTAATTTTCCTTCATAGCACCTGTCATCTTTGAATGTACTACATTTATTTCTTTTGTTCATTATTTTTCTCACCCCTCTAAAATTTGAATGAACTTTTTCAGGACAGAGATTTTTGGGTTGTTTCTTCATTTATAGTCTAATTCTGAGAACTATGCTTGAAACATCATTGGTATTCAATATGTATTTTTTAAATGAGTGGTTCTGGCCTTAGTAAAATACTTTTCTATAAATGTGCTGTACTCTGTGGTGTGTGTGTGTGTGTGTGTGTGTGTGTGCGCGCACAGGCACGTATTTGTATTTGTGTGCTTTGTGGATAACACTTTGTTGAAATGCCCTACTTCTTCCCTTATTGAATTCTTGCTTAGGTCATTTCTTCTAGGAAGCATTCTTTTCCCTCACTGTCTGATTTTTTTGGTCTTCTCCTTTGTTTATTTATCTTATATATCTCTATATTACTCTCTTTACTTTTAAGTTCCTTGAGGGGAATGACCAGTGTAACTTGCCCATCTTTAGCCTCTAGCGTGGTGCCTGAACATTGTAGGTGCTAAATAAATATTTTTTCATTAATGAAAGAAGTTGCGTCAAATATTTATAAACATATTTTGCTTCTGGAGTACGAAATAGGCACGTCTGAAAGTTACATCATTTTCTTTTTTTCTGGTTAGCAATTGTTTAGTCTGTGAACATAATTAGATTTAACAGTCTTGTGTTGACTTTCTAGTAAGTCTAATAAGAGTTAGTTTCAAAAGAACAGGGTAACCTCTGAGTTCTTGATACACAAACATTTCTTTACTACAAAAGGTATTTTGTTCAGTCTCCCTTCTATAACCTCTGTAATTTTTGCAGTTTTCGGTGACAACTTCTTTTTGTGCAGAATTCTTGCTGCTTTGATATCTTTGAAGGCTGGCCTTGGCTCCTCCATTTTACTTGTCCTTTTCTTGGGCATTTTAATTACCATGTCCCTCTCATTAAGTAATCCAGCTCTTGATTATTGAGGCTAATGGTGAATAGCAATAACAACTGAAAGCCATTTACATAAACCTCAAATTGCACCTTAAAAATTATTTAAAAATGTCTACTCTTGAGAAGTCAGCATGGCATAGAGAGCAAAACATACCTCAGTATAAATCAGGAAACTGAGGTTCTAGGTTTGATTCTTCCTGGCTCCTGGGTTTTTGTGTTCAGAATGAGCTGTGTATGTGGAAATGTATTATTACGAAGCTTTTCCTGAAAGATGGTTATGTAAGAAAGGACCAACAAGACATGATTATTTTTAAAAATAGCAAAAGTAGCTCCCCAGCACATATTTGCTAAACATATGCAGGTAATTTGCTAAATGCTTGACTTATTTCCAGGAAGGGGTTAATACAGTGGAAAATTCTGGCCTAGAATCATGTCTTCTTTTATGTGTTAGGTAAGGACTTCAATATCTAATTTTAATTTCCTTTCTTTTTTTTTTTTTCTTACAGATTTTCTTTATGGAAGCATTTGTTGCCTCGATCTTCCACTTTAGAAAAATGAAGTTTCTCCTTTTCTTTGGGAGAGGATATATCTGAATACTTGCCTTCTTGGCATTTATACATTCAAAGCTCAGTGCTAGATTAGAGCTATTATTTGCATAGTCTTTTGGTATTGCCCACTTTTGGCATTACCATATTATTTGACAATTAGAAGGAATAGGGAAGGAATATTACATGACTGTAAAAGAGTTGGTTATATTTTATGTTGACTTCAAGGGTTCCATTTGAACTATTATGGGCAATTAAAGAGTTTTACATTTCTTTGTTAGTTGATTGGTATCTGGAGTGTTGTAGTGTGTTTGTATTTGCTTATAAATAAGTATTATAGATAAAGATAAACTTCATAAAGAGTGGATATTTTGGGGAAAATTTCATGTGGATAATGTCATCCTGTCTGGCATTGACATACACAAATTCAATCTCACATAGTCTTTGCCTTGAGAGAGCGTACAGTCTATTCAAAGTTGACACACATGCACAAAAATGCAATAACATTTTATAGATGCTATTATAGAAAAACTATTTTGTGGGGATAGTGAGGTTATAAAGGTAGGAGTGATGTATTTTATCTGAAGATAGTAAGACTGGCTTTGGGAGAGAGAATTTTTAAAAGAGGAGTGGGTATTTGCTAGGTTGATTGTGCCAATTAGCTTTGCTGTGTAACAAACCATCACAAATGTAGTAGCTTACAACAATGATTTATTTAGGTCATGATTCTATGGGTTAATTTTGGGCTGGACTTAGTTGGATGATTTTTCTGCTCTTGGCTGGTGTATTGGTTTCCTAGGGCTGCTGTAACAAATTACAACGAAGTTGGTGACTTAAAACAACAGAAATTTATTCTCTCACGGTTCTGGAGGACAGACTCCAAAATCAAGGTGTCAACAGGGCTGGTTTCCTCTGAAGGCTGTCAGGGAGAATCTGTTCCATGCCTCTCTCTTAGTCTTTGCTAGCTGCTGGCAACCCTTGGTGTTCCTTGGCTAGTAGACTCATCATTGCAGTCTCTTCCTCTGTCTTCACAAGGCTCTCTCCCCTGTGTTTCTCTGTCTTTTCCTTTTCTGTCTCTTACAAGGATACACATCATTGGATTTACAGCTTGTCTTAATTCGGAATGATCTCATCATTCTCTTACCCAAAGCAAGCCACAAAGTCAGTCCAGATTCAAGGAGCGGAGGAATAAAATGATTCCTCCGTAATTTCCCTTGATGAAACGAGCTGTAAAGTCTCATTACAAGGACAGCGAATACCTAGAGGAGACCATTTTGGTCATATTTGCAGTCTACCACACTGATAAAGAGAAATGGGGAGGATGAAGGGGAGGGTTAAATAGGGGTGGAAGAGAACATTTGTAGCATAATATAGAGTTAAAATGTTAGGCAGTCCTAGGTCATGTCAGGGTAGATTTTATGTATCATCTTTCTAGGTGTGTTGGTGGTGTCATTTTATGTGGATATATATGTGTATACATGTATTAATTTTATTTGTGATTTTTTTAAACCATCAGTTTTTTTATTATGGAAAAGTTCAAATGCATACAAAGTAAATAGTATAATAAACTCCTGTGCACACAGCACTAAGCTTAAACAATTATCAACCTTCTGGTGTGCTTGCTTTTTCTATACTTCCATCTACTCTTATTTTTTATGGCTTTTTGTAAGGTAAAATTTACATACATTGAAAGATACAAACCTTAACTATGCACTTTTGACAAATGGTTGTATCTGTCTCATCCACACGTCTCTCAAGTTATAGAACATTTCCATCACCTAGAAAGTTTCCTTGTGTGCTTTCTCTGTTAATAATCCCCTCTTGCCTGCACCCAGGTAACTGCTGTTCATATTCTCTTTTTCACAATAGGTTTAAGTTGCCTATTCTAAAACTTTATGTAAGTGGGATCATACAGTAGGTATGTTTTAATATTTGTCTTATTTTGTTCAACGTACTATTTTTTAACATTCATCTGTGTTGTTGCATGTAACAGTGGCAATTTATTTTTCTATTGCTGAGTAGTGTTCCATTCAATGAATATACCATAATTAAAAAATCTCTTCTGTGTAAATCTTTTTGTGGATTTATGTTTTCATTTATCTTGGCTAAATGATGAGGAGAAGATTTGCTGAGTTAAAGGGTTGTTATATATTTATTCTTTAAGAAACTGCCAAAACTTTTTGCAAAGTAGTTAGACTATTTTACATTCCTACTAGTGATATGACAGTTCTGGTTGCTCAACATCCTCTCCAACATTTAGTACTATCAGTCTTTTTAATTTAGATATTCTAATGTGTGTATGGTGCTAGCTACTTGTGATTTTAATTAGCATTTCCCTGATAACTAATGATGAGCATTTTTTTCGTGGCTTATTGGCCATTTTTATACTTCGCTCTGTGAAATGTATATTCATGTCTTTTGCCCAGTTAAATTTTTTTTTGGTTGTTATAGTAGTTCTTTATATAGAAGGACGCAAGTCCTTTGATGAAAATTTGTTTAGTGAATATTTTCTCCCAGTCCTTGGCATGGCTATTCATTTTTTCACAGTGACTTTTGATGAGCAGAAGTTTTGAAACTTGAAGAGGTCTAGTTTATCATTTTTCCTTTAAGGTTTTTGCTTTCTGCATCCTAAGAAATCTTTATCTATTACAGGTCATCAGGATATTGTCTTATATTTTCTTTAGAGAGCTTTATAAGTTTAGCTCTTTTTTAGGTCTGTGATCCATCTCAAATTAATTTTTGTGTATAATGTGAGGCTTATTTTTTTCCAAATGGATATCCAATTGCTCCAACACTATTTATTGAAAAGACTTTCCTTTCCTCTTTGAATTACTTTGGCATCTTTGTTGAAAACCAATTGAGCATATGAGCATGGGTTTGTTTCTGGAGTCTTTATTCTGTTCCATTGATCTGTTTAGTCTCATGCCAATACCACATTGTCTTGATTACTGTATGTAGATTTATAGTGTATCTTGAGTTCACTCGTGAAACCCCTCCATATCTATTCCTCTTTTTTCAAGGTTGTTTTGCTATTTTGGGTTTTTTTGCATTTTTGTAGAAAGTGTAGAAATCAACTTGTTACTTAAAAAAAAAAGCTGGCTGGGATTTTCATCTGGATTATGTTGCATCTGTAGATCACTGGTGAGAATCAACATCTTTTTTTTTAACAATATTAAGTCTTTAAGGGTGTATCTTTTTAAAGCATATTTCTGTTCAAATAAAGTAGAGGCAACACCTTTTCGTCCATAAGGCTATTGGGGGATTAAATGAGATAATGTGGTTTCACCCCCTAAAGATGTTTGAGTTTGTCTCCTCTCTCTTCCCATCCATCTTGCCTGGGCTACCATCTTTTCTTTCCTGGATTTACTGTGTTAACTCTATCCAAAGTGGTCTCTTCACATTGAAATCAGAAGAGATCTTTGTCAAAGATGAATCTGATCATGTCACTCCTGTACTTAAAACCCTTGCATGGGCCAGGCGCAGTGGCTCACGCCTGTAAGCTCAGCACTTTGGGAGGACAAAGAGGGCATATCACATGAAGCTAGGAACTTAAGACCAGTTTGGCCAACCTGGCGAAACCCCGTCTAATAAAAACACAAAAATTAGCTGGGGATGGTGGTGTGTCCATCTGTAATTCCAGCTACTTGCGAGGCTTAGGCATGAGAATTGCTTGAACCCAGGAGGCAGAAGTTGCAGTGAGTCGAGATCACACCACTGCACTCCAGCCTGGGCAACAGAGCAAGACTGTCTCAAACAAAACAATACAAAACAGAACAAAACAAAACTCTGTCTCAAACAAAACAAAACAAGATAACAAAAGCAAAACCCCCTTGCATAACTTCCCATTGCTTGAAGATAAAATTCACCACCTTTAATGGAGTCTAAAGAGCCTGAATAATTTAACCTTTTGTGATTCCTTGGCCCAATCTTGACTTAATTGCCCTCTGAATTTTCTTTGCTCTTGCCACTCTTGGCTTCTTTATTTCACTGGATGTTTCATGTATTTGCTTCTTTTGGAGTCTTTACATATATTGGTCCTTCTTGAAAGAAGCTTTTACAACATTTGTCCTCTTATAGCTCTGCTCCTCCTTTCCCAAGTCTCTCTTCTTTGTATTTTGGCTTAAATGTCACTTTTTCAGACAGTGAGGTCTCTTGTAACCATTGTCCCTACCCTTCAATCCCATATTCTCACTGCCTGGTTCAAGTTCCTTTGAGATCTCTATTTATGTATCTATATCTAGTCTGGCTACTTTACTTTTTAAATAAAAATTATTATTTTTTAAAAAATATTTTAATTTCCATAGGTTTTTGGGGAACGGCGGTATTTGGTTACATGAGTAAGTTCTTTAGTGGTGATTTGTGAGATTTTGGAGCACCTATAATCTGAGCAGTATACACTGAACCCAATTTGTAGTCTTTTATCCCTCACCCCCCTTCCTCTCCTTCCCTTCCCCAGTCCCCAAAGTCCATTGTATCATTCTTATGCCTTTGCATCCTCATAGCTTAGCTCCCACTTAAGAGTGACAACATATGATGTTTGGTTTTCCATTCCTGAGTTACTTCACTTAGAATAATAGTCTCGAGAGCTGGGCACAGTGGCTCACTCCTGTAATCTCAGCACTTTGGGAGGCCAGTGTGGGCGGATCACGAGGTCAGGAGTTTGAGACCAGCCTGGCCAACATGATGAAACCCCGTCTCTACTAAAAATACAAAAGTTAGCTGGGTATGGTGGTGGGCACCTGTAATCCCAGCTACTTGGGAGGCTGAGGCAGGAGAATCGCTTGAACCTGAGAGGCAGAGGTTGCAGTGAGCCAAGATCGCGCCACTGCCCTCCAGCCTGGGTGACAGAGCAAGACTCTATGTCAAAAAAAAAAAAAAAGAATAATAGTCTCTAGTTCCATCCAGGTTGCTGCAAATGCCATTAATTCATTCCTTTTTATGGCTGAGTAGTATTCCATTGTATATATGTACCACAGTTTCTTTATCCACTCATTGATTGATGGGCATTTGGGCTGGTTCCATATTTTTGTAATTGCAAATTGTGCTGCTATAAACATGCATGTGTAAGCATCTTTTTCATAAACTGACTTCTTTTCCTCTGGGTAGATACCTAGTAGTGGGATTGCTGGATCAAATGGTAGTTCTACTTTAAGTTCTTTAAGGAATCTCTGCACTGGTTTCCACAGTGGTTGTACTAGTTTACATTCCCACCAGCAGTATAGAAGTGTTCCCTTTTCACCCCGTATATGCCAACATCTATTTTTTTTTATTATGACCATTTTTTTGCAGGAGTAAGGTGGTATTACATTGTGGTTTTGATTTGCATTTCCTTGATCATTAGTGATGTTGAATATTTTTTCATGACCAAGAACCCAAAAGCAAATGCAACAAAAACAAAGATAGATTGGTGAGACTTAATTAAACTAAAGAGCTTCTGCACCGCAAAAGGAACAGTCAGCAGAGTAAACAGACAACCCACAGAGTGGGAGAAAATCTTCACAATCCATGTATCTGACAAAGGACTAATATCCAGAATTTACAAGGAACTCAAACAAATTAGCAAGAAAAAAACCAAACTATCCTATCAAAAAGTGGGCCAAGGGCACGAATAGACAGTTCTCAAAAGAAGATATACAAATGGCCACAAACATATAAAAAAGTATTTTTAATTTTTGTGGGCACACTGTAGCATTATATTTTTATGGGGTACAGGAGATGTTTTGATACAGGCATACAATGCTTAATAATCACATCAAGGCAATGGGGGTTTCTTCACTTCAAGTACTTATCCCTTCTTTGTATTACAAACAGTTCAGTTATACTCTTTAGCTAAATATACAAAAAATTATTGTTGACTTTAGTCACCCTGTTGTGCTAGCAAATACTAGATCTTATTCATTCTTCCTATCTATATTTTTGTACCCATTATCCATCCTTCTCCCACTACCCTTCCCAGCCTCTGGTAATCATTGTTCTACTCTTTATCTTCATGAATTCAATCGTTTTAATTTTTAGCACCCACAAATAAGCAAGAACATGCAAACTTTGTCTTTCTGTGCCTGGCTTATTTCACTTAATATAATGACCTGCAGTTCCATCCTTGTTGTTGCAAATGACAGGATCTCATTCTTTTTATGGCTGAATAGTATTCCATTGTGTATGTATAACAACATTTGCTTTATCCATTCGTCTGTTGATGGACACTTAGGTTGCTTCCAAATCTTGGCTATTGTGAATAGTGCTGCAATAAACATGAGACTGGATATCTCTCCAATCTACTGATTTCCTTTCTTTTGAGTATATAACAGGGAGTGGGATTGCTAGATCATATGGTAGCTCTATTTTTAGTTTTTTGAGGAACTTTGAAACTGCTCTTCATAGTGGTTGTACTAATTTTCATTTCTAACAACAATGTATGAGTGTTCCCTTTTCTCCATATTTTCCTCAGCATTTGTTATTGCGTGACTTTTAGATAAAAGCCATTTTAACTGAGGTGGGATTATATCTCGTTGTAGTCCTGAAGAGTTTCCTCAATGTTTTTTTTTGTAGTAGTTTCATAGTTTGAGATAAAAGATTTCAGTCTTTAATCCATTTTGATTTGATTTTTGTACATGGGGAGAGGGGTCTAGTTTCATTCTTGTACATATAGATATCCAGTATTCCCAGACCCACTTATTGAAGAGACTGTCCTTTCCCCAATATATGTTCTTGACAGCCTTATCAAAAATTATTTCACTGTAAATACATTCATCTACAGTGATGTTTCTGGGTTCTCTCTTCTGTTCCATTGGTCTTTGTGTCTGTTTTTATGCCAGTACCATGCTGTTTTGGTCACCATAGCTCTGTAGTTTAATTTGAAGTCGGGTAATGTGATCCTTCCAGTTTTGTTTTTCTTGCTCAGGATAGCTTTGGCTATACTGGGTCTTTTGTGCTTCCATATAAATCACTGGATTTTTTTTTGTATTTATCTGAAGAATGTCAGTAGTATTTTGATAGGGATTGAGTGTATAGATTGCTTTGGGTAGTATGGACATTTTAACAATATTGATTCTTCTAATTCATGAACATGGAATATCTTTCCGTTTTTTTCTGTCCTCTTCAATTTGTTTCAAAAGTGTTTTATAGTTTTCATTGTAGAGACCTTTTATTTCCTTGGTTAATTCCTAGGTATTTAATTTTCTTTGTAGCTTTTGTAAATGGGATTACTTTCTTGGTGTCTTTTTCAGATTGTTCACTATTGGTATATAGAAATGCTACTGATTTTTGTATGTTGATTTTGTATCTTGCAAATTTACGGAATTTGTTTTTTAGTTTTTTTGGTGGAGTCTTTAGTTCTTTCCAAATGTAGTATCATATTGTCTGCAAACAAGGGCAATTTACCTTCTTCTCTTCCAATTTTGGATGAACTTTATTTCTTTGTCTTGTTGAATTGGTAGGTAGGACTTTTAGTACTATGGTGAATAACAGTGGTGAAAGTGGGCATCCTTGTCATGTTCCAGATCTTAGAGGAAAGGCTTTCGGTTTTTCCCATTCAGTATGATATTAGCTATGGGTCTGTCTTACATGGCTTTTGTTGTGTTGAGGTATATTCCTTCTATACCCAGTTTTTTGAGGGTTTTTTTTTATCATGAAAGGATGTTGAATTTTATCAAATACTTTTTTCAGCATCAATCGAAATGATCATATGGTTTTTGTCCTTCATTGTGTTGATTTGATGTATCACAATGATTGATTTGCATATGTTGAACTATACCAGCATCCTAGGGATATATCCCACTTGGTCCTAATGAATGATCTTTTTAATGTGTTTTGAAGTTGCTTTACTAGTATTTTGTTGAGGGTCTTTGCATCAATGTTCATCAGTTTTATTGGCCTGTAATTTTCTGTTTTTGATGTGTTTTTGCTTTATTTTGGTGTCAGGATAATACTGGTTTTGTAGAATGAGTTGGAAAGTATTCCCTCCCTCTCTGTTTTTTTGTAATAATTTAAGTAGAATTGGTGTTAGTTTTTAAAAAAATATTTGGTATAATTCAGCAGTGAAATCACTGGGTCTCAGGCTTTTTTTTTTTTTTTTTTTTTTTGACTGGGAAACTTTTTATTATGGCATCAATCTCATTACTTGTTTTTGGTCTGTTTAGGTTTTGGATTTCCTCATGGTTCAATCTTGGTATATTTGTATGTGTCTAGGAATTTATCCATTTCTTCTAGGTTTACCAATTTATTGGCATATAGTTGCTCATAGTAGCCACTAATGATCCTTTGAATTTTTGCAATATCAGTTGTACTGTCTCCCTTTTAATCTCTGATTTTACTTATTTGGGCCTTCTGTCTTTTTTTCTTAGTCTGGCGAAAGGTTTGTTCATTTTGTTTATCATCTCAAAAAATAACCTTTTCTTTCATTGATTTTTGTATTGTTTTCTTTATTTCAATGTCATTTATTTCTTCTGTGATGTTTATTATTTTTCTCTTTTAGTAATCTTGGGTTTGATTTGCTTTTGCTTTTCAGATTCTTTAAGATGCATCATTAGGTTGTTTATTTGAAGTTTTTCTACTTTTTAACTGTAGATGCTTATAGCAGTAAAGTTCCCTTCTAGTACTGCTTTTGCTGTATCCCATAGGTTTTGGAATATTACATTTCCATTATCGTTTATTTCAAGAAAATTTTCAATTTCCTTTTAACTTCTTCATTGATCCACTGTTCATTAAGGAGCATATTGTTTAATTTCCATGTGTTTACATAGTTTCCAAAATTCCTCTTGTTATTGATTTCTAGTTTTATTCCATTTTGGTCAGAGAATATTCTTGATGTTGTTTCAGTTTTTTTTGAATGTTTTAGGACTTGTTTTGTGGCCTAACATTTTGTCTGTTTTTGAGAATGATCCATGTGCTGAAGAAAATGTGTATTCTGCAGCCGTTAGATGAAATATTCCACAAATATCTGTTACTTCTATTTGGTTTGTAATGCTGGTTAATCCGATGTTTCTTTGTTTATTTTGTGTCTGAAAGATCTGTTCAATATTGAAAGTGATGTGCTGAAGTCTATAGCTATTATTTTACAGGGTTCTACCTTTGTCTTTTGCTCTAGTAATAATTTGCTTCATTTATTTGGATGCTACAGTATTGGGTGCATATATATTTACAATTTTTATATCTTCTGGTTGAATTGAGTTTTTTTTAAATCATTATATAATGACTTCCTTCGTCTCTTTTTATAGTTTTTGTCATGAAATCTATTTTGTCTGATATAAGTATAGCTACTCTTTGTCTTCTTTAGTTTCCACTGGCATGGAATATATTTTATCATTCTTTTATTGTTAGTCTATTTGTGTCTTTATATGTGAAGTGTGTTTCTTGTAGGCAGCTGATCATTGGGTCTTTTTTTAAAAAAATTCATTAAGCCACTGTATGTCTTTTGATTGTACAGTTTAGTACTTTTATGTTCAGTTTTCATTATTAATAATTAAGGACTTACTCCTGCCATTTTGTTCTGTGGTTTCTGGTCTTCTCTTCCTTCTTTTCTTCATTCCTGTCTTCCTTTTTTTTTTTTTTTTTTTTTTGAGACAGGGTCTTGCTCTGTCACCCAGGCTGGAGTGCAGTGGCATGATCTCAGCTCACTGCAACCTCTGCCTCACGGGTTCAAGCAATTCTCCTGCGTCAGCCTCTCGAGCAGCTGAGATTACAGGCAGGTGCCACCACACCTGGCTAATTTTTGTATTTTTAGTAGAGACGGAGTTTCACCATGTTGGCCAGGCTAATCTTGAACTCTTGACCTCAAGTAATCCACCTGCCTTGGGATCCCAAAGTGTTGGGATTACAGGCATGAGCCACCACGCTTGGACCCCTGTCTTCCTTTTAGTGAAAGTTATCTTTCTCTGGTGGTACATTTTAATTTCTTACTCTTTATTTTTTGTGTCCCTGTTGTATGTGTTTTGATTTGAGTTTACCATGAGGCTTGCAAATATGATCTTACAACCCATTATTTTAAACTGATGAACACTTAACACTGATTTCATAAACAAGCAAACAAATCAAAGAAACAAAGAGAAGACTAATAAAAACTCTACAGTTAACTTTGTCCCTCTGCTTTTTAACTTTTATTGTTTCTCTTTATATCTTATTGTACTATGTATTAAAAAGTTGTTGTAGCTCTTATTTTTGATTCAGTTCATCTTTTAGTCTTCTTACTCAAGATAGTTTACACACCACAGTTACAGTGTTGTACTATTCTATGTTTTTCTGTGTCCTTGCTATTACAGTAAGTTTTGTACCTTCAGATGATTTCTTATTGCTAGTTAACATCCATTTTTTTTTTTTTTTTCCAGATTGAAGAACTCCCTTTAGCATTTCTTGTAGGGCAGGTCTAGTGTTGATGAAATCTATCAGCTTTTGTTTGTCTGGGATAATCTTTATTTCTCCTTCACGTTTGATGGATACTTTTGCTGGATATACTATTCTAGGAAAAAGTCTTTTTTTTCTTTCAGTGCTTTAAATATATCATGCTACTCTCTCCTGGCTTGTAAAGTTCCCATTGAGAAGTTTTCTGCCAGACATACTGGAGCTCCATTGTAGGGCATTTGTTTCTTTTCTCTTCCTGCTTTTAGGATCCTTTCTTTATCCTTGCCTTTTGGAGTTTGATTATTAATGATCTTGCAGTAGTCTTATTTGTGTCAAATTGGCTTGCTGTTCTGTAACCTCCTTGTACTTGAATATTGATATCTTTCTCTAGGTTTGTGAAGTTCTGTTATTATCTCTTTGAATAAACTTTCTACCTCTATCTTTGTCTCTACCTGCTCTTTAAGGCTAATGCCTTTTAGATTTACCTTTTTGAGGCTATTTTCTAGATCTTGTAGGTATGCTTTATTGTTTTTAAATTATTTTTTCTTTTGTCTCCTCTGACTGTATATTTTCAAATAGCCTGTCTTCAAGCTTACTAATTCTTCTACTTGATTAGTTCTGTTGGTGAGGCACTCTGATGCATTCTTCATTATGTCAGTTGCATTTTTCAATTCCAGAATTTCTGCTTGATTCTTTTAAATTATTTCAATGTCTTTGTTAAATTTATCTGATAGGATTCTCAATGTCTTCTCTGTGTTATCTTGAATTTCTTTGTGTTTCCTCAAAACAGCTATTTTGATTTCTCTGAAAGGTCACATATCTCTGTCTCTCTGGGATTAGATCCTTGTGCCTTATTTAGTTTGTTTGGTAAGGTCATGTTTTCCTGGATAGCCTGGGTGCTTGTGGATATTCATCAGTGTCTGGGCATTGAAGGGTTAGGTATTTATTGTAGCCTTTGCAATCTGGGTTTGTTTGTACCTGTCCTTTTTTCTGAAGGCTTTCCAGGTATTCAGGGGGACTTGGGTGTTACAATCTAGATTTTGGGTCACTGCAGCCATATCTGCATTAGGGGGCACCTGAAGCCCAGTAACACTGTGGCTCTTACAGTGGTATCACCTTGGTGGACTTGGTTGAGATCCAGAATAATTCTCTGGATTACTAGGGAGAGACTCTTGCTTTCTTCCCTTACCTTTTCCCCAACAAAAAGAGTCTCTCTCTCTCTCTGCTGTGTTTCCTGGAGCTGGGGGAGTAGTGACACAAGGACTCCCATGGCCACCACCAATGGGAGTATGCTGGGTAAGAGCTGAATCCAGAATGTACTGGGTCTCATCCAAGGCCTCTCATAACCACTGCCTGGCTACCACTTACGTGTGGTCAAGTCCCTAGGGCTCTACAATCATCAAGTGGTAAAGCTAGCCAGGCTTGTGTCCTTCCCTTTTGGGCCATGAATTTCCTGTGGCCCCAGGCGGGTCCAGAGATGCTCTCTGGGAGCCAGGGTCTGGAATCAGAAACTTAGGAATCTACCTGGTGCTCTGTTTTAGTACAGTGAGCTGGTACTCAAGCCACAAGACAATGTCCTTCCTACTCTTTTCCCTCCCCTCCCCTCCCCCTCCCCTCTTCTCCCTTGAATCTCTCCCTATTACTACCACCTCTAGGCTTGCAGTGAGTACTATCTGGCTACCGCTGATGTTCACTCAAGCCCCAGGCTCTTCAGTCAGCTTGTGATGAATGCTGCCAGGCTTGAGCAGTGGGTTCCCCTCTCAGGGCAGGTCCTAAAATGCTTGCTGTCCGAGAGCCAAGGATTAGAATTGGGGACCTGAAGAGCTTGCTTGGTGCTCTACTCCACTGCAGCCCAGCTGGTACCTAAGCTGTAAGACAAAGTCCCCTTTACTCTTCTCTCTCCTTTTCTGAAGCAAAATGAGTCTCCCCCATGGCCTTTGCAGTTGGGAATGTGCTGACCGGAAGCCAGCACTTCTCTGAATTCCACTCAAGGCCAATGACGAGTACTGCCTGGCTACCACTGTTGACTATTCAGGGCCCAAGGGCTCTTTAATCAGTAGGTAATGAAACTTGCCTTGAGTGGATCTTTCACTTAAAGGCAGTGGGTTCCCTTCTGGCCCAGGGTATGTTTAGAAATGTCATCTAGGAGCTAGGGCTTGGAATGGGTACCCGAGGTCTCTGCTCAGTGCCTTATTCTACTGTGGATGAGCTGGCATCCAAGTTACAAGACAAAGTACTCTTTACTCTCCTCTCTCCTCTCTTCAAGCAGAAGGAAGGGGTCTTTTCCAGAGCTGTGCACTACTTTGCTGGGCGTTCGGGGAAAGGTGGTGCAAGCACTCCCTTGGCTGCCCAATCTGGTGTCTTATTAAGTCTTTTGCCCTCCATGTCCACTGGCACTGAGCCCAGTGAAGCACTAGGACTTGCCCAGGAATTGTGGTTCTTGTGGCCTAGACTTTCAAATTTATTTGGGACCACAGAACACTTTACCTGCAGTGGCAAGGTTTCCTGGAACTCAGTTTCCTACCACTTGGATGGACAATTTCATTTTTTATTCTGGCAGAATAGAAAATGAAAATGAGGTGGAGGAACATATTATGTAGGGCCTTGAAGACTCTTGTAAGGATTTGAGCTTTTGTTATGAGTGCCAGAGGAGCCACCGGAGGATTATAAGGTAACATGAATATTTTTACTGCTTTGTTGGAAAGTTACTATAGAGGCACATGTATAGAAGTGGAGAGGCTGGTTAATAGCAGTTATCAAGGGCAGATTAAAGGGTGTTTGTTAGGCTTGGTGTGGTGGTTCACACCTATATTCCCAGTGCTTTGGGAGGTTGAAGCAGGAGGATCACCTGAGGCCAGGAATTCATGACCAGACCTGCAACATAGCAAGACCCTATATCTAACAACAACAAAAAAATTAGCTTGGTATGTTGGCATGCATCTATAGTCCCAGCTACTTCGGAAGCTGAGGCAGGTCACTTGAGCCCTGGAGTTTGAGTTACAGTGAGCCATTATCATACCACTGCACTCCAGCCTGAGTGACAGAGTGAGAGTCTGTCTCTAAAGAAGAAACACTAAAAAACAAATATTTGTTTCATGCATGCAGTAGTGTACTTGGTGAGAAGTGGTTGGATTCTGGACATATTTAAAAAGTAAGGCTGGCAATATTTGCTGATGGAATTTATGTGGTTGCAAGAAAAAGAAAAGGGAGGGGGAGTCAAGGATGGCTCTAAGGTTCTTTCTGGATGAGCAGCTTAAAGAATGGAGTTACCAATAGCAGAAATATGAAAGATGCAGGAGGGTAGCTTTGAGTTGGAGAGGTGGGGCCAAAATCAGGAACTCATGGGTAGCCATGTTGAGCTTTAGATGTCTATTGGCCTTCTAAGTGTAGCTGTCAAGTAGGGGGCTGGATGTACATGTCTGGCTGGAGATATAGAGGTGGGAGCTGGCGTGAAGAAAGTATTTAAAGTCATTAAGACTGAATGAGGTCACCAAGGCTGGAATCCTTTGCCTTTATTTTGTCCATTGTTTTTCATCTGTGGGGATCTACTTGTAGGTCAAGATCCACCTTCTGCATCCTCTGCCCTGTGAAGCCTTGCTCTGCTCTCTCATGCAGGCCCATTGCACTCTCTTCTTACTGTGCTCTATCTACTACATTGGATTGCAATTGCTTTTATTTAAAGTAAGTTTGAAGTCCTCCCAATTAGACCAAAGATTTTTATACAGCAAGCCTCATGTCTTCTTTGCCTTTATAGCTTCTGTTGTATAGCAGATGCTCAATAAAAATGTCTGAAATGATTAATGGTGGATTGATTAAAATATGTTCAAGTGCCCACGTCCAGTACTTTTGGACTGAGGAAGAGCTGTGTGAACTGAGTGTGGCTGACTGCACTTGAAGGGAAATGCCTTTCAATCATATGCTCCTTACTGAGGTAGAATAAAATTTGGGGTGCAATAAATACTATTTAGGGTTTTAAGATTTCCTTGGTATCTATATATAGTAGTAAAAACCAGACTTTGACAATGTGATAACCTACAATGTTCCTATTTTGCATAAAATGAAGCCAAACAAGAGAACATTAGGTCCAATGCATGTTCTTTTTATTTGTTTTTAAAACTAGTATTCTTTTGTTTTAGTGTATTAGGAAATGAAAGAAACCATTTATTTTCTATCTATTGAGCTATATTTCAAATAATTTCATGTTACACATTTTATAGATTGGCTTTGTTGGAAAAATAAAACTAGTTAAATGTTTTTAATCCCACAAATATTTAATTTTTAAGTCACTGATTGAAATTTGGTCACTGGGAATGGAAAATAGAACTTTTTTTTTCTTAAAAAAGGATAAGGTTTTCCTTCTTTTATTTATTTATTTATTTATTTATTTATTTATTTGTTTATTTAGAAACGGAGTTTCGCTCTTGTGTCCCAGGCTGGAGTGCAGTGGCGCGATCTCAGCTCACTGCAACCTCCGCCTCCCGGATTCAAGTGATTGTCCTGCCTCAGCCTCCTGCCTATCTGGGATTACAGGTGCACATCACCACTCCCAGCAAATTTTTGTATTTTTAGTAGAGATGGGGTTTCACCATGTTGGGCAGACTGGTCTCGAACTCCTGGCCTCAGGTGATCCACCCACCTTGGCCTCCCAAAGTGCTGGGATTACAGGTGTGAGCCACCGTGCCTGGCCCTAATCTTATTTTGTAACTATAAGACAAAATGAAAATAATTCATCATTTCACTAGTTAGGGATAGTCACATCCTATTAACATTTAGGTATTTTTCCTAATTCATGTTTTATACATATATATTTATAAACAGAATAAAATGTACATGCAGTATTATGTTTTACTTTTACATTTATTATTTTTTCTGATAACAGATATTTGATAAGATATGATTTTTAATGGTTTCTAGACATTCTATTATAGATACACCACAATTAAAAAATATTCCCCCCCTATCATTTGGGTTGTTTCTAAATTTTTAAAATAACCATGAAAGTAGATTACTGCATAAAAGACAATAGTATTTTTATGGTTTTTGATATATTTTTCTAAAATGTTCTCTAAAAGGATTATAACAAATTTACATTGGTATCAAAAGTATATGAGAGTATGTCTCCGTGTACCTTCTCTAACAGCTGGACACATTATTAAATACAATCTTTTTGCTAGTTTGAGGTGTTAATCAAATATACCTTTTTAAAAAGTTTTAAAATGTACATTTTTTGATTTTGAAAATTTTTCCATTTATTTATTGACTGTATTATTTTTATGTGTGAATTGTCTGTAGATGGCCTTTATTTAACCTTTTTCTGTTGGGTATAGTATCATTTTCATTGATTTATAAGAGTTCTTTACATATTAGATTTAACATATAAAATTGTGTTTTTTTTTTGGAGACAGAGTCTCGCTCTGTCGCCTGGGCTGGAGTGCAGTGGCATGATCTCGGCTCACTGCAACCTCCGCCTCTCCAGTTCAAGTAATTCTCCTGCCTCAGCCTCCCAAGTAGCTGGGACTACAGATGCATGCCACCACACCCGGCTAAATTTTTTGTATTTTAGTAGAGATGGGGTTTTACCGTGTTGCCCAGGCTGACCTCAAACTCCTGAGCTCAGGCAATCTGCCCACCTCAGCCTCCCAAAATGCTAGGATTACAGGCATAAGCCACCGCGCCTGGTCTATAAAATTGTTTTTATAGGTCAAAACCAGTTGAATATCAGGAACTTCACATGGTTTAACTTAAAATGTTGTATTTTATATTGGTTGCCAATGTTTTCTGAGTTTGTCCTTTGTTCTTATTATGTCATATTCTTAAGCCTATAACAAGTTTAAAATTTTAATGTAGTTTAATTTAGAGATCCCTTCCTTTGTAGCTTCCTCTGTTGCGTTCTTATAGCAAAAGTTTTCTTACCATCTCAAAGGGAGATAAATATTTTTGTAGTTTCATATTTTTAAATTGAACTTTAAAAATCCATCTGGAATTTTGTTTTAATGTGTTGTTAAGGCAGGAATCTGTTTACTGAGTGATAGAATCATTATTTACAGATTCCTGAGCAAAATTCTGTTGTTTAATTTCATGCCCCATTGCTGAAATTACAAAATTACCAAACGTCCTAGGAATGTAATATCTTTGACCCTGATTCTTCATAAAGTACATTATTCTAGTGACTTAGCTCAGTCGATGCACTTCACAGACCGATAATAATTCAGAGACCTTGATTTTGTCAATGTTAATGATGCTTTTAAGACAGAAGCAATAGGGTACACGGTATTGGATTTAATTGATGGTTCTGTTCAGCATAACATTCTGTCATTCATAGAACCTTACTTATTAACCCACATGAACAATATTGTTAAAATTTTCATTAGATGCAAAAATCCTCAACAAAATACTAGCTAACCGAATCTAACAGCACATCAAAAAGACAGTACATTATGATCAAGTGGGTTTCATTCCAGGGATGCAGGGATGATTTAACATATATAAGTCAACAAATGTGATATATCACATAAACAGAATTAAAAACGAAAATCATATGATTATTTCAATAGACACAGAAAAAGCATTTTATAAAATCCAGCATGGCTTTATGATAAAAACTCTCAATAAAATAGGCATAGAAGGGGCTTACCTCAAAGTAATAAAAGCCGTATATGACAAACCCACAGCCAGCATCATGCTGAATGGGGAAAAGTTGAAATCATTTCCCTTGAGAATTGGGATAAGACAAGGATGTCCACTTCCACCACTTTTATTCAACATAGTACTGGAAGTCCTAGCCAGAGCAATCAGACAAAAGAAAGAAATAATCCAAATTAGAAAAGAGGAAGTCAAATTGTCACTATTTGCTGATAGTATGATTGTATGCCTAGAAAACCCTAAAGACTCATCCAAAAAGCTCTTAGATCAAATTCAGTAAAGTCTCAGGATACAAAATCAATGTACGTAGATCAGTAGCACTGCTATACACTAACAACAACAAAACTGACAATCAAATGAAGAACTCAGTCCCTTTTACAACTGCCAAAAAAAAAAAAAAACCACACACACACACAACTCCCCCCAAAAAACCACCACCAACAAAAAATCTTAGGAATATACTTAACCAATGAGGTGAAAGAGCTCTATAAGGAAAACTGCAAAACACTGCTGGAAGAAACCATAGATGACACAAACAAATGGAAACAAATCCCAAGCTCAAGGATGGGAAGAATCAATATTGTGAAAATGACCATAATGCCCAAAGCAATCTATAGATTCAATGCAATTCCCATCAAAATACCGTCATCATTCTTCGCAGAACTAGAAAAAACAATCCTGAAATTCTTATGGAACCAAAAAAGAGCTCGCATAGCCAAAGCAATACTAAGCAAAAAGAACAAATCTAGAGGCATCACATTACCCAACTTCAAATTATACTACAAGGCTGTAGTTACCCAAACAGCATGGTAGTGGTATAAAAACGGGCACATAGACCAATGGAACAGGATAGAGAACCCAGAAATAAAGCCAGACTTCGAGCGAACTGATCTTTGACAAAGCATACAAAAACATAAATTCAGTAAAAGACACCCTATTCAATAAATGGAGCTGGGAAAACTGGCAAGCCACATGTAGAAGAATAAAACTAGATTCTTATCTCCCACCTTATACAAAAATCAACTCAAGATGAATCAAAGACTTAAATCTAAAACCTGAAGTCATAACCAAAAGCCACCTGTACCCCAAAAACTATTGAATTAAAAACAATTAAAAACAAGAGGCCAGGTGTGGGGCTCACGCCTGTAATCCCAGCACTTTGGGAGGCTGAGGCAGGTGGATCACGAGGTCAGGAGTTCGAGACCAGCCTGGCCAAAATGGCAAAACCCCGTCTGTACTAAAAATATAAAAATTAGCTGGGTGTGGTGGCAGGCGCCTGTAATCCCAGCTACTCAGGAGGCTGAGGCAGGAGAATCGCTTGAACCCGGGAGGCAGAGGTTGCAGTGAGCTGAGATCACGCCACTGCATTCCAGCCTGGGCAACAGAGCAAGGCTCCATGTCAAAACAACAACAACAACAACAACAACAACAACAAAAACAAAAAAGAAAAACAAGATTGAAGGCTTTAATGTCCCTAAACAAATTACATACTATATTATCATTCTTGATACAGCTTTTTGAAATTTATTCATTCACCCTTGTTTTGGTGCTATGTGTTTTTTTAAATTGTGGTAAAATACACATAACATAAAATTTACCATTTTAAGCATTTTAAAATGTACAGTTCTGTGGCATTAGGTACATTCATACTGCTGTGCAATCATCACCACTATCCATCTCCAGAACTTTTTCATCTTTACAAGACTGTATCTCTCAACCCCCTCCCCCAGCCCCTGGAAACCACCATTCAACTTTGGGTCTCTACAAATCTGACTACTCTAGGAATCTCATCTAAAAAGAATAGTTTTTAGAGTACACGTGGTTTTTGCTTACATGGATAAGTTCTTTAGTGGTGATTTCTGTGATTTTGGTGCACCTGTCATCGAGAAGTATATACTGTACCCAATATATAGCCTTTTGTCCCTCACCCCTCTCCCAACCATCCCCTCCTGCCAGTCCCCAAAGTCCATGTCATCATTCTTATGCTTTTGCATCTTCATAGCTTAGCTCTCACTTATAAGTGAGAACATACCATATTTGGTTGTCTAAGTTACTTCACTTAGAATAATGGCCTCCTGCTCTATCCAAGTTGCTGCAAAATACATTGTTTCATTCCTTTTTATGGCTGAGTTGTGTTCCATGGTGTGTATACACATTTTCTTTATCCACTCATTGGTTGATGGGCACTTAGGTTGGTTTCATATCTTTGCAAATGACATGAATAGACAATTCTCAAAAGAAGATTTTTTTTTCTTCAGCCAACAAACATATAAAAAAGTGCTCGACATCACTAATCATCAGGGAATGCTACTCAGCCATAAAAATAAACAAACTAAGCTATAATGTCTTTTTTTTTTTGAGACCGAGTCTTGCTGTGTTGCCCAGGCTGGAGTGCAGTGGTCTCGGCTCACTGCAACCTCTGTCTCCTGGGTTTAAGTTATTCTCCTGCCTCAGTCTCCTGAGTAGCTGGGATTGTAGGTGCCTGCCACCCACACCTGGCTAATTTTTGTATTTTTAGTGGAGATGGGATTTCACCACATTGGCCAGGCTGGTTTTGAACTTCTGACCTCAAGCGATCCACCTGCCTCGGCTTTCCAAAATGCTGAGATTACAGGCGTGAGCCACCATCCCCAGCCTATAATGTCTTTTGCAATTGATTTTTTAAAAAGTAAATTGCTTAAGTTCTATAATTACCTTAGCTGTCAAGACATTCTGGTGAAATTTGTTCTTTTGGTGAGGGAAGACCCTGGCTACTCTCTTTACCACTTGAACACGTGAAATACCAGTAAAAAGTGTTTTTAGAGAGTCTGAAGAAATATATGTATTCTCTATTATCCAAACTCTTCCTATTTGAACTCAGAAACTTAATAGGTTCAGATAATTTTTTAGATAAATGGCTTGTATCTAAATTGTTGCCATTTGCTATCTAAATTGATGGAATAAAACTGATTTAGTAATAAACCTTTCAACTCAAAGACCAACTCAATTTAGATAAGGAGGAATACTTGTATTGGGTAATGCTAGCTTTTCTGTATGATGGACTGTTCAAAGGATGAAGATGAAATGGAAATGCCTGTTTGAATTCAAAGAACTGATGAATCTCACATTCTCTGAGAAGCCCCCCCCAGAGGTCTGCGCTTTAGCACCCTAGAGTTGCCTGAGGACTCATTGGGTTCGTAGGGCTTAGTGGGGCTAGCTAGAATGCGGAACAGACTACAGTCACAACTCAGAGGGAAGGGAAGATTTGCTCTCTTGAAATGGGCTTGTCAGAGCTGAAAGTTGGGATTTCCATGGCCACTAGATGGCTTCAGTTACCTGCAAAGAAAGGTTCAAACCCAAAGGTACTCTGGGGTTGCTTTTCATACTTTAAGAAGATCATTCCATTTTTGGACTATTTGTTTTCTGAGGGGTAGATGGCAGAAGCAATTGATAAAACTTAAAGTTTTTGAGGATTATCTAGTCTTACCTTCTCATTTTACATATAAAGAATATTTAGGAAAGCTTTCCCAAGTTGACTGAGCTCTACAGGAGCAGCATCAGAGCCAGACTCAAGTCTCCTGCGTCCTAGTCTAGTTCTTTAGCTGTTGAACCAGTGACAACAATCTATTTTTTATTCCTCTCAAGTAATATGACAGGGTTGCATGTCACTGACTATGCCTGAGTCCTGGAGATGATGTGTATTGGAATGTTGTGTTTAAGGCAGGTGGTGAAGTGGATGCTGGTGACCATCTTATGGGCAGAACTGAGCAATGGTAGTATCTACTCCCAACCCAGTTGAGCTTTTAGATTAATGAAATGACTACCTGCCATGATCCACTGTTGGGGAGTTTTAAACATTTTTGTTCATTCTAAATAATCCTAGACTCTTACATGCCTTATCTGTTATATACTTTATGTCCTTTTCTCTTCTTCAGATGAATAGCAACATTTAAACATCTTCTTTTCTCTCACAATTTTTCTATTTTTGTTTACTTTTAGAGACAAGGTCTTGCTATGTTGCCCAAGCTGGATTCAAACTCCTGGGCTTAAGTGATTCTTTGCCTCTTCAAGTAGCTGGGAGTACAGGCTTGTGCTACTGTGCCCAATTTATTATTTTTGATTAATATCTAACCTTTAGAACCAAGTAGAAAATACTTTAAAAAAAAATCAAAAGTTTCTGTAGAAAACCTAACAAACAAAAGTGAGTCAAACAAATCCATTATGTATCAACTCAAAATGGCTTATCACGATGTTGAATTTTTTTGTTTTTATGGCAAACTTAGGGAGGAAGCAAATACAGTATTCATCTCAGCTACTTTTTATGACATGTTCACAAAAACAACTTTAAAAAAATTGTGTGCTAAAATTATCCTTAATTTATATATTATGGCTAGTTTCTAGAGTAAAACAGACCTCAGGGAGCCTAAGAGAGAAGGAAGAGTGAAAGAATGGGGAATAAAAAAGATAATGAGGATGAGAAGAGTGATAGAGAAAGAGCTAGTAAATGGGACAATTGGCTGCTTCTAGCTAAAAGTGAAGAGAAAGAGAGAACAAACCAGAGGGCCACTTGAATAGGAGAGCGTGTGAAGGAAGCTGTGATGGGAGGACCTGGGAAAGAGGGCAAACATGAATCCTAAGGGTAGAGAGGGAAAAGGATGAGGAAAGACCGGGGGCACTTTTTTTTTCGCAAGACCTCCGATGGCTTCCCACATCAACTTCGTTGGTTTTCTGTCCCCTGGGTTGTCCTGTCTTCACTCCTGTGCCTCCTTCCTGGTCTTCAGCCAGCCAGCAGCCCCGCTCCATCTCTTGGTCCATTGTACCTCCAAAGTGTTGTTCACATGCTTATTACGGAAATGCCAAGTAGTAGCTGGAAGGAGGATTAAAAACAGTACTTAAAATGCTCTTAGAGCAGGATTTGCTTTGTAGTTAGGTCCCCAAAAGTGGTAGCTATTATAATAATTAAGCTTTTTTCCCGGCCTTAGTGGACCTTAACATTGGGAATACTTCTGTAAATACAAATCGTGTTTGAAACATTTGAATTGAGTCTTTGAAGTAAAACTTTAGAAATAGATATATAGTTATTTTCTTAATGGTGTGTTGATGCTGAATTGAGTAAAAATGTAGTTGGTCAAGACTAACTCTACTGAAATTTAAAATTATGTCTCATTTTCTCTTCCTTATTGTAGTGATTTAAAGGGAGTGATAGTCACTCTGAGTGATGATGGTCACTTGCAGTGTTCATACCTGGGGACAGATCCTTCTCTGTTCCAAGCTCCAAACGTTCAATCTCGAGAACTAAACTATGATGAACTTGATGTAGAAATGAAAGAACTTCAGAAAATCATCAAAGATGTTAACAAATCACAAGGTATCTCATTTGCAGCTTTTTATTATTTTAGTATTCATTATGAAATTCATATTATCTTGTAGATAGATATTATTTTGTGTATTTGTTAATTTTCTCCTCTAGGCTTAATTAAAATCATATTTGTAAAAACAGTATTGCTCTTTAGCACACAAGGTCTTTATGTCTACTTTGTATGTTATGGCTTCTGAAAACGTATTTTATTTAAGAAAGTGCTTTTGTTGTTAATGTTTCATGGACAGCACTATCTAGTTTTTTTCTTTACATGCTAAGAAAGGAAGAAGTACTTCTTTGGGTGGTGGTTTTAGGCCTTGAGAAGAGCATTAAAATTTAGAGTGGTCATTTATTAACTTCTTATACTCCTGAAACAACTTTAGTTCTTCTTTTAAAAGAAACCAAAGCACATGAGCTACCATTTTGCTACTAAAAATGTAGTCATTTGCAGCTTAGTGACATAATTTATGTTTGTAGTTAATTAACCATCCAAATGGTGTGTAGCTTGCGGTATGCTGATTTCTAATGACTCAGAGGCTGATGATATTTTCAGTTCCCGAGTTTTGAATAACTCAATATTATCTTACTTTGGGACTCAAAAGGGTATAATTTTTTTTTGTAAATTAAAAGGAGAAACAAAACACCAATCCTGCAGTTTGAGTTGGACATGTGAAAAGCATTACTTCAAGTTCCCTTTTCAGGGTCAGGTAAAAGTATTTTTTTAATGTGAAAAAATATGGACTATTTTCACATAAAAGAAATGTTAAAACAAGTAGGAATAATAAAAGAAGCAGAGCATCAAAAGCCAACCAAAACAACAGAGCCAATCTTAATCCTGATCCAATCATTTTACTAGATTTATGTACTTTTGAGTCTATGTTACCAACATTGTATTCCTCTGGTCCTGAGGAATTGAGATAATATATTTTTAAAATACAAATATTAAAATAAAGTTATTATGCTTTGGTTTCACACATTCTTTTAGAAAGTTTTGAAAGTAAACCAGTGAAGTTCAGGTCTTTCAAGTACCTCCAATTACTTAAAAATCTATTTGTTGTCAGCGCTGCCATGTCAAATAGAGAGTGGTTAAAATGGGATGTGTCATATCGCAGTATATAATTTTTTGTTTCAATTTTTGTTACTAGCATTTTTGGGAATAATAGAATTATAAGTCTTGTTTTGTCATTTAAAAATATAATTGGGGAAGGGTGGCATAGGCATGAAACATGAAATTTCCAGAGTTCATTAAATAATATGGCTTTCATTTCAAATTTTGTCCTGAGATTTTGCCCTTTCCATAGTAATGTTCCAATAATATTTTGATTAACATTAATTGAATATGAAATTTCTCAGAAAATCCCTTACAGCTAAAAGTTATTTCTTGGTGGTTATAGTGATGACCTTGGGTGAGAAAGTTTAGGCTGTTTTACTTGTCATTACCTTGATCCTTCAGTATGTCTTAAAATAACCGCTAATTAAGATAGGGATACACCCACAGACTTAGGTGTAAAGTGCATGATTTACATAACCTCAATTTTTAATTAATGTTTGAAGTTCCTTGCCCCTTCTATGCCACCATCATTTAGTTTTATTTCTGGGAAAGAAACAAAGGGAAACTTTTTAAACTGAGAGGTATTTAAAACATTTTATTTCTAGATATGGAAAAAAATTTAGTAACTTGTACCCTTATAAAACCATGGTATGTTTGTTTATTAAAATACCTGTAATTAATAAAAGCACAAAATTGTTTTATTACAGTTTTAGCTTCTCTTTATTATGAGAAGTTAAAATGCTGAACTTTTTGATGACCCCATTATTCATTTTAATGTCACTTATTTTAGTTTGGGGGCTTTAACTTACAAAAAATGTTCATAGCCTTGTGGGTTATGTTCAGTACTTAAAGCTTTTAAAAGTGTTTTCAAAGGAAGAGTTGCAGCAAAATTTAAAGCCAGTTTAAAGAGTACATTTTGTTGTACACATGGTGTATATTATCTACCGTAATAAAAGTGTTTTTGAAGCTGATTTTATGTGTGTAAGTTATAAGAGGAATGTATGTTGTAAGCATGAAATCATAGTAATAATTTCTGTATGGCTCATGGATTCTGAAGCTTTTCATACTCAACTCATTAATGTGAATCCTGCCTAGTATTTTTGTTACCAGTAGTCAACAACATCTACTCGTAGGAACTTTCGAAGACAGAATTTTATTTATGATTTAGATAGTTGATCATGTTGTCTACCTGGCATGAGTATGAAGGACTGGGTGCAACATTGAGATAGGTGCCCATACAGCTGTGTCTTCAGAAAGGGACAGAGAGCAGTAAGACGTGGGGATATAAATGAAAGTCTGCACTCCATTTGAAATGTCCAGGATAACTAAGCTGATGATAACACTGAGTAGTAGAATCATTTGTATTTTGTGACATTGTTCATTTAGGATTCTGTCTGGCTACATGTCACAAGATACCCAAATAAGATAGAGGTTTCTTTCTTTCTCTTGCAAAAGAAACCTAGTGATGGGCAGTCCAGGGTTGGCTTGGCAGTTCCACAGTCATCAGAGACTCTTGATTCCTTCTATCTCGGAGTCATATATTGGTCCTGCATGGCTTTTGGAACTCCTGCCCTCGCATCTGCTGCTGAGTCAGCCCCCTTAAGGAGCTTTCTTGGAAGCCACACCCTGAATGGCTCCTACTTAAATCTCACCAGCCACTCCAAGCTGCAAAACTGGCTGGGGAATTACATGACTTAGCTGAGTATTTTGTTGCTTAGAATAAAGTTGGGCTTTAAGTAAAGAAGAATTGAAGAATGGTTATTGGGATGGGCAATGAACAGCCATTTGTACTCTCATTAAGTTATGGAAATTCCCATTCCAAATCGTGCAGTTTGGTGGGAATGCCTGATAGCAGTTGTAGGCAGTTCCTTTTTTTGTGAGATAGCTGATTCATATTTTCAGTCAGCCATCCTCAGAGTGTGGGGAATGTTTCCTCTCAGGGTCACAGGGTGATCTCAGCAATTCTAGGTGTTATGTGCAGATATGATTTCCAGGGAAGAATCATCAGGCTATTTCTCCTGAGTCTCTCCTCTTATTAGGGAGGAATAGCTTTCCCAGAAACATGTGCCAGCTCTCTCCACTCCCAACTTCCCTTACCTTCCATCTGCCAGGATTAAGTCCCATGTTCATGGCTAAAACAACAAATGGTCAGTGGAAGGAAATCATGATGATTGGATTTGACCGTGGAGCCTGGAAGGGGTGACTTTCTCTGAGATGAAGGTGAATAGCTCCACAAAATTAGGGTTCCAATACACAGAGGGAGGAGGGAAGAATGGATGTTAAGTAGGTAGCCAATAGTTTGATATGTATATATATTATATATATGAATATATATAATTTAAAAATGTTTTTTGTTTAAGATCTTTGTTGATACTATGAATAAATATCTCATTATGCAACATAAACATGTTTAAAATTATGAAAATAACATGTGTATGGTAAAAATAATTCAGTACTAAAAGGATAAATAATGAAAGGTGAATCTTTGTTCAACCCAAGATCCTAGTTTCACTCCTTAAAGGCAATCCTTATCAAGAGCTTTTGTGTATTTGTCTAGAAAATATTCATGTTTATGTAATTGTTTTGACACAAATATGTGCATATTAGACACATTGTACTACATCTTGCTTTTTAAAAGTTAATAGATATATTTTGGAGTTTTTAAAATATCAGTATGTAAAGATGGACAGCACCCTTATTTATGACTTTGGGACATTGCATAGTACAGATATACCATGATTTATTTAATAATTAGCCTATTAATAGATATATAGATATTTAGGTTGTTTTCATTTCTGAAAAAATAACTACTAACATTAGAGACCTCCTTGGGCATGGTTATGGGTATTGGATACATTCTTGGGAGTAGAATTAAGTCACAGGATATGTACATTTTACATTTTGCTAGTTCTAGCCAACTTACCTTCACAAGGGCTGTACTAATTTGGGCTTCCACTAGTAGTTACAGAGAGGGCATTGAGATTCCTAATGCTGGTCAGTCAATGGCTCACATCTTAGCAAATATCTGCAGAAAAAGACAATATTTTTTACCATATTATAGAGGGAAAGAATTAGCATCAAGCTTCTAATACTGTAATGCATTAGTTTTTTCAACTTGTGAGTATGTTTATGGGGTTTTTTTTATATGTGGTATAGACAAACCTTTAAAGAAAAACTATATATAGAAAGTTTTACTTTATGATTAAATAATTTTTCTTTTTTTAAATCACAGGTGTTTGGCCCATGACTGAGAGAGAAGATGACTTGAACGTTTCTGTCGTGGTTTCTCCTAACTTTGATTCAGTTTCTGTAGGTGTACTTGCAGATTTTAAAGGGGTTTATAAGAGTGGTAAACTCTGATGAATTAGGACCAAAATGCATTGGTTTAAAGTTTGGTCCTCCAAGTAGACACTTCAGGGAGGATAACAAATTGTAGGCCTTGTTATTTTCTAGATAAAAACATTAGTAGCCCCTTAGTGCCAGTAAGGAGCTCCTTGGGCAGGATTTCTGTTTTAAAAAGAAGTGGGGTTGTAGGGGAAGAGAGAGCAGTAGGAGGGCTTCTTGCCCTAGTTCTAATCCTACTTAAAAAAATTTTTTTTCAAACTTTCTTAGTACCATAGCATTGACGTAATACTAATGTAGCTGAATAATACTGACCCTACCAGATTTTTGTTGGAGATTCAGTTAGATAAGGTTTGTGAGTGGCCTAGCTCAAAGTTTGATGATTTCTAGTCTTTAATACATTATGGTGGTGGTGGTGGTAGGGTAGCTTAAGAGTATATAGTTGGTCCAATACTTAATTTTTCCCCTGTTTCTATCTGTGTGACACAAGGCAAGGTACTTAATTTTCTTAGTCTCAATTTTCTCATCCACAAAATGGGAATAATAATAGAATCTACTTTGTTGAATGTTATGATAATTGTTATGATTGTCATTATCATCAAATTACATTTTACTTCTTTCTACATTATAATAATCAACATCATCATAATCATTATGATTATCACAACCATCTATGTCCATGAGTTGTCTTGTTCACTGCTGTATCCTTAGTGCTTGCCAAATAATGGGTGCTCAATATATATTTGCTCTATGAATAAGTGAATTAATACAACTGAGAAATAGAAAGGATGAAAGGAGGACTATTCTTGATTATATTACTTCATCTCCTCACTTAAGTTTTCTATAAGCACTTGTTAGGATGTGATTGATTATATCTCACTGACTGCAGTTTATCTGTGTAGAAACAGATGATCACCAACAGAAATTGGTGTAGAAATTGATCTGTGTAGAAATCTGTGTAGAAATTGATCACCAACAGATGATCAATTTAGGGAAGTGGTTGAATTCACTCATTTTACAATATTTGGAGTTCATATCATATAATTCTGCTTGGGAAGTGTCTTCATTATTTAGGTATCAGAACATACTTTAAAACGTATATCATGAGTGTCAAAAGATTAATTTTAGTATAAACAGCCAATCCAATTTGTGATAAAAATCACATTAACATTACTATATTATAGTAAATTGGGTACACAAAAAAGTAGGACTATATATGAAAGAAACATTCACCCAGCTGAGTCACATAGTAGAGGCACTGTTTTAAATATTGGCCATTCAGCACACACCATTTTTCATTCTACCTGAAGGGTGTAGTCTAAGTGGAACATTTCTGCTTAGTTAGCTGACAAATGTACACATATTTTCTTGCTGTGGAAATGACTTTTTTTTCCTTTGGGCAACTTATATAAGTTTTTCTAGGTTCTCTTCAACATAGGCTATTTGGAATGAGGAATTCCCTTTCTGTTTTTTAGGAACTTTTAGTCTTTGTAGGAAAATTCCTTATGTAGTAGCACTGTGTTATAATGTATATTTCCCTATTGGTAACCCTGAATGCTATTTCCTCTTAAGTAGGTGTCTCTTTCCAGCTTCATTTTCCCTGTGTTACTATTTTTTCTTTCTTAAGAGATTTCTTGAGAGTATCATATTCATCTCATTGGAAAACATTAGCCCTACAATTTATGTGGCTTTGGTGCCATGACGTCTTCTTATAGCCATTTCTTTCTTGCTATAGTTTTATGTTCCCAAAGGACTGCTGTCCTTGAAGTATCTAGGTGTTTAGTCATGGATTGATATGAGCAGGAAACAGGAGATGTTGGTTTCTCTTCTAGATCTGTGGATAGCTAAATGTAAAATATTTCCTGGATTTTAGGTATTAGAGCACAAAGCCTGGATTAATATTTTACTTTGAATCATTATTATGAAAGCACACATCTCAAAAAAGTAATATAATTTATATTAGAATGGAGTCTTTCTTAGAGGAGATAAGCATTGCTATCCCATCTTCCTTACTGAGAAGCAAGATCATAGTTTAAATATGGTTTCCTGTGGAGCCATAAGTAGAATATGAATCTCTTAACTTTGAATTCTGCTGATGCTCATTACATCATAGAATCCCCATTGCTTAGAAGTGGCTTAGTTTTTCTTAGTTAAAAATACTTCAAGTAAAAAAACGCAATGGATCATATTCATTGGTTGGATAGAGACATAATTTTAATTGGTCCCCAGAATTCATAACGGTATTATTAGAAAATATGTCACCCCTTAGTCTTATTCTATCATAGAGCATTTTCCCCTACCAATGTATCACTCTAAAAAATAAGTTATAAGTGATAAGGGAAGTGTTTTATGTATTATATTATACTATGTATTCTTTAAGAGGAAGGAGCAGGTAACACGAGGTGACGCTCAAAGAATGCCTATTGAATTAGTTTATGATATGCACTGGTTAAAAAAAAGTTTCCCTTCCCTTCCTTCCATTCCCCTCCCCTCCCCGCCCCTTTATTTTTGAGACAGAGTCTCGCTCTTTCACCCAGGCTGGAGTGAAGTGGCGTGATCTGGGCTCACTGCAACCTCCGCCTCCCGGGTTCAAGCAATTCTCCTGTCTCAGCCTCCGGAGTAGCTGGGATTACAGGTGCCTGCCACCATGCCCAGCTAATTTTTGTATTTTTAGTAGAGACGGGGTTTCATCATGTTGGCCAGGCTGGTCTCGAACTCCTGACCTCAGGTGATCCACCTGCTTCGGCCTCCCAAAGTGCTAGGATTACAGGCATGAGCCACCGCACATGGCCTACTTTTATTTTATGGGTGTAAGGCCACTCAATCTTTATATCATTAGCTGCATGTCTTAGATACATGTTGTTAATCAGAATAACACATACCTTACACAGGGTGAAAATACAGGGACCTGAAAGAATGGCATAATATTTTTCTGGGACATACAGGGAGGTCTTCTTCTATGCAATATAAATAACAAGTTAATAGAATTAATACTTTCAATATTTAAGTAAATCTGGGAATGGAGTGGTTTGATAAAATATGTGACCTTTTCTTTCCTTTTTAGGGGATGAGTTTTTTTTTTTTTTTTTTTTTTTTTGAGGCAGAGTCTCTGTCGCCCAGGCTGGAGTGCAGTGGCGTGATCTCGGCTCACTGCAAGCTCCGCCTCCCGGGTTCATGCCATTCTCCTGCCTCAGCCTCCCGAGTAGCTGGGACTACAGGCGCCCGCCACCGGGCCCGGCTAATTTTTTGTATTTTTAGTAGAGACGGGGTTTCACGGTGGTCTCGATCTCCTGACCTCATAATCCACCCACCTCGGCCTCCCAAAGTGCTGGGATTACAGGCGTGAGCCACCGTGCCCGGCCCAGGGGATGAGTTTTTAAATATTAGCTTATGACTTTCTGGACGAAGGCATCAAAAAAGCCAGATTGTCTCTTTTAGTCTGTCATTAGAGTAATAAATCTTTTATAGTTTCCTATTTTGATAGTAGGAAATATACATTGCACTCATTGTGTTCACTCACTGCTGTGTAATATTGACATCATTCTTTCTTGCCTTCTCAATTCTGTGTTTACAGCAAGCGACCGATGTTGAGGTGGGAACTGACCTTGTCCCTTCTGTCACGGTGAAGGTATTGTACCAGATTTTAGACTGTAATGTGCAAACAATATGATTTATTTCATTACATCTGTCACTGTTGAGAACTTGTAAGTAGCTTACAGAAATGTAAAATAAACACTTGGCATTTGTAGATTTTTCCCCAGCCTTGAGTAGTGAATAGAAAACCTTTACTGTTACTTGCAAATATAAAACTGGTAATTGCATTTATAGCAATATGTATATAATATAAATAACTATTATGAAGTACTGTTACCATTATTTAAATGTGTAGCATGATCCAGGCTTTTTTCTTTGGAAATAAAGTTAACATTTTAAATCTGCTAAAGGAATTGTGTCATCACCATTCATAATAGAACAATCAAGTAGCATCATACATAGTATACTGTGAATTGATATTGGAGAAGCACGGGGATGGTAATATCTTTCTTCTACCTATGATTATGTGGTGTTTGAAAAGAATTTCCAGCCATCTCTCTGCCTTAACTTTAAGTGGATGTATTTACAGCAAGAAAATATTGAATGAAGATGCCACAAAGTTAGAATGGTAACAAATTG
The DNA here is from genome assembly GCF_000001405.40 of Homo sapiens. Taxonomy (NCBI): domain Eukaryota; kingdom Metazoa; phylum Chordata; class Mammalia; order Primates; family Hominidae; genus Homo; species Homo sapiens. The sequence continues at coordinate 33,345,180 of NC_000007.14, forward strand.
ATAGTCTGGAAAATAGAATATTAAGGATGTGGTTTTGGTTAAGATTTTTAGTCCTGTCATTGTAGAATTTTAGAACTAGAACTTAAATGTAGAACCTTCTTAAAGCATTTAGATTAAAATATGGTAATCAGTCAGCACATTATTAAGCTGAAAATATTTATCATGCCCAGACCTTGGAAGCAAGGGAAGGTTGTGGATTTTGGCAATTCACTTAGTCAAAACTTGGATGGGGCTTTATATTTTCTTAGATTATGGGTTGCTCTCCTTGGAGGAGCTTGACAGGGCACCAAGCTTTACCAATTGTGTTCGCTTACACTGGAACCAGCGGGTGGCCCAAATGTGGAGATCTTTGGTCGAACTTGAAGGGAGCTGAATCTTACAACAGTTTCCTAAGCTAAGTTTTTTGGATTCTTGCCACTGGAAACAAGGGTGGTCTTTCCCCAACCTCCTTTCCCCCAGTCCAATCAAAGGCTCTATCTCATTAATACTTCCGAATCTGGAAAGGCATTAGTGGCAAGAAATCAAACACTTAAGAAAAAGAAATAACTGTCGAGTTCCAGGAATGATTTGTACTTTTGTATAGGGACACCTCTTTTAAATCTATCTACTGATAACGTTCAGACACATACATGTAATAATTTAGGAGTGCACTGTTAATTGCAATAAGAGATCTTGTGCCTTAACTAGATAACATTGCTCATGCTAATTGTACCCCCAGCCAACCAGGAATTAGCACCGTAAGTAAACATACCTTTCCCTCCCATGCAGTTCTTAAGCTTTCATGTGTAGTAGCCACCTTAAAATGATGGCATGACACTACTGGAAAATTCTCCTTCTGTTCGTGGAACTTACTATATTTGAGAATACCTAAGTCACAACTGTCTTTCTCATTGCCATTATAAAAGCATGAGAAAGAATGCAACAGGCAAGGGGTGCAGAAAATTGGTGGGACTCACACAGCAGACACAATGTCTTCCTGATCCTGTCTGACAGTTTCTATACAAATTTCTACTATAAATCTCTCCTTATGACCTTTTATAACAACAGCAGCCAAGATATACAACCATGCAAGTTTCCATCATAATAAATCCTGTTAATTGAGAAAATTTTTCCATCCGTTCCAAGTGAATGAAGATGTGGCTACCTTGAGTATGTGTGCATGATGCGTGACCATCTATTCCAGGCAACTAGGCGAGTGGTTGTTCATACCTGGCCTCTGGTGTTGTATTTATATATCTAGGATAAAAATTTGGTATTATATTTCCTAAGGGTTATATTTCATAAGAGGCAGAAAATAGCATGGAAAATTCTTGTATCAATGTTTTATATTTTCTCCTTAATATTCTATAATTATTTTCCTGTTAAAATATAAGACTTGTGATCTAGCCAAGTCTTTAACTCTTTTTTGGCTCAAACACAACTATTCTTTGTTACTGTTGTTATTTTCATTACCTATCTCCTTGATTTGTATTTTGAAAGGGCCTAGCCCATTGTTGGGGTTCAATAAATATGTGCATGAGAGCTATCATGATTGTGCAACTAAACCAAATGCAAACCCTTCTTGTTACAATGTAAAATTCTGTGATTATTGTCTAAGTAGACATCGTTGTGCCAGGAAAAGCCAGACTGCTCTTTTTCAAATGGCTTATTACTACTTAAAGGAATTTTCATTTTTACTTAAAACTGAGTTCTCATAAGACTTTCCTGGTCACTATTTTCAACTCTCTACTTGGATTGATGGCTTTGCACAGGTTATTTACCTTCTCTGAACCTCTATTTTTTAAACTGTAAAATAGGGATACTTTTTCATCTGCAAAGTTATTTTGAGTCTTAACCACAGTTGGTTAAAGGCATGGGCTCAGGATTCTGGCAGATAGCAGTTAAATTGTGGTTCTGCCACTTGCAATCAAAGTGGCCTTGGGCAAATTACTTAGCATCTCTGAGCCACAGTCTTTTGTAAAATGGTTTATGATGGTACCTGTCAAACATTTTTGTAAAGAGTAAATTAAATAATGGCACGTAAATAATTTGTTAGCATGGTTCCATGAATATAGAAAATTGCTAATATTTTTTATCATTAATATTATTCATTTTATTTAAAAATATATGTACAGACTAGTATTATATTATTATAATAGTAGAATATTTAAATTGTGTCTTGTTTGTTTAATGGACTAGCTAGTTGAAAGAAAGTTGTTTGTAGCACTTGCATGGTGTCTTCCTGCCATAATAACCATCAGGGTTTTACTAAAAAGGTATTATGTTTACAATGGCCAGACATCATTGAGGAAGTTTAGTTTGTGGCATGATGATTCCCTGTGTATTCCCAGGATTTACAAAGTAAAAATTGAGGATTCATTGTTCATGGTGTTTATCATATTTAATTGCATCGATAGTTGTCTTAAAAATTTTCCTTTGCAAGTCAAAATTTTTATGTTTTTAACTTATTTTTAAGTTGTGCAGAATACTCACATCACTTAAAATTAATACATTTACTGAATCTAATTATGTGTTCATAATGTTTGTGGGCCACTTGTATATTCTTGTATATATAAAAATATTATATATATTTAATCAAGAAAGAGGTAATACATGCTTTTTATTGAAAAGAAACTTCAAAACTACTTTTCTTAACAATAAGAATGGTCCTTGAATTATGTTAATGTATGTATCTGTCTCATATAACAAAGTCTAATAACTAGACTGAACTGCCGTATAGAAAAGGTACCATATAGAATGGTGGTTTATTTTATTTAATTTTTTTTCTCATGACATACGAGTCACCATGATAGAACATTTTAAAATAGCTTTACTTAGATATAATTTAGATACTATATTATTCACTTAGTTAAAGTTACAATCCGATGACTTTTAGTATAGTGTATTTACAGAATTTTGCAACTATCACCACAATTTAATTTTAGAACATTTTATCCCACCTAAAAGAAATGCCATACCCATTAGCTGCCATTCCCCATCTCTCTCATCCCTAAGCAACTCCTAATCTACTTTATTTCTCTATAGATTGCCTATTCTATACATTTCATATAAATGGATCATACAATATGTGGTTCTTTGTGGCTAGATTTTTTCACTTAGCATCATGTTTTCAAGGTTCACCCATGTTGTGGCATGTAAATGAAATAATGCACATAAATTTGTTAGCATGGTTCCATGGATATAGAAAATTGCTAATGGTTTTTATCATTAATGTTATTCATAATGTATTTCATTTCTTTTATTGCTGAACAATATTTCATTGTATGAATATGTCACATTTTGTTTATTCATTCATCATGATGGGAATTTGGATTATTTCTGCTTTTTGGCTATTAGCATATTGTTGCTGTGAACATTTGTGTATAAGATTTTGGGTGGACCTATGTTTTCGTTTCTCTTGGTATAGAATTGTGAAGTTATATGTTAAATTTATGTTTAACCTTTGAAGAAACTGCCAAACTTTTCTTAGAGTAGCTGTACCAATTTACATTTTCACTGGCAATATATGAGGGTTCTAGTTTCTCCACATCATTGCTAACACATGTTATTGTCTGTCCTTTCGATTATAGCCATTTTATTGGGTACGTAGTAGTATCTCATTGTGGTTTTTAGTTTGTATCTCCTTCATAACTAAGGATATTGAGCATCTTTGCATGTACATATTGCCAATCTTTATTCTTTTGAGTAAAGTCTGTTTAGCTTTTGTGCACAGTTTCTACTTGATAGAATATTTTAATCTATTACTTACTGTATTATGTTTTGTGACTACTCATTTTTTCCTCAGGTAATATTTTCTAATTATTTGCTAGTTATGTTTAAGTAGTTACGATAGTCTATCAGTTTGAATAAAATGTAATTTTCTATTGATAACAATTTCTGTTTCCTTAGGTCACACTGCAGAACAGAGTGATATTGCAAAAAGCCAAATTATCAGTCTACGTGCAACCACCATTAGAATTGACTTGTGATCAGTTCACCTTTGAATTTATGAGTAAGTTTTTTGTTTTGGCTGAAAGTCTACCATGGTGTGAATTTTTTAAAAATACTAGTTTGTTCATTTAATGGCTATTATTTCATGTCTGAATGGTGAGATTGGGATCGTCCCAAAATCAATGATTGTGTTGTTTTGCTTATATTTTCCCTCTTAGCATCAGCATGAACGTTCAATCAATGATTGTTGGGTCAAATTAATCTTTTACGATTACAGATTTCTAGGTGCTTTTCTGAACTTGTTGGACCTATAATTGTTTTTGATTTATTTATTTATTTTTGAGACAGGGTCTCATTCTCATTGGCCCAGACTGGAGTGCAGTGGCACCATCATGGCTCACTGCAGCTTCGACTTCCTGGGCTCAAGTGATCCTCCCACCTCAGCCTCCTGAGTAGCTGGGACTACAGGAAAACACCACCTGACTAATTTTTTGTATTTTTAGTAGAGACGGGGTTTCGCCATGTTATCCAGGCTGGTCTTGAACTCCTGGGCTCAAGCAATTTGCCTATCTCGGCCTCCCAGAGTACTAAGATTACAAGCGTGAGCCACCACTCCTGGCCTGTTTTTAGATACTAAAATTTAGAAGGCTTTCTTTATTGGTGTTTCTTTAGTGATCTATTTATTGAATCGGTAATGTTTGAAGAATTAATATGGACTTTGGAGTTTGGCCTGAGTTTGAATCCAGCTCTAACACTCACTTGATGTGTAACCTTAGGCAAAAACTACATTAGTAATCACTTGGAGCCTCATTTATTTTAATCTGCAAAAAGGGGGTAATGATATTTGTTTTACAAGGTTGTTTTGAGGATTTGATTAAAAAGTAAATCTATAAAAGATATCCATAATAATGCTTAAAATAGTAGACATGTCATTAATGGCAACTCTTAGTAAGGTTTCTTTGTATAGAATCTCTTACTCCCAACCATTTATATCCAAATTGTCATTAGTCCTGTTAAGATAATCTGAACTACCTTTCAAGTCTTTTTTCTTTTTTTAGTTTACTATAGCTTTTCTGCTAAGGCTTCTATCTCTTATTCACGAAGTCAAGAACATATCTTTCTTTTTTTGCCTCCACATAACCAACCCATAGCTGAGTGCCTGCCGTTAGTAGGAATTCAACAAATCTTTGCAGAATGAATGAATAAACGATTGAGTGAAGTAACCTCATAGGTGATACCCAGCCATTGAACTTTTGCTTGCATTTCTGATTTTGTATAACACTTCCAATTTGTCTTTCTAAAATACATTCTAAATAATTTATTTTTTCCATTTATTATGGCTCTCTAATACAGGTTGGGGGCCAGATATGTTAACATAGATGAGCACGCACAATCTGTTAAGTGGCTACTGTGTAACACTCCTCATCCATTTTCTCCTTCAGTCTATGTTCTACCCATGATAAATTGCTATTTTCCTCCCAAATTCTCTTGCCCTTTTGTGTACCGTTTTCTCTGTTCATGCTGTCTGTTCCTCGAAGTAAAGAACAGCAGTGGTGTAGAATGCCAGTTTCTTTGTACCTTGTTCTGGAGTTAATTCCTAGTAGCTGTGTTACCTTAGGCAAGCTTCTTTTTTTGTTTTTGTTTCTGTTTTTGAGACAGAGTCTCACTCTGTTGCCTGGACTGGAGTGCAGTGGAGCAATCTCGGTTCACTGCAAACTCCACCTTCCAGGTGTCACCACGCCCAGCTAATTTTTTTGTATTTTTAGTAAAGATGTGGTTTTCTCATGTTGGCTAGGCTGGTCTTGAACTTCTGGCCTCACGTGATCCGCCCACCTAGGCCTCCCAAAGTGTTGGGATTACAGGCGTGAGCCACTGTGCCCGGTCTTAGGCAAGCTTCTTAATCTCTCTGTATTTCAGTTTTCTCATCATAATAAATGAGGACAATAATAGTATCAACCTCACAGGTTTGTTGTGAAGATTTAAAGAGTTACTTCATGTAAGTGCTTATGACAGTACCTGGCATGTGGTGAGTGCTTATTAAATTTTAACTGTTGTTAATAACAGTTGCCCCAAATTATGTAATTTATATTATTTTTACATTGCTTATAGCACCAGATTTGACTAGAACAGTAAGCTTTTCTGTTTATCTGAAAAGAAGTTATACACCATCAGAATTGGAAGGAAATGCTGTTGTTTCTTATTCCAGACCAACAGGTAAACATACAGGCTTAATCATTACTTTAAGTTGTTGGAGTTATGAGTAAAATGCTTATGCATTTAAGATGAGAAAACATACTGTGAAATATCATTAAATGAGAAAATGTTATTTTCTACTGTTAAGTAAAATCATGTTTTCATTACTTTTATGTGTTATGAGTAGTTCGTGATAAGGCTATTTAGCTGATTTCCATATGTAATGTTTGGTTCCCTCTTTTCAGTTAATAGCAAATCTGATACATTTTTATTCCTAATAGAAGAATGTTATCTAGTCAGACTTCATTTATTTGAACCAAAGGCTAGTATTGATGCAGGATTTTTGCTCCTTAGTTCAGCCATATCTGCGTTCTTATTTCATGACCAGGAAGAATTAGGCATGCGGACACAGTGAGTGAGGAGGGTGGAATTTTTAAAGCGGGTTTCCACCTCACAAATTGAATACCAGGGCTCCCACACCTGAGCTGATGAGGCCAGGCTCCTCCCCTGCGTAAGGCACTTATTCCTTGTGGCCCCACCCCATTTCCCCAGTGCGCTCGCGGGCATGTCCAGGCAAGCCATAGGTAGTATTTGAAAAGGCAGCATTCGATTGGCTAAAAGACATTATTCAGAAAGAATCAATTGGGAAAGGGCAGGCACACAGGGACAGAAGTTCTTCTGGGTTCTGGGTTTCATCCAGGACCAGCAGTACGGTCTTTCAGCCCTCAGGCTGTTTTAAGCCTGAAGGTAAGATTTCACCTGGGACCTTTCCGTATTTGCTTAGGCGTTTGTCTGCCTCCTACCTCTATCAGTATGAATTAGTAGAAAATAATATTATGGATTACTCCAACATTAGGGCAGTAATCAGAGTTTTAGACACTGTTTTAGTGACTAAATAAAACTCTTTAGCATCTTATGTGTTAAAATACTTAAGAACAGATCTTTTAAAACTTAGTCTGCATTTTTCAACCATTTTTGGCCATTATGCTTTTCTGCAATTTGAAAGACAGAATTTAGAAGATTACTAATCATTGGTATTGGTTGAAAGTGAATTAGAAATTAACATTGAGAGAGTCTGCAGAATGCCAAGAGAAGCAAAAAGAGACGTTATCAATAGTATTATTTACTTAAATTATTATAAAAAAGAGGAACTGGATTGACTTTAAAGGGGAAAGTTAAAAGAAAATAAATTCAAAAAGTAACTGGAAATATTAATATTATGTATTTTCCCCTTTATTGAGTCTTTTTTGCTGTTTGGCTAGATCATATATCTTTACTTGTTTTTTTCCCACATTTACAGTGGAATAACACATTCTCATAGACTTCTGAGAATGGAAATATAAATAAATGTATTGTTGGGTTTCATTTATTTGTGTTATACTCTCAATTGTGGATTGACTTGTGTTTGGAGAGTCATTTAAGTCATCTGTGAGAATCTTGAAATTTTAATTTGTATTTTAAGCAGATATGTGTCAAATTTGTGTTGTAACTTTACCACAGATAATTTGTTGCCTTCTTTTCCCCCTACCCATTTTTGCATTGCCTGTGATGGACAGATCGAAATCCTGATGGTAAGTGTAAAGATAATTTAGAAAAAAATGAATTTCAGAACTGAAATTTGATGAATTGAATTGGTATTATACCATGAATGAACTCTTTTTATGGACTGCTCTTTTAACTAGAAGAAGTTCTTTAGGATGATACAGTGCCTTGATTCTGCTATGGAGAGCATAGTAGATGTTTCCACAGAGACTTGTCATTATTAGTTGTTTCGGAGTCATGAGAAAGAATGAAATTAGGAGTAAAAATAGAATGTCTTTTTTGAAAAATATTAAAGGTGTTATTGACAACTTATTACTGCAAGTCATTGGTTATTTAGCTGCATGCTCTGTTATTTTACCTAAAAGAAAGAAAGAGTTTAAAAAAAGTGTTTGTCACTGAATTCTAAGTTGTGTTTTTCTACATCCTCCAAGAGATTCACCTCTCTGTGATAAGAATGGTGTGTGTGTTCGCTCTGTGGGCATATTCCTTGTCTTGTTTAGAATTTGTAGGGGAATGTTATCAAACATCTGACTCCCTCTAACTTGCTTGGGTCAGTGTTGTTACTCACTTTGTTTTCCCCAAATCTTTTGTTTGACTCTGCTATGATTCTGATCACAATATGAACTTAATTAAGTTTGTTCCTTAGGTTCTCCTTTTAGGTTTTGAGCTTTTTGAGGGCAGGGGTCAAGCACTCATCTTTGAATTGCATACTAACAGAGTACATAGCAGGCACTACAAGTATCTCTGATTATTTTTCCCTCTTAGATATAGACTTAATGTGGTAGTTTATCTTTATAAGTTATTTTAAGATACATTTTAGATAGCAATATTAATTAGTAATAATTAAATAAATATAATGAAATGACTTAAAGATTGTGGCAATATTTACTAATGCCGTTTGGGTGATGCCAACAATCTGAGTTGCATAGCACATGTCATCTTGATATCTGGAAGTTATATATATATTTATATGAGAAGTGTTTTAATAGAAGTAAACGATTAGCTTAATAACACAAAGTATACTTGTCAAATTAGAATTTGGGTCATTAAAAAATAACCTGATATTAATAATGAATATTTACATTTTAATTAGCTAGATTGCCTGTAATTTTTAAGATTTTGGACCAAATTTTGTAAAATATCATGTTATTATTTAAATGATTAGTTTTAAGTTTAAAAAAATCAGTTAAGGTTATTGTTCAAAGAAATTTATTCCTTCTTACTGTAAATTCAGCCCAAACTATGAGGAAAAAACCCACAATTTATAGAAATGGTAGTGTTTCAATACAAAGTGAAAGCTGGTTTTAATAATCTCTTTGATATATTTTAAAATTATAATTAAGCTTTAGGGAGTGGAGTTGAAATATTCAGCGGCACCTAGTAGGCAAGAAAATAATATGTTGCCACTTAGATCTTACTTACACACAAGGCTTCATATTTCAAAGACTGATCCATTTTATTGTCTTGATCTGTTCGGGCTGCAATGCAGATAAGCAGTTCTGCTTTTATATGTGGAAAAAGAGAGGCAAACGAGGTTTTATGTTGTCCCATAAGGGTTAGTCTCCATTATTTCTGCATTAAAGTTACATGGCGTGAGCAGTGTAAAACATGAATGCAGATGAAGCACAGTACGTAGCCAGACATAACAGGAAGGAATCAAGGAAGTTCTGGCTACCAGACATTGCTACTGCTTTGGGGTTCCTTGTTTTCAATATGAAATTACTCTAGCAGGCCCCTGGAAAGAGTTCTAAAGGCATTATATAGATGTATAATATATAGGTATGGTTATTTTATTCATATATACTTATTTTTTTTCTATGTTCTTTTTTCCTTTATTTCTTTAAAGCACATTTTGGCTTCCAATTTGACAGTGATACTGGGCTTTTGGGGTGTGCCAGATGTAATTAGAAGTCTCTTCCTGGAAGTAAAATGTTCTGTTAGAGGTAGTTTTGATGAGAATATTCTCTCTGAGTGTTAAATAATTTTGTGATTAATTGCACCATAGTAGTTACGACTATCCATTTCCTCTAGTAGGTTAGGAAGGGAAATGTTTGAAGGAGAGGTGATTATATCTGGTAAAAAGAACTACAGAACAGTCAGTGTGATAAATGACTAGGCCAATATTGGAGTAAAATAAATGACAAAAGTTTCTTTTCTCTCAGCGTAACACTTAGAGAATTCAGTAAGCCAGATATGGAGACTACTTTGCCAACTATAGAGAGAAAATACTGCTGATGGTAGGCAAAGTTAGGACCAATTAGTCTCTTTCAACTAAGTTGAAAGCTGTTCTGCTAGCAACTGTGAAAAGTCTTTAAATACATGTAATTCTTTTCCTTCTCTATTACAAACACATACACCCACACATGCCTCTATGAGTCTTTGGCTTCAGGTTCTTAGACATAATTACAGCCTGAAGAGTAATTGGTAGCCAAATTTACACTTCAGGTTTCCTAAGAAGGTGTAAATCCCAGTAGAAATGTGCCTCTGATGAACCTCATGTCTAAAAACTAGAGATTGTATTGTAAAATCCTTGGATTTTAATTTGATAGTGTTATAAAATAGTGACATTCTAATTTTTCTTTTAAGGGATGGTTTCTGTAGACTGGTTTTTTTAAAGGATTTCATAACTTTTTCTCCCTAATGGTAAAACTTTTCAAGCTGCCATCATTTAAAAAATAGCCATAATCATTTTATTAAGTATGAGTGTCATCATTTTTCAAAGTAATGTTTTCCAAATGTCCTATGAAACAGGCTTATAATTCCTGCAGAGAAAAGATATTCTGGAGGGGCTCTACAAATCTTAGCAACTGCAAACCATTGCCCTAGTGTGTGATATTGTCATTAACTGACCTAACTGAACTGTAAATTGAGTTACAATGTATTTTCCTTCTTGGGTTTATTAGTGCTTGCAATCCATTTGTTTCGATTTCTGAAAACATATACACTACCAGTTTCTTTAGCTCTGGGTTCGTGGAGATGTAGGGTAATAATCTTCAAATATATAGGCTCAGTCACTTATAGGCAGTGTTGTTGATTATATTTAATTTTTTTTAACTGTGAATTCAGTCAGTACCTGGTCCAAGTAAAGTAGTGGCTACAGTTTTAGCAGTATAGTTTTGGAGGAACATTCACAGCCAAATTCTGGTTTGAGTAATTAGCTCAGAATTTGGTTGAAAGTGTATAGAAGATAGTTTCTTTTTGTGCCTGTACAGAATTGTCAGAAAAGGAAGCATTTGTTTTTGTTGTACTAGTCATTAAAAATGAAGAAGATGGAAACAAGTTTAAGTTTCCTTGTTCTTTCCAGACTGTATCTATTAATTGATACAATCTGAAATTTTCTCTACAGTTTACTTATTGTAGAGGAAACATACTCAGTGGGTGTATTTCCATAATTTGAGGATATATAGAGTATATGGAAATTTCCTTGAAGTTGGAGAAAGTAGTGCTTTGTAATTGTTTTGTGGTGATATTGACAGTCGTGCTTTGTGCAGTATCTTAGATCATGTTACCATAATATTTTGAGTCAAAACATCTCATCATTGTAAAGTACAAATACACATGCCTCTAAAAACCTCACAGAATGTCATGAAATAATACCCTGGGACTTTTCTTAAGAGACACCAGTTGTAATTCGCATCTAGGATTCCAGGAGAAGTGAATTTAACATCTGTTGGTTATGAGCAAAAAATGAGCTACGTAAAACTTGATGGATAATAGATTATATTGAAGAGAATGACAAATATGCTCCACATGCTCTGAAAAAGTATTTAATTGACCTCATATATCAATATGCTTGCCATTGTTGATGATTTCTCACTATCCTAGTGAATAAGTAGTACTGGAAAGTGTACTCCCAGCTTGGATGTGGAGTAAGACATACAATTCCAATTGACTTTAGCAAAATATATTGCTAATTCCAGGGATCCTGCTTTGGGATCATGTCTCCAAACTAACTGCTTCTGCTTTTGCTATTTTTAAGCAGCTCCCTGACTCCTCTATAAAGAAATAAAGGAATTAATGTGTGGATTCATCAAGTAGAGTTAGAACATTTTGAGTGTTCAGTTTTTCTACAGCACTATGGCACGGCATAGGCTTCTATATATTATCTTTCATCTTAACCAGTCAAAAACAGAGTTCTAGAAAAAAGGAGAGAAAACTAGGATTTTAGTATTGCTTTTCTAGATTTATAAGTAGAGAGCCTAATTTGCTTTGGTTTCAATTTCATTTTCTGTAAAAATATTGAAAATGATTTTGAAAAGCTTTATACAAATTCTAATATGAAACTCTTCATTGTCGTATATTCAGCTACCTATTTCAGTATGCATGTATGAGTATTAAAATCATTTAACAATTGAATGACTGTCTAAATGTCTAAAATGTCACTTAAAGTGATATGTAAAGTTAAATGGCTTGAGAAAAGTATAATTCATATAAAGGTAATATTCTACATATTAATGTGTAAAATGAACATGGACTTCAATAGAACTTCAGAAGAGCAAATCTTGCTTTCATGTTCATAATCTGAATCTTCATCAAGTAAAAAAAGCTAAAGATTTAAAATGTTTTTGAGTAGAGAAATTTTTAGATATGGTAATATACAGTCTTAAAGATATGATAGAAACTTCATATTCTTTGCTCATGTTTGCTGATAGTCTTGGATTAGGGCTAGAGCTCTGAAGGTCTTAAAGACTTAGTTCAGTAATTGAATGTAAGTGACTATAATGTTTTATATAGTATCCAAATGTGATGATTTTAAAAATATGATACTATTAAAGACAGATCTCATGTCTATGCTTCTTTTAAAATTTTATTTTTGCCTTGTACCTTTTGAAAATAGTAATGAAATATGAATCATGATAATAATTTACAGTTATTTCAGCTTTGTTAAGCAAAATAGGCAGGCAACAAGCAAACCAAGATATATTGCTGCTCAAACTATTAGTAGTACAATTTTTTTTTGCCAAATTATTTGTCAAGTCTATGAATCTACATATCTCTCTTTTATTTTAGGCATTCCGCGAGTTATCCAATGTAAATTTAGACTTCCCCTAAAGTTAATTTGCCTACCAGGTCAGCCTTCAAAAACTGCAAGCCACAAAATTACTATTGATACCAACAAATCTCCAGTCAGTCTTCTTAGTCTCTTCCCAGGTAAGACTGTTGAAATAACATGCCTGCAGCATCAAAAATGCTAAGAATTTAGAATGGAATCCTTCATCAGCAGATAATGATGGGGTAATTATCAGATAATTGTTAAGTAAGAGTATAAAAATGCCTCAAGGATTTTTCCCTCCTTTGCCTGTTCAAAGGTGAATAGCTTATATCAACAAGGTAATAAGGTATTCCTTTTAAGTTTGATTAAAATTATCATAATAATTATTTTGCTATGGTATTCAGAAATAAAAATCAAGTGTTTCTCTTTAGACTGAATTTTTTTGGCTTGGAATGTAAATATTTATTATTCATCTTTATGGTAGGTTTTTGGATATATCTGTCTTCTAAGTGTATAAATATTTATTATTTTCATTGTAGGCTTTTGTATGTGTACCTTTTAAAGTATATTCTTATGTCTCTGAAAAGTAATCTTATAAGTAGATGCTCTTTGTACTGTTTTATTCTGCTGTCTACAGCAGCTAGAGGGTGTGCATCCTGTGCTTCTGGTTGTTTAGAAGGGTTTCATATTTAATGCTTCAATATCACAGTGAACATTTGGGGTAATTTGTGATGGTATGACTTGGAGAGAAGTGTCAGTTTTTCTTTCTGAGTGGCTTAGAAACTAAAGAAGCTTTTTTGGATCAAACATCCTTAGTAACCAAGGTTTTTAGTGTGTCATGTCATTAATTTTCTTGATGGTGGGGTAGAATTGAAGAATAAAATCTTGGAATTAAATCAACCCTTTTAAATCCTTCATTAAAAATCAGCACTGTTGGCTAGGAGATGCATCTTCACCTTTGCATTAGTGGATAAGATTTAGGATACAAACAATACTTCTCACAAGGTTTAGAAATTTATGGTAAGTCAACTTTTGTGTTATTAACTACTTAAAGTGCTTAAAATTTATTTTTTATTAATTTGCAGTATTTCAAAAATTTTATTTATATATAACTCTGAAAAATCTCCAAGATTAAATATTTTACTACAATTATTCTATTCTTAAGTGTGAATTGAGTTTGGAGATATATATGTATATATTGTTAGCAAAATATTTTTTACCTTTTGGGTTCTTTCTCCCATCTCTTCTTTTACCTCCTTATTTTTTAGTCAGTTTTCTTGTAACAAACTTGGATTATGAAAAAAACAGACTCACTACCTTTTGTAACATCTTGTATAAACTTATTAGTTTCTTGGGTCTCCTATACTACCTTAGGAACATAGTTGGAAATTATATGTTGAACACCAAATTTATTGGTGGCTTTGAAAAACGTTTAAACACCTGACTTCTGAGGAAGGGTTGATCTTTACTGTAGATAAATGCAACCCAATTAGAATTGAATAAAAACACATGCCTTTGAGCAGAAAGGTAAAGTCCATAAGATACGAATTGTATAGTGTGTACTAAAGAAAGCTTAGATGACTTATCCATTTTCCTCCTGATTTTGGGCTCAATTGTTTTGATGTCATTATGCTCATCAGCATATATTTGCTTCTTACTCACTTTAGGAATGGGACACAATGACAAATTTTTAAAAATTTCTTCTGGGATCCAATATATATGATATAGAGTGGTTTTTAAAAAATTCCTGGATTTGTATTAATGTTAAACATGCTGGATGGAATCATGTGCTTGTTTAAAATAAGTATCACTTCACTCTGATAAAAGTAAGACTTAGATAAAGTTGCCATTGCAAATCTTCTGTGTCTGTTTTTTTTAACTGAAAGAAGCAAAATTAATGAGCTTTATAGAGAAGAAATAAAACAACTTTTACTCTACATGTCTTCCCATTTGTTTATTCCAGTTCTCTTTCTGTGAACAAATATAGGTATATTTAAAATAGCTTTAATTTTTCTTATTACAAAAGAAATGTGAAATTTAGAAAATGTGGATAACCAAAAGGAAAAAAGTGAATGTTACTAGTAATTCTACTATCCAGCAATACCTTTTTCTGTTTCATTACATTTTTCTAATCTTTAAATAAATATTTTTTCTAAGCATTTATCCCCAAAAAGAATTTCACTTGTCATTCTGTTTTGAGACATCTTTTTACACCATTAGATATTTTTGATATATGATTTTAATGATTACATAGTATTCTCTCATAAATCCATACTATAAAATCATTTGACCAGCATTATACTTTTAGATATTTACGTTGTTTTTAGTTTATTAATATTGTAAATATACCTGTGATGAACACTGTTGTAACAATACTTCTTCAAATTTATTATAGTTTATTTGATGAATATTTAAAAGTGGAATTGCTGGGTGAGACAGAGAATCAGAATGTTTTTAAAACTTCTGAAATATAGTGTGAAATTGACTTCCTTAAGGAATACCAGTTAACCCTAACAACAATGTTTGAATAAAGGCGTCCAGTACCCCAAACCTTGCCAATAGAGAATCTTATAAGAAAAACCTTTTAATATGCTTAATAATTATATAGAAAACATTTATTTACATATATAAATAGCTATCTGGGGTGCTTCTGGCACCCCAGAAAAGTGAATTAAGCAATAAATACCTTTTTTTTTTTTTTGAGACAGGGTCTCATTCTGTCACTGAGGTTGGAGTGCGGTGGCACAATCATGGCTTACTGCAGCCTCTACTTCCTGGGCTCAAGCAATCCTCCCACCTTAGCCTCTAGAGTAGCTGAGACTACAGGCATATACCACCATGCCTAGCTAATTAAAAAAAAATTATTTTGTAGAGATAGGGTCCCACTGTGTTGCCCAGGCTGGTTTTGAACTCCTAGGCTCAAGTGGTCTTCCCATCTTGGGCTCCTAAAATGTTGGAATTACAGGTGTGAGCTACTGTGCCTGGCCAAGACATTTCTTTATCTCATATAAAGAGGAATCCAGAAGTGGGCAGTGGAAGCTGTGGCAGTAGTTTATGACTGTTATGAAATACCTAGCATTTTTTCTTTTTTTGTAATCTACCATCTTTAGTGTGTTGACTTGTTCCACGACAATAAGATATTTGCTTCAGCTTCAGGCATCATATCTTACTACAAGGTAGGAGGTAGGGGGAAGAAATAGCTATATAGTAATGATGATAACTTTTATCAGAAAAGGATTTTTTCACAAGATTCCCTAGGAAATTTCTGCTTAGGTTTCAATAGCCATAATTTTTGTCACATGGCTTCCTTTAGCAGTACAAGAGGCTGAAAACTAAATGGGCTAGAGAAAAGGGGGTTGGGAACATGTGTTAAATTACCTGACCATCAATGTATGTCACAATACCAGTAGTTTTATACAAAAATTTTACTTAAATGTAATAACAGATAAAATGTCATTTGATAATAGTCTTTTATGTTGCTCAAGTATGTTTCTACATTTGCTTGTCAATACATTTATATTTTAATAGTTACATAATATTCCATTGTTTGGAGGTGTCATGTACATACAGATTTTTTGTACTTCTCTATTTCTCTTAGGAGAAATTCTTTGGAGACAAATGCTTGAGTTAATGGGTATGCATATTTGAAAACTTTATTCAAATACCAGCTGCCTTTTTGAAAAATTGTATCACGTTATACTCCCAGCATCAAGGTTCATGCGCATGATAGCAGCTGGATTCATTAAATCTTTTAAAATTTTTGATATTATTAGGTAAAAAATGACATTTCATTTTTAACTTGAATTTCCAATATGTTTAATTTTTCTTAACTACTTGCATTTCTTCTTTTAATTCCTTCTTTTAAGGTTTATATTTTTAGGTAGTAAAATTTCTTAATTACTTTCTTCGTAGTTTCAGGTTTTCATGTTATGCCTGCAATGATCTCTATTCTAAGATTATAAAATACTTACTTATTTTTTCTGGTACATTTTTATACACTTTTGTTCTCAAACACAGCTTCAGTGCATATTTTTGTGCTTTTAAAAAAGCTTAAATTGAAGTATGACTTTTGTACCATAAATCACACATTTGAAGCGTATAATTTTGAAAAGTTTGATTTCTGTATTTATCTGTGCAACCATCTCAACGGTTAAGTTGCTGAACATATCCATCACTGCCAAAAGTTTCCTTTTGTCTATTAGTAATTCCTTATCCTGCATCCCAAGCAACCACTGATCTGCTTTCTGTTACTAGAGATTAATTTGCATTTTCTAGAATTTTATAAAATGGAACTATATAGTATATGTTCTTTTTCATTTGTCTTCTTTTGCTCCTTTATTTGATATGTGATTTGCAAATAATTTCTCCCAGCCTGTGATATGTATTTTGATTGTCTTAACAGAATCTTTGGAAAAGCAGAAGTTCTTAATCTTCATAAACCCCCCCGTTTATCAATTTCTTAATGGTTCATAAATTTACTGTTACATCTAAGAGATATTTCCTAATCCAAGGTTGCAAAGTTTCTCTCTCTTTTTTTTTGATAGAAGTTTTCTAGTTTTAAACTTTACATTTAAGTCTCTTCCCCATTTTGTGCTGATATTTATGTGTGATGTGAGGGATGGATGAAATTCATGTTTTTGCATCTGGGTGTCTAATTGTTACAGCACTATTTTTCAGACTATCCTTTTCCACTGAATTGCCTTTTCAACTTTGTTGAAAATCATCTGACCACATTTATGTGGGTGTATTTCTGCTTTCTTAATTTTGTTCCATTGATATTTTTGTCTATTGCTATATACCAATAACATTGTGTTTTGATGACTGTATATTTATAATAAGTCTTGAAGTCAGGTAGTATAATTTCTCCAACTTTATTCTTCTCAATTTTGTTTTGGATATTTTAGGTCCTTTGCATTTTCATATGAATCTTAGAATCATCTTGTAAATTAAATAAAACTGGCTGTTGGGATTTTGATTGGGATTGTGATTGTATTGATTCCATATATCAATTTGGAGAGAACCAATATCTTAACAATATTGAACATGGTATAATTTTCTCTCTGTATTCTAGTTTTTTTAAGATGAAAATGCAGACCATCGTTCATTTATTTAGGGTCTATTTTGTTTCTCTCTGTGAGGGTTGGTAGTTTTTCATGTACAGGTTTTACAGATCTTTTGTCAGATATATCCCTATTTCATATATTTTTATGCTATTGTGTTTTATTTCAATTTCAGATTGTTCTTTGCTAATACATAGAAATACAATTTATTTTATTTTCTTTTGATATGGAGTCTCACTCTGTTGTCTAGGCTGGAGTGCAGTGGTACAATCTCGTCTCACTGCACCCTTCGCCTCCCAGGTTCAAGCAATTCTCCTGTCTCAGCCTCCCAAGTAGTTGGGACTACAGGCACACGCCACCATGCCTGGCTAATTTTTGTATTTTTAGTAGAGATGGAGTTTCACCATATTGGTCAGGGTGGTCTCGAACTCCTGACCTCAGGTGATCCACCTGTCTTGGCCTCCCCGAGTGCTGGGATTACAGGCGTGAGCCACCCCACTTGGCTTACAATTGATTTTCTTATATCAATCTTGTATCATGCAACATTGTTAAACCACTTGTGGGCTCTATTAGCATTTTTGTAGATTTAATCAGTCAGATTTTCTACATAGATGATCATGTTACATGCAAATCAAAACAGTTTTACTTCTTCCATTCCAACTGGATTGTTTGTTTTTGCTTGCTTTTTGCCTTGGCTAGAACCTCTGGGATAATGTTGAATAGAAATGGTGAGAACAGACATTGTCTTTCACCATTAAGTATGTTTTAGCTATAAGTATTTTTTAGATTTTTTTTTTTTTTTTAACCAGGTTGAGGAAGTTCCCTTCTATTCCTAGGTCGCTGAGACTGTAATCAGGAATGGATATTGGATTTTTTCAAGACTACTTCTACATCAGCTGAGACATTCTTATCGTTTTCTTCTTTATTTGATTAAATATGGTGGATTACATTGATTAATTTTTAATGTTAGCCCAACCGTGCATTCTTGAGATAAATTATAGATGGTCATGATATATTATCTTTTCACTATATTTTTATTTTTTTTTTTATTTTTTATTTTTTTTTTTTTGAGACGGAGTCTCGCTCTGTCGCCCAGGCTGGAGTGCAGTGGCGCGATCTCGGCTCACTGCAAGCTCCGCCTCCCGGGTTCACGCCATTCTCCTGCCTCAGCCTCCCGAGTAGCTGGGACTACAGGCGCCCGCTACCACGCCCGGCTAATTTTTTGTATTTTTAGTAGAGACGGGGTTTCACCGTGTTAGCCAGGATGGTCTCGATCTCCTGACCTCGTGATCCGCCCGCCTCGGCCTCCCAAAGTGCTGGGATTACAGGCGTGAGCCACCGCGCCCGGCCTTCACTATATTTTTAGATTTAATTTGCCAAACTGTATTTTAGAATTTTTGTATCTATGTTCATGAGAGAAATTGATTTGTAATTTAGTTTTTTTCTACAGTTATGTGAATAATTTTTACTCCATCCCCCCACATTTTATGTTTTGATGTCATGAGTTTCTTATATCTGGATATTTATACTTCTCTCCAGATTTGGAAGGTTTTCTCTTATTGTTTTGCTTGATTCTGTTCCCTAAATCTTGCAGCCTTTCTTCTTTCCTTTCATTTTTTTCCTCCTCTCACTGTATTTTCTAATAATCTGACTTTGAGTTCACAGATTCTTTCTTCTGCTTAATCAGTTCTATTTTTGATGTTCTTCCTTATATTTTCCCCCTTCCCCCTCCTCTCCCCTCCCCTTCCCCCTCCTCTCCACTCCCCTTCCCCCTCCCATCCTTTCCCCCCTCCCCCTCCGCCCTTTTCTCCCATCCTGTCCTCCTCCCCCTCCTCTCACCTCCCCTCCTCTCTCAGGGTCTTGCTCTGTCATCCAGGCTGGAGTGCAGTGGCATGATCATGGCCCACTGCAGCCTTGACATCCTGGGCTCAAGCAATCCTCCGACCTCAGCCTCCCAAGTAGCTGGGACTACAGGTGCATGCCATCACACCTGGCTAATTTTCTTATTTTTTGTAGAGACAAGGTTTCACTTTGTTACCCAGGCTGATCTCGAACTGCTGAGCTCAAATGATGTGCCTGCCTCGGCCTCCCAGAGTGCTAGACTTACTGCGCCCAGCTGTTTTCATTTCATTCATTGTATTTTTTCAGCTCCAAAACTTGTTATTCTTCTGGGTTTTGTTTCTCTTTTTTTTTCTTTTTTCTTTTTTTTCCTGGTTTGTTGAGCTTCCTGAAAACAATTATTTTGAATTCTTTGTTAACCTGTAGATGTCCATTTCTTTGGGGTCAGCTACTGGGAAATCATTGTGTTCTTTTGGTAGGGATATGTCTTCTTTGTTTTTCGTGTT